>NC_000004.12:144546381-145171381 GCF_000001405.40 Homo sapiens
GGCTTTTGTTTTCTTTGAGAGAAAGGTCCAAACTGGGGAGGGCTTCATGTCTTTTCTCACACTCATGACTGATCCCCTCCACCAAATCTGCGCACAAAAGAGGCTCTCTCTGGTACCCTGCCCCGACCCTAATCCTTCTCATGACCATCCATAAAAGATCTAAGGAAAATAACCTGTCAATGAATATGAACCCCCACACTCGACCTTTAGAAATGCATTAATATTTTAGCTGATTTCTTCCTTTTCACTTGCATTTTCCTTCTGTGCTTTGCAAAGCATAGGTAAGTCAATCATGGCATCCTTTCTTTCCAGGGGGTGGGTGGTTGCAAAGGTGCCCCTGTTTAGATTTCAGACCGCCTAATTGTTCCACAACCTCAATTCTCTGATGGCCTCAAGAGAAGTTGCAATTTTGTGGTTTATCTGGCTTTTTCTCATTGTCAGGGTAGAGGTAGTGTTCCTTCCAGCTTTCTACATTCCAGGCAACAAAAGACCTCTGCCTCACTGTTTTAATGGATACAGTCTGTCATTGCCTCATAAGTAACACAAAGATATTTACATTTAGGCTATATTTGCTGATACAGTTGTCCCTTGGTATCTGTGGGGGATTGGTTCCAGGACCTCTGCAGATATCAAAATCTGTGAATGTCCAAATTCCTCAGTAGTACAGTTGGCCTTCCATATGCATAGGTTCTGCATCTGTGGATTCAACCAACAGAGGATCGAAAATATTTGGAAAAAAGAAAATTCCACAAAGTTTCTAAAAGCAAAACTTGAATTTGCCACACAACGTGTATTACATTGAATACACAAGAATGAAGTGATATCTAGGGATTGTATAGGTATAGGTACTCTAGAGATGATTATGGGAGGATGTGTGTAGGTTATATGCAAATATTATATCATTTTATATACAGATTTGAGCATACTCAGGTTTTGAAATCCACATCATTTCTGAAACCTATCACCCACGGACACTGACAGATGACTCTATTTGCATATAAATAACATACACACATCCTCCCCTATACTTTAAATCATCTCACTTATGATACTTAATGCAATGTAAGTGTTATGTAAATAATTGTTATATTGTGTTGTTTTTATTTGTATTGTTTTGTATTGCTGTTTTATTTTTATTATACTAATATTATTTTAAAATATTTTTATCCATATTTGGTTGAATCGTGGTGGCAGAACCCGTGGATACAGAGAACTGCTTGCCATATAGCACACTACTCTGTTTGATGTACCTTAAAAGTAAGGTAACCTTATTTTTAAATCAATGTCATTTATCTATTAAAATAAATCTTAGGTAGAGCCACAGTATACAAAAGAAACCAAAGAGAAGCTGTCTAACTGAACAAAGTTGAGTGATCAGACCAACCCTCTCTACTCTTGTGATGACCCCAATGCTCCTTACATCTCAAAGAACATGGTGTGAAACATTCTGCGTCACTGAAATATACCTTAGAAACTTGTCAAGAGGAACTGAGAACTGAGCTTGAGCATAGTCATTTCCAAACTTTTCTTGATTCCTTACATCTATGTATGTATATGTAAAAACAAGAAATATTTTTAAACATAGGATTTTTAAAAAATATAGTGGAAGTTCTTATTCTGTCTTCCCACCTCTCATTGGATTATTTCCCACATTCTCTGGAGGACAATCACCACCAACTTTTAGCAAATGTTTGTCAGATTTACTCTCTGTGGTAGAACTAGGCTACTTCCTCTTTCCACATGCCTCTGTTCCTCTCAGTCTTGCAGTACGGGGCCTATTGATTTCTCCCAAATGTAGCCCAGTCCAATCTAAAGAGCTGGGCCAAGAGGGTCTTGGATGCAAGGGAAGAAAAGCAGCCTGGATTCCCTCATTTGGTGGAATGTAGAACTGAACTGACTTCCTTGGGGTGGGCTTATGTATTGTGCCCTGGGATATTCCTGCTTTCTGATTGACCGATGCTGACCACTCCTCCCATGCCTCTGAAATTTTATTCCATTTCTCATTGATAGCCACTTCTGGTAAGATGGAACTCAAGTCGGAATTTCTGAACACAATTCAAGGAAGGAAGAAGGAAAAAGCAGGTGAGAGGGACAATAGATGAGAATGAGAATTCCTTTTAACATCCAGCTAATTCCGCAGATTTTGTAGAAGAGACATCTGTAAGCATGCTATGTAAGTCTGAAACCACTTGTCTTAGAATTTTACATCTACTCATTTTATCATTGCCTATTTTACAATGGAAAAAGCTATAGTTAAAATAAGCTGGAGACTTCCTGCTATAGTCTGAGATGCATTACAGGTCAATCAGGCAGCTCTCACAGAAAGGATGTACCCAAAGTGTGAGCCATAGAATAGACTACTGTGCAAAATGATCATTAAGTAAAGCCTAAATAATAGCTGCTATGATTTGGCAAAAGAGTAAATTATAAAGTTGCCACAGGTAAAAACAATATTTGTCAGTAATAAATAGGTAATATTTTGGAGTTTAAAGCCTTTTAGGAAATGGAAAGGACTTTTCAGATTAGTCTTATCCTGAAAGTTCTTCATTTCCTCCAGAAGATAAAGAAAGATATCATTGTTTTCACCATGGCAGCACTGGGAAAATCAAAGGCAGTATGTACTAGTAGTCAGAGCTGGCATGTACAGCTGTGCACTCATTCACTGAACAACTCTAAGGGGACTAATTTCCATCAGAATTGTATTCATACCATATGAATACATTATGGTTCGTATGTGTGCTATTGACTCGAACAGAATATTTTGGAATCCTGGCCTGCCCTCTACTAATCCTATAATCTTGGAGGAGTTATTTAACCTCTCTGTGCTTCTATTTTATTATCTATCAAATAATAAGAAAAATTTCCCTTATAGGCTAGTTCTGAATATTAAGTGGGATAATAGTAAAAAAAGTTTTCATTTCTATTTATTTTTATTTTTATTTATTATTATTATTTTTTTTTTTTTGAGATGAGGTCTCGCTCTGTCGCCCAGGCTGGAGTGCAGTGGCACAAGCTTGGCTCACTGCAACCTCTGCCTCCCAGGTTCAATGATTCTCCTTCCGCAGCCTCCTGAATAGCTGGGATTACAGGCGTATGCTACCACACCTGGCTAATTTTTATATTTTTAGTAGAGACGGAGTTTCACCATGTTGGCCAGGCTGGTCTCGAACTCCTGGCTTCAAGTGATCTGCCCACCTCGACCTCCCAAAGTGCTGGGATTACAGGCATGAGCCACCACACCAGGCCATAAAAAGTTTTTAATCCAGTGCAGTGGGCAGAATAATAATTCCCCCAAAGATATCCATGTCCTAGTACCCAGAACCTGTGATATGTTACATTACAAAAGGAAATTAAAGTTGCAGATGAAATTAAGGTAGCTAGTCAGCAAGCCTTAAAATAAGAATATTATCCAGGATTATCTGGATGGGCCCAGTATAATCATGTGGGTGTTTAAAAGCAAACAGGAAAGCAGAAGAGTGGGTCAGAGAGAGAGGCAACAAGAGAAAGAGGGCGAGAGATTTGAAGCATGAGAAGAACTCAACCTACCATTGCTGGCTGAAGACAAAAGAAGGGGCCATGAGCCAAAAAATGTGGGTAGCCTCTAGAAGAAGGGTGTCCAGTCTTTTGGCTTTCCGGGGCCACATTGGAAGAATTGTCTTGGGTCACACATAAACTACATGAACACTAACAATAGCTGATGAGCTTAAATTTAAAAAAAAAGCAAAAAAAAACTCATAATGTTTTAAGAAAGTTTACAAATTTGCGTTGGGCTACATTCAAAGCCGTCCTGGGCCACATGCAGCCCACAGGCCGTGGGTTGGACAAGCTTGCTCTAGAAGCTGAGAATCTTCCTCAGCTAAAAAGCCAGCAAGAAAACAGGGGCTTTAATCCTACAATTGCAAGGAGCAGAATTCTGCCAAAAATCTAACTGAGCAATGAAAGAGATTGTTCCCCAGATCCTCCAGAAAGGAATGCAGTCTGCTGACACCTTGGCTTTAGCCCAGTGAGATCTTTTTTGGACTTCTGATCCAAAGAACTTTAAATGTATATTGTTTTAAGCCATCAAGTTTGTGACAATTTACAGTAGCAATAGAAGCTAAAACTATACTCATTTATGTGATTGCTACTATTGTTGTTGTTTATTCATTTACTCAATCATTAAAAATATCCACTGAGAGTCTACTATGTGCTAGGCATGATTCTAAGTACTGGGATACCACAAGAAACAAACTGGTGAGAGTCTCGCCATTCTAAAACTTGCCTCTCAGTAGAATATAACCATATAACTAGAGCAAGGGGCAGGGAAGCACAGGAACTAGCTGTAGGCAGTTTGCTGAGTATGCAGTTGGGCCACCACATCTGCAGGATTCACATCTATAGATTCAACCAACCACGAATTGAAAATATTTTTATAAATGGATAGTTGCATCTGTATTGAATATGTACAGATTTTGGTTTTGTCATTATTCCCTAAATACTATAATAAACACCTAGTTACATAGCATTTACACTGTACTAGGTAGAAATAATTTAGAGATAAAGTACACAGGAGGCTGTGCATAGGTTGTATCCAAATACTATGCCATTTTATATAAGACACCTGAGCATCTGCAGGTTTTGTTATCTCAGCAGGGGTGGGGGGTGGTCTTGAAACCAATTCTCCCATAGATACTTAGAGACAACTTATCAGGGGAAATTCAGCCAGATATCGGGCGAAATTCACCCCTGATATTTCACGTAGGTTCTTTTCTATTTTCCCTAAGTGTCAGCCGGTTTGAGAAATAAAGGGACAGAGCACAAAAGAGAGAAATTTTAAAGCTGGGCGTCTGGGGGAGACATCACATGTCGGTAGGTTCCTGATGCCCCCTAAGCCATAAAACCAGCAAGTTTTTATTAAGGATTTTCAAAAGGGGAGGGAGTGTACAAATAGGGTGTGGGTCACAGAGATCACGTGCTGCACAAGGTAATAAGATATCACAAGGCAAATGGAGGCAGGGCGAGATCACAGGACCACAGGACCGGGGTGAAATTAAAGTTGCTAATGAAGTTTTGGGCACACATTGTCATTGATAACATCTTATCAGGAGACAGGGTCTGAGAGCAGACAACCAGTCTGACCAAAATTTATTAGGCGGGAATTTCCTCGTCCTAATAAGCCTGGGAGTGCTATGGGAGACTGGGGCTTATTTCATCCCTACAGCTCGACCATAAAAGATGGCCACACCCAAGGGGTCCATTTTAGAGGCCTACCCTCAGGGATGCATTCTCTTTCTCAGGGATGTTCCTTGCTGAGAAAAAGAATTCAGCGATATTTCTCCCATTTGCTTTTGAAAGAAGAGAAATATGGCTCTGTTCCGCCCAGCTCACCGGTGATCAGAGTTTAAGGTTATCTCTCTTGTTCCCTGAACATTGCTGTTGTCCTGTTCTTTTTTCAAGGTGCCCAGATTTCATATTTTCCAACACACATGCTCTACAAACAATTTGTGCAGTTAACGCAATTATCACAGGGTCCTGAGGTGACATACATCCTCCTCATCTTATGAAAATGACGGGATTAAGAGATTAAGGTAAAGACAGGCATAGGAAATCACAAGGGTATTGACTGGGGAAGTGATAAGTGTCCATGAAATCTTCACAATTTATGTTCAGAGATTGCAGTAAAGACAGGCATAAGAAATTATAAAAATATTAATTTGGAGAACTAATAAATGTCCATGAAATCTTCACAATTTATGTTCTTCTGCCATGGCTTCAGCCGGTCCCTCCATTCAGAGTCCCTGACTTCCCACAACAACAATTGTATTATCTAAGAAAGTAAACCTTTAGAAATAAAGGTAATGAATGCTGAGCAATTGTGGACAAAGAAGTTGAGAATTCTCTAAATTCAGTTTTTTAAAGGCACTAATATAAGTAAGTGAAAATATTATAACAAAAAAGTATAGGAAGAGGATTATTTCACAGTTTGATAAATGAAGAATGTAGTCTGGTCAATGCGGAGACATTTCATTAAGCTTTTACCTGGATAAAAGTGACAGTAAGGTGGAGCCAAGAGTATTTCTAGTTTATTGGATGCTTAATTAAACTTAATTGCTTCATAAAGCGTAAATAATTCTCATTTCATTTTATGAATTTTTTCATTCCAGATCATTTTGCTTTAATTAAGTACACATTTTTAAAACTCCTCAGAACCATTATAGATTTCAATTCACTGAGTCAACTCACAGAATTATATTTTGTCTAGTTTAAGCATTTGCATATGTGTTATGTCCTTGCATTTTCACAAACATTCTGTGAAATATCTTACCTCCATTTTACTGATCAGAAACCAGGCACAGTTAGACAGTGATGAATGATTCAAACAGATACTGACGGACATTTCACAGTTTACATCAAAATTTTAAACTTTGTAAAGACAGGAAAAGGAGCTTCATGGTGACCAAGGATATCAGCTCCCTTCCTCTGGAGCTAACTCCTAAGGTAAAAAGCAAGAAAATGCAGCACAAGTGATCACTTTCATCTCTACTAAAAGCTATGGAGATTCCTGCCAAAAAGAAACCCACCCCATTCAGCGCTGCAAATCTTTCAGTTTAAACTTCTGGTGGCAAAGGAAACAGCACCAATTTGCAATATTCCAGTGCTCTGAGTTGGTTTCTGGAGTCTATGTCGGCTCTGCAAGGAGAATGAATTGATGCCGTGGTCCTTCGTTACTTTCAATAAACTCTGGAATTAATAAAGGATCTTGAGAAATGAACTAATGGTGAACGTTTGGTAGGAGGAAGTCGTCAACCTAGAAGTTAAGTCATCACAGGCTTACTGTTGTCTTATGTTGATGGAATATCTAGATATTAACACTGTAAGGCAACACAAGAAGAATGTTTTCACCATATATGTATACTTTTCTCTCTTTTAAATAAGAAATTGTTTTCTTTGGACAACTTGACAAAAACCAATCATCTGTCAGTGATGCTGTAATGGGTGGTTTTGGGACATGTTTTTAAGGTTAGGTTTCTTGCAAAAAGTGACACTTGAAGAAACTTTTAAGCAAACAAGAGAGAATTACTTGATGGACACAGCATGATAGGTTTATCTTAGGTCTACAAAAAGCACAGGGCTCAGAAAAGAAGAAACCAAAAGGAGACCATTTTGAGCAAGTGAACTGTATAGTATTGTGAGTGGAGACTGAGGAAATTGATGTAAGTATTTTGAAAGCCCATGAGATCACCTAAACATTTGATGGTAGGAAATACTTCAATGAAAGCACATCCATTTTGTGCAATATTATATACCATTAAAATCATGTTTTTGAGGATTATTTAATGGTACTAGAAATTATTTATGATATAATGTTACTTGAAAGAGAAAGCAAGATATAAATTTCATATTCAGGATAATAGCAGTTTTGTTATACATATACCTGCCCACCAACATGCACACATGCATACCTTATCAGAAGGTGTTACAAATATACAAATGAAACATTAATCTGTCTTGAGCATGATAGGGAATGTATTGATAATATAACTGAACAATTCAAGGATAAAATTGGCTTCAAAGGTTGATCCAAGTCCAAATATGGTGCCAGGACCCCATTTCTCACACTACATTTTTCCGCTCTAGTTTTGTGCCATTGCTCTCATTTGCAGGTAGGTCCTGCCCTAGAGCATAGAGAGGCTGCAGGTACTCTCATTCAAGTTAGGTGGGAAAGAGGGTTTGAACAGGGTCCTGGTTTCTTTGTCTTATTTCTTGTTCCCAACCCTGAACCCATCCCTGTAGCTAAGAAGGTGTAACACCTCTCACCATCCTTCCCAACCAGAGGTGAGGTAAGTTCCAGCCAAATCACATGGCTAGGAGATTCAGGTGACCTTTAAGAAAGGGGAATGGAAGGGTGGGTGGTGAAGCAACAAACAAATGTCTGCTACTCATACTCTCACACAGGGAATAATTGGAAGAAAGGATACCCCAATTTTCATTGGTTGCCATGGATTATACATATACACATATACACAGACACACACACATATACATATTTAATATGGATTATAGATGATTTCATATGACTTCACAAGCTTATTTTATTTTTATTTTATTTTATTTTTCTGTGATGGAGTCTCGCACTCTCGCCCAGGCTGGAGTGCGGTGGCACCATCTCGGCTCACTGCAAGCTCTGCCTCCCAGGTTCACGCCATTCTCCTGCCTCAGCCTCCTGAATAGCTGGGACTACAGGTGCCCGCCACCAAGCCCAGCTAATTTTTTGTATTTTTAGTAGAGACGGGGTTTCACCATGTTAGCCAGCATGGTCTCAATCTCCTGACCTTGTGATCCTCCCGCCTCGGCCTCTCAAAGTGCTGGGATTACAGGCGTGAGCCACCACTCCTGGCCAAGCTTATTTTTTAAGAATATTCCAATAATTACATATAATCTAAGAAATAAATTACAAAACTCCCTAAAACAAAAGGTGCACATTTTTAGCTTATCAATAAAGCCAGGTCATTTATAGGTTGATAGTTTTAAATACTTCTATACAGCTGTATATTGTTTTATGCATATAGCTTTATAACTCTACATATAGTTTTATAGTTATATGTAGACAGATAGATATACCTTATTTATAAAATAATATATATTTAAAAGTTCGGCACCAAGTGGTAAAAGGTTCTGAAAAGTGTTTGAGACCATGGGAGAGGTAGTGAAGAGAGTGATTTCATCAAGCAATAGTTGAGAAATGTTATTTTTGCAATATTTTTTGATGAATGTTAATAGGTATCATTAATTATATTTAATATTTTGTAGCAAATGTTTAAATAATTATACTCAGGAACTTCAAAAACTTTATTTAAAAAAAAATTACTCAGAGAATGTCATGTACTGGCCTGTGCCTGGGCTTTCCCAAGCTATTTCTCCTCTAGTCCCACCTGTCTCTATGTCAGTGTTAGCCCATTGCCAATGGTCTCCCCACAAAAGAAAGCAACACACACTCACCCTAGTAAGATAGTTTTATTGGCATTCTTGTGGACAGATGGAGAATGGGGGTCTATCACATAGCACAGCTTTATAGACATCCACATTTACCCTTCTCCATACATTCCCAAAACGCTCTCTCCCTTGGCAGCTGTCTCATCCCTCCTAGCTCACTCAGCACCTCAGTTGGCATCTATTTTTTTTTCTTTTCCACCTCCTCCATCTCTTCTGCAGCCACATGGCTTCAGTCCCTACCACCCTGGGACACTTCCTCTAGGTTAAGAGTCAAAATGCAAATGCCCGCAGGAGCCAGGTGGGCAACATAAAGAAAAGAGCAGAAATTCCAGGTACCAAAGACTGGCAGGGACTATGGCAAACTAGACAATGAATGCCTCATAAAGCACTTGGTGCCTGTAGGGATGAGGATCCCGTATTCACTGGCTCCCGATTGTCAAAGAGACACTGGAAATAGGATCTTTAATATCTTTAAAAAATACCACATGGTCAAGGAAAACGTATTTGCCAGCCAGATGAAACCCATGAGCTACCAGTTTGCAACCTCATCCCTAGATCTCTCCATTCCTTTTCCTAAGTGGGCAAAGTTAGTCCTCTCTTGGTGTCCTTCATTTCTATAACCAAACATTAACCACTGCTCAGGGTAAATGTCAATGACTCATCACTTAGCGCACGAGCGTGTGTGTGTGTGTGTGTGTGTGTGTGTGTGTGTGTAGGTGGCATGGCAGGTATAAGGTTATAGACACCAAAACTCTCCAACACAGCAGTGCATCTTGAAGCAAGGATAATCTAAGTGTCGGGAAAGCTGGTTCTACTTCCTATTTAGCCACTTCCTAGTTTTGCTCTTCTATCCCATGCCTATAATACCATGATAAATGCTGAAATGCCTTGAACTCTCAAATTAAATGTACTATGTTGTACATATTTCCTTTTATGCTCTTTGTTTCCTTTGGGGTGAAAATATACTAATGAGCCAAACATCATTCTATCATCAAAGATTGGTGGGATTTAGGAGGTATCAGTGTGTCCAAGCTGCTCTGACGGACATTGTATGAGTGAGGTAAGACGAAGAGTCAATGCCCAGAAGCAGTGGCTTAAAAAAATTTTTTTGACCAGGTATCAGTCAGGATTTAGTCAAGAAAATAAAAATCACATTAGCTCTTCAAACAGAGGAATTGATTACTTAAGTGTGGAAAGGCTGAAAGAACAGAAGGGGAACACTATAAGAATATCTAGAGATAATAACAGCAGGAATTAGCCCATGCCTTGAGAAAGAGGGACAGAAAGTAGAAGGTGGGGTTACTGTAACCAGAAGATTGAAGGAGGGGCTCCAAAGAGCTGATGTTGTAGCTTTGAAGAGGTGGTGGCATCTGACTTCTGCTGGTAGCTCTGCTGCTAGAGGTCTGACAGAAGCTGAAAGAAGTTGAAAGAAGCCGGAGGCTGCAGCCAGTGCAGCTGCTGGAGCCATGCTGAGGGAAACAGAAACACAGAAAGGAAGCCTCTTCTCTTTCCTCTGACCTTCTCCTCCACTTGCAGAAGGAACCAGCTGGCAAAGGAGGGTCCCAATGCCAACATCACAGAGCAGTGTAGAGGGGGTGGATTTGGAGCTGAGAGACAATAGGGAGATAACTGGCACAGATACAGCCACAATCAAAAATACAGATCACATCAGGACTCAGCACAGAGCTTTTGCACGCATGTCCAACTGCAACAAGCTTCACGAACCAGTGGGACGCACTATATCTTATTTTCTATTCTATTCTATGTCATTTTAATTATTAAAATGCTGGTTACACTCTCCTACGTGATTTCATAATCCACTAGTGCCTTAGAGGAGTCTCAAATCTAAAAAAGAAGTGAATGACTCTGAGACTCCATGAGAGCAAAGTGTATGTGGTTGAGATGAAGAAGGATGTCCATCAAATTCAAACAAAAGTCTGAGCAACTTGGAAAATTCAGGGAAAGTATGGGAAGATTTGTTTTTCTAATTTCAGAGTAGTCTTTGCAAGAAAACAGAGAATATCATTGTGGTAAAGTTGGCAAGATCACATTTTAATTTTGACCCTGCCTTCCTCATCAACATTACAGATGTCAGTTTACAAGTAACATATGACATAGATGTTTACATGCTGGGTGGCACTGAAATACTTAATGTCATTTTTAGAGTCAACATTTATCAGCATGGTGGCACATGGAAATTAGGTTTGTTTTCTTTAGTTGGTCTTAGGAAAATCACAGTGCTGTCCACCGGATGGCATAAAAGTCACTAACAACAGATTCTCCTTTTTATTTCTGGGGTAATTAATCTAGAAGAGTAGACTTGTATGGCCCAAAAACACAATAGGATTGCATTATTTCCTTTTGGTTTTTAGCTAATATCTAGTATTAAGTCAATCTTTCATATATATATATATATATATATATATTTTTTTTAAGTTCATTAGTAATTCAAATACTGAATTTGATCTTTATGAAGAGATTTGGATATCAATACTATTACAAACACAATCTCTACATCCCCCCAAAAGTAGACCAGAAATTTGGAGAGAAACCCAGTTAAAATATGCTATAGCAAAGGCAAATTAAAAGCAACTTAGATGGTTTGACTCACAGAGTTAATAGAGTCGTTTACATTTAAAACCTGGAAGACTGGGCAAGGTGGTTTACACCTGCAATCCCAGCACTTTTGGAGGCTGAGGTAAAATTTTTTTTAAAATGTCAACAGAAAAGTTTTCAATCATCCAATTAAACAGATAATTTGTTTACATTGGGGAGGAGAAGTATGCCGTAACTCTGACGTGTGTGTGTTTATACATGCATGTATAAGGAGAGTGTGTGTGTACATGCGTGTGTAAAATAACATGGGTACTCAAAGGAACAGGTCCAAGTTTAGGAAGAATAGGCCATGTTGACTTGCTGGTATGTACCCAGAACCTGTTTGTTGATGTCAGTCAACTTAGTACTTTCTTCCTTGGGCCAGAGAAGATGTCATCAGATTATGAATCTGAATTGCTTTCTCTCTTTTTCTTATTGATATTTAAGAATATGAAAGAAAAAGATCTTTCTATCCAAAATAGATGAAGCTTAGCTGTAAATTTCAAATGCTGATATTTCTCAGCTGTTATGTTTAAACAAAATGTCTAAAAGCCAACCTACTGCTCACAGTAATCAGCAATATCTCCTATGTAAAATAGTTCAGGAAGCAAAGAAAAAATTTAAAATACGCGATCTCTTTAGTGATTTCACACCTTACTATCTTTCATTGGGTTTGTGACATCATTTTGTGACCTGTTTTAAGATCATATTAGAAAAACCAAAAAAGAAAAAAGATTGTATTAGATATGTATATATATAAGTACATGATAATTAAATATGACTTTCCCCAAATGCCTTGAGATAAGGGATGACAAAATGAAGTGTAACAAAATCAGAGTTCAGAGTCATGTCCCTTAGAAAGTTACGTGATGTTTTGGGCTTCATTCGCCTTATCTATACGAATTGCAATACCGCTTTTGTAAGTTTGTTATAAGGATTAAATCATACAACGTATGAAAAAAAACAAAAAAAAACCTGGAAGAATTTTGGCTTGGATTATACAGAATTTTACCCTTTGCAATTTTTTTACCATGTATTTAAATTCTTTTCTGTGCATTAGATTCCAAACTTCATAAGGAAATCCGAGTCTGAATTTAGGCTCAGATCCTGCTTCTGCCATTAACACACCATTTGACCCTGGCAACTTATTAAACTTATTATTTAATCTTATTAAACTCCTCATCTTACATGCACCACAATGTCTAACAATACATATTCAGTAAAAAACCTATAACTGTTGGAGCTTTTATCTTGTTAGATGAGGATATCTATCAAGAAACTATGATTCTTCTAATTTATTTCTGCTGAAAAATATAAATACACACTAAAGAGAAAGGGGGCAAGCTTCCAGCTCTACTGGAATAGAGAACTATAATGACTGAGAGGTTGAGTTTGGAGTCTGTTCACCTAGGTTCAAATCCAGGCTCCTTGACTTCCTAGGTAACCTGGATGAGTTGCTTACCCTCTCTGTGCGTCATTCTTCCCATGTATAAAATGGGGGGAAAAAAATAACACCATTTAACTCGTAAAATTGTCACGTGGTTTAAAGCTATGTACCTGTAAAGTGCTTTGGAACAGTCCCTGGCAAATAGTCCTTGGCCTACAATAACTAATAGCTATTACTACATTTTTATTCTTATGTCCAGAGTTTGGGTAATCCAGTGGAGAAGTAAAAGCAAGATGGAATGGAAGAGACTATGAAAAAGGCATGAATTTGGGGGATACTTCAAAGTTCTGAGAGTATATTGTAGCAACACTATAGTACTCAAAGTCCCATTGAATAACAGACTAAATCACAGGATCTCTTCATTTCCAAAATGTCCCAGCTCTCTGTTCACAAGAGTTGTCCATGGAAACATGAAACACCTCTTAGGCTTTATAATTAAGAAACTCCCAGGTTTCATAAATAAAACTTCAAGGACAGACTACTACATATTTAAAAGGATTGCTAAAGTAAAAAAGACAGACAATGCCAAGCGTTGGAGAAAGTGTGAGGCAAATGGAACTCACATACACAAACAGGGGTTACATAAACTCCTAAAAATCACTTCAGAAAACTGGCTGGCCATATCTGAGAGAGCTGAGCATATGCATTCCTCATAGTCTATATGCATTCTTTATAATCTATCAATTTCACTCTTAGGTGTATAAGCAATAGAAATAAAGGCATATGTTCATCAAAAGACAAATATATGAATGTTTATAGAGACAACATTTATAATGGCCCAAACAGAAAACAACCCAAATTCTATCACTGAGAATGGGTAAATTGGGATATCTTCATGTAACAGAATGTCATATGTCATAGAGAATGAACAAACCATTGTTAAGCAACATGGATGAATCTCACCAACATAATATTAAGAAAATTAGCCAGATATAAAAGAGTGCATATTGTTGGCCCTTGAACAACATGAATCCACATGTAATCTTTGACTACCCCAAAACTTAACTATATACCCTAATGTTGACCAGAAACCTTACTGATAACATAAACACCCAAATAATACGTATTTTGTATGTTATATACTATATACTGCAGTCTTACAATAAAGTAAGCTACAGAAAATAAAATGATATTAAGAAAATCATAAAGAAGGGAAAATATATTTACTGTTCATTAAGTGGAAGCAGATCATCACAAAGATCTTCATCCTCATCTTCTTCACATTGAGTAGGCTGAGAAGGAGGAGGAGGAGGGGTTGTTCTTGCTGCCTCAGGGGTGGTAGAGGCAGAAGAGATAGAGGAGGTAAAAGGGGAGGCAAGAGAGGCAGGCACACTCTGGATAACTTTTATGGAAAAAAAAATTCACATATAAGTGGACCCGTGCAGTTTAAACCTATATTGTTCAAGGGTCAACTGTGCTTTACGATTTCATTTATATAAAGTTTGAAAGAAGGCAAAACTAAACTAAATTTAGTTAGTTTAGTTTTGAAATCCTTTTAGTTAGTTTAGCATTGAAATCCTTTGTTTCTATGTCTGTCTCCCCTACTCAATCATAACCTGATCAAGACTAGGGACAGTGTCTCATTATATCTTCAGTGTTCAACACAGAGGCTGGCACATAGTAGGCTTCTAGTAAATGTTAATAAAAAGTAAAATTATTGAGATATATTTTACTTTGTATTTTATAAAAATATACTTTGATGCCAAGTTTGCTGATCAGTTTTGTCAAGTAGACTATGCAGTAGTTTATGTCAACTATCTTCTTAATTCTTCCCCCAAATTTCACTCAAACATTTCATCATTTTTCTCTGCCTTCAAATATTATTAGCAAAACTCTGCTAATCAGAGAAGTGGAAGATGTCATAAACTGTACTTTCTTTTTTTGTTTTGGTTTTGTTTTGTTTTTGAGACAGTCTTACTCTGTCACACAGACGGGAGTATAGTGGAATAATCACGGCTCACTGAAGTCTCGAACTCCTTTGATCAAGCAATTCTCTCACCTCAGCCCCCAAGTAACTAGGACTACAGGCATGTGGCACTGCACCCTGCTAATACTTTTATTTTTTTATAGAGATAGTATCTTACCATGTTGCCCAACCCGGTCTCAAACTCCTGGGCTCAAGTGATCCTCTTTCTTAAGCCTCCCAAAGTGCTGGTATTACAGGTGTGACCACCACACCCAGCCTTGTACTTTGTTTATTAAGTTTTCCTAATAGATTCTGTAACTGAAATGTAAAAAAAACTTTTATATGTAGCCTAAGCTGACTCTATTATTTATCAGAGAAATACTACAACCTGACAAATATGTTGGTTATATACTTATGTGGCCTGCTAAATTTGCAGAGACAGAGTAAGTAAAGGTGGAGAAAGGTTTCTGGCTTTGTTATGCCTTAAACAATTTTCTGAGATTCACATTTATTGCTTTAATAGGCTATCAAGAAAAATGAAGTAATTATCTGAGATGCAGAATTCTGTTGATCTGAGCATGGACATTTGTTCCTCCTCCCATGAGAGGCCAGTTCTTATTTTTCTCATGAATCAAATCTATTTAATTCCCATGAGCTCTCTGATTGGAAGAGTGTACTTACATACAACAGCAGAGAATTATGGCACCTCGGCTATTATCACATTCTAATCACAGCTTCTTGCATTTGAGGCTTATGATACAAAGCAGAATTCAAAATGTCAGTTTCTTGAGGTTCAAAAATCAGTTCCATATATGCTGTCTTGGCAGCAGCCAAAAAGGACAAATTAATAAAACATTATGTACAGTACTAAAAAACTGGGAGGTAGGCAGAGAATGGAGATGTACGTCATCCATTAATCAGTGACCTAACCAGAAAAACATTAGTGAATGATTAAAGAAAGATGACCCTAAGGGACTTCAGGGGGATTCAGACAGGCTTTTGTCAAAGCCCCCAAATCTAATGTAATTTCAGGCTGGCCTCAAAATTCAATTTGTGTGGAACCTCTAAGTCATCTATTCCGCAACGACATACAGCATAATTGCATTTGAACAGCTTCCAGCACAGCACTGAGAAAATGTCTTGTTCCGGGCCCTCAGTGCCTACGAGGAAGGCAGTCCAGATGACCACACAGGAGGACGGGCTCAGTAACAGAGTCTGCTGATCCCACCTGCTGACCGTTGCCCTCCACAGGAAGCACATGTTTCTGCTTAATTCCTGCCAGCTTTTGGCTGTCAGGTAGGGCATCTGCAACAGGCAGTTCCCGAGGGCTGCCACCTGGTGCTGTCAGTCGGCTTCAGACCAACAAGGAAAAGGGGAGGCATTCATCGATGTGCTTATTTTTCTGTGTTTAGAGTATTTCTTGGGACTTAGAGTTTTCACTTGGCAAGTTAACTGGTCTTTTTAGTTAGGAGAGAAAAAAAAGGAATTTTGCTTGCTTTCCCTTAACTCAGTGCTCCCTGCTTTGGAAAAGCTATTTTGTAATACCTGGTTCACCCTCATTAAGTGTCTGCAGCTTCTCCACACTACTGAATGGTTGCTTGAAAATATACTTAAAAGTTATATTCTAAACATCATAACTTGAGAAATAGTCATTAAATCCCATTATGTTTTAATGTGTAGTTACAATCACAAATAGGCAAAGTTAGTGTTTCAATCCCATTAGAAAGATTAGACAAAAATAAAACAAAAATAAATGTCTCAGGAGGAAGATGGAGCATTCCTTAGAAAATACCCTTTTTGGCTCCTGTCTCAGTAGTTTATAGCATGCAAAGAAATAGAAGATGTTCAGTGAATGTCAACAGTTAGATGGTATTTCAACCTCAAAAAGACTGCTTATTCTGTTCCAAAATCAACTTATATTCAATTTTCACTCATACCTTTCATTTTGCATCTACAAATGCAGTACAACTTTCCATAAAGCCAATTTGATGTAATGAAATTGATTGAATAAGAAGCATGATTTGATTTTCCCAGATTGCTTTAAGTAGTAGCCTAATTGTGAATAGGAATTAGCACTTGGGTAAGAAGGAAACTATTACCCTGAGGTCTTAGTCTGTTTTGGCTGCTATAACAAAATGCCATAGACTGGGTCATATAGAAAAAACAGAAATGTGTTGCTTACGCTCTGGAGGTGGGGTGGTTCAAGATCAAGGTGCCAGCAGATATGGTGTCTAGTGAGGGCTCACTCTCTGCTTCAATGATGATGCCCACTACTTGTGTCCTCACATGGCAGAAGGACAAAAGGGCTCCTTCAAGTTTCTTTTATAAGGGTAAGAATCCCATTCATGAGGGTTCTGCCCTCATGACCCAGACACCTCCCAAAAACTCCCATCTCTTACTACTATGGCCTTAGGGGTTAGGTTTCAACATATGAATCGTAGAGGGCACAAACATTCAGACCACAGCACCTAGTGACACAGATATTTTCATTAGTGGGTTTTTGTTTGGCTTATCCCACTGATGATTGACAAAAGTGATAATGTTAATAAAATGTATAAAGATGTTGGGTTAATAATAGTATCAGTAGTAATAGGAAAAGTTAGAAGTACTCAAATACTGGACTTAGTTTTTATATCTAAGCACCTACAGGTTTTTTTTTCTTTTCAAGAAAGTATGTGCCCAAGCACATATTTACATTACTGCTAGAAAAATTAGCTTTATCTCTTCAGCTTCATATATTTCCCATTGGAGCAAATCATTCCATCATGTGATTTTTTTTTTGATAACGGAATATATGAGGAGCATAGCCATCACACTATGGCAGAACAGACTGTTCTGAACTTCAAAAATATATTACTATGGAAATTCATGTCCAGAAAGTCAAATGGAAATTGCCATGAGTGTATGTCTTGTTTAATGGCATTTTTAACACTGGAAAGAATCACAGAATTATTTGTGACAGAATTAGAGAAGCCTATATCAGCATATTTGTGGACATTTTCTAGTAAACATAAGCACTCCACTGCCTTTATTTTCATGGTCATATTTTTATTCTACCTGTGTATTTTTAGGAAGTTCAATAAAATATTTGCTCAGAAAGTATTCCGGACATGTAAAGGTATCAGGTGCCAAGTCATACAAAGAACTGAATGCAAGAGAGGAACAGGAAGTTGAATGGGTGAAAAGTGGTTGGGCAGAGAAGTACAAAAGGAATTAAAAAAAACGTAGAATGACCCTTAACTTAAGAATCAGAGGAATCAGACTATAAAGTTAAAAGCCGAAACTGTTTTCATAACTTCTTGTTCCCACAAATGGTGTCTTGATTATCTTAAACCTCTGGCAAGCTGCCTGTGCTTGCTCACACTTAGAGAGGAGCTTGACAATGAATGAAGGCAATTTTAGCCCATTAGTCCATTAGAAGGTTTCAGAAATATCCTCTCTGCACTTTTTATCTTCCCATTGGTGTGCTTACCATCGACTCCCATGCAAAAACTGGGAGTTCCTTTAGGTGTGTGTTTGACGTGGGCAACCTCATCTCCCTTGGGGATGCTGAGGGAGAGAGAGAGTGGTGGCACAAGAGGATGCAGCCACCATGTACCTAAGCATGGGGCTCTAACTCAACAACCACTGGAATACTCAAGGAACTCCTTCAAGGGAAATTCTGTAGCTACACATGTTTGTTAAACCAAAGTGATTTTTCTGAGCAGGGAGGGCATCTGCCAGGCTTACAAATTAGGAAAAAGTTTAACCTGCCCCTTCATACCTCCTTCTCAGTTTTCAGGTTGAGCTGCTGAAAACTCCCCTTGAACATGCAGGACAGCTTGCTGTGTGTGTACAGTTTTTTCAAAGAAGGATGTGACTACAAAGATTTCCTAAGTATCTAGGCATATCCTATATTCATGTTCACAGAAACAATATTCCACATTGATTGTCTATCATTCAGTTGGTTCCAAAGTGCAAACACTCATTTTCCTGTGTGCACTGTGAGAAATTCCTAGATTTTGTTTCAAGAATTTTTCATGGAAAGTAAAACAGTTTTTTTGTTTTTTGTTTTTAACAGAAGACATGTTGAAATGCCTTGAACTTACTTTGGGTGTTTGATAGGATCAGTTTTCTGTAATGTTTCTTCCCACCCTCCTGTTCTTCTCTCATCCAGACCCCAAATCCTTCAGCCACTAGCCTGTTCAGGGCCCTGGTTTGATAACCCTGCAATTGCAGAGTGGAGTGGGAGGAGAAGCCTCATACCTTTGTTTTTCTGGTTCTTCCCAACACCCTGGTGGCCTACTTGGGTGTCCCACAAGCTCTCTGTGGAAAATAGTGCATCTCATTTAGCAACAACTCCACCTAGCACAAGTTCTGAGCTATACTTAAACCAGTGGGGAGAGAGTGTTGGAATGATTAAGGCTTGCATTCGACTGTGCAAGAAGAACCATTTTCTCTTCATGGTGGTGGGCCACAGAGTAATTTCTGCTTCTACTTTCACAACCCACAGGGTAGAGGAAGTGAATTCATGCTTTTTTCCAGTGTGACAAAAATGCAATAGGTGTTCAAAGGTATGTTTTCAGGAGAAAGTTTCAACCAAGTTATAAGGGCTTTAGTGGAGTTTTTTATATGATAAAAAGAATCCACAAGAACATTTTTCTGTTTCCCAGGCTCTCTCATAATGTTGGAATTTCCCTTTACGTGGAAGACAATAATGTAGCTCAGAGTATACATATCTTCATAGCTGTACCAAATGACCACACTCTTTACTATTTCTTTTTCAAAATAGCCACTGTGTTTTATGTTTTGTAATATTTATGGAAAAATAGGAACAACTTGATAGCCCAGCCTTTTAAGAATCTTGGCTATTTAGAGTGTGCTAAGGGAGGTGGCGTGAATTGGCCAACGTTTGCACCTAGAGTACTATCTTGCACCTAGTATACTGTCTTCTTCAGTAATCAGTATGTAAAGTAATCAGTATTTAAAGTGTTCAGACAATTTTTTCTAAGTAGGGGATCACTAAAATATAACACTCACAGCCTTCCAAAAGAGTTCTGCGAAGTGAAAGACTACTCATGGGTTCTGGCTTCCTTCTAACATTTCAAAACCATCTTCTGCCTTCACCCTAGTGTTACTGACCATCTTACCTTTGTGTCCCATGGTATTCAATACCTATTTCTATCATTTAATTATATTTTATATTTCCTATAATATTTTATTGTATAAACTACTGCCCTGATTTGTTACATGTTTGTCCTGAATTTAAAAACATAAAGTGCTGAAGTTCCATAATAGTATCTCAATCATCTTAAAACTTCCAGACCAAGGACATACCCAGAACTTAGCGATAAATGTTTGTTGAAGGAAAGATTGAATGAATAATGGGAAGTTGGAGCTGATGTAAAACTATCTACTTGAAAGGACCCAAAAGAATAAATGAAGGCACTTTTTGCATAGAATTACGAGAAGAGAAAACTAATTTCTTGGCCTTATATGTATAGTTTCTAAATAAACTTTTTGGAGCATCAACAATATCCATATCTTACTAACATGAAGACCTGAAGTATGGCAGTGTTAGGGGAAGACAGGCGAGTCTGGTGAAGTTAAAGCCTGTGCTTGGCATAAGAAAGGAACTTCTCTGTGTGTCATCCTTCATTTTAGGCCTTCTACTCTGGGCTGCAGTTTTCTCCTTTTATTTATCAACCTGTTGCTAAAGGAAAACTTTGATTTTGTTTTTGTAAAGGGCTAAAAACTTGAGTGTACCAAATTTGCCTAGTTTGAATGTGATACTTGTTGAAAGAAAAGAAAATTTTCCCTCCTTTTCATAAACTCAGAGGACTGGGCACAGAAATAAACCACACAATTGGTAAGTGCTGTGGTCTGAATGTTTGTGTCCCCTCCCAAATTCATAGTTAAAACTTAATCACTAATGCACTAGTCTTAAGAGGTGGGCCTTTTAGGAGATGATTAGGTCATGAAGGCAGAAGCCTTATAGATGGGATGAGTGCCCTTATAACAGAGGCCTGAGGGGAGTTTGTTCACCCCTTCTGTCATGTGAGGATCTAACAAGGAGTTGCAATATACACAGCGGAGAGCCCTCACCAGATGCTGAGTCTGCTGGCATCTTGATCTTGAACTTCCCAGCCTCTGAAACTGTGAGAAATAAAATTTCTGTTGTTTATAAATTACTTAGTGATATGGTTTGGCTGTGTCCCCACCCAAATCTCATCTTGAATTGTAGCTCCCATAATTCCCATGTGTCGTGGGAGAGACCTGGTGGGAGGTAATTGGAATCATGGGGGCAGGTCTTTCCCATGCTGTTCTCATGATAGTGAATAAGTCTCATGAGATCTGATGATTTATAAAGGGCAGTTGCCCTGCACACTCTCTTTTGCCTGCCACCATGTAAGACGTGACTTTGCTCCTCCTTTGCCTTCTATCATGATTGTGAGGCCTCCTCAGCCATGTGGAACTGTGAGTCAACTAAACCTCTTTCCTTTATAAGTTACCTGGTCTTGGGTATTTCTCTATTAGCAGCATGAAAACAGACTAATGCACCTAGGCTAAGGTATTTTGTTGTAGCAGCCCTAATGGACTCACAGACATTCCAGTGAAAGCCTAAAATCATAGAAGACTTCTCAGACATCAAGTTTCTAAAGACATAGGAGAGCAAATTTCTTCTAAACACAGCTAAAATGAAACTGAAAATTTGTGTTTAATATGTATACATTGTACATCACTGAATTTTTGGTATTCCTTTAGGATAGCACTCGTGTTTGTAATTAAAAATTTCCAAAATTAGGCATCCAAAACTAGAAGAGGCCTACAAATGGCAAAAAGCACTCTGTTATCCAAAAGAGAGATTTTATAAATAGAAGATTTTGTATATAAGCCTATTTATCTGCAGCCTAGTAAAGAGTTGAACACTGTCTAGAGAATGTGATCTAAGTAGGCAAACAATTCAGATAATGTAAATTGCAGTTTGAGGCCTAAAAAATACAGAAAACATGTTTAGTCTAAAAAAATATGAAGACCTAAAATGGCATGCAAATTCTGACAAAAACTTTGCTAGGACACGGCAATATGGAAACACTAAAGTATGAATTAAAATCTAAGAGATTTTTTAGTTTAAAATAGTGTGTCAAGAAAGCAGCTCCAAACATAATTTGCTCCAGGCACCCATTCATTACCTACAGAGAAACGCCAAACAAAAATAATAATCTACTGATACAGTTAGGAAAAAATTTTCTTAAATGGGGCTAATCTGAAAAAAAAATTTTTTTTCAAAGTTTACCCATGTTTAGAGCAGCTCTATTTACCCTGAAGGAAGAACACTGTTCTGAAATGTATTTCAGTGACCCAGGGCCTTGTACCAACAAATAAAAGGGACCATTTTCCTTCTCCATAACAGTGGTGTTTTTTGAGGAATTATATTCTTCCCACCGTAACAGCTTCTGTAACTTTCTAATTGATCTTCCTTACTTCTATCTTAGCCCTCTTTAATCTACTCTTCCCCCAGCAGGCATAAAACATGGCACAGTCCTTAAAATTCTCCAATAACTTCCCATTGCTCTTAGAACACAGACACCTTCACTTGTCCTAAGAAGCCCTGAATGTTCTGCCCAGCTTACTGCCTCCACCTTATCCTGAATTTAGCATACCCCTCTCTGCCTTTGACATCTTAAGTTTTCAAAAACTATATTTCATGGAATTTTGGAATAATATAATTAATTCATGTGAATTAATGTGCATACCTCTCAGTCTTTCATTCACTAAACTCTAGCCACACTGCTGGATAGTAGTGAATAAGTGTTGAGTCATTGGAAATAAAATTATAAGATAATTAAAATAGTATTAAAACAAGAGCAAAATTTATCAACTGTCATCAAAGCTCAATATAGAGTTAAGGTCACTGTTATAAACGCTTTTATTAAAAAAATAAAGACCAAGAGTAAATTGAAAATATTGTCCACAAAATAGAAATAATAGAAAAAAATACAATGATATTTTGAGTCAATTAATAGATCTATAAATTATATTTTTTTCCATTTCAGATTACCCAAAAAAATTTTAACACTTATAAAACTTAAGGGAAAAAAAAGTAAAGCAAACAGCAAATTTAATATGGGAAAGGAGATACAGGAATAGGAATAGATTTTTTAATTTTAAAAAATTTTAAATTACAGAGAGTACTATGTACTGAAAATGTAAATCACAATAATCTGTGCTGATTTGACAGAATCTAGAACACTACCTGGAACATGGAGGTGTTCAGTAAGTATTTGGTGAATACATAGATTTTATAGGAAAATATTTGTTGTCCCAAGAATTAGAAAGCCTGAAGAGAGCAACAACCCTGGGAAGGGGGAAATCCTTTCTATTATCAAAAATTATCTCAAATAAATTCCCAAACCTTGTCACTCAGTAAATATTTATTGAGCACATTCTATTATGCCAAGCATTATTCTAGTGTAAAGGATGATAAAAATAAATATCTGGACCCCCAAGCTTCTTATGCAAAAGGGAAACTTAAGCCCTGGAGGCTGAGTCATGCAACTCCCTCTTCCAAATGAATATCTGTTCCTAGCATGATGCCTCAGCCAGATCCCCATGGAAAGGTAAAAGACCTCAGGCACCTGCTGAAGAACTGCTTCCACAGATCTTTCATAAGTAAATTCTTTGCTGGCCTCCCATAAACAAGGACTTGACATTTGTAACTTTAGATCTATGATCTGCAATCTAAGTCTAGCTCCTAAAACTAAAGTCTGTTCAATTCCACACTGATAATATCTATTATAATCTTATCTTTGCAAGTGCAGAGTGAAGACAAGACTCATTTCCTCCGCCTATCCAGAGAGGTCTACAGAAGTGGCTCTTCTGTTATTAATACTTTCTTTTTCTCTTCAAACATTCACCTTATCTTGTGTAAAATATAGATTTACTGGGCACAATCTAATGTCTCACGGGAATACAACCATTTGCCTTATAGTCCCTTTAAGGAAATATATAAATCCTAAACCTCCTGAAAACCTCTTTGGAGAAACAGCCACAGATTTGTCTACAGATGCACCCCAAAGTTGGCTTAACACACCTCAAAAGTTGAGACTTTTATGTCAGTCATTCATTTTTGTTGTCACTAGACTCTGGGAATAACCATTAACCTTCCCCCACCCCAACCCAAACCTGTCCTCTTAAAGTTTCATTCTTCTGCTAATACCAAACAGGTGGTGCTATGTACAATTAAGAAAACTAAAACAGAGTGAGGAGAATGGGGCCTGGGGAAGGGGTGCATGGATGGTTATTCCTCTGGGTTGGGGAGAGACTCTTTGGTAATATCTGAGCAGCTAAGGAGCAAACCATGCAGATAATGAGAAAAGATGATTCCAAACAGAAAAAAAAAAAAAAAAAAAAAGAATGTGAAAGCGTCCTGAGTAAAAGCAGTGCTTGGAGCTGAGTGAGGGAGGCAAGAGTGGTGAGACCCAGGTCTTGTGGAGCCTCAGGGGCACTGCACTCTGGGACAAAGGGAAGCCACTGCATTGATCTGATATGATAACTGAGGTACACACTGTGATTGTGGTCTGAACAATAGGTTTTGGGGTACAAGATAAAAGCTAGAGGAGCAATGAGACCATTGCTATAATCCTAGCAAGAGATGATGCTGGCTGAAAGAAAGCTAGTCACAGTGCAAGAGGCAAAGCAGTAGGACTCTGGATATATTAGTGGCCAGATTCTGAATTCATGTTGAAGATAGAGCTGACAGGATTTCCTGGTGAATGGGAGGAACTTATAATTTAATTTAATTTAAGATACTTAAAACATCTTATATGCTAATAATAACAATGCAATAAAGCCTTGGTTCAGCTCCGAAATCAGCAACTAGACCTATATAAAGATGTAAACCAAAAATAAAATTCTAAGCCCCATAACAGACAGAATGACTGAATAACCAAACCCACCCCCTCCCCTGACTTCAACCAAAGAGATTCAAAAAAACCTGAAAACTAATTCAGGTCACGATGGGAAAGGGTTGTCATGCCTTATCATACTTTCCTCCCTTTGGAGTTCAGGCACAACTGACCAGCACTAACATTAAAACAGAGATCTTAAGACTGACAAAACAGACTGTAGCAATAAGATACCAAATTCCAATTTGGCTCTAGTATAGTATCATGACAGGTAGCAGGTCCTGAAGGAAATCAAAGGATTTTACCCCAAAATATATTTATTTGGCATGTTTTGACATAGCCCTGCAAAGCCATTTTGTGGGGGAAAATTTGCATCTGTAATTTTTGTAAGGAAAAATCTGCATCTGCAAAGAATCTCTGCTGACACAACTAGATCTTTCCCCTTCCAAACCCTCCCAATCCTGAGGAGATTAACTGAGAGTCTAGCACCTTTTAAGGGTCTAACTAGAAAATATTTGCCATCCGTTTTCTCTAAGGGTGGCCACCTATGAGACCTCATCTACATAATAAGAATCTTGGTCTCCACAACCCCTTATCTTAACCCAGGCACCCCTTTCTTTTGGATAATAACTTAACTGTTTGAACCAATTGCCAATCAGAAAAATCTTTGAATCCACCTGTGACCTATAAGGCCGCACTTTGAGTTGTCCCACCTTTCTGAACCAAACCAATGTATACCTCACGTGTATTGATTAATGTCTTATGTCCCCCTAAAAATATATAAATCAAGCTGTAAACTAACCATCTTAGGTACATATTCTTAGAACCTCTTGAGACTATGCCTCAGGCCATGATCACTCATATTTGGCTCAGAATAACCCTCTTGAAATATTTTACAGAGTTTGGCTGTTTTTGTCAACAAAGAAATTACCTATTAACAGATGCTGACATATATTTTTTATTTTATTTTATTTTATTTTTGATCTCTGAACTTTTTATTGGCCTCCTGCTCCCCAAAGGGTACCCTGCTTCTGCTGGCTTAATGTCTCATCCATGGGCTCTACAAGGTCATTGATGACACCAATGTCACTCAGCTGTAGCTGGAGGCAGAGATTGAGGCTCTCAAGGAGGAGCTGCTCTTCATGAAGAAGAACCACGAAGAGGAAGTAAAAGGCCTACAAGCCCAGAGTGCCAGCTCTGGTTTGACCCTGGAGGTAGGTGCCCCCAAATCTCAGAACCTAGCCAAGATCATGGCAGGCATCCTGGCCCAATACAAAGAGATGGCTCAGAAGATCTGAAAGGAGCTGGACAAGTATTGGTCTCAGCAGATTGAGGAGAGCGCCACAGTGGTCACCACGCAGCCTGCCAAGGTTGGAGCTGCTGAGATGATGCTCACAGAGCTGAGACATACAGTCCAGTCTTTGGAGATCGACCTGGACTCCTTGAGAAATCTGAAGGCCAGCTTGGAGAACAGCCTGAGTGAGGTGGAGGCCCGCTATACCCTGCAGATGGAGCAGCTCAACGGCATCCTGCTGCACCCGGAGTCAGAGCTGGCACAGACCCAGAGGGACAGTGCCAGGCCCAGGAGTACGAGGCCCTGCTGAACATCAAGGTCAAGCTGGAGGCTGAGATCACCACCTACTGCCGCCTGCTGGAAGATGACGAGGACTTCAATCTTGGTGATGCCCTGGACAACAGCAACTCCATGAAACCATCAAAAAGACCACCACCTGCTGGATAGTGGATGGCAAAGTGGTGTCTGAGACCAATGATACCAAAGTTCTGAGACATTAAGCCGACATATATTTTTTAAACTGACTATATAAGCTTGGCTTTATAAATCAAATCAGTGGAGAAAGAAATAACTCTTCAATAAATGGTGCTAAGATCATTGGATACCTATTTTTAAGTCATATTCTTAGGTATTACATACACAAAAAAATGGTAAATGGAGTGATAAATTTAATGCGATGAATTTTTTGAAATGACAATTATTGATACCTAGATGAAAATGTCTGCGAATTTTTAATCGAACTCAGTACTAATAGAACTTCTAAGTTCAACAGCAACAAAAGAAATCACAAAGAGGGAAAAAACACTAAAAAGTTTAATGAGATGAAAACATAGAACTTCTACATGTCAAAAATATATTAACGAAATTAAAACCAAGCAAACTAAAAAATTTTGTGAGAAATATGATGACAGTCAATGTTATTATCATATACAAATTTACTATAAAAACAAAAACATAAACCAACCTCAACAACCATTATGGGAAAAAGGTTTAAAAGCCAAATCCAAAAAGTAGAGCTCATTGGAGCTCTGCTAACAATAGTTCTTCATGAAACTATTGCCAATGCTGATCATGATTAATATTTTCATAAAATTCTCAGCATTGAAAATACCATTCAATTTTTCCAGATAGAAAGATAGAAGGAAGATTTGAAATATAAAACTGAAACAGTTAATTACATAATAATACATTCAAGTGGTCAGGTGAGCTATGTCTTGGACATATGGGAAGAATTGCATTTTAGAAGAAATATCCAAATAATACTTATAATATGAAGGTCTTTGAGACATTACTTAGAACTAAGAAAGACTTCTAGAAACTGCTGCTTGCTGCTCCCTGAATAAAAGATCCCAATATATTGCCCTAGACAAAAAGAGCAATAAGATAGCAGATATTAATGCTGTATATGTCATTCAAAACAACAGTGGACAGTCCCTGGAATATTATATGCAGTACTCATGGTCACTGCCCCTCCAGAGAGAAAGGAAAATAGGACACTCTCCGGGGCTGGGAGGCTTATGAAAATAAACTTTAGAAAGCAGAATTCTTTCTCACAGGTGCAAAATTAAAATAATAATAAATGTACTATATGTTTCCTGTGAGCTAGACTGTATGTTAAATTCTTTAAATATGTTATCTCATTCAGTGCTCCCAGCCAGCCTAGCAGAGAGGTGCCCTCTCACACTTGTTACAAATGAGGAAATGGTCTTAGTGCTTGATTTCACACAGCTGGTGACAGAGAGCAGAGCAGGGACTCCAAGGTAGGACTGGCTGACTCCAAAGTACATCCTCTTTGTAGTCAGGATCATTAGGCTGAACAACGTGGACTTTTCTGCCACATATTAGACTTAGGGAACACTCCTTGAAATGAAATTGCAGAGGAAAACCCAAGGCCAACTAGTCTAATCCATGTCAGCACCAGTGGAATTCCCTTTCTTGGAGGCAGAACACGATAAAGCAGGACAAATTCCAAAAGAGAGTCATTCATTTATTTATTCATCTCGCCAACAAATATTTATGAAGGTCCTACTTTCTCTGTGCCAAACATTGGGCTAATAGCACTGAATGTCAAATTCAGAATGGATTTCTAAGGGCAGAAAGGAATGCTTGGGGTATGCGTTCTCAACTTTTTTAGATTGAATTCGTGAGGGACGAGGATGCTTTAAAAAGAGAAGCTTTTTCATGCATTGGCATTGTGAGCATGATAAACCACAAATCTTACCCACATCCTTCTGTCTAAATATAATCTCTGTACAGTTTGAGAGGTGGAAAACTTGGACTATAGGTATGGCTTTCTGAGCACTTGAAGAAAATAGCACTAGGTCATAATTTCAAAATGGTGCAATGCAGCCTACTTTTAAAATGTGAAATCTGCTGAGATTCTTTGTACAATTATTCCTATATTCCTAATGATTAACAAAATAATTTTAGAGCTAATTTATCTTCTACCATGGCTTACACTTGCAGTGCTTCCCAATCTTTATCTTCAAGTTTCTCCATCGGCTCTCTCATACCAACTTTGAGAGTTTTGTTGTATGCCCCTTACAATGCCTAGGAAGGGAGGATGGGTTTTCTTTAAGAACATATGAGAGAGGATTATGTAGGGTAGAGGTGTTCATAAAAGCATTATATTCTATGTGAACAAATAAAAGCATCAGGATATTTTTCATGATTAAGTATTACCTTATAAATTATAGAGAAGCTAATTCCATCAATTGAAATTTGATCCTGGCTTAACAAAATTTTCCAACTTGGAAATTTTGTGTCTGTATCATAACTAGCTTACTTGGAAAATAATGGTTTTGGGTTTACCAGCTGCCAAAAGCCTAAGTGTACAACAACAAATTCCCCAAGGGACGGCTTTCCCTCCCAGTCATTATGAAAGTGAGGCTGGAGCCCAGGAGGGAGGAACAGATTGCATTGCCCATGAGCATGACCTAGTGGCTGGTTCACTGAGTGGCATTTATGGCAGTAATAGAAAAGGCTGCTTGTCTGTTTTCCAAGTGTCAGGGTAAGTGATGTGTATGCAGCTGTTGTTCATGGAGATGTGAAGAGCAGGAAAGAACAGCATCTTAGAAAGCGTAAGTTAAAAAAGACATTCTTAACCTCCAAATATTAAACATTTGGTACTCTCTACTGACTTCAGGGACCTGGACCCATCAAAAGCACTTGTTTGCAGAGGCAAACAGAATGTTCTTACTGATTCTTCACAAGGAACCAAAAATGATAAACTTTGCCTCATACTGGCTCCCAAATCATTGCAGGGAGTTTATTTAGACTGTGAGACACTTAACAGAGCTTAGCACAGTAAGCATGACTTGCCATACACGCTTCATCAGGGGATCACTGGCCAGCATGCAGTTATATTTACTAAAAAATTTATTGTAACGGGGATACATCAACCCTAGAGAGAATTTGAGAATGCTATGCTATATTTTGCAGCCAAACATGTATCATATATGCCTGAACATTTCTATATTACTTTGATAACACAGCTCTGCATGCCTATCAAATGTTTGATTAAAGCTGACTACAGTGCAAATTATCTAATGCTCTTTTTGTGAACTCTCAATAGTGTTTCATCTTAACCATATGGCTACTGATGTGGCAGTTAATGTATGGTTTCCATCAGGCTTTATAGAACTAGATATTCTGTACCTGGAATTAGGAACGTACTACATTTTCCTATAATCTGCTCTCAACAATTTTCAAGGGAAAAGAAATAATAAGGTCGTGTCGTTCATACTAAAGTTACAGCCCTGCTTAAACAAGCAAATAAACAAATAGATCTCAAATGCCCATTTCAAATACTGTGCCACATACATTTTATATTATCTTTACAAGGCTCATCTACATAAATTTAAATAATTGTTGGGCCATATTGCAACATACATTCAAATTCAATGTCAAGTAGTAAATCCATGAAATGCTAAGATGTTTAAAACATTTTTTGTAAATGATCACATCTCTGCTTAGAAGTAGAACAGCGACACTGAAAATGCTGGTGATAAGGCTTGATTTAACAAAGGGATCTGGAACAGGAGTGCAGAGACCTGGGTTCTACTTTCCTCTTTGTCACAAATTTGCTTCTTGATCCAGGGCTTTGGGTTCCTGTTCTCAGATAATTATGGGAGGGGAGAGACATGTAACGTTTTGTATTCATTAGAACTACTTATGTTGCAAGGACAGAAACTACTTAAGCTCAAAAAATATTTAAAGGACGGGGATTTTCTGACATGCAGATTGTGAGAGTCCAAAGTAAGGCAGGCTTTGGGGTGGCCTCTGCCTCCATCTAGATGACCCCATTAGAGACCAGATTCTCTCCTTCTCTCCACACTGGAGGTTGGCACCAACCTCAGCCATCCACATTCATGGTCACCAGATGCTGCTGACATCTGAGGATGCACATTCAGAGATAATGTGTTTGCCTTACATTTTAAGCAAAGTACTTGCATGTGTACTCTGATTAGACAGACAGGGACTGCTACCCCAGAAGCATCTCAGCTGTGTGAGAGAGGCATCTACCCCTAAAAATCTGCCATTTGTTAGCAAGAAATATAAAGAAATTGATTCTAAGTAGACAATCAACAAATGTCTAGTTTGTAACAAGTGGGAGGTTTTGTTTTTGTTTTTTTGGGTTTGTTCCCCCAGTTTTATTTTCTACTGTTCTAAATTCTATGGACCCCATAAGTTTTTACATTTAAACAACAAGCATTTACTTAGAATCTAAATCATGGTTTCTGCCCCACCTCCAGGCAGATTTTAGACTGGTTAAAGGAACGGTTATTTCAATAACAAAAGGAGAGTGCTATGATTTGAATGTTTGTCCCCTCCAAAACTTACCTTGAAACTTAATCCTCAATGTGATGTATTGAGAGGTGGGGCCTTTAAGAGATGGGGCCTTTAAGAGGCAGAGCCCTCATGAATGTATTAATCCATCCATAGATCAACGGCATAATGACTTAATGGGCTATCTGGAGGTGGTACTAGTAGCTGTAAGAAAAGTAAGAGAGGCCTGAGCTGGCACTCTCAGTCCCTCCCCATGTGATGCCCTGTGGCTCCTTGGGACTCTGTGGAGAGTCCTCACCAATAACAAGGCCCTCACCAGCCACCCAGTAACTTGAGAGGCTGAGATGGAAGGAGACCACCTCAGAAAAAAAAAAAGCCCTCACCTCACAAGACTATCCCTCTCAACCTTGCACTTCCCACCCTCCAGAACGGTAGGAATTAAATTTTGTTTCTTTATAAATTATCCAGCTTCAGGTATTCTGCTTTGAGCAACCAAAACTAGATTAAGACAGAAAGACTCGATGAAAATAAATAAATCAGAAACAAATAGGTGTGGGGAAGATATTGTTGATGAAATATGGGGAGAGGTATAAGTCAGTGACCTGAAAAACATGGAGAAAGAAGATAGACAACAGGCTCAGTGGGGAAAGGGGGCAGAAGACGATGTACGGAAGGGGTTGGGGTCAGATTGTGAAGTGCCTTGTGTACAAGTGTGGGGAGTTTGAAATTGATCAATGGAAATCAGGTATAAATATGTTCAGATTTGTTTGGAGAAGCGGACTCCATGGTTGTGGTTTTCAAAAGCCTGTAAGTATAACTTATGGACATTAATATAGGTGGCCTAATTACAGTAACTCTGAGCCCTCCATTACTGCAGAATCTCAGTCCTCTCTGTCTCCGACGTATGTGCATCCTTCAAAGCCTCTCTAGTGTTTTTCTGAGGTTTCAACATTGAACCTGTTGCACTGCAGATTGTCAACTGCAGTTACCAGGAGCACTGGTCATATTCTCCTTCCCAGCTCTTGCTTCTGTATGTCCTTATTCACTGTCCAAGAAGCCACTTCAGGAAACTTCATTATCAATGATGCTAGCTCACCTATCAAGAAAGGGAACTGCTGGTCTGCAGGGCTCTGGAGTGGTGCTGGGTTCCATGCAAGGGACTTAGAAGGGTTGTTGCCTTAATTCTTGTCACCAGGGCTCTAAAACCATTGTTTGTGCCCCAAAATGGACAAAGTGAGACTCATAAAAATGCTTTCTTCAATCTCTGTCTGTTTAATCATGGATGTTCAATTTTTTTTCAAGGGACATGGTAGGATCCAAACATGGTAACTTCATCTCCCTCATCTTCCTCAAAAGTCTATGCACACACAAAATTTGCTCCTTCTGCTCCAGCAACAAAGCCATATTGAGATACAAGCAGAGATAAAGGGAGAAGGAGATTGGCCCTTTACACTGCCAGGCTGGGGTCTCTGACATTTTCACATAATGATTTACCATTTATGTTCAATCCAGTGCCTGACACATCAAAGGACTTGAGTGTTGTTCATTGGATAAATGCACATGCAAACCATGTAAAGAATACACTGGTGACAGAAGAGAATAGTGATTCAGAGGCTAACTATTGTTGTCTTAGGAGCACTAAACTAAGATACCAGCAGATGAGGGTAACTTTGAGAAACATTTCTGAGATGGAATCATCGGATATTTGCAAATGGCTTCTCCTCTTACACTTTTCAAAAAGAATAACGGAGAAAAACATAGGTGCAGGCCAGGCATGGTGGCTCACGCCTGTAATCCGAGCACTTTGGGAGGCTGAGGCGGGCAGATCAGCTGAGGTCAGGAGTTCAAGACCAGCCTGACCAACATGGAGAAACCCCATCTCTACTAAAAATACAAAATTAGCTGGGCATGGAGGCGCATGCCTGTAATCCCAGCTACTCGGGAGGCTGAGGCAGGAGGATCACTTGAACCTGGGAGGCAGAGGTTGCGGTGAGCCAAGATTGCACCATTGCACTCCAGCCTGGGCAACAAGAGTGAGACTCCATCTCAAGAAAAAAAAAAAAAGAAACCAACAAATGTCCAGTACAGGTTTTCTTTTACTAATGCTGACCTTCTATTGTACAACCTTAAGTTCCTTGGTTCTCACTAAATATATGCCAAACACAGAGCTATTATCATTGATACCCTCCATCAGGACAGTTGGAGACTCAGGAGATTCTAGAAATCCTAGAAAATCTTCAGAAAAAGCAAAGGTCCAAGTACCTGAAACAGAGCCAATAAGAAGGATCAAGATTTCCTGTGTGGAGGCATTACTCATGGGAAATTTTAGGGGCTAGGTTATATAGAAGGAAGAGTTCAGGATGCAGGAAGTGAGCATGTATGAGAAGAAATATCAAGAAAAATACTAATAGCTAAGGAGGGATGCTTGGGTAGATGATCTAGCTAGGTTTAAATAATAATGACAATAAAAATAGTAAAAACAAAACAATTACTACCTCTTATTGAATTCAAATATGTGCCAGACAATATATCATCTGCTTTATATATGATACTATATTTATTTCTCATAACTAGGATGTGAGTCAGGCATTCTTATGTGTCTTAGTGATAAGAACAGAGACTGAGAAAGATGAAGAATTTTGTCCAAAGATGATTTCAAAACAAGGCTTTTTGACTTCAAAATATGATCCTCTCTGTGAAATTTTTATCTTCATGCTTCAGATGCCAAGAAAATTTAAATTGCTATTGGTGTAGAAAAACAAAACATCACTAAATGCTACTATCCCTTGTCAACCAATCAACTCAAAGTAATTTACAGGGTATAATCTTATTTGATCCTGATATATATATATATTATATTTTATATATACTTTTATATATATATTTTATATATACTTTTCTTATTTTCCATATGCTCTTCTGTCATAAAATTCTTTAAAAAAAAGAAAAAAGATTACTTGGAATATAATAAGTGCTTTCATTATACTTGTTCCCAATTCAGAAAGATAAGCCTTGCCTGCCTGTTGACCCTGAGTTTTCAAACTCAGTGGCAAAGGAGTTGATACATGAATTTAATTATGAATTATTTCCTTTTTGACAACCAAATCTTATGCAGTTTAAAAAATCCTCTATACTATTCAAATATTCCTTGGAAATATAAGAGGCTACTTAATACAGAAATTTGAAACTAAATGTTAGAGAAATGTACTAGTAGCAGTAATAGTCTTGGCAGTCAATGAGAATGAAAGAATCAAGAGTTTCTCCCTTCAGACATCAGATCTCACTTCAGATGTCAGATCTGTGTCATGACTCTGAATTGAAGAACTTGTAGATTACAATCAACAAGGTAAATGTAAGCAATGTAAACAGACACACATGATTTGATGGACTGCAAGACTGAGATCACAAATTCCTTATTAATTATATGTTGAAACTGATACGGGAGAGAGACAGGGAAACGCTGGGTAGAGAAAGGCGGGGTTCCTGCCGAGGGTTCCACCCTGGGGCTTGTGCCCACAGACCTAGGTGAGGACAGGCACTCCTGTTTCTGTGCCCAAATGTTGCATTTTCCAAGATTACCCTGGCCTACCATGCCCCCCGCATCCCGGACCTATAAAAACACTGATACCATAGCAGGCACACACAAAAGCGGCTGGACGTGGAGAGGAACACAGCCACAGAAGAATACACAGACACCGGCAGTCCATCCACTGCGCAACAACACAGACGCCCAGGGAAATTTGTCGAGGGCAGTCGGAGGAGAGCCCTGCCCCTGAGCAGCCCAACTCCAGCGGAAGACCACCTTCCCACTCCATCCCCCTTTTGGCTCCCCATCCATCTGCTGAGAGCTACTTCCACCACTCAATAAAAAACCTTGCACCCATCCTCCAAGCCCACATGTGATCCGATTTTTCCGGTACACTAAGGCAAGAACCCGGGAAACAGAAACCCCACTGTCCTTGTGATAAGACAGAAGGTCTAATTGAGCTGATTAACACAACCCGCCTGAGGATGGCCAAGCTGAAAGAGCACACTATAATACACGCCCACTGGGGCTTCAGGAGCTATAAACACTCAACCCTAGATGCTGCCGTGTTGTCAGAGCACAAGCTCCCCACGACCTGCCCGTCTGCATGCTCCCCCTAGGGGTTTGAGATGTGGGACCCTGAAGAAATGATTTACACCCCATTGTATGCCCTGTGAAGGGGATAAGGGAACTTTTCCCATTTCAAAACTAACAGTCTACTTCTGGGAGAGTAAAAAGTGAACAGTTTATTAATTTTGGGAAAAGGTACTTCATTGATCCATCTCTTTTTTTTCTCAAGCATAAATCACCTTCAGTTTTCTGAATCACCATTGCCTCCAAATTAAGATTCAAAAGCGGGTGAAGAGGCTGGAAGGTACCTAGAACCCTTGAATGTGGGCCAAAAGCCAGACACAGAGGGGTGTGAACCCAGTACATACTCAACTTCTTTACACCTAGGTGAGCTGAGACTCTGGAAATGTGGCAGAACACTGGAGCATGTGACTTTGGATCAAATAAGTTCTCAGAAATTTATTTGGATTTGCAATCATTACAGAAAGAGGAATTTCTAAGGACTTGGGGACCCACTTGAACAGGGTGAGCCCTTACAGAATTGTGTAAAACTAAATTTTCATCAGTGTTCTCTGGGGGACTCTCAGAAAGACTGCAATCCTCTGGATGCCTGCATTTTCTTCCATGCATTTCAAGACACCTGGAATAGATATTCTTTAAAAAGGAAAAAAAAGGGTCAAGGTTGAAACAAAGCCCTTAAAGCATCTGTGCACCCCTGGAATTCCCAAGGATTCAGAATGATCCTGTTGTGATCTGGAGACTCCATAAGTGTCGTTAAGCTGGGCAATTTGGACCCACTACAAAGAAAACTCAGTGGTCCAGTCCTCAGACTCTCAGACTTTGGGGTGGGCCCACTGATTACCTCCCAATCAAAATGTCCATTCTGTATTCCTGGATGCCATTTTCATGCCTCACCTTAATGTACAATGAAAGGCATTTAGTTATGGCTCCATTCCAAGGAAGAGGCCTTATTAACTTGCTGCCCAAGTCCAAGTTAGAAATGCACATATATATTCCCAAATGGGAATACCTGTGTAACTTTGAATCAAAGAGCAAATTTCACGGTAGCAAAGCCGAGGGCCGACTTTTAGCTTCATCTTCTAGAAAACTATCCAGCCATGTACATCAGCTAGAGTTTTAAAGCCAAACAAATACTGAAGGAAAAACGAAGAATTTTAAAGGAGAATGAAACAACCACAACAGGACAAATAATCCTGAATCACAAATGAGAACACTCCCATTGGCAGAGACACAAAGGTAATATTTTCACTAGAATGAATAGTCCTAGAAAAATTTATTCTCCAATATCAGACACAACCAGGCCTTTTCCTTCCATATGAGACATGAATGTCTCCTTTTTCCACTTCATCGTTTTCAGTTATCCAAACAAAATTTTAGCAGCAGAAAAAATAATGAATTTAGTCTGTTTAGGTCCAGTATTTCCTCGTTAATGTATTAACTCCCTGGCAGTAGTCAAACCATGCACTCTTCCTCCGGAATATTTCTTTCTCTTTTATCACCTTTAGAATTTCAGTGTCACTGAATAACTTCTATTTAATTTTGTCCCAGTGCAAGAAGCAGACACCTTAAGAGCACGTTAATTTCATCGTGACTGAAACTTTGGGAGACCTTGTATACCACAGAGGCAGACTGCTGTTTAAAACTTTCTTTTTTTTAATGTGTGTCAGAGCACTTTAACTTCAACCACTCTGCTAAGAGGCTGTTGTTTTAGTTCAAAGTGTACACAAAGGAGAGGATCACCACGTATGAACTAATATTTGCTTAACTGTCTTCATTTCCTCATTGCCCTGCAATTCAAGTGCTCTGTATTCCTTTTTTCAGCAGTCATAGCATTAAGTGAAGAAAAATTGTGTTGCTCGTAAGCCCAGCATATGCCAAAGAGTCTAGTATTTGCTCTAGTGTTTCTCACAACCATGTGTTAAATGATACTTTACTTTCATAGCTAAGTGAGGCAATGTGGGGTGAGATTAAAGGAGCAAGCCTGCACAATGTGCACATGTACCCTAAAACTTAAAGTATAAAAAAAAAAAAAAAAAAAAGGAGCAAGCGGCAAAGGATAGAGTGTGGCCTGGAAGGTTAGCTCAGGTAAGGTCTCTCCCACCGAGTTGCTACTCCATATTCCAGAAGCTAGAGTGTCCATTTCTCCTCCCTTAGGTAATTATTTTGAAAATTAATGACTGCCACCCTGAGTGGTAAGATTAAAGTAACTTAAATAGAAAACCAATACCAACAAAAGAAAGAGACAGAGATAGAGACAGAGAGGGTGGGAAAGAGAGAAGTGGGGAGAAGAATAAAAGGAGGGAAAGGGAGGGGAGGTGAAAGAAAAGATAGAAAAATTGTCCCTTTCAGAAGAAGATATGGAAATCCACCAAGGGCAGTCATCCCAGCAGCTCACTGCTCTCTGCTGTGGGCAATAGTTGGGTTTGATCCAACATTGTCAATTATTCACTCTCAAAGCTTTCATAAGTCTTGAAGTTGCAACACAGAGCAGCAGTATCAAAGCTTGAAGTGGAATAAAGAGAGGAAGAATAACATCCTAACTCCTTGAATGTTACTACATCTCTGCATTTGAAAAGATTTCAAAGTGCCTTCCTTATTGCTCATTATCATTCCTCCACCTGACTTTCATTTTTCTCTTCCCTTGTCTCTCCTTCCATAGACCCCACCACACAGCATATCTAGTGGATACTGTCTAAATTGTGGAGGGTAGTGGAAGGAAAGAAAGAAGTTCTGCTTCTTCACACCTCTCCACCAGCTCCTTCTTCCATCCTTCTCACCAGACGTCCCAGCCATGTGGGCTTGCAGCCAGTGGCTTCTCCAACACTAGCTCTGATGGTAGCCCCCATAGTTTCAAAATCAAGATTCCCAGTGTCACTTTGCCCTTTTGCCCATTTCAGAAATGATATTTAGGCTTCCTAGAGCTCCTAAAGATCCAAATGCTGTATCTTCTTTATCCACCCCTTCATTGACACTGCAGCTTTGATCCGTCTAATGAACTGCACGGAGAGCAAAGCTGCTGACCCTCTCAGTGCTTGGTAACAGCATTACTTACTGGCCTATCAAAACAATGTCTGTGTATACTTGATCCCCAGAGACTCCCAACCTTCCCTCAGTGTTATTATACAATAAAGCTCTCTTTATAAGATTGGTTTTCAGTTGAGTATTTGAAATCGAGAGGGGTAAGGCAAGTTGTATTTGCCTTCACAGTTTCACACTATTCATCTCTAGAGGGAGCATGTGTCTCTTTTGGACCACTGGGCATTGTAGAGCTGAGCCAGGAAGTACAAAACTGTGTTCTTCCTCTGCCCGTCCATAAACCATGCTCCATGCCCAGAGCCAAGCAAGGGAGCAGAGAGCCCTGCTCTCCACAGCAGCTAAGCCTGTGGTCTCTCCTTCAGGCCAGATTTTGGGAGGCACCGGGCCTCCCCAGGGAACAGAGCCTAGAACTATAGTGAGCTACCTCTGAACATAAGTGTTTTACTGTCCTCCTAAGGCCAACACCTCTCCACCCCCCTCCAAAGTCCTTTTGGATTTCTTCCCTTTGCAGGCCCCACCGAAATGTCTCCCCACTCAGTCAACACAGCAGTTGTCTCTGGCTGGGCTCTAAGAGCAGTAAATAGGTCGATTGTGACAAAAAGGTTTCAGTCGTTGCAATTGCTTCTTGCTGCAGGTGGGAAAGAGGTTCTCATGTGAGGTTCACATCAGGTTCTGTGTATTACTACAGCAGATCTTACCTGTTGATTTGTTTTTTCTTCTTCTTCTTCTTTTCCTCTGGCCCCTGGCCCATTTTTGCAAATGTAAGAGTGTCATTTCTTCAACAAACAAAGGATTTCCTCCACACTCTCATAGGTTTGGTAAAACTCCATGGTTTGAATATTTCTTTTCTCCACTTAGGAGTTCTTTCCAAAAAAGCACTACACTACAAGTGCTATTGGATGGCATGCAATGTCAGGCTATTTTTTTTTCCATTTCATTTTATTTTGAATTCAAACACTAGCAAAACCTGAAGCCCATAAGCCCCGTTCCCTGTCCATGCCTGGGCTTTCACAAGGTTGTATCCTAGTTATGTAGAGACTGCACATCTAAGTTCTTTTCTTGGGTCTGCTCTTTTATTAAGAAAGAAATGGACAAGGAGTCAAAATAATGACATTAGATTTTGCTACTGCCTGGTTAATTCTTTTCTTTGGGGAAAGAATGTTGCAGAAATAGATTGAAAAACAGTTTTTTAAAGTTTTGAAATGATCTACAGATATAATAACCATTTACTGAGTGCTTACTTCAGTCATCGGGTTATGTGTGTACTGCTTTATTAATCAATTCAATAATTAAACTGAAGGTATTAATACTACCCCCATTTTACAGATGTGTAAATAAGCTCAGACTAAGTAAACTGGCTAATGTCTCAGACAAGAAAATATCAAAGCGGAAATGAGAGTATAATCGAAAATCTGTGCTGGTAGCTTCCCTGCAAAAGGGTTACCTTTAATGACAAATTTACATTATCTGAGTTGTCCAAACTTTCCTAAAGTTTTTTGTTTGTTTGTTTTGAGATGCAGTCTTGCTGTCTCACCCAGGCGGGAGTGCAGTGGCATGATCTCAGCTCACTGCAACCTCTGCCTCCCCTCTCAGGTTCAAGAGATTCTCCTGCCTCAAGTTCCAGAGTAGCTGGGATTATAGGTGCCCGCCACCACGCCCAGCTAATTTTTGTATTTTATATTATATTATATTATATTATATTATTTTATTTTATTTTACATTCCAGGATACATGTGCAGAACATGCAGGTTTGTTACATAGATATACATGTACCATAATGGTTTGCTTCACCTATCAACCCATCATCTAGGTTTTAAGCCCCGCATGCATTAGGTATTTGTCCTAATGCTCTCCCTCCCCTTATCCCCCAATCCCCAGTGGGCCCCGGTGTGTATTATTTCCCTCCCTGTGTCCATGTGTTCTCATTGTTCAGCCCCCACTTATGAATGAGAACATGTGGTGTTTGGTTTTCTGTTTCTGTGTTAGTTTGCTGAGGATGATGGCTTCCAGCTTCATTCATGTCCCTGCAAAGAACATGATCTCATTCTTTTTTACGGCTGCAAAATTTTTGTATTTTTTAGTAGAAGCTGGGTTTCACCATGTTGGCCAGGGTGGTCTCGAATTCCTGATCTCAAGTGATCCACCCGCCTTGGCCTCCCAAAGTGCTGGGATTACAGGCATAAGCCACTGCGCCCAGCCGCCTAACAATATTTAAGGCAACATAGCTACCAACATTATCTTTTCTTGCTAGCACCTCTCTCTACATTTTTTAAAAACCTGGACTGATATTTTTTCACAGAGTAAAACAAAGCCTCAGGATAATTCAACAGGCTTCTAGCCCTCATGCTGAATACACGTGAGTCATATGTTGACTCCCATGGCCTGCCATGTATCAGTGTCACAGCCTCTCCCACGACATCAGACCAACAGCATGACAGTTGCCAAACTTTCTTAAAAAGTCACTTAAATATTTCAAACACATTACCTGGCATGCTAAATGTTAAACATAGTATTGCTCTAAGGGTTTTTTCCACTTTAGCATTTGCTCAAATTCCTCATTCATTCAACTGTACTTCTTATGACACAACTTTCATGAAACTGTACATATAAGAGAGAAATTATTTTGGACAGCCTTCTTAATCAATTTCCACTCTTAAACCATCCAAAGAAATCTGAATTTATATTTAAAAGATTTTTAGTTTTTCTCTTCTTGTCAGTATCAATTATTAATATTAATAGTAGAAATTTGCATAGTTCTTTCAATCGCCTATCATATGTATAATCTCATTTAATCTTCATAGCTTCCCTATGAGATAGTTATTATTATCTTATTTTGCAGGTGAGAAAACTCAGGCTCAGAAAGATTAGATAACTTTCCAGTAGCCAAGAAGTGATAGAGTTAGCAATCAAGCTTAAGTTTTCTGACTCCAAAACCAATGCCACTATTGTTACACCACAGTGTTGGTGCCAAATTGGCAAGTATCTCCTTTCTAAATCTTTATAAGGACTTCTATCTGAAGTCAATATATCCCCTTTCTTTTTTTCCTCAAGGAAGGACTTCCAGAGTTAGCAAAGAGAGACAAAGAACAACTCTTACAGCCATGTGTTAAAGTGCCTTAGGGCACATTACAGAGATGAGCCATTATCTGTGTGTGTGTGTGTGTGTGTACTGGGGGAACCAGCCCCCAATATTTCAATGTAGGTTCTTTCTATTTTCCCTAAGTGTCGACTGGTCTGAGACATAAAGAGAAAGAGTACAAAGAGAGGAATTTTACAGCTGGGCCGCCTGGGGTGACATCACATATCGGTAGGACTGTGATGTCCCCTGAGCTGTAAAACCAGCAAGTTTTTATTAGGGATTTCAAAAGCGGAGGGGGTGTACGAACAGGGAGTAGGTCACAAGGATCACATGCTTCAAAGGGCAAGAAAGGAGAACAAAGTTCATATGCTTCTGAGGCCAGTAAAGACCACAAGGCAAAGGGCAAAGCAAGATCACAAGGAAAAAGGGCAAAATTAGAATTACTGATGAGGGTCTATGTTTGGCTGTGCACGTACTATCTTGATAAACATCTTAAACAACAGAAAACAGGGTTCAAGAGCAGAGAAACGGTCTGACCTCAAATTCACCAGGGCGGGATTTTTTTCCCCACCCTAATAAGCCTGAGGGTACTGCAGAGGACCAGGGCGTATTTCAGTCCTTATCTCAACCACATAAGACAGACACTCCAGAGAGGCCATTTATAGACCTCCCCCCAGGAATGCAATTCTTTTCCTAGGGTCTTAATATTTAATATTCCTTGCTAGGAGAAGAATTCAGTGATATCTCTTCTACTTGCACATCCATTTATAGGCTCTCTGCAAGGAGAAAAATATGGCTCTATTCTGCCTGACCCTGTAGGCAGTCAGACCTTATGGTTGTCTTCCCTTGTTCCCTAAGATCGCTGTTATTCTGTTTGTTTTCAAGGTGCACTGATTTCATATTGTTCAAACACCCATGTTTTACAATCAATTTGTACAATAGTGGTCCTGACGTGACATACATCCTCAGCTTACGAAGATAACAGGATTAAGAGATTAAAGTAAAGACAGGCATAAGAAATTATAAGAGTATTTTTAGTAGAGAAGGGATTTCACCGTGTTAGCCAGGATGGTCTTGATCTCCTGACCTTGTATCCACCCACCTCATAAATGTCCATGAAATCTTCACAATTTATGTTCAGAGATTGCAGTAAAGATGGGCATAACAAATTATAAAAGTATTAATTTTGGGAACTGATAAATGTCCATGAAATCTTCACAATTTATGTTCCTCTGCCGCGGATCCAGCCAGTCCCTCCATTTGGGGTCCCTGACTTCCCACAACGTGTGTGTGTGTGTGTGTGTGTGTGTGTGTGTGTGTGTGTGTGTGTGTGTGTGGTTTTGTCTTGTTTTATTTTGTTTTAGATGAAGTTGATTCCACTGACCCAATCATTTATGAAGTTCAAGTCCAGGCCTTTGCTGAAGCTGGTAGTCTATGAAACATGCTGCTACTCACAGAAGCTGATTTGAGAAATTTAAGTTGCTAGCAATAGTAGATATAATAAACTATGAGAAATATATACAATTTAGCCATTTTGTATTTTGGAATAAGGACTCTCCAAGCTCATGCAATGTAGGTTTAGAGTAACATATGTTTATTTAGGATAGATCCTTAAATCTTAGAAGGCAGAGTAAAAACCAGTGTGTTCTGATCAAGAAATGAAGAAATGTAGCGGTATGGATATAACTTTTAAACTCTCCTAACAGTCTTCACTTCTTATCCGCTTCCTTGTCCATCTCCAGGAGTGACCAACAAGTTCCCACACCTGTCATGATGCCTGAGGACCATCACTAGTGATGTGTATCCTCCACACATGTGAACAGTGATGCTCACGCAAAACAGTCTAGGCCTCTGGAGCTGTTTTTTCTAATGCGATGACACTTGATCTTTGTTCATCTACACTGTCTCTCCCAGCCATCCCCTCTGCAGCGAAGGCATCTGTGGACATTAGTAAGACTGCTGGTAGAGGTAGAAGCACAGTCTCTGTTGGTAGAATGCATCAAACCTAGTTAGCACACTCAGCGAACAAATGATGCTGAAATCACCAGCTTAGTGTTTTCACCAGCCAAGACACTTATGAGATGTTACTTCATGGTGACAGTGGTGACTTCTCATCATCAAAGTTTTTCTGCTTCCCATAAAGAGTTTTCACCATTCATCTAAAACGAAGCATGGAAGCCAGAGCCAGGCCCCCACAGCTCACCACCAGACTGTGGTTAGCTCTACCACAAATGAAATGTGCTATAGTAGGCAAGCCACTGAAACTGTCATGACTCTGAAATTTCTCAACTGTAAAATGGAATAATAGTACCTGCTTTACAGGTTATTGGCAGGATTATATGAGTTGATACCATTAAAATATCATCACTCCCCTTTGCCCAAGGAATAAAATCCAAATCCCTTAATGTGATTTTAAAACTTTTAATTCACTCTGCAGTTTCATCCCTTGCCATACCCACCCCTTAAATTCTCTGCTTGAGTGACTGAGTTTCTTTTCCTTCCTTAAACATGCCACTATCCTTGGCACATACTGCTCCTATTCCCCCTCTGCATTTTTCACTTTGCTTAGGTAATTATTTAAGTTTTGGACTTGATATCAATTCTTCTAAGAAGCCTTTCTCTAACATTGCCTCTTCCCTTCCCCCAGCCAAATCTACACTAGAGTATAAGGTAGTTTTTGTATGAAAGCATTTGTTTATTCACGTAACAAGTGTTTCTTAAGTACTAGGTTACTGTTCTGGATTTTGGATAGAGTGAGCAAGAGAGACAAGGGCTGTGCTATCATTCTCAGTTGGGAAGCAAGAAACCAAGTAAGTCAGCTAAGGAGTAAGCAAGAGAAATTTAAGTAGAACAGGTTCACAATCCTTTCTCCAAAACCACTGGGACAAGAAGTGTTTCAAAATTCAGAATTTTTTAATTTTATAAAAGTAATGCAGTTTACACTATTTGTTACATCAACAGAGTCTGATGGAGCATCTCATAATCAAACACATTAATATGTCTTCAGTAAAATATCAATATACAACATTCATGATAAATTGAATAAATAAAGATGATAGCATCATATCATTTGGTGCTCATTGGTTTGCACCAAAATTATGAGGGAAAAAACTTAGTTTTCCAGAGATATTTGGATTTGGGAATTATGGATGAGGATGATGGAATAGAGACAGGTTTGTGAGAAAAAAAGAATCCTGAGTTTAGATCAACCAGGAAGGCATCTCCTGAGAGGCAGCATTGGAGCTGAGATATGAAAGGTTCAAAGAGGCCTGACATGTAAAAGCTGTTTAAGCAATAATTAATTCCCCAATATTCTGCCCCTTACTTTTGATCATAAACTTCAAAATTATGGAGATCATGTTTTCTTAATCCACTGTTTCATTGTGTCCACAGCGCAGACAAAAGTGCCTGGCTCAGAGTAGATGCTCAGAAAGACATTTGTTGAGGTAATGAAAATAATTGATTAACAAAATAAAACAAGGTTCGTTTTTTGTTGTTGTTGTTGTTGTTGTTTTGAGATGGAGTCTCGCTCTTTCACCAGGCTGGAGTGAGTGCAGTGGTGCGATCTTGGGGCTCACTGCAACCTCTGCCTTTCAGGTTCAAGTGATTCCCCTGTCTCAGCCTCCCGAGTAGCTGGGACTACAGGCACGCGCCACCACGCTGGCTAATTTTTTGTATTTTCATAGAGACGGGGTTTCACCATGTTGGCCAGGATGGTCTCAATCTTCTGACCTTGTGATCCACCCTCCTCAGCCTCCCGAAGTGCTGGGATTACAGGAGTGAGCCACTGTGCCTGGCCAAAACAAGGTAATTTTTAAAGTGTTAAGTCAGGGAAGACTAATGTATTACCCATGAAGATCAAGATCTTCTAAAGACCACGGAAGAAGCTAGTAAAATTGACACTCAGCAGTGTTCAACTTCACCGTTTTGCTTTGTCCACTAACTTATTACAGATTACCAGCAGTACCTCTCCAGCAGCAGACAATGAGGAAAGAAAGCCCTCACTCTGGGCTTCTTGCCAGAGTGGGGCATTAAGAAGTGTTTGCTAAGAAGCAAAGCAGCTGCTGACATGCAGTCATAACTAACAGTCATGCCGGTTTTAAATGTGCCTGCTCCCCAACTTGGGCCCACACCCTTCTCTCTCTCCCAGCCTGATGGGCCCTCCCTTTGGGCCAAGGCACTGTAAACTACCCAGCCTGTCCTGAATGGGAAGACATTGCATGGCTCCTCAAAGCATAATTATATGTGCCAAACTTTACATCAGAGAAACAGTCTACATGAGTAAACCTGCCTCCCAAGAGGCACCTCAGATCTTCTCATCACTTCCTCCTACGTGTTCCATTTAGAGGTTTCCTAATACTGTAATTCCTTCAAGGCTCTTCTTGAAACCCTGCAATATGATAGATACCTAAAATTGTAAAATCAGAGGACTAAAAGAGACATTGAGAGGCAATCTGAGTCAAATCTTCTCTGTTTCAGATACAGACACATTTAAACAAACTGCAGATGATAAGAATCTACCACCTGTATTATTTTAAGCCTTGAAGACAGAAATGTTATAAAATTTCATAAGAACCCAAGTTATTGACAGTAGTGAGGGATTTACTTCTCATGCCAGTAAAGACCATAATGTAGCTTTTGACTAGAAATAACATTAAAGGTTTAAAAAATTATCAGTGTCCTAAAGGAAGGAATTAATGATAAATGGCAATAAAATCAGTGTATTTAAATATTTTGTGCTCCTGAATGTGAGTGTCTTCAAGTGATCAGTGTTTAGGGTCTGATAACAAAATGATAAGGAGATGGCTTATGTTGAAGAAAGAATAAAGTTTATTGATTCTTTCAGTTTTAGAAAGATACTACTGTGCAATTTCTATCCTTTTGCCCTGCAAATATATTAAGAAAAACAAAGGCTTTATCACAAATGAGGTCATCAGTACATCCGGAAAACATTAGTGCTTCCTCCATAGGTCTGTGCACCGATGTCCATTGATGTTGCTAATAGACTGCATTAAGCAGAGCACCCAGATTTCATCCCTCTCCCTCCCCTATACTCTTAACCTCTTAAGTTCTCTTCTACCAGAGAACCACTAGTTATAGTATATTTAGGGCTTCCCTCTAAAGAATTGATTGTTTTTATATGCTCACACAAGATGTTCATACATCTGTATATCAAGACCATTGTCCTTTTTAAACAACCACTGAATTATATCCAAACTATAAAAAATCAACATACAAAAGCCCAACAAATAACAAATGACCTACATCAGCAGGTGTATTGAATAAGACACTACAGCATATGCAAGGCACTATGGCACGCCCTGCGCAGATGCATGGGAGATTAAGATGCAGTCATGGCCTTCAGTGAAACATCTCTCCAGTGAGACAAAGACACCAATAGGCATGGCTCCCTCCATGGCAACCTGTGATAGGTACAAGGGAGAGACCTGACAACATGCAATGAAGTACAGAGGAGAAAGAACACGTTTACATCTGCGGGAGAAACTAGGGACAGTTTCATCAAGAAAGTGGTGTCTGAACTTAACCTTGAAAGAAAGTGAATATTTTCACATCCTTTGGATTACAAGAAGGAAGTCGCAACTCAAATAGGCTTCAATAAAGAAAAAAATTTATTTCACATGGCAAGAAGACCAGAGACAGAGAAGACTCTTTGCTCAGCAGAATTCACTTCATGAGTCAGGTGCTCTCCATTTTCTCCCTCATTCTTGGTGACACTTTCCTCTTTAGTTTGGTAGTAGTAGCTCCGGTATCACATCCAGATATAGCCAAGTCCAAATAAAGAAAGGGGAGAGTCACTTTCATTGGAAAGATAAAGTCCTTAGCAGCAGATTTCCTTTGCATCTTATTGGCCTGGATTGGGCCGTATAAAGTTTCTTTAACCAATCTGCAAAGGAAAAGCAGTTACCAAAATTGGACTAGACTGCCTCTCCTTTGCAGTGGAAGGGATTTAGGGGAGACACCACAATGGACAGTATGCAGTTAAATAAGCAGAAATGGAGTTTTGGGTATTCCAGTGGAGAGAACATCACAAACAAAAGCAAGGAGACAGAAATTGCCAGGCACGATACTAAGATGACCACAAATAAGAGCAGAAGACATGGAAAGAAGAGGAGGGAAAGGGAGAAGAGGAAAAATAATAATAAAATGTATCATTTATTCACCATTTATGTGCCAGGCCTTCTGCCCAGAAATGAACGTATACCATCATACTTAATTCTCACTATGGTTTTGTGAGACATACTATTACCCTCATTTTGCAGATGACAAAACTGAGGCTGACAGAGATTTAGGAGATTGTCCAAGTTCACATAGCTAGTAACTGATGGAATCAGGATCTAATTGCAATTGTATTTGATTCCAGAATTCATATTTTGAGAGACACAGGAATCTAAGTCTAACTCAGCTAAAGAATTGTATACATGGCTGGGCATAGTGGCTCATGCCTGTAATCCCAGCACTTTGGGAGGCTGAAGTGGGAGGACTGTTTGAGCCCAGGAGTTTAAGACAAGCCTGGGAAACACGGCAAAACCCCATCTCTACCAAAAAATTAATAAATAAACAAAATTAGCTGGTGTGGTGGCGTGTACCTGTAGTTCCAGCTACTTGGGAGGCTGAGGTGGGAGGATCACTTGAGCCTGGGAGGCACAGGTTGTCCTGAGCCGAGATTGCACCACTACACTCCTGCCTGGGTGAGGGAGCAATGTGCTGCCTCAAAAAAAAAAAAAAAAAAAAAAAAGAAGAAGAAGAAGAAGAAGAAGAATAGGATACATGTACAGAAAGCACTGAAAAATAAGGCTAGGAAATACAGGAAAACAGGAAATAATGGGGTCAGTATTGTGGAGAACTTAACAACTTAAGTAAGTGTTCATTCCACAGGCCAAAGGAGATATCCGAAAATCTTTGAGTGGAAACGAGGTCAATATTAGAACCGGATTTTAACAGGAATATTCTGTCATTGATTTGTAAAATGGATTATGATGGGAAATCAGACAACTGAATGATGGGAAAAGCTATGGCAACAATCTGGCAAATCATAGCAAGGACTTGAATTAACAGCAGTGGGGCTAGGGAAAATAAATGAATTTTATAGGCATTTGGCAACTGATTGTAGGATCTGAGGGATTAAGGAGAGGAGGGATGGAGGATGACTCAGAGCTTTGAGGTCTTGGATGCTGAATGGATGGTGGTATTATTCAGATTAGAATGGACATCAAGGGGAGTTCTTAGTTGTTTGTAGAAGGAAAGGCAAGACTTTATTACTAACTTCTTATAACTGTCCTTGATGAGAACCTTGATATTTAGAACAAAATGAGCAGCAAAACAGGAAAGATCAGTGCTAGAGACTTCCCTGTCTCAAAGACGCTTCAGGGAAGGAAACACACAAATTAGTTATGTTTTTCTGGCTTTCCATATCTGTCTTTAATTTCCTTTCCTTGGCCCCATCATTGTTTGGCACTGCTCTGTTAGAAAACATAATAAAATGTAAGAGAAAATATAATTTAAATAAATCCATTTTGCTACTTGTCAATAAAAGTTTTGACTACAAAAGGAGTTTGCTGGAGGGAAACCTAACTAAGAAAATCGAGATTCACAAAAATAAGTAGGTAAAGCTCATATAATATGCAAACATATCTCCTTCCTTTCAAAACAGTTGGCCTGGAAAGCCCTTTATAATACTCCCCCAAGGCCAGGCATGATGGCCCAGGCATGTAGTCCCAGCACTTTGGGAGGCCAAGGTAGGTGGGTCACTTGAGGCCAGGAGTTCAAGACCAGCCTGTGCAACATGACAAAACCCTGTTCGTACTGAAAATACAAAAAATTAGCCAAGTGTGGTGGCACAGGTCTGTAGTCCCAGCTTCCCTGGAAGCTGTGTTGGGAGGATCGGTTGAACCTGGAGAGGCTGAGGCTGCAGTGAACCATGTTGGCACCACTCTGCTCCAGCCTGGGTGACAGAGTGAGACCCTGTCTCAAAAAAGAAAAAAAAATACTTCCCCCAAACATGGCTTAATTTGCAAACACACACCTAGTTTATAGATTTAAAGCTGCTCTAAGTAAGATCACAGTTGGGTTTTTGCTATGATTTCATTTTTCCTTGTTCTCCTTGGCTATCATGGTCATTGTTAAGAAACCCACAATTTTACTACTGCAGTTCCTAAATATTAATGTAGCTCTAGGCCCAGAAGCTAATCAATGAAAAAGTATTTGCAGATTGAGCTATATTAGAATGTAGCGATTTCTATTTTGTATTACCATGCATGCTGTATTGGCTTTTCCTTGCTGAGTAATGAATTACCACAAGTTTAGTAGCTTAAAACCACACCCATTTATTGGGTCGCAGTCCTGTAAGCCAGAGTCCTGTGTGGCATGACAGGATTCCTAATTAGGATGTCATAAGGCTGAAATTAAGTTGTCAGCTGGCTGAGTTTGGCAGTTCTGGGGAAAATCCACTTCGAACCTCCTATTTGTTGTTAGCAGAATTCAGTCCCTTGCAGTCCTAGGACTGAAGTGTCCCTTTCCTTGATAGCCACTGGCCACCTCCTAGAGGCCATTCTCAGGCCTTTTCCATGTGGCTCCATAGGCAGGTCACAATATGATGTTTGCTTGCTTCCAGGCCAGCTAGAGAGCGTTTTTAGGACCCCCGTTTTTAAAACCAGCCAAGAAAACCCTTTGTTTTTAAAGAATTCATGTGATTAGGTAAGCCCTACTCAGATAATATCGTTATTTTAACATCAACTGATCAATAACCTTAATTACATCTCCAAAATCCTTTTGCCATGTAAAATAACATAATCATAGGAACATCACTAGAAAGTAGACATCATGGGGCCATCTTAGAATTCTACCTACCACACATGCTAATAGCTGTGGTACAGCTGCAAATAGCTCATTTCCACCATTATTCGTATTCTTGTATATAACAGCTATGGTAGCTATTATAAATTCCTCATAAATTCTGGATAACTTTTCTTTTTAGTTATTCTCCAATATGTCTGTCTATTTTCTTTTCTTATACTTGACTTTTAAAAATTGTATTCCTTTTGTCTTACTCCATTCTGCTACACTTGCGTTTTCTTTTTCCATTTATTTCTCCTTTCTTATTCATCTTTGTTCTACCCATCTCTACACCCCTCTTTCTCTGTTTTCAGGTAAAGTTATTGTCATTTGAGTGTCTTTTACACACAAGTGCTCTGTAATTAGTTATAATAATAGGTTACACTTCTGTAATGTCTCCAGTCAAAACCTCAAAGCTTACAAGCATGAATTATGCCTCATAATGTATTTGTGAAGAAGAGAAAGGTGATTATTCCATTTTACAGTTGGGAAAACGAAGACTCAAAGGGATAGAATGTGTTCCCTAAGTCACCCAGTTAGTAGAGAAATAGAAGGGTTGAAGCCTGGTCGTGTGTCTTCCCCTGCCTCTGAGAATTCTTGGGGAACTTTTAAAAATCCCTCCCTGTGATTCTCACTTCAGGGTGTATCTTTCTTTGCTGCCAGCTGGAATTGATGCAGGGGTGATATGCTCAGGAAGGAGCTGCCGGTGACTGCAAGGCCTGACAGCATGCGTGGAGGGATGTTGTACAGGTGAAAGAATCAGTGCCAAATCCTACCAGTGGTCAGATTTAATTGAAGAGTGGGAAGCCCCTGAACTAAAAGGGACCATGGACACTATCTAGTTTTTACTTGACAAGTTATAAAAATGGGACTCAGAGAAGTGAAGGGACTTCAGCTTTATACTAGAATGAGCTCAGAGCCGAGCCGGTGTCACGGTCCAAGTGTTGGAGCTCACAGAGCAATGACCTTTCTGTTGTGTCTACACTGCATTACTATACTCTTCACTACCCTCTACAGGTAGGGGGAGAAAGGGGAAGTTGGGGGCCTGGGGAGTGGCCTGGGCTGAAAGTATTTGGGGTGGGGAAGGAAGGAATGACATTGAAATGTGTGTTAAATGTATGCATACCTAATATGCTTCCTAGAGATGTATGGGGAAATTCTATCTCCTGATCAACAATGCTTGCAAGGGAACCAAACCATTTGTTCTTTATCCGTGGCTTCATTCTGGTTCCTACTGGTAAAAGGGAGTTGGTCTTATTTTCTATTTTTCACACCCTTTTATCTTAAAATATTTTTCTAATTTCCAAACTCTCCTCACTCCCAACCACTATGTTCTTGCCCCACAGAAGAGTGTTTGAAGACAAGATAAAATGGTCAGACTAATTTAAGGGGAACACAGTTAGAATTAGTCTGAGCAATGTGACTTTCTCAATCTCTTTAGTCTTCTACTGTTCTATAAAAGGGAATGGGCATTGGTTATAAGAAGATCCATCTTACAATTGTAAAGTTGTCTTTCTTAAATAAGGAAATGCTCTTAAAGGTACTTTTGAAGATAATCTTTCACAGACACACACAGACTCATCCTATGGAGAAGCGACATTTGTGTAAATATTTCATGTGCACAGGTGGAGGCAAAAGGCTATCCTGTGGATGGTTCACAGGCACTCAATACTCAAACCAGAAAATTGCAAAACAGCAGGAAAATGGCAGAATTTGTAGTTTTATTGTGCCTGAAATCTTCAAGTGAACTTGCCTGTGACCTTTCTTCATTATAGGTTTTATGGCTTTCCTTTTTTACCTGTAGAGCTGAAACATGAAGCCTATGAAAATTCAGAAAATTCATGGATTTGTCCACTTTAAAATTTTCAAAAATAAATTTATTTTTCAGGACATTTATTATTTTGACCATAAAATCTTTAAAAAGAAACCTGTCTGCCTAGATCTAGCTTGACACAGCCACCGAAGCTTCCTGAAATACTGTATGTTTAAATTGAATTTGAAAATTTAGTGTAGATAAATGAACTTCATGGAGGAATGTTTTTCACTAAATTGAATTGTCAAAAATTGACAGCAATTATTTTTCAAGGTAAAGCTTTCTGAAGGTCCAGTTCTCACTCTCCTCCTAAGTATACCTTAAAAATTAGGTATACACTAGTTTTTTGTCCTAAAACACACATATAATTCTCAATTTTGAGACACCATTTTTACTATAATAATTGTGATCCATTATTTGTACTTTTTCAATATTACAAAGGTAAGATTTTGAGGCACATTTATAAAAATGCTCTAAATTATATTAAAGTCATTAACATGCTTAATACAGAAAAATGTTTTGAACTATAAAATACAGGATATGGGTATATATTCTAGCTTTTGTTTGATACTTTGCATAATTAAGTGCTAAAAATCATACTTTTACAGACTATTACAAGAGTTGGGGGAAACTAATGACATAATATTCGGTGAAAAATCAGGACAGTTTTGGGGGCTCCTGTCCTTGACAAGCATCCTCCTCCTACCTGCCACCATCTATCCCGAACAAAGTAGTAAGTGTTAGGATTTTGATGGCTGGCAAGCTGATACATTTCAACGTCCCTTATGGTTTCGTGTTTTTCTTTCATGTTACAAAATTAGCAATAAAGGAGAACTTCCTTAACTTGGTAAACATTACACAAAGCAAACATTATAATGAAGAAACTTTAGATGCTTAAGATTGTGAATACTATGCCCACTGTCATTGCTATAAGTAAAATCAAGGAGATAAGAGGTGTAAGCATTGGGAAGGAAGAGATGGCATTGCCATTATTTTCTAACGATGTGTTTATCTATCCAGAATACTTGCATAGTAAACTATTAGAACTACTACGTCAGCTGAACAATGTTTTTGGATCTAAGGTCAACTTACAACCCTCAGTAATGATCACAATTTCTCTACATTGCAAGTGATTACTTTTAAATATTTATAAAAGACCATGCACAGTAGCATTTTAAAATCTTTAAAGTGTCTAGGAATCAACAAAGAATTAATGATATCTGTGTGAAGAAAATATTAAACAATATTAAAGGACATAAAGGAAAATCTGATATAATGGAGAAAGCATTCCGTGCTCCTAGATGGAATGATTTAATATTATAGAAATGTTGTTTCTCCTCCTCACTGATACATCTACAAATTCATCTATAAATATAGCTCAAATCACTTTTTTAAAGAATTAAATAAATTTATTCTTAAATTTACATGGGAGGGAAAAGTCCATGAATATCTAAACCAATTTTGAAAAAAAGCACACACACAAAGAAAGATAAGTTGCCTTACCAAAATAAAAACATACCACAAAGCCATAATTAAAATGATGTAATAATATAAGCACAAAATCCAGTGGAGTAGAACTAAGGAGTCAGAAGTAAACTCATGTATAAATGGGAGTGTAAAAGTGAAAGTGGTACCACAAACCACTGGAGAAAGTATACTTTGGTAAATGGTATTGGGAAAACTGACTCACTATAGGGAGAAAGGTCAAGCTGAACTTCGTTGGATTACAGATCTAAATGTAAAACATTACATCATAAAATCAACTTATTTATACATTAATTCAGCATATATTTATTGAGTATATACTCTGTGCTAAGCACTGCTCTAGGTACCAAGCATACTTCAGTTTGCAAAGTAGACCAAGCTCGCTACCTTTGAGGAGTTTACATTCTAGCAGAGGAGACAGACAACGACAATCAACATAACAAATAATAATAATCAAGTAAGGGGAAAAAGGGAATAAGGGTGAGGTAGGAAGTGCAAAGGTATGGAGTCACAATTCTAAAAGGGGTACTCACAGTACAATTTAATGAGGAAGTGATGGTAGAACAGAGGCTTGAAAACAGTGAGGGAGTTGGCCATGCAGGTATTTGGAGGAAGAGTATTACGGGAAGAGGGCAAAGGCCCTAAGGGAAGCTGTACCTGTCATGTTCTAGGAACAGGAAAGACACCAGTGTGGCTAGAGCTGAGCAAGTTTAGGGCTTGACGTGGGAATTCACTGGAAGTTTTAAGCAGAGGAATGACATCATTTTATCTATACTTTTCAAGAATCCCTGGCTGCTGAGTTGCAAAAGACAGCAAGGGGGAAAAGGTAATTGCAATAATCCAAATGAGAGATGATGGGATGGTGGGTTGGGTGGTAGCAGTAGAGGAGATGGAACGAGGTGGTTAGACTACAGATACATTTTGAAACCAAAGCCATCAGATTTCCTGGTACATTGAGCGAGGGGTGTGAAAAAGGGGTGAGTCCAGGATGATCTGGATTTTTGGTCTAAGAAAATGGAAGGATAGAATTGTCATTGATTAAGGAAATAGAGTAAAATACAGTATTACAGATTTCAAACTCGTGGTGGAGAAGTACTTCTTAAATAAAACTCCAAGTGCAAAGCGGAAAGCCAAACTTTGATTACTTTGATTATATCAATATTAAGGATTTCCATTACATGAAGAACACCATGGAAAACGTTGACAAACTGATGAAGGCTGGAGAAATTATTTAAAATTTCTAAAATTAATAAGTGATTAATATCTGAAATATATCAGAAAGTCTTACAAATCAAACAATAACAACAAAAACAGACCATAATTTTTTTAAATGGCCAAAATAAGATCCTCAGAAGAGATAAACAAAAGACAATCACATTAGAAATAGAGTCATTAAGAAATTACAGAAACTCAAAAATGATGAGATATTACATTACACCTATTGTATTTGAAAAATCAGAAAACATCATCATAGCTCATGATGTCAGAGACATGGGAACACTTGTGTGCTGCTGAAAGGAGGGTAGAAGAGTGTGTACAAACTATCAGTGTTTACTCAAATTGGGTATACACTTCTCTATGACCCAGCAATCTCATTGTTGGGTTTCAATATTCCAAAGACAAGGCCGGGCGTGGCGGCTCACGCCTGTGATTCCAACATTTTGGGAGGTCAAAGTGGGTGGATCACCTGAGGTCAGGAGTTCGAGACCAGCCTGGCCAACATGGTGAAACCCTATCTCTACTAAAAGTACAAAAAAATCAGCCAGGTGTGGTGGTGCGTGCCTGGAGTCCCAGCTGCTTGGGAGGCTGAGGCAGGAGAATCTCTTGAACCCAGGAGGCACAGATTGCAGTGAGCCGAGATGGGGACACTGCACTCCAGTCTGGGTGACAGAGTGAGACTCCATCTCAAAAAAAAAAAAAAAAAAAGAATATTCCACAGACATTTTTATACTTAAAAGTGGAATGAACAATATTATTCACTTCAATGTTATTTGATAGTAAAGGATTGGAAACAGTCTAAGTATCCATTTCTGAGGGAATGCATAAATAAAAAATGAGAGATACTACCATAAAATGTTACATGGAGGCTAAAAATGAAAGGATTGAAAGTACACACAGCAACGTGGATGGATCTTAAAATATAATGTTGAAGGAAAAACAGTAAATAACATAATTGTATATATAGCCAAATATATATAAATATTTATGTAAATTAAAAATACACAGGTTGGGTGCAGTTGCTCATGCTTGTAATGCCAGCACTTCGGGAGGCCTAGGCAGGAGGATTGCTTGAGCCCAGGAGTTTGAGACCAGCCTGACCAAGATGGCCAGACTTCATCCGTACAAAAAATAAAAAATAAATTAGCCAGGTATGGTGGCCTACGCCTGTAGTCTCAGCTACTGGAGAGGCTGAGGCAGGAGACTCTTTTAAGCCCAAGATTCAAGGCACTATGATTACACCACTGCACTCCAACCTGGGCAACAGAGCGACACCCCATCTCTAAAAATATATGTATGTATACATAGACTTGTGATACATCCATACAATGAAATACGACTCACTAGACTAGGCCCTCCATATCCACAGGTTCTGCATCCTCAGATTCTACCAACTTCCAGTAGAAAATATTCAGAAAAAAAAATTTAAAAAACCACAATAACAATAAAATAACAGCAAAGAAAAATAACAATAAAATAATACCAATAAAAATATAGTATAACAACTATTTACATAGCATTTACATTGTGTTAGGTATTATAAGTAATCTATAGATGATTTAAAGTATATGAGAGGATATGCATAGGTTATATGCAAATACTGTGCCATTTTATATAAGATACTCGAGCATTTACAAATTGTGTACGGGGAGTCTGGAGGGGAACTCTTGGAACCACTCGATATATTCTGAGGGATGACTTTAATAATAAAGAATGAACTACTGATGCATGCAACAACTTGGATAGATTTCGTGGGAATTGTGCTCAGCAGAAAAAAAGCCAATCTCAAAAGGTTGGCATACAAATCCAAGAAATACAGAGAACCTCAGATAGATACTATATAAAACAATCATCCCCAAGTCACATAGTCAACAGATTCACCAACGCCAACAAAAAGAAAAAAATCTTAAAGGCAGCTAGAGAGGAATCAAGTCACATACAGAGCGAGCTTCATCAGGCAGACCTCTCAGCAGAAATCTTACAAGCCAGAAGATATTGAGGGCCTATTTTCAGCATCTTTAAAGAAAAGAAATTCCAACCAAGAATTTCATATCCTGCCAAAATAAGCTTCATAAGTGAAGGAGAAATAAAATCCTCAGACAAGCTAATATTGAAGGAATTTGTTTCAACTAGATCAGCCTTCCATGAGGTTCTTGAAGGAGTGCTAAACATGGAATCAAAAGAATAACACCTGCTACTGGCTAGGCGCAGTGGCTCACACCTGTAATCCCAGCACTTTGAGAGGCCAAGGCAGGCGGATCACCTGAGGTCGGGAGTTCAAGTCCAGCCTGACCAACATGGAGAAACCCTGTCTCTACTAAAAATACAAAATTAGCTGGGTGTGGTGGCATATGCCTGTAATCCCAGCTACTTGTGAGGCTGAGGCAGGAGAATTGCTTAAACCTGGGAGGCAGAGGTTGCAATGAGCCCAGATTGCACCATTGCACTCCTGCCTGGGCAACAAGAGTGAAACTCCGTCAAAAAAAAAAAAAAAAAAGAATAACACCTGCTACCACACAAACACATGTAAGCATATAGCCCACAGGCACTATAAAGTAACTACACAATCACACAATCAAGTCTATATAACAACCAGCTAAAAATATGATGACAAGATCAAAATCACACATATCAATATTAACCTTAAATGTAAATGGACTAAGCACCCCCACTTGGAAGACATGGAGTGGAAAGCTAAATAAAAAGGCAAGATCCAACCTGTTTAATGGCATTCACAGAATCAAAGTAAAGGAATGAAGAACAATCTACCATGCAAACAGAAACAAAAGGAGAAAAGGAGTCACTATTCTTGTATATATTTGTGTCTCTGCCCAAATTTCATGTTGAATTGGAGGAGGTGCCTGCTTGTGTGTCACCTCTTTCCCCTTTATTTTCTCTCTCTCTCTCTCCTGTCACCATGTGAAGAAGGTCTTTGCTCCCCCTTTGCCTTCTGCTATGATTGTAAGGTTCCTGAGGCCACCCAGTCATGCTTCCTGCTAAGCTTGGTGAATTGAATTGTGAGTCCATTAAGCCTCTTTGCTTCATAAATTATCCAGTCTTAGGTAGTTCTTTATAGCAGTGTTAAAATGGACTAATGCAACATTACATAATGATACAGGGTACAATCCAACAAAAAAACTTAACTATCTTAAATATATACACACCCAACATCAGAGCACACAGATTCATAAAATATGTTATTTGTGGCCTACAAAAAGACTTAGACAACCACACAGTAATAGTGAGAGACTTCAACACCCTACTGACAGCATTAGACTGATTATTAAGGTAGAAAACTAAGATTTTCTGCATATGGCTAGCCAGTTTTCCCAGCACCATTTACTGAATAGGACATCCTTTTCCCATTGCTTGTTTTTGGCAGGTTTGTTGAAGATCAGATGGTTGTAGATATGTGGTGTCATTTCTGAGGTCTCTGTTCTGCTCCATTGGTCTATTTGTCTGTTTTGGTACCAGTACCATGCTGTTTTGGTTACTGTAGCCTTGTAGTATAGCTTGAAGTCAGGTAGCATGATGCCCCCAGCTTTGTTCTCTTTGCTTAGGATTGTCTTGGCTATATGGGGTCTTCTCTGATTCCATATGAAATTTAAAATAGTTTTTTCTAATTCTGTGAAGAATGTCAATAGTAGTTTGATGGGAATAAAACCATCAAATAAGAACAAATCAACCCCACTGCTACCATGGAATACTACACAGCCATAAAAAGAATGCAGTCATGTCCTTTGAAGCAACATGGATGGAGCTGGAGGAAATTATCCTATGCAAATTAATGCAGGAACAGTCTCCTAAGCAAATTAACATAGGAACAGAAAACCAAATAACACATGTTCTTTCTCATAAGTGGGAGCTAAAGATTGGCTACTCATGAACATAAAATGGCAACAGTAGACACTGGAGACTACTAGATGGAGGAGGGAGTTGACATGAAAAACTACCCATTGAGTCCTATGCTCACTACCTGGGTGCAATATACCCATATAACAAATCTGCACATGTACTTCCTGTATCTGAAATAAAAGTTGAAATTTAAATTTTTAAATTTTTATTTATTTATTTATTTATTTTAATTTTTACTATCATTATTATTTTTTTTTTTTTTCTTGAGACAGAGTTTCGCTCTGTCGCCCAGGCTGGAGTGCAGTGGCGCCATCTCGGCTCACTGCAAGCTCCGCCTCCCGGGTTCACGCCATTCTCCTGCCTCAGCCTCCCGAGTAGCTGGGACTACAGGCACCCGCCACCATGCCCAGCTAATTTTTTGTATTTTTTTAGTAGAGACGGGGTTTCACCGTGTTAGCCAGGATGGTCTCAATCTCCTGACCTTGTGATCTGCCCGCCTCAGCCTCCCAAAGTGCTGGGATTACAGGCATGAAAAGAATTTTAAATATTAAAAAGGTATCGACTACTTGATAGGTACTGTTCTTAACAAGAACTTTTGGGAAGAATTTTACAATCCATAAAACGTACTTCTCTGAAAAAATCCTCTAAAAATTTTTATCTCAACTCCTTTTCCACAATTAAACAGAATAAAAATGCCTCAGGAAAAAAGTCATTAATTTATTTCGTGAAAGATTTCCTGTAAGTTTCACAGCAACCTTGAAAACTCATGCTAATGATTCAAATTTCTCACAATAAGAAATTCCTAACAATCTATTTTTTTCACGCTGTAATAAAATTTTTAAATTATTTTATATTTAATAATCTTGCAGTAATTTAGAATATGAAAAAGAGGGAAAAGAAACTTTTTGAGATGATGAAAATATTCTATATCTTTACTGTAATAGTACTTGCACAGATGTATACATTTGCAAAAACTTATTGGACTTCAAATGCTTTAAATGAGTGCATTTTACTAAATGTAAGTTGTACTTCCATAAAACTGAGTTTTTTGAAATTTCTCTTTTAACCCAAAATATTTAAAATGTTTCCATAAACACCATTTTAAATAGTTTTAATATTCTTCAAGTAGTATTACCTTAATAAAACATATCCCAGAATTTCTCATCCAAATATTTTGATCCCCTTGAAAACATTATACAGAGTTTACACTTATGTGGAGCCCTAATAACTGATTTTAAGCAAAGCTCTGTATGCTTCTAGAATAGACTTTCTCTTGACAAGTCTTTCACATTTCAGGACCATGCTGAATCACTAATAACAGAGTAAGATAATATTACATGGTTGCTCCAGTATATCGTAATTCCCACTATATATAGATTCAGACATGCTTTCTCTAAAGAAACCTAGAATATTACAGCTGGGACAAAACATTTAGTATGGTGGTTTGCAAACTGCTGGGTTTTTTTTTGTTTGTTGTTTGTTTTGGCAACTGAAACTCTCCCTTCAAGTTGTATCACACACAGAAGCCTAATGTACAAAGTAAATAAAAACTAAGCTTTTTTGGTTTTAGCAGAGGCGAAGAACACCAGAGCTTATCCCACTGGTCCTAGTATCACCTACAACAACAACCCTGATGTAGCTCCAAGGAACCCCCAGGTTGGAATCCAGTTGAAAATACTGCTAGAATTCAGAGGATAAATGGCATCTTTCTTTTATTCCTTTAGGAATAAACACCTTAGGGTGTTTGATCAGGTGATCCCTTCTCCTGGAGCATTCTTCTGACAGATATCCAAAGTACTGATTCACTCATCCCCTTCAAGTTACTGCACAGATGTCTTCTTCTCAGTGAAGCCTACACAAACCTCCCTATTTCATATTGCCACCAAACCACTTCCACTATCAGCACTCTCATTTCTCTTTACCCTCTTCTCAATTTTTTCTTTTCCAAGGATCTATTATCTCTCTAAGCATATAATTTATTATGCTTATTGATTTTTTTTCTATCTCTCTCCTATTAGAATATAAGCTCTTTAAGAAATGGGACTTTTCTTTGTTCATTATTGTATCCAAAGAGCTTAGAATAGCACCTGGCACCTAGTTGACATTCAGTGTATATTGGCCATGAAAGTATCATAGGTCACTTAAGATTGTGGCAAAGTCCCTTGATTTCTTGTCTTATATACCTACCTTTTTCTAGTTCACTTTGAATTTTCTCATATGACAAAATGAGCGGGGTGAAAATTTAATTGGTTTTTTTCTTCTCTCATGTGAGTGCAAAGCCAGTAGGTTATATGACTGAAACTCTTGAGTGCCCGAACCAATCCCAATCACTCAGTAGAGTGTCAAAATTTGGACAAAGATGCACTCATCAGCTGGCTACTTCATAGGATACATATGTATACATATATGTGTGCGGACTCAAAGATGGGAACAATAGACTCCAAGGGAGGATGAGAAGAGAGCAAGGATGGAAAATTACCTATCGGGTACTATGCTCACTACATGGGTGACAAAATAATTTGTACATCAAACCCCAATGACACACAATTTACTCATGTAACAAACCTGCACAAGTTTGTGCATTTTTTAAAATTTTTATTATTATTATTATGTACCCCCAAACCTAAAAGTTTAAATACACACACACCTGTATATGTGTGTATGTATGCATTGTGTATATGTATTTATGTGTATGTATATACATCTGGTCTGTCATCTTTAAGCTTCATTATTCTGTGGGTACCCATAAATTCACGTTAATGTTACTATCTGCTAGCCACCATCTTTGTTTATGACTTCCCTCTCAATCATTCTATTCTTCGAGGTCCTTCAGCCTCCCTACACCCTTTCCACCACTCCATGCACCAGCCTCTTAGCATTCCTCCCATTTTTGTCCCTCAGTCCTTCCTTCCTATGGTGCAGTTCTGACTTCCATTGTTTTAACTCTATTATTCAAAGAAATTCAGTTCCCACCACCACCATCCTTTCAGACTTAGCCACCTTTTCACAAAACAAAACAAAACAAAAACTTTGTAACTGTGATTTGAAAAAGAAAAGTAACTTCCAATGTATGCTTTAAAAGATTATACACATTTAATTTGATTTGACTGAGATGGCTATGTCAACCGATGATTTACCACATGGAAAGAGAACACTGAGGGTCCAAATACAGGGTAGGTGGTTTCCATAGGTTCAAACATGGGCTAAGTCAATTAAGACAAAAAAACTATGTGGGATACATACGAAGTTATACTGTAAGGTCCAAGAGCCAAGCCTCCTAAGTTTGTGGTTGATAGAAATGTGGCAAAGTGCACGTGTAGAAAATATTTAGCAACTGTAGTTGACTGTTCTTTAACGACTAGCATTTATTGAATGACTACTATGTGACAGGTGCTGCTTTAAAGGTTTTTCAGATATTAGTGTCAGGGCTTAGAAAACACTACCACAAAGGAGATTGGGAGGGCTTTAGAAACAAGGTCACTCAGACCTTCCCCAGTGTTTCCATGTGAGGATTCTCTGACCTATCTCACCCAAAAGTAAGTCATAAGACCCTCATTCCAGAAGGGTCCTTCCCTACTCCTGGAGGCCAAGAGGAATCTAAACAGACAAGGCTTGCTGGGTTTCCCCCACCAGTTTATTACTATTAAATCATACCCTTTTTGTCCAACCATACTTCCACATCACTGTCCATTTTTCATCGCACCTAAGCATAAAGATGCAGTTTTCCTTGGGTTTTTGGATTTTCACTTCTGAAGGCTCCTGTGTCATGTGAAACTCTTGTTGAATAAATTTATTATGCTTTTCTCTTTCTACTCTGTGTTTTCTTATAGGTATATCAGCCATAGACCTTGCAATGGGTGAGGGAAAGATATTGCTCTTTCTCCCCTACATTAGCTTGTGAAATCCTCCTATAACCTTATTAGGGAGGTACTATTGTTATCACCATTCCCCCAAAGGGGAAATTGAAGAATGGGAAGGTGAGTAACTTGCCCAACGTTACATACATAGTAAACGATAAACTGAAATCTGAACTCAGGTCATCTGGCTCCAGAGTCCACACAATTCACCACTGTCTTAGAGCTTCCTTGTTAAGTTGATAGTGTGGTGGAGCATTCTAAGAAAAGCTCATTGAAACTGAGTCTTTATTACTTGAAGTATGATATATCGAACAGGTGAAGTTTCCATTCTACTACATCATGACTAAGGATTGGATAAGGATTGGATTTAGATCGGTTAGAGGTAAGAGGACTGAGTTTTAGAATATTGCTGAAGTTAAAGTGAAACAGAGTAAAGCTCAGTATAAGACAAAACTGTCCTGTAATGACAGCTGTCCAAATGTGAAGTGGATGGCTCCAAAACAAATTTAATTTCCACTCACTAAGGGTGATTAAGGATAGGAAACAATTTGGTGGGAATATTTTTAAAGAAATCCAAACATTAAATACATAACATGACCAGAGAATCTTATTGGGAAATTTACTGGTCAGTTCCACAGTATCTTGGAAACAAGAATATTTTGCTCCCAGTTAGTATAAGCTATTGAAGAGTTCATAAGACTGTGTTTAGATCATTAAATTGCGCTAATTTGGGGAGGGTAAAACAAAGTAAAATTTTAGTATCCCTTTTCTGGCCCCTAACCACTCTCCTTCTACTCATTTCCCTCTCCCAACCTACAAGATGCTGCCCTCACCACTATCATAAATTGCTGTATTAATGAACAGTGATTTTCTTCCCAAATTATAGGCCGATTTCCTAATGTGATTAAACTCAACTCAACTTTGCTTGGGGAACCTTAATGGAGAGGAATTATTTCCAGTGGTATGCTAAAAAATGTTGAACCGGCTCTCTGAAAAACTAGATCTCTGTTTTGTAGCATTTTTCAATTTCAACAACGTAAAAACTCCCACCATGGCCAATCTCAAGATACCAACATGATATCACTGAATGTAGAGTTGGGTGATATATTAGTTCATTACTGCAATTAAAAATTAGCATAAACTTAGTAGCTTAAAACAATACCAAGTTTATTATCTTACCATTCCGTAGGTTACTGGAGATCACCAAGTTAAAAGCACAGTGTTAGCAAGGCGGCATTCTCTTCTGGGCTCTCTAGATGAGAATCCATTCCCTTTCCGTTTCTCTCTTCAGTAGACCACCCACATGCCTTGGCTGAAGGCAAGGCCCCTCTCCTGCCATCAGTGGCAGGCGAGGACTTTTTCACATTGCATCTCTCTGAGCTAAGGATGCCACTGAAAATATTCCTCTGCCATGGAAAGGAGGAGAGCATTTTATCAACACAGAAGGAGAACCAGAGTGAAGCAGAGGATTCTGGCATGCTGAGCATGCAGTTCTAGTCCTTTAACCCTGGTTCCTACAGGAGCTATCCCAATATCCTTCCTGAATATATTTCCTAGACATATGAATAAATACATTCTTCTTCAATTACCTTAGCTTCATCATTTGGAACCAAGAGTGGCAATGAATACTTATGGTATAAGGCAGCACTTGACTGGAAAATGAACTGCCTACACTAATTGGTAGAAATTTTGACCTTCTTTTAAGGATACAATAAATAAAACACATGTGCTTTATTTCAACATATTTCTGAAATGAAGTAAGGCTTATGTTGTTATTGCTGTTGTTGTTTTCATAGAAAATTAGTGTTAAGAAGTATGAAGGGCCTAAAATTTTACCCTACTGAGATTTTACAAGTTAACTTGCTACAGTCGCCAGCAGAGGCCTGACACTCCTGAATCAAAAAGAAAGGAAAGTTTGTTACTCCTACGTATAGTGATAGCTGGAATATCAGCATTTTTTCTGCTTCCCTAAACCCCAGCTCCCACCAAGTCACTTGGCACTTGCACATAGAATGGGTTGTGTTACAGGAGAAAAGAGAACCCAAATATTTTATAATAGGCATTAAGTCTCCCTGACTTTTGCCCCAGAAGAAGATACCATTTTTATTCTACTAGAGAGTAAACAAACCCCCTCTTTGCTCCAAGGGAGACCCTATATTTTCCAAGGCTGTTCATTCTACAAACAACCTTTACAAGATTCCCTGGAATAAAGATAGTAAGTGCCTCTGTTCACCAGACCTGAAAAAAATGCAAGAGACTCATAGAGAAGAGTGGCACAATAATCAATAGAGAAAAAAGTATTCAGAATTACGCAAGCAATTTCAGTAACTGCTTATTGAGTAGCTACAAAGAATTGTTTATTGTTTGTTAACTTATTTTTTAATTTTTATATTTTTATTTGTTATTGTCTGCCATATTGAATCTTATATGTCTTTTTAAACTTGTAGTCTTAATATTTAGAGCTATTTTAAAACAGATCATTGTTGACATAGCATTTTTAAGATTGATTATTTAGGAAGAGATTATTTAGAAATATTTAGTATGACATTGACATGGTTTGCATCTATGTCCCCACCCAAATCTCATGTCAAATTGTAATCTCTAATGTTGGAGATGGGATCTAGTAGGAGGAGATTAGATCACAGGGGTGGTCTTTCATGAATGGTTTAGCACCCTCTCTTGGTACTGTTCTCATGATAGTAAGTGAGTTCTTGTGAGATCTGGTTGTTTAAAAGTGTGTATCACCTCCCCCCACTTCCTCCTGCTCCAGCCATGTAACACATGCCTGCTTCTCCTTTGCCTTCTGCCATGATTGTAAGTTTCCTGAGGCCTCCCCAGAACCAGAAGCCACCATGCTTCCTGTACAGCCTGCAGAACCATGACCCAATTAAACCTCATTATTTTATAAATTACCCAGTCTCAGATATTTCTATAAAGAAATACAGTAATCCTAACATGATTATGCACATTGTTATTTCTATGGAACTAACAGAATATTGTCCTTTAGAGACAGTGAACTGCAATATGACTCCCATAACAGTCACTATCAATGAAGGATGGGATTTAAGAAAAAAGAGACAAGGCCCCAACTAGGTGTTGGAAAGAAACCAATCTTATTAGGTAAGTGAACTGATTCTCAAAAAGACATAAAAAGTGATAGTCTCAAGACACTATTTGCATATCAAAAGGATTTTATAAATCCAAATAAGCTTCTAGTTATTGAAACTGTGGAGGGGAAATGTTTCTAAGGTAGAAACACCCACTACACAGTAGGTAAAGATTTGAAGGAGGATTTCCATTGCTCTGTGTTGCAAGCTTCTTCCATCCTAGTCCTCTCTCTGTGTTTACTTTGCCAGAATATTAGACAAACATGGCTGAAGCAGAAAAGCACAGTTGACAGTTTTTGTAGTGATCTCTCCATCTCACTCAAAGTATGACTGAAAAGCCTTGCACTAGCCTGCAGGGGGCTCCACAATCTGTAACCATCATCCCCTGGTTCTCTGACTTTCTTCCAGCCCAGCTCCCACATCTTTATTTCTTCTTGAACACACCAGGTACCTTCCTGCCTTAGATCCTTGGCACTGTTTTCACTTATGCCCAAAATGCTCTTCCACCCAGATACCTGCATGGATTACCCCTCATTTCTTCAAATCTCTGCTTTAGCATCACTTTCTCATGGAAACCTACTCTGATCTTCCTATTTAAGAATAACTACTCACATTCCCTCCCTCCCAAACTCTTGTTCCTCTTTACTTGCTATGTATATTTTTTCTTTTTCCATAGCAATTATCACCTTCTAATATGTCATATAGTTTATTAATGTTAATATAACTATTATTTGTTTTCTGTCTCCTCTCATTAAAATATAAGCCACATAAGGACAGGGATCTTTTTGTTCTCTTTTGTTCGTAGACATATTGCAATTATCTAGACTATGTCTATTATCCAGTGGGCACTCAAATTAATTGAATGATGACTAGATGAGTGCAGTTTCATTCATTATCCTCTTTGGATCCCCTGAAACATACAGGCCATGGGAACTCAAATGAATTAATTAACCTTTCTGGATAAAATGGGAGTAATTATTGAACCTGATTTACTGCTTGTTTCATAAATTAAACGGGCTTATGTATTTAAGGCACTTAGCACACTGCCTGGCAGAGAGTGAGAATGTACCATTAGCTACAAACATAAAAACAAGCAAATCTGAACCCCAATAGAGAAGAGTGCCAAATTCCATTCAGCACAAAACATTTCTAGATCTCTCTCCTAAGCTGTGAGAGCTCAGAGCCTTATAATTGAGAAAGATATATTTTACCAACTGTATTGCCATGTGAAAACTTACAGACCTGAAGTCTATAATGTTCCAACTTGTCACTTCTTGTTAGGAGAATTTCGTGTCATCTGCAAACATGATAATCTCATCACTCACTTTACTTTTCTTCCAGATAATTAAAACAAAAAATCTTAAACCGTCTCAGTGCTAATTCCTAGGATCTGATTTTCAGTACTTATCCTTACTGAAAAGTAATGATTTATCACTTCTTTTTATTCAATAGATAGACAAAAAAAAAAAATTGGGATTCAGTCCTACCAAGGACTGTCCCCACCTTGTTGTCCTTCTGAGGAAAGGCATAGGTTTGGAAGGCGATTCCAAATTCATTTCTGCTCCATCATTCTCACAAGCCTGAGCTTCTTACAGATAACAGGAGACATCAACATAATGACAACAGACCTCAGCCCCCTTGAGCAGTTAAGGAGCTTAAAAACAACTCCAAGAACTTGAATTGTGTACAAGATATTCTATGCTCTAGAAAACACCAATACAATAGAACACAGTTGGAAAACAGTTATAGAAACCATAAATGCAAAAATAGCATGCTATGAAACACATAACATGATTATGTGATTATATGAATGCTAAATGAATGCAGAATAAAGGGCCAACAGAAAATAAGAACTGTAAGGAAAGATTAGGCTCCAGTGTTTCAGTTCTGCTGCGGTAGTTGTAGGGACCCTTAATGCTTCCTATTTTTCTTGGTGCAGACACCAATTTAAGCTAGCTTAATCCAAAAGAGACAATTTATTGAAGTGATATAAATGCCTTGTGGAACAAAAGGGTAGTAGGCCTCTTACAGGGCTGAAATAAGGAACTGGAAAGTTTTCAAAATCCCGAAATGTGTTTGCTCTCTCAGTCTACCTCCCTTCTCTCATTCAAAACTTATGATGTTTCTCTCCGTGACTACCTGCTTTCTCTGCTTCTCAATATGCAGAAGCTTCCTAATGCAGAAGCTTCTCAATATGCCCAGAGCTTCCTAGATTATATCATCTCACCCCCAGCCACTGCAGAGACTAACACTGCTGCCTCTGAATCCAAAATTCAAACTCATATAACAGAGAATTTAATTGGTCCATTTGGGTTAGATCCCTTTTGTTTCCCTTGCCTGCCTCTCCCAATCAACTGTAGCCCAACCAAACGTGGGTACCCCAGGGGAGGAGGTGGATGTGTAGAGGGGGTGAATTCTGAGGGATTAGAGTCATTGTAAACTGTACAATTAGTCAAAGGCTATTTTCCCATCCTTACCCCAAACCCATGGAATTCTACTTCCTTCCACCTCTTTTACCCGTAAGCTCTCTAAGTGCCACATCATGAGGCAGAAAGACGATATTTTTCAAGTCCTGGTTAGGATTTTCACAGCTCCTTCTTCCAAACTCTTAGCTGTAGTCTACCCATATCATAGAAGGGTCTTAATCATACCCCAAGCCTCTTGCCTCAATTTAGTCACTGCAGATAACTGGCATTATTTCCTTTCCTTCCAGCTTGTAAAGGAAATTTCAGGTGAAAAGTGGTAGGGATTATGCCAGCCACTGAGTATATGAAAGGAATAAAACATGGTCACTCCTCTTCATTAGTAGAAGGGGATACAAAAAGAACAAGACATTCCAAAACACTGTGAGAAGCACAACTATGGTGGGAAAAGTGACAGCACAAAGCAAGGGATCACAAACTCAGGATAATACTTTGAAAAAAGATCCATTATCCTCAGAAAGCATCAAAGGGAAAGAAGCAATTGGTATTGGATGGATAAAATATTAAAAAGTTCAAGGAAGCAAAATTAAAAGAAATTAAATAAAATGTGACTTGTGACTGCAAGATTGGATTTTCTCCTTGCACATTAAAGAATTCTGTGGAAAAGAAAACAATTAAGACAGCACATGAGTGTTAGTATTCTTTCCAAGTTTAAATTGATTGATGATTTTTAGTTCATTTAATAAAGAAATTCAATAACACATATTTTAAATGAATTAAGTGTAAATTAACCAGAAATATTCGTGCTTGGCAATAATTTTGTTCATGCATTAATTTAGTTTTGTCAGGGTGTTGCTAATTTAAACAAGATGACCTACCCCACACATGACATTCTTGCATTACCAGCAGATTCTTGGCTACTGGTATCATAATTTCCAAAGGATATTCCAGAAGACAAACACATAGTAGTGACATTATCATAACAGGCTCCAGCCATCACTCAACAAGACCATCCTGGTACCTCCACCCTTTCATTCAGAATATAGCTTCTGGAAGGAATTAAAAATTAGTGATGAGGCTGAGGAAGAAATTGGAATAAATTGCCAAAAAACTAATCTATGTTTCTTGGAATCACCATTTTTCCTTTGTAGTTTTAGTATAAATCTTGATTTATTATATTATCTTTACTATTATGTTGTCTTGGGTGAGACTCATTTCCATCTTTCCTTTTGAGTCATGTGGAGTGACAACTAATGGGAATGATGACAACGTGGAATTGAGTCATACAGTCAAGAGGGTAAGAAAAGCTGCTTCAGCTGATTATCATTTCTCCAGATGCCACTGCAGAGTTAAAGTTGCAGTAGTTATAAATTACAAGCGCAGGTCCTTTCCTAACAGCAATGGCAAAGTTGAATAGAGAAAAATCAATGGACAGCAATGTACCAAGTGTGTATTGTGTGTGATACAGAGTGAGGGTGGCAGAGGATTACGAAATATCTTCAAGGAAACAAGTTCCAAAGAGATGCCATAGACACAAACATTTCAGAAGCAAAACCTTGGTTAGGTTCACCAACTGATAGTAAAGAAAGAGTTTATAAAAGGGCAAAAGAGATTTAAATTAGGATAATACGTGAGTTATGAATTATTTGCTAGCATAGTCTCATTTAATCTTGGCAACCAATCTGTGAAACTGGTGTGTTAAATCTATTATATATATGGGGGTTTAATGTCTCAGCACGTTCAAATGTGACTTTCTCACAATCACAGTAAAAAGGCAGCCTCCTTGATATTTTAGCTCTTACAAGGTTGTCCAGTTATGGTACTATGTTTAGTTAGAGCTATGATGCTGAATGCCAGGTAAGGCCATGGTGATATGGCTTGGCTCTCTGTCCCCACCCAGATCTCACCTTGAATTGTAATAATCCCCAAGCGTCAAGGGTGGGACCAGGTAGAGGTAATCAGAACATGGGGACAGTTTTCGCTATGCTGTTCTCATGATACTGAGTGAGTCTCTGAAGATCTGATGGTTTTATATGAATCTGGCATTTCCCCTACTTGCACTCATTCTCTCTCTTGCCACCCGGTGAAAAGGTGCCTTCTGTCATGATTCTAAGTTTCCTGAGGCCTCCCCAGTTATGCAGAACTGTGAGTCAACTAAATCTATTTTCTTTATAAATTTTCCAGTCTTAGGCAGTTCTTTATATCAGCATGAGAACAGACTAATACACATGGGTTGGCGTGATCCCCCTTAATGTGTATGGCATTACTATATTTAAGCAACTGCAGAAAAGGCAGATCCCCATACAAAAGCCAATAACTTTGGCTTTGGGCATACAGGAGAAGGAACTTTTTATTTATCTGGGCCTCACTGTCTAGATCATCTCTTTCAATAATGATGGAGACTCCTGTTCATTGGTGTAGAACATGACCACAACAAAGTAGCTGGGCAGGAGATCAGATGGGACAGGGCCAACCAGCCCCGGAGGGGGCAAAGAACATTTTGTAAGCTTATCATATCAATTTCATGTTATTCTTGGGATTATTGTTTTGTCGTTTTGTTTTTATTTTCTTTTTCACCCTCTGTTAACCCAAAACTTCAACATCTCATCTAAATGTGTTGCAAAAAGTGAATAAACCCCACTAAAAATAGGCAGAAGACATGAACAGACACTTCTCAAAAAAAGACATACAAGTGGCCAATAAACATGAAGAAATGCTCCACATCACAAATCATCAAAGAAATGTAAATCAAAAACATAATGAGATACCAACTCACACCCATGAGAATAGTTTTTATTAAAAAGTCAAAAAACAAACAGTTGCTGGTGAGGCTGCAGAGAAAGGGGGACAATTATACATTGTTGGTGGGAATGTAAATTAGTTCAGCCACTGTGTGAAGTAGTTTGGAGAATTCTCAAATAATTTAAAATGAAGTGATATTCAACCCAGCAATACCATTAGTGGGTACATATCCAAAAGAAAATTAACTGTTCTACCAAAAAGACACATGCACTCATAGGTACGTCACCACACTATTCACAATAGCAAACACATGGAATCAACCTAAGTGCCAATCAGTGGTGGATTGGGTAAAGAAAATGTGATATACATACATCATAGAATACTACACAGCCATAAAAAAGAATGAAATCACATCCTTTGCAGAAACATGGATGCAAGTGGAGGCCATTATCCTAAGCAAATTAACACAGGAACAGAAAACCAAATACTGCATGTTCTCACTTTTAAGTGGGGACTAAACGTTGAGTACTCACGGACATAAAGATGATAAAGATGGGAACAATAGACACTGGAGACTAACAGAAGTGGGAGGGAGAGAGGGGGCTAAGAACTGAAAAACTATCTATTGGGTCCTATGCTCAGTACCTGGGAGACAGGATCAATCATACCCCAAACCTCAACATCATGCAATATACCCAGGCAGTAAACCTGCACATGTACCCCCTGAATCTAAGATAAAAGTTGACTTTTAAAACAGGTATTTTATATATGTAGAAATAAATAAAGGTGTTGTTTCTCTCTTAGTGGAGATATGGAGAACAAAAAGGAGTCATGTATCCACATTTGTGCACTTGAAACCTTCATAGTGGTAGCATCTTTGGTGAAGGTGAATCTTAGCCAGGTCTAGGTACTATTTCTAAAGTGGAAATATCTCTCTGTTAATAATTGTGGAGTGTTTCAGGTGTAAACTGAAAATAAAAATCCTAAGCCCCCAACCACTGAATGGACCCGCTCTTGGCCAAGGGAATCCCAGAGAAACCTTAAAAAACCTTAAAAAAATTTCCCAGCCATGATGGGAATGGAAGGTCAGACGTGCCTTGTTATACAACCTCCCTTTTGCAGTTTAGACACAGCAACCGATCAGCATTACTGTTAAAATACGATTAAGAACATAAGACTGATGGAACAGCCTCTTTGGGGCAGTAAGATACCAAATTATAAGTCCTAAGGCCACGATAGGCAAGAGTTGAGTTATGCACCCTCACAGGTCACTTTGACCCAGTATATTGTCTTGCTCTCACAACCTGACTCTGGCATAGCATCGCATGATGATTAGCGGACAACTTATCTTAATTACCGTATGTTAAAATTAAACTTAAACATTCTTTTCTACTGATTCCAAGTTTTTAGACAAAGCTTTATTCCTTTAACCAATCACAAATTGAGGAAACTCTGAACCCACCTATGATCTGTAAACCCCTGCTTCAAGATATCCTGCCTTTCTGGGCCAAACCAATGTATGATCTTCATATATTGGCTGGTGATTTTTCCTGCAACTCTGCTGTCCTGAAATGTATACGACAGTTACAATCTGACTGCTTGGGGACCACTGACTCAAGGATTCTTGGGTTTGTGTTTCCCCTGGGCCACAGTCACTCATATTGTCTCAGAATAAACCTCCTTAAAATATTTTTAGAGTTTGCTTTTTTCCATTGTCACAGATAATCTGACAACTAAAACAGTTGTTTCCCTACTGTCTGATAGGTTGGCAAATAACAAATTGGAGGTCTCCATCTTCAGTCTTTATCCTTTAAAATTACTGCTCTTGCTACTGCCATACTTAAGTGCACACAGAAGAACAACATGTAACAGCACTTTTCATGAGGTAGGGACATAATTAATTAGTTACCGCCCCTCAAGAGAGGCACCAAAGAATTGTTGATTTATGGAAAAAAATCTACTTGGATGTAACCAACTGGAATGCCATGACTCCACAGACACCCAAGAAGGGGAGTTTCAAGGTGGCAGGTCTCAAAAGTGTCAACTGCTGAATGTATTCATGACTTCTTTTTTTCCAAAAAGAAAGTACCTTTTGCTTTTAAGTCTCTTTTATATCTGTCAGTCCTATATCCTCCATTAGCAGATGCTGGAGTTATGCACTTCCATCCCACCCCCACCATCACATCCATTGGTCACTGCTGTACAGTGGGAATATAAACAGAGACATTCCATAATTCACCCATACACATCAAGACATTTTATTTCACAACCACATCTGTATGCCTTTAATGATTGTTAACAAAGAGATACTACTAATCTCCTGCATCCTCAGTCTTTTCAAGAAGTCTTACAATGTCTGTTTCTGAAAAGGAATAACCTCTAAAGAAAAAAAAAAAGGCTTAGGGTGAAGGTAAACGTTTGTCTCCATTAGTAGATCACTAAAAACTAAATTTCAAATGTGTCAGTGTTATAATTGCTGAGCAGCTCTTCAGCAAATGCGACAAGAACAGATATATTACACAGTTTGAAACCAATGGATAACATAAAATTTTGGAACATTTATGCAAGACATCACCTCACATTAGCAGAAATATTTGAGGCTGAACCTACGTTAAGTACACTTGCAGACACCATAAAATTTCCTCAAGCATTTGTTTCCCCCAACTGATCTACAAGTAACTCTGTTTTGCTTCTCCAGATAAAGATGATCTAAAAAAAAAAAAAATAAGCCAATCGAACAAACAAAAAAATAGAAGAAAAAGTGTTTTAAAGAAGCATTGAGGTTACACAATTACAAGATTACTTTTTCTTTTGGCTCATGAAATGATTCTGAGAGCAATTACAAGAAAGAAGAAACTAAAATACCGTGAGCAAAGGAAGCAAGCATCAACAGAGTGTCTAATTTTCCAAGATTTTCACAATTACAATGCCACCTTCTCTTTATAGGTGCTAAAGTATCTTTTTAAAAATTGATCTTGGCCAGGCACGGTGGCTCATGCCTGTAATCCCAGCACTTTGGGAGGCCGAGGCGGGCAGATCACAAGGTCAGGAGATGGAGACCATCCCGGCTAACACGGCGAAACCCCGTCTGTACTAAAAATACAAAAAAAAAAAAAAAAATTAGCCGGGTGTGGTGGTGGGCGCCTGTAGTCCCAGCTATTCGGGAGGCTGAGGCAGGATAATGGCGTGAACCCAGGAGGCGGAGCTTGCAGTGAGCCGAGATTGCGCCACTGCACTTCAGCCTGGGCGACAGAGCAAGACTCTGTCTCAAAAAAAAAAAAAAAAAATTGATTCAGACAAAATACACTCAAATATATTTTCAGCAATATTAGATACCAACTTTATTGGCTTCAAAACACTATGATTTTTTAAAATATACCAAAATGTTACCAGTGTTTACCTCAGGGGGCATGAGTGGAGTGAGATTATTGTAATTTTTGTTTTCTTTAGTGTTTTCTGCCTTCTCCAAATTTTCTACATTGAGAGTATATTTTTTATAATCAGAAAAAAATTAAAAATAATTTTTAAAATAAGCTTACATTGTGCTCTGGGGGAATTAAGCAGTACCATTCTTCCTTTCTGAAAAATAAATTTCTTTTCAGAAGGAAAATATAAGGTTTATATAAGAATTATATAACCAAACTTTGGTTAACCCCATTGAAATAATTCTCTTTGAATGACTTTTATGATCCAAAATATTAATTCAGCAGATTTCAATTTTCTCTGCTCTGGGTAGCATGTTAATTTCTTCTCATTGACTCTCAAGGAGTTCCGTGCATGGATAAGCTACCCAGGAAAGGGAACTAAGACCTGGCACAGCAAGCAGTCAGCATCTTCTTTCATGGTTCTCTTCATTGTTTGCATAGCACAGAATTCTTTTTGGCCAGAAAAGCATTTGCTTATTAAATTTTCCTTGAAATGCTCATGGGTTTAAATTAAGGAGGACTTCATTTAGGGAAAAAAAACATGCAGCAGGTTTTCATAACACAAAGCATTTGAAAAAATAGAAAGGTTTTACCCATCATATTTGCTTCTCACATTCAGAGTAAACTTGTCCCACTTGGGACCTGGGCAAACCTCTTCTCCTTTTTAAAGTTTCTTTTAAAATGGATATTCATTAAAAATTACTACATGCAATGTAATAAAAAAATGAAACTCTTAAATTGCCCTTGGGATTTTCCTCTTTATTTATTTTGACATTGACTCTCTTGGTTCAGGTAACAATACAAAACACTGATGATGATTGAAAGTTAAAAGTTAGATTCTTTTGGTTTTCATAATTTTCTCCTAACTCCATGAGGAACAATTATTAAGAAATTAATGAGCACTATTTCTCTGAATATGTTATGCTATATTTTGCCCTCTAAAATCTGTTGTATTATCAGCATGATAATACTAGACGTGAAAATCTGAGTATGCCAGTGGATATTAATTCAATAATTAAGCAAAAATAAAACAAAAATTTCCCCATGTTGTTCTTGGTTAGACAATGGCTGCTAAGCTTCACTTTGCTATGTGTTTCAAGGACAAGTCACCTTCATTTTATTTCTCTTACGTACATGAACATTGACATCCATGCAAACAGCAAGTCTGAAATGGTATCCATTAAGAAAGTAATGGCAGCCAAGGGCACCTTTCTTAATGTGCAAATTTCCAGTTCACCTCACTTTTCTAGATTCCTACTCATAAATATTATTATCTAAGTGTAAATATCCATACGCAAAAAAAAAAGAGAATATAAGAGATATGTTCACTGTGGTACCATTTCCTTATGAACATATTAATAAAAGGTAAGAAGACAGAATTCCTAGAAATCATTCCTCTGGCTTAGGAGGAAGGCTCAAGATTCTAATGGGGTGATTATTCGAAATTCACAGCATTTTAAATCTCAGAAACAATGTTCTAGTCACTAAAGGAAAAAGGGCCAAAAGACGTACCCAAGCTACCTGTTAGGAGCCTTGTACTTCTCTCAGTGAACTATAATCACACTGATAGCAACAGGAGGCAGCCAAATGCCCAGACAGGTAGGGACAGGTCCCAAGTGAATCCCTACCTCCCAGCCAAAGGCAGTTTAAAGCCTGAAAGCCAAGCTACAAGTTAAATCCTCAGACGGGATTGAGAACTTGTCTTCCTGTTTGGTGCACTTTCCTCTGATTTGTCCCCACCCTTCCCCTGTTTTATATATAAGTACCCTTTCCTAATTTGTTTTCTACACTGTCATGCCCACCTTTGAGTGGTGTCTTCCCTTTAACCTTTTTTGCATACTCACAAACCAATCAGCATGCATTCCGCCTTCTGAGTCCATAAAAGACCCCGGGCCGAGCCACATGGGAAAACTTTCCCACCTTCAGGTAGGAGGACCAAACTCGCGTCCCCTCTTTGCTGAAAGCTATTTTCATTGATCAATAAAAATTCTTCTTTGCCCTCCTCACCCTTGAATATCCAGCATATCCTAATTCTTCTTGGGCACAGTACAAGATCTCAGAAATCACCAAACATGGCTGCAAGCTATAACACCGGCAAGCTGGGGCATACCAGTGTGGCCAAATGAGGCGCAGGCAGGGTGGCGCCAGCCAGGGTCCCCAGCTTGCAAAGTAACCGAGAAGAAAAGTCCTACATCAACACCAACCTCAGAAATGCCTTGTTCTAGGAGTCTATTAGAAGGAATCTATCAGTTGGCTTCCAGGCCAACATAGAAACGTAAAACTGCCGAACATGGCACTGAAGAAACTTCCCATTAGCACATAAGTTCAAACCAATTTGATTACGCAGGGATTGTCAAAAAGTATGTTAACAATCTAAGATTTTATTAATATACCCCCAACTCCCTTCATCTATCTGTTCCCCTTTAAAGGAATCCTTTTCTTTGGAGTTATAGAGGACATATTCCAGACAGATGATGTTATACATAAACACACTGGAGCTAACCGAATAGCAAGGTATCAGGGGATACGAAGCTGCTGCAGTTTCACAACATATATTGAAAATAGAAATTTCATGTTCCTTTTTTCTGGGTCTTTATAAGGAGATTCAAAATAATGCTTTCAGTTCATATATTTTTTAAAAGTTTATCATTATAATGTTACCACTTTGTGGGCATAACAAAAAGGAAAAATATGTACATGGATTCATAAGCCTCTTGGTTCCTCAGATAAGTTTCCCTTATTGTACAATAAGGGAAAAAAATAGAAAGAATATTTCCAAAAGTATTTAAAAATGGTTAAGTAATTTATAATTGAATAGTACTACAGTAATCACATTATTGAGAAGGTCTAAAATGTTAAGAATTTGCTTTTGATTTCCCTGGATAAGACCTATTATGTTAAGAAATTGCATCCAAAAGATGTGGGGACTGGATTGTACAAATTTACTCTGCAATTTAGAGGTTATCTCTACTTCATATATTCTAATAAAAATTGTTTGATAATGTATTGGTTTGTTTTAGTTTGCTAAACAGGCTGTTGAAACCACTCTATTCAGTCGCACTAAAGTCACATCTCCAAGAAGCACTTTTAATTACACTTAATAGGGATGGTGTACCAGTTATTTGCAACAGCTTCTCACTTGCTATCAACCAGATCTTGGCTTTTCATTCACATTTTAATGTTATTTTCTCTTCATTTAAATTTCAAAAAATTAATGTGAACAATTAGTTATAAAAATTATGAAAGCAACCAGGCTTTCTTTCTCCTGGACCAATTGATAATTGGCTTGGCCCTGGTTACAGTTATTCTACAACCAATATGCACCAACTGCCTACAATAGACCAGGCCCTGTGCTGGGTACTGAGGAAATAATGGTGTGAACAAGAATATTATCTCTGGTCTATCTGTGATCTGACAGGAATAACTGCTATTGAACCAATAACAACCAGGAATAGTGGGTCCTATGAAGAATGTATAGTACTATGGAATCTCCCGAGGGAGAGTTAATCTTTAATGGAATTTTAGGAAAGGCTTTCTGGGGGAAATTGTGTTGAGAACTAATATCAGTTGTCCTCCAATATTGGTTTTCTCCATATTCCAAGAATAGAATTTTACCTGGTTACATAGAGATTCAGAATAAAGACTCCCTGCTTTCTTTGCAGTTAAATAAAGTCAAATAACCAATTTCTGACAAATGAAATATGAGTAGAAACATGTGTGGAACTTCTGAATTGTACCCTTTGAGAAAACATACCTGATTTTGCCTTTTCTTTCTTCACTTTCTGCTGTCGGGAATATAATCATGGTGACAGGACATCCTGGACAATGCAAGTAAAGGAAACTATGGTGATAGAGAGTATTAAAAAAAAGAATATGACCTCTAATGATATTCAGAGCATAGCAGCCATACCAGCTTAAAGAGAAATAAAATACAGTCTTGTTTACTACTGGTTTTGTTGTTGTTGTTGTTCTCTGCTACACACAATTCAACATATATCTTAACATTGTCTTGAGGGGAGAGCCTAAGTAAACCAAAAGAGGAGGAGGACAGCATTCCAGACAAAAAGATAATTTGCATAACCCATTAAAGGACATAAAACTTTTATATGACTAGTTTGAAAGTAGGGGTAGATTTGTCAAGATGAAGCTGCAGAGGGAGTATAGTAGATTGTTCCAGTAAAGGCCCGTGATTGGTTCACACCTCTGCTATACACAGTTTGACCATGTGACTTGCATTGGTCAATAGGAAAATACCAGACACAATTTTAGCAAGGCCTTGACAAGTCACTCTTGTCTGCTCTTTTGAACCCTGAAACCACCACACATGAACACGCCTGGGCTAGCCTACTGGAGGATGAGAGATCATGTGGAACAGAAATGTGCTGTTCCAGCTGAGTGCTGTTAGGCCATCCAGCCTTCAATAGCCAGACATAGAAGTGATGTTTTCTTGGACTATCCAGCCATAGAAAAGCTGCCAGGTAACCTCAGAGATCTGCCAAGACAGCCCAGACAAGAAATGCCTAGCTGACCTACAGAATTAAAAGCAAATACATTGTTGTTTTAAATTGTTAAATTTTGGGATGGTTTGTTACATAGCAAAAGCTAATTGATACAAATAGAGCACAAACTATATGGGATCCTATAGTTATTATTAATTCATCCCATGTTTATTAGCACCAACTTTTTACCCGATACTGTGCTAAAATAGGCACTGGAGATGCAGACAAGACACAAGGTCTCTGCCCTCATGGATCCTACCTGCCTATCAGCCATACTGAGGAATTTGATTTGTCATAAAGACAGTAACAAACTACTAAAAGTCTTTAAAGGAAGAGACAATGATTAGGTTTGCACTTTAAAGGCTGTTACGTTAAAATGTGGAAGATAGATTGGAAAGGAGTAAGTGTGTATACTGAAAGACAAGTTAAGAGGCCAATGCAATAGTCCCAAAGAGGGATGATTGAAACTTAGTATAAGATGTTATCCGTTTACATAGCGAGTAGAGATATTCATTAGTTAAGAGATAGAAAGTATAAGATTTGGTAACTAATTAAAAATATGGAGTGGGCAAAAAGAATGATCAAGGACAACAGTTTTCTGGCTTGAAGAAGTTGCCAATAAATAATGGTGCTCTTTATTGAGGTATGAAACATTGAAAGTAGAGGTCTACGTAATGAAAATTATCAATTTAGATCTCATGGTGTTAACTTTGAAACGTTCATGAAATTATTAAAGTGGAGATAATAAAAAGGCAGATATGTGATTCTAGAGTTCCATGAGACACTTGGTCTATGTACATATTCAGAATTACTTGACATAGTAATGGAAATTAAAGACACACAGAAGCTGGCAGGGCACAGTAGCTCACACCTGTAATCCCAGCACTTTGGGAGGCTGAGGCAGGCAGATCACCTGAGGTCAGGAGTTCAAAACGAGCCTAGCCCACATGGCAAAACTCTGCCTCTATTAAAAATACAAAAGTTAGCCAGGCGTGGTGGCACGTGCCTGTATTCCCAGCTACTCGGGGAGCTGAGGCAAAAGAATCACTTGAACCTGGGAGGTGGAGGTTGCAATGAGACGAGATCGCACCACTGCACTCCAGCCTGCGTGGCAGAGCAAGACTCCATCTCAATAAATAAATAAATAAAAATAGAGACACACAGAAGTAGGTGAGATTGTCTAGACAGGGGAAAGTGTAAATGAGGAGAAGGAATGACCCTGGGCAGGATTTAAAGGAATGACAACACTTAAAAGTTTAATAGAGAAGGAAAATCTAGCTAAGAAGATTGAGAGCAAACAAAAGAAAAATGGAATCCTGAAGCATGTCCTGACGTGAAAAAAAAAAAAAAAAGGAAAACAATACTTTTAAAGAAGACTGGAAAATTTTGTTGAGGCTGCTGAGTGGTTAAGTAAGATAAGGACTGAAAAGTGTTATTTGGCTATAGTAACTGGATATAGTTATAATTGGTGAGATTAGCAGGGACCATTTCAGTGGAGCACTGGAGATGAAAATCAGAATGCAGTGGGTTGAGAAGACAGCAGAAAGTAGGTTAAAAGTGATAGTGTACAGAACTCTTTCAACAAGTCAGGCTGAGAAATGGAGGAGAAAGATAAGAATATAGCTACACAGAGGGACATAGAGTCAATAAATGGTTTAAATATTTACATACTTAAATGTTGATGAGAAAGATCCCATGAAGAGAAAGAGGTTGAAACTAGAGGTTAAAGTAGGGATGAGATTCAGGTGGAGGAAATGACTTCTTATAGGAAACAGAGCCCTTAACTGGTGACAGTAGTGCCATCTGAGTTTAGATGCAGAGGAGGAGGGTATCTGGGCTCATCTAGAGTTGGGGGCTATCCAAGTAAATGCAGCTGACAAAGGGTCAAGGGTGCTAGAGTGTTAGCAAGACTGCAATTGAAATACGGATGCAAAAAATCAAATATATGAAGGACAAGGACAGGAGGAGACTGGTATATCAGTAGAGAGAAGAGAGATCAATGGCCTGGAGAACCAAATGAGTTAGAAAGACAGACATGGCAGAAATAGTAAAGCAGGAAGCCTTGAAGTGTAGGAGGATGTGGCAGATATTAGCCTAGCCCCACATTGCCAACCTCCTGGTGTTCAGGTCTTTGTGGGATCCTATTCCCTCCCCAGACCAGAGGTGATGATAAAGCACCAGGTTATCTCAGTAATAAGTGGATAAGGTGAAGTGAAGGAAGGAGACAGTGGGAATGGGGAGAACAACTTAGAGAACCTATGACTTGCTTCTAACCAACTAAATACAGCAAAGGAGATGGAATATGCCCGATTATGTGCACCTGATTACGTTATGTAAGCCTGTAAATGCTGTCTTCTCTCCCTTGCTGGCTTTGAAGAAGCAAGCTGCCATATTGCGCACTTGACTATGTCATGGGCCATGTGACAAGCAACTGAAGATGCTCTCTGGACAGCAGCCAACAAGAAATGGAGGCTTTCAGTCCAACAGCCTGCAAGAGACTGAATGCTGCTAACAACATGAATCCTGAAGCATGTCTTGACATGAAAAAAAGGGAAAAGAATATTATTTTAAAAGAGTGGAGAAAGTTATAGTTGCTAAGTGGTTAAGCAAGCCAAGGACTGAAAAGTGTTACTTGGATATAGTAACTGTATATAGTAATCATTGGTGAGCTTAGCAGGGACCATTTCAGTGGAACACTGGAGTTGAAAACCAGAATGGAGTGAGTTGAGAAGCCAGTGGAAGGGGGTCCTTCCTCAGTCTAGCCTTCATTGAGACTGATGCCCCAGCCAGCATCTTGATAGCAGCACTGAAAGACCCTGAAGCCAAGCCTGTACTTCTAATCCATAGATACTATGAGATAATAAATGTGTTTTGTTTTAAGCTGCTGACTTTGTGATAATATGGTTACAAAGCATATATAACTAATGCAGAGGATGTCATCAGAGATAGGAATGTCAGACCAGAAGTGATGACAAGCACTGGGTTATCTCAGTAGTAGGTTGATAAGGTGAAGTGAAGGAAGGAAACAGTGAGAATGAGAACGACTTAGAGAATCATGTTTTGTTTGTGTTCCATAATGACTAAGAAGTTATATATGCAATGAACTTCAGACTTTGAAGACATATGATTAAACAAAAGGTATTATTGAGAGAACTGTTGGCAGCACACATACGGAAGGATGTGGTATTTTACTGATAATCAAAAAATGAACACAATAATAGGATATCTGTGTCTAGGATAAAACAATAATCACAGCCCAGTCTTTTGGAAGCCTCAATGCAGTTACTGAGCTTGGTCATTTGACATGTCTGTGTTTGTACATAACTCTGTGACTTACCAACTATGTGACTATGGGAAATTTTCTTCACTGAGTTTTTGTTTCTTATGTATAAAATGTATATATTAAAGTAGGGTTGTTATGATGATTAAATGAGATAATAGATGGAGAACACTTGTCACTGCACATGGCATAAAGTAAGGCTTAAATATAACTCTTTCTACCAGCTTTTCACAGAAGAAACTCCTACTTCACACACACACATATAAATTGATCAAATGAATTCAAAAACTAGAAAATATCACATAAGAGGTCAAAGAAAGATCTTAGAAGAATCTATTTCTAAAAAGTCGTCCAGGCCAGGCACGGTGGCTCACATCTGTAATCCCAGCACTTTGGGAGGCCAAGGCAGGTGGATTGCTTGAGGTTAGGAGTTCAAGACCAGCCTGACCAACATGGTGAAACCCCGTCTCTACTAAAAATACAAAAATTAGCCAGGTGTAGTGGCACATGCCTTTAATCTCAGCTACTCAGGAGGCTGAGGCAGGAGAATTGCTTGAACCCGGGAGGCAGAGGTTGCAGTGAGCCAAGATCATGCCACTGAACTACAGCCTAGGAGACACAGCGAGACTCCAACTCAAAAAACAACAACAACAACAAAAACAAACAAACAAACACCTAATCCATCCAGATAGGTAGAATACCACACAAAAAAATTGATAAATTAATTATGTCCCAGAAGGGAAGAAGGAGGAAAAGCCCATTTTTAAAAAGAAATGAGGTAAGGCTTGATTACAGACTTACAGAATGTAACACTAACTTTCAGAAATATGATCTCATTTTCCCCTGAGGAGATACTAAATCAGCATCCATACCTCACAAAAGCAACACACTTTTAAACCCTTCTTTTTCTAACTGTGAGTAAAGACTTTATTTCAGAACTATGTTGTACCTCCAGATGCAGTGCTAGCTTTCGACTGGCCTCATATACAGTGCTTGTCACTTTTTCAAGATGAAAGTAAAGCCATTCTTCCTCAGGTGCTTATTAATCATCATAAGCTATCGTTTAAAAGCAATAAACAATGCACACATGGTGATTAGCATAGGATTATTTTTCATAAGAAAATAAAGTCTGGCTCAATATGTTTTGGATTCACACTCACAAGGAAAACCCACCATGTAATTCTCCATCTCTTTACCAAGGAGAAAGAAAGATCACCTGTTTTGAAGGGCACACAATCCTGATATTTAGATTAATTTATGCTTAGAACTATCCAAAGAAATTTCAAGAACTGGTTATGTTTGCGAATATATTTTTTGGATATTTTAAATAGAAAAATCACATTTTATGTAAGATAAAAAATCAAAGCACCAAAAGGTTAAATTTCATGGAACCTCTGGTCTTATGAAATACAAATAGTTCTTAAAGTATAAAAGCTTTCTCTTATATCCAACATTTATTCTAATTTTTTGCATATAAAAGTATCCGTAATGTGTACCAAATGCCCAGGTGTTTACAACTATTAATAAATGAAAATGTTTGTAGAACTTCATGCCTTTGGGCAGGACATAAAATTTAGAATACTTTCAACAAAAACCTGAAGAATTTCTTCATAAGTAAATCACATTCGGAAAATAAAACAAAACATACAATTCACAAATTTTAGAAAAAGACGGAATTTGCAATCATGCTCCACACCACACAAATAATTTTTAACTATGTCACATGCTATTAAATCAGATATTGTTGCCTTAGTTTTAATAATGTCTTTGGTCCAAAAATTGACATAAGTTTTTGTTTCAGTCTGTCAGAACATTTTTTCAGAAATGTATCTGTCCCCTTCTAGACTGCATGACCAAAAAAATTGTTGCAAATACACATTTTAAACTAGGTTTAGACGTTTTTATAACACGGCATTTTTCCAAGATAATTATTTATAAGATAAGGAATGCTTTAAATGGTTGATAATATTTAAATTATCATATATTTAGGTTTGATCTAACTATATATTTTTGAAAATATGAAATAAAGTTATCCTTCAAATTTTTTAAAAAATGTTTTACCAAATTGTCTAACTGACTAAATTGTACACAACTTAGTATTGTTGAGGATTGGTTCTGTGTCTTGATTAAGGTAGCCTGTTTTGAATAAATGTCTTAGTATTTTTACACTACTCTTGAGTTAAAAACAGAGCAGGTTTTCATTTAGTCATTAGCAAATATTCATTTGCGTATTTTGTTTTAGTGGCTTAGTTGCCAAACATTTAGCTAAATGATAAATAGACACTCATTGAAGAGTTAAACTTTCCAACAGGGTGGTCTTGATATGAGTCAAAGCCAGGAAGTTAATTCTTACTTTCCAAAACACCTAATGCACACAAAAGTAATTAATTCGATAGCTGTGTAGGCTTTCAATTCTGTGAATTTATAATGTCTTCCATATTTTATTGTTTACATAGTTAAGGTATTATACTTCCTTATAACATTTACATAGAGTTGAGATACAAATAAGTTAATTTAATTGATGTAATCATTAATTACTGAATCATCTCAGTTGTGATCGTTCTGTTTTATGAGGTAATTTCACGATGTAGAGACTGTTTTCCATTATTTTATAATTAAGTACCATTTCTGCACACCCTCTCCTCCCATTAGCTCACCGTTGAAATTCCATGGAAGGAAAATGTATTAATAAATTACACCACTTGCAGCTGATTCAGGTATTACAGAAAATTGACGCTTACTAAAGAAATACTATAAAAATAACAGTTAAGCCATTACCACTAAATAAAGCTATGCTTTAACTGAGTTTGGTTTGACAAGATGCAATTCCAAGAGACATAACTTTCAGGCATCATAAGAAATCTACATGAGACTCCTGTTGCAGGCATCCAGGGATCTCCATCTCAATTCTGTCCTTATTACACTGACTCCAGTCAATGTGCAGAGAGCAAATCAGTGAATTGAGGATGTCCAGTGGGGTGTTAACAAAGTTATGGAGATTCAAAAACACATATAGGATACAGGGCTGGCAGCACCAAAGAGGCTATGGGGATGGCGGTAGATTACAGAGCCTACAGCTGTAGCCAGATGTAGTGAATGCTGCAGATAGATTATTCCATCATGATTCAGACATGATAAAGTACCAATTGTAGACATTTAGTAAATGTAGATGCCATCTGCTAAGTGCTGCTGCTCCTAAAGATTTTAAATCTAGCAACAAAATTTTATCCAATGGAATTAAAAAGTAAATATAATATGTAAAGTACAAACAATAAGACATAATTAATACATAGTCCTTAATATCTGTTTTATAATGAATTAATTATATAGTAAAATAGTTACAATGACTCATGAATAACTTAAATATAAATTGAATAGATTTAAAACAATTATGAAATTATGATTATTTAATATGAATTAAACTGTAATTAATATATCTGCATAGTAACTTTAAGAGAAAATGTCATGGGAATGAAGCTTGAAAAGATGATACAACCTAAGCAAACAATGCACCTTTTTTGGCAAATTTACAATTAATGCATTTTAAATAAAACTTTGCCAAAATTAACTCCTCCCTTTTCCAATATCCATCCCCAAAGTTCCTTGCTCTGGAGTCAATACTCTGGGGCATGGTCTTAAGCATGTCACGTTGCTATTGTTGATGGGGCCAAAGACCTCTCCAGGTGCTCCATTCTTGAGGGCTTAGATGTCATCTCCATAAAAATAATTCTGCCATCTGCCTGTATGTCAGCAACTTACTTCTCATTCCCATAAAGGCTCAACCAATATTTTGCAACTTCCCTACTTTAAGAAGAATTCTATTTCAGAAAAATTTAAGCACTTATAAATGTAAAGTGAATAATAGACAGGTCAGCAGGGGTCAGATGATAAAAGCTCATATATTTTTCCTATAGAATCTGGACTTTTTTCTTAATTGACTATGAATTCGTTGAATAATTTTATGCAGGAGAAGCATATGAAATGAGTCGTGGTATACAAAAATTCATTTAGTGGCACTAGGCATAATGGAGTAGAGTTGAAGGAAATAAATTATAGGCTTGGAAAGCTTAGGGAGATGTTATAGTAACGCTGATAAGAAATGATAGGCCCCTAACATATAATGGACCTAGACAATGATCATGAATAGCTGTTGAACCCTTTAGATAGATGATTATAGAAATTTTTTAAGTGAATGGATTAGTATAATAATGCTTAAAGTCATTGAAAAGTCTTATTCTTACAATGAGAGAAATAGCCATACATTATATGTTCCCAAATATGATGAAATAGAAACCACTTATGGAATATTCTTGCAAAAATTCTATTCAAACCTCTAGAACTAAATATGAGTTTACAGAAAATACAGAGATACAGAAACTGGCTTAAAGATATTAGGACAATACAATCAAATAAATCTGCAATGTTTAGAGAGATCCTACAGAACAAACGACCTGATTTCTTCAGTAAATAAATGGGAAAGAAAAACAAAAAGGGGCTGAGTGTGGTGGCTTACTCCTGTAAATCCCAGCACTTTGGGAAAACAAGGTGGGCAGACCACTTGAGCTCAGGAGTTCCAGACCAGCCTGGCCAACATGGAGAAACCCCATCTTTACTAAAAATACAAAATTTAGCCAGGCATTGTGGCATGGCACGCATCTGTAATCCCAGGTGCTCGGGAGGCTGAGGCACGAGAATTGCTTGAACCCAGGAGGTAGAGGTTGCAACGAGCCAAGCTCATGCCACTGCACTCCAGCCTGGGCGACAGACTGAGATTCTGTCTAAAAAATAAATAAATAAATAATAAAAAAATTTAAAAAATTAAAAATTTTAAAAAAGGAGGAACCTCTCTAAACTAAAGAAGAATCAGTAAAGTTATGTCAACCAAATGCATTGCATGGATCTTGCTTAGTTCCAGATTTGAACGGACCTATTATAAATATATGTGACAATCAAGAAAATGTAGTGGACATATTAATATATTTCATAGTGGACACGAGAATAAATTATTAAGGAATTTTGTTCCTATGTTTTAAGAATTTTTTCCTTTTAGAAATGCATACGTTTTACCGAGGAAATGATATAGCATCCAGTACTTATTTTAATATAATCCAGTGGAGGGATGAAATAGAGAGGAATATACATTAAATTAGATTAGCCAAATGTTGGTAATTGATGAAGCGGAGCCACAGTTGTATTTTACTGTGTTTAAAATTTTCTATAGTGAAAAATTTAAAATGTTTGTTAAAGAAGCAATAGCTGAGAGGATGGAAAGAAGTATATAATTTTGAGCAATATTTAAGAGGTACTATGCACAAGACATAACGGCCAATTGTATCTAAAAGAGGAAGTGAGGATGGCTCATAAATTTTTAGACTTGTGATTAGAAGTATGAACGTACTGGCCAGGTGCAGTGGCTCATGCCTGTAATCCTAGCACTTTGGGAGACAGAAGCAGGTGGATCACCTGAGGTCAGGAGTTCGAGACTAGCCTGGCCAACATAGCGAAACCCCATCTCTATTAAAAATACAAAAATTAGCGGGACATAGTGGTGGATGCCTGTAGTTCCAGCTACTCGGGGACTGGGCAGGAGAATCGCTTGAACCTGGGAGATGGAGGTTGCAGTGAGCCGAAATCGTGCCACTGCACTCCAGCCTGGGAGACAGAAAGAGACTCTATCTCAAAAAAAAAAAAAAAAAAGTACTAATGTACTGTTCATCGAGACAGAAAGTACATGTGGAGGAGCAGATTTAGAAATAAAGATGACCAGTTCAGTTTGGGATTGCGGAGTTTGAAATACTAGCTGGATATCCAAGCAAAAATGTCCAAAGATAATATCAAGAAGAGCCAAGGATAGAAATTAGGGGTACATAAACATGTAAAAGAGATGTAGAGAGGAAGTGAAGGCTGAGGAGTTGTATCCAGATAAATAGGAAACCCAGTTGAGACTGGAGTTACTGAAACAGGAGAAGACATAGTTTCAGGGAAAGGAATTTGTCACAGTGTCAATTAAATAATTAAATGTTAGTTACTATATATCTTTAGTTTTAGCAACTAAATAGCAAGTGGTGTCAGTTCAAGACGGCAAACTGAGCCTATAAATTTATCCCATCTTTTTCCTGGGATTCCACTAAAATAATATTCAGTAGTCCTCCCTTATTCAAGATTTTGCTTTCCATGGCTTCAGTTACCTGTGGTCAAACTCAGCCCAAAAATACTAAATCAAACATTCCAGAAATAAACAATTTGTGAGCTTTAAATGGCATGCCATCCTGAGTAGTGTGATGAATTCTCATGCTGTCCATTCTGTCCCACTTGGGATGTGATTCATTCCTTTATCCAGTATATTCACACTAAATACTCTACCCACCCCTTAGTCACTTAGTAGGCATCTCAGTTATAAGATGAGATGGGATGATGCTTATTTTACTTAATAGTAGTCCCAAAGTGCAAGAAGAGTGGTACTGACCATTTGGACATGCCAGAGAGAGGCCTGAAAGTGCTTTTTTGAAGCAAAAAGTGAAAGTCCTCTACTTAAGGAAAAAGTCTTAGGCTGAGGTTGCTAAGCTCTATAGTAAAAACAAATCTATTTGTGAAATTGTGAAGAATGAAAAACAAATTTGTGCTAGTTTTACTGTTGCACCTCAAACTGCAAAAGTTATAGCCATAGTGCTTTCATCTTAGATTTAAGATGAAAAGGACATTAAATTTGTGGGTAAAAGACATGAATAGGAATGTGTTTCAATTGATAGCAATCATCCACTGGCGGTCCTGAAACATAGCCCCAAGGTTAAGGAAGGATTACTGCATACCAATTTAAAAGGGCAGAGGCAAACACAGAGCTGTGAAAAGAACAATAAGAAGTTTATCAGTGGATAAACTAGTTCAACACATTTCTAGAAAGTGGAAAACTAGTGGAAGAGTGGAGCTCAATAAAGCAGACTGGGAAAAGATGCAGTCCAGAATAAATATGGAGAAGCTGCAGCCAAGGCGGGAGCCATTCTGTCTTTCAGAACCTGGGGGAGGTTATAGACTCAAGGATACCAGGTGTGATGGGCAGCAGAGTACAGCATAAGACTAAAAACAGAAACAGTTACTGAAAGTCTGCTACTGATTTCCCTTCCTTATATTCAGAATACACAGCAGCCAGGTGTTACCCTCTAGGCAAAAAAAAATAGAAAGGGTTGTGTGTTTTCAAAATAAATTTAACACGCTGTACAAAATGAGTAACTGTGGATGTTGAAGTACCAGAAAAAAAAAAAAAACATTCTGAGAGTCATGGTTCCCCAGGGTAATGGCAGAGTAGGGAAGAAGGCACGGTCACGGGTCTGGAAACAAAAGGTGATAGACAGAACTAAAAGGTTTAGATATGAGACAGGGAAATGTAGTTAGGATTACCATTCATAATAAAGAGCAAAAATGGAAAAAGACTGAAATAAACTCCCACCAACTACTTTGTGACACTGTAGATTACATAAAGTGATAGGCCCACAGAAACAGGAAGACATGAACAGAGGCTGATAATAAAATATTGAAATGAATCACCCACTGGCTTGGTAACTGGGCGTGCTATACCCTGTATTTATTAAAGTAATTGAATTGGTTATTGAAAAACTTCCTATATGCACGAATAAAAAGATCTAAGACTCCTGCTTCTAGTCAAGATGGAATAAGAGGGATCAGATTAATCAACCCCCTGAAACTACTAAATAGTTAATATTATGATATTTTAACAATGGGAATTAACACTGAACAAATTTTTTAGGCATTGCATATCAAATAAGTAAGCAGAGGACACTGACCCCTGAGAGAGGGAAAACAAACAAGGTAAGCCCTATGTCTGTCCCAGTTTACTGCCCAGACAGATTTTCTAGGCAGCAATGCAGGGAGGGGGAATTGAGAGAGAGCTAAGCATTAACTTTGAACTGAAGAGACAGACATGGGGTCTAGAGAGGCCAAGGGAACTGGTGTTAAGAAAGCAGAGTACTAGAGAGGAGCCAGCTGCACACAGAAAGCTATGGAGATCCACAGAGGGATACCCTCCAATTCTTTAGCTGTGTATTCAGCACAGAATGCATATTGGGAAATTACTAGAGAAAAGGGAAGAACCACTTGAAAGAAGTAGGTCCTTAGAGCTCACATAGGCCTAAGAATAGTTGGTGTTACAAGAGCCAGAGGAGAACACCTCATAATTCAAGGAAAATCAGGTAGTGTCCATTTTTTTCTAGGCAAACTTAGAATAGTATTGTCTTAGTAGTGGAGAAAATAAGATTTAGAATGGAGGTGGTTCTGGTTTCACCTAACAAAGTTTAACAGCAGGCTTGAAAAGATCAAACTATTACTAAGTAATTTAACTGTACTTCAGAGCAAAACTCAAGAATATTTATAGAACTATAATGCCAAGCATCCAACAAAGTAAATGTCACAGTATTTATAATCTGTCTTAGTTTGGGCTGCTAAAATAAATTACCATAGACTGGTGGGTTAAATAACAAATATTTATTTTTCGCAGCTCTGGAAGGTGGGATGTCAGAGATTAGGGTGCCAACATGGTTAAGTTCCGGTAAGAGCCGTCTTCCAGGTTGCAGATGGCCAACTTCTCCAAGTATCTTCACATGGCAGAAAAAAGTGAGAGAGCTCTCTGGAGTCTCTTCAGTAAGGGCACCAATCTCATCTATGAAGGCTCCACTTCCATGCAGAAACTACCTACCAAAGGTCTCACCTCCTAATACTATCGCATTAGGAATTAGGATTTCAACATCTGAAGTTTGTGAGGACACAAACACTTTGTCTAAAACCAAAATCTAATAAAAATTATCAGGCATGCAAAAAAGCAGGAAAATATGAGCTGTAAAAGAGACAAAAATCAACAAAATCAGTTCCAGAACTGACACACGTAACAACATCAATACACAAGGACATTAAGATAGGTATTAAAACTGTCTATTCCCTATGCTCAAAAATGTGCAAGAATGTAGAGAAAGATGAATCAGGCAAAGAACAGACTGAAGAGACTTTAAAAGACTCAAATCAAAATTTAGAGATAAAAATGCAATGCTTAAAATTAAAAAAAATACATTTGATGAGGTAAACAGAAGATTAGACATTTAGAATTACCTAAATGTCTAAAAGATACAGAAATTATCTAAAATGAGACACAAAGAATAAAGGCTAAAAAAATAAATGAACAGAGCTTCAGTGAGCTGTTGAACAACTTCAAGTGGCCTAATATATATACAGAGTCCTTGAAAGATGGGGAGGAGGAAAACACTGAAGATATAATAACCAAAAAAATTAGATGAACTCTATAAACCTACAGATCCAAGAATAACCTCAAGCACAAGAATATGAAGAAAACTACACCAAGGTATATTAGAATCAAATGGCTTAAAGATATTGATAAAGGAAAAATATGAAAAGCAATCAGAGAAAAAAGACACATTATATACAGAGGAACAAAATAAGAATGAGGGTAATTTCTCACTGGAAAAATGTAATTAAGAAGATAATAGAGCAACATCTATAAATACTGAAGGGAAAAAAACAATCTGTCAACCTAAAATTCTATACCCGGAAAAACTGTCTCTCAAAAACAAAGGTTAAAAAAAAAAAGACTTTTTCCGATATACAAAAGCTGAGAATAAAACTATCACCAGCAGACCCTTACTACAAGAACTGTTAACGCATGTTCTTCAGGCAGAAGAAAAATCATATCAGATAGAAGTTTGGATTTACACTAAAAAACAAATAGCAGTAGAGACTTTTTCTGATATACAAAAGCTGAAAATATAACTATCACCACCAGATCCTTACTACAAGAACTGTTAACACATGTTCTTCAAGCAGAAGAAAAATCTTATCAGATAGAAGTTTGGATTTACACTAAAAAATAAATAGCAGTAGAAACGGTAAATATATGGATAAATCTAAAAGACTTTTCTTATTTTAAAATCTCTCTAAAAGATAAATGTCTATCTAAATAAAAAATATTAATACCATACTGAAGTATATAACATACAGGTAACATATGTACAAAGGTTGGAAAGGAGAAATGAAAGTATATTGTTTTAAGGTTTTTATACATGAGGTGGTGTAATATTAACTGAACATATAATGTGACAAGTTAAACCCTAAAGTAACCACTAAAAAAAGAATATGAGGCAATAAGCCAATAACAGAAATAAAATGCAATAATAAAAAATGATGAACCCCAAAATAGGGAAAAGAGTAAAAAGGAAATAAACAATAGATAGGACAAATAGAAAACAAATAGTAAGGTAATGGATTTTAAACCCAACTGAACTACTAATTATATCAAATGTAAAGGGTTTAAACATCTTAATTAAAAGCCATAGGTTATCATATTGGCAAATATAAGCAAAACTCAATCCTATGCTGCTGTACTTTAAATAGACAGAAATAGGTTAAAAGTAAAAGGATGGGAAAAAATATATCATGTTAACATTAATCAAAAGAAAATAGGAGTGGTTATATTAATAATAGAATATTTTAGGACAAAAAATATTACTAGGAAGAAAGCAAGACATTTTATGATGACAGAAGGTTCAATTCATTAGGAAGACATAACAATCCTAAATGTTTATGTACCCAACAACAAAGCTTCAAATTACACAAAGCAAAAATTAATAGATCTGCAAGAAGAAACAGATAAACCCCTATTCAGAGATATAAATAACCTTTCAATAGTTAACAAACAAGTAGATAAAAAATAGAAAAGAAAACATAAGACTTGAACAATGCTATCTACTAAATTGACGTAATCACACTCTCATAGAACGCTCCACGCAAAAACAGCAGAGCATACATTCAACTGTACACAGAATATTTATCAAAATGGACCATTTTCCTGCCCAGAGAAAGTGCCAAAAATTTAAAAATTCTATGCATATGGAATATATTCACTAAAAACAATGGAATTGAGTTAGAATCAACAACCGAACGTCTTCAAAAATAAATCCCCAAGTCTTTGGTCACAGAAGAACTTAAAGGAGGGATTAGAAAGTGTTTTGAACTGAATGAAAATGAAAGCATGACATTTCAAAATTTCTGGAATGTGGCTAAAGCAGTATTAAGAGGAAAATACCTACATTAGAAAGAGAGAGAGACACCAAGACAGAAAGAGGTCTCAAATCACTGACCTCAGGTTTCATTTTAGGAAACTATCAAAATCAGAGCAAATTAAACCCAAAGTAAGCAGAAGAGAATAAACAATAAAGATCAGAGAGGAAATCAATTAAATTACAAAGAAAAACAATAAAGAAAATAAATAAAACCAAGAGCTGGTTCTTTGAAAAAAAATCAGTGAAATTGATAAACCTACAGTCAGATTGACGAAGAACTAAGAAAAAAAAGATGCAAATTACCACCAATATCAGGAATGAGATAAGTGACTTTATTACAGATTCTATAGAATAAAAGGATAACAAGGCAATCGTTATGAACGACTTTGTGCCAATAGATGAAATGGACAGATTCCTTGAAAAGTGGAGGCTACCACAGCTCACCATGCTGCTAACAGTTCACAGCTGTCCTATCTCCAGAGAATTGTTCTTGGCAGAATGGAACCTGCCTACCTGGGGATGCATGACCCCTAAGGGGAAAACCTGCAAATAATAACCCACTATTATAAGGGTTAAAAAAAATTAATCCCTCTACCCTTGTTTCAAGTTGGAACCAATTCTATGGTGCAATTCATGCTCCAGAGCCCCCTTGGAATTAGGCTGAAGATAGATCCCGCTTCCACCCTTATTTAGCTTCCTTCCCTGGCCATATTCTGCTGTTCTCAACCTCCTCTTCCTTAGTTCTTCTCAATGAATTACTTTCCAAGAATCCCTGTTTCAGCCTCTGTTTATAGAAAATCTTACCTAAGATAGGGCACTAGAGGGAGGCTAGAAGGCAAAAGAGAGAGAGAAAAGACTTGCTCCTTTCTCTTAGTTTGCAGTTCCTGGCTACATTACCCCAGCAATGAGCCCTTATCCTGTGTTATGGATTAAATTGTGTCCCGCAAAAGGATGTTAAAATCCTAATGCCCGGTACCTGTAAATATGACCTGATTTGGAAATAGTGTATTTGCTAATGATCAAGGTAACATGAGATCATTAGGGTGAAGTCTAATCCAATATGACTGGTGTCCTTATAAAAAGGAGAAATTTGGATGCAGAGATAGTCATGCATAGAGAACAGATATAGAGAGGTCACTACCTACAAACCAAGGAGAAAAACACTGGAGGCTGCCGGAAGCTAGGAGAGAAGCCCAGACACATTGTGCCTCATATCTCTAGGAGGAGCCAACCCTGCCAACATCTTAATTTCAGACTTCTAGCCTACAGAACTGAGATAATAAATTTCTGGGTTTTTGTTGTTGTTGTTTGAGATGGAGTTTCACTCTTGTTGCCCAGGCTGGAGTGCGATGGAGCGATCTCTGCTCACCGCAACCTCCGCCTCCCAGGTTCAAGCGTTCTCCTGCCTCAGCCTCCCAAGTAGCTGAGATTCAGACATGCGCCACCGCTCCCGGCTAATTTTGTATTTTTAGTAGAGACGGGGTTTTTCCATGTTGGTCAGGCTGGTCTCAAACTCCCGACCTCAGGTGATCCACCTACCTCGGCCTCCCAAAGTGCTGGGATTACAGGCATGAGCCACCCGGCCCGGCCGAATTTCTGTTGTTTTAAGCCACCTAGTTTTGTGGTACCTTGTTAAGGCAGTTCTAGGAAAGGAATATATCCTGTCAATAGCAACTGGTTTCAGCCTCCAATCTTCTTCCCGCACTGACATCATCAGCTTCATTTCATCATCTCAGGTTATCAACACCCGCTAGGCAGCAACCCTATCTACACAGCTCTACAAGGGCTCTCCAACAAGCATCTAGGTTCTATTAACCCCAACTCTTCCCTCGTCCTCAATCCCTAGGGATGGGAGTGGCTTCCTGCAGTAGTGTTCCCCTTTTGCCTTTTCAGTTCCCTGACACCTATTTAACTAATTCCTCATATGTAATTTGCACTGTGAAAATAGCTAGCATGGTTTATTTCTGACAAAGGCCCCTGATTGAAAACCATCTCATTCCGAATTAAGAGTCTAAATCCATAACATACCTTATAAGATCCCATGCAATGTGGACCCTGGCTATTTCTCTGCCCTTGTTTCTTGTATCTGCCCAAATATTGCCCCAGTAAACACTTTTCCTGACAATGTATACAAAATTATTATTTCTCCCAACCCCTGCAATCTTTCCCCATGCTCCCTTTTCTCTGCAGCATTCCTCCCCATCTGGTATACTCTATATCGTTACCCGTCTTCCCCATTACAATATGAGTTCCATGAAAAAAGTTTTGTTCACTGCTGTGTTCCTAGGGTCCAGAGCAGGCTCTGGCACACAGTAGGTGCTGACTTTTGAAAGAAAGACTAACTGTAGAAAAAATCCTAGAAGCAGCCCTACCATTGTGTCCATTTACCTGAATTATAACCAATCTTTAATTTTTAAAGGCTGTGTATTTATTGCCTCGCTTTGCTGGCCGTCCTTCCTCTGTGGAATCACACTTTAGTAGAAAGGTCAGCTGCACTTCCTTAGTGATGGTGCACTTTAAATTGTGTGCTTTCTTCTATTTCAAAATTTACTTTTTGAGACAGGGTCTTGTTCTGTCACCCAGGCTGGAGTGCAGTGCAATCATAGCTCACTGCATGCAGCCTTGATCTCCTGGGCTCAAGTGATCCCCCCACCTCAGCTTCCCAAGTGGTTGGGACTACAGGTGTGCTCCACCATGCCCGGATAATTTTTCTAATTTTTTTAGAGATGGAGTCTCACTATGTTGCCCAGGTTGGTCTCGAACTCTGGGGCTCAATCAATCCTCCTACCTTGGACTCCCCAGTTGCTGGGATTACAGGGGCAAGCCACTGTGCCTGGCCCAATTTAAAGTTTTTATAATGCAAATATGAGCTCCATTTTAAACCTTTAAAAATTATCAACTCAATCAAGATCAGCCACTCAGCAGCATTTATTGAGAGGCCGGTTGCTCTACTATGAGTCTAAACTAAACTATGTTGGCGTCTCCAAAGAAGGAAATGCAATTCCTGCCCTTCTGGAGATTATAATCTCATGAATATTCAACTTGCACATATAAAAACATCTCAGGTATTTACCAATGATGCACAAAAGAAAATAAATAAAATGTATCTATATGCTTTTTAGATGAAGTGCAATGCTTGAAAGGCCATTCAAACTAGAATAATTCTTAGAAGAGGTTGCTGTTAAGCCAGAATTTAAAGAAAGAGACAAAGATGGATAAGTATAAGGTAGGAAAGAAAGAGCACTTGCAAAAACAAAAGGAAATGACAAATACATGGCACTAACTTAATTAGTTACCTGGAGTGTATAAACTAAAAATCTACGAATTTGGCCTCTAGCCTTTCCATTCTGAGTTATCTATTCTGCACTTCTCCTCAAATGTATCAAATTATATTCTGAACTCAAAAGATCCTATACTTTAAACAGTGGTTGGAGTCACTTCGTACTCCTTCCAAGTCATCCTAAGTCTCAACTGAAATGTCATTTTCCCAGAGAAGTTTTTTCCAGTCACTTAATCTGAAATAGGTGTGCTTTGTTATTCTGTACCTTAGCATTTCTTTCATACCTTTTACCACAATTTATAACTGTAATTTTATTTGTGACCTTATCATTTGTCTTCTATACTAGATTATTAACTACCTAGAAGCAGGGTGTTTGCATTATTTTTCAGTACTATATACATACTGTTTAGCACGGTGCCTGACACTTAATATATATTTGTTGAAATGGAATTAAATAGTACATATTTCTGTGAAGGCCAGAAATCCATACATAAAACTGATTCCAAAACTCAAAATAATTTTATTTCAAACACTTAACAAAGTTAAATTGTCCTCACTTCTGATACACAAAAATGTATATTCATATAACTCTCTTGATATATACATATACATACAAACATAATTCACATACATGGTAATATTCTGACCTTTACCTCTGAAATTAATTTCAATTTGTGTCATATATTTCATTTTTTACAATAAACTAAATACGTTCATAAAAATAATTAATTCTTCTAAAGTAGGGAATATAACCCTGGATAGGACCAGGGTATGAGGGTGGGATGGTCCGAGCTGGTGCCAGCTCATACAAGATGCATTGGTGCACATTTTAAAAAGGACCCACATCCTCTGGGTAGACACAGACACACAACAACATAAGCTCTGCTTGGTGAATGGAGCCTGGGCAGGACTTCAGCTCCCACTTTATGTGCTCTTGCACAGGGCATGACCTATGCATAGGTGGCAGTCCTGGAGAGGGTTGCTCAGTGGTGGTGTGAGCAGAAGATGTGATCTAGCCACCCTTGGGCTGTTCCACTCCTTGCTGGAAAGGGCCGATTTGATTTGTCTGGATTATTTTGGTCAACAAGGGGTCCCTTCTTCTTTTCACCACTCTGTCGGTTTAGCTGAAGAGGAAGACCTCTCCAATGAAAGAGGACCATTTTTCACGTTCAAGTGTATGCATGGCTATCCTCTGCTTCTTCAGCCTCCAAGGGGGCTTTTAAGGTTTAATCTAAAGAAATAACCCTGTATTGATTCTTGATTCCTAAGAAATTATGCTGTCAGTCTGGTTGTAGGCAAGGGTTGCAATTTTCCCTCTGGAAAAAACAAATCAGAAGTTAGTCCATTTGTATAACACTGCTTAGTAACTGTTTAGAAATTATATCAGTAACACTAAGAATAAGCTCAAGCTATCTCCTAAGTGACCCAATTTATTGACTTTCAGGACAAACAGTATATGAAATCAATTCTAATTTCCATATATCAAGAAATAACAAGCATGTCTTATTTCAGTAATCTTTTATAAACTTTCTATATCTTAGGGTCGTAGGTTATAACAGATGCATAGTATTTTAAAACCAAAATAAATTTACCTTTAAGTGGCCTTAGTATAAGCCATAAGAAAGGCCTGTTTCAAAACTACTAACAGGAATTTATCAGAGTAGGAGCTCAAACTACTGAAATACGATTTTAGAAGGACTTTTATTTTGGAAAAAGAATATAAAACTGGAATTTGGGAAGAAAGGGTTAGATAGTGGAAAGCACCCCAGATTGGATCCGAGTCCTTATTCTCAAACTACCTAATGAGATGAAATTGTGCAAGTGATTTAAATTTGATGAGATTCATCTGGAGATCTATTAATGAGTTTAAAGTCTTAAAGTGCTTACTGCTTTCTGATTAATTTTATATTAAAAGTCCTCAAAGCAGAAAGAATGTCAGATAAAAAAAAGTATGTGAGATCCAAAGTGGACTTACAATCACATGCATGAAGAAGTCATGTGTATACAACAGCCCCTGGGGAAAATGTTAAATATGTCATGGGGGCTCTACATTTAGCTGAGGACTGGGCCAAACATCCTAGCAGATTCTTTTCAGTTATTCTGATGTGTCATCTCTTTGGGGAAAAACCTAACTTCACTAATATCCAGGCTCAGGAAGTGAAAAAGACAGAAGCCTTACCTAGCCACTGTGACCAGAAGTGATTAATTTAATCAACTGCCCACCTCAACCATCACCAACTTTTGCAATCACTTGGCGAAATCAATGTCCAACAAGTGAAGCAAACCCAAATGTGGTGAACATTCCTCCATTGCCAAAATGGGACAACTGCCTTATCTCCTCATCAAAGCCCATCTTCTGGGAAATCAGCTTCTCTGTTAAATACCCAAGTGGGCTAGAAGCGCATTTTGTGGGCAACCCTATAGAAGCTCGTCCTGATGCCAACTTGCAGGGATCCAGTAAACCTCAAGTCACCGCTCCTGATAACGTAGACATCTTTTTAGACACACTATTTACACAGACTTTGTCTAGCTGGGGAAAAGGTTAATTTACTTGTATACACGGGGATAAGTAGAGCACAGCGCTTCTGGATGCCCTCAGACTTGCATCTAATTCTTTCTCCAGATCTAACGCCTCTGTTTCTACACCCAGGGGAACCTCTCCCCAGGGACTGCGCGCGCGTGCGTGCAGGTGTGTGTGTGTGTGTGTGTGTGTGTGTGTTTGTGTGTGTTAAAACGAACACTAATTCCGCGCCCAGCTTCTCTCTCCGTCCACCTGCGGCCCAAGAACTTGTGTTCCCAGATGGTACCAGCGGGGCCCGGCTTATTCCCGAACACATGTGGGGACCTGAAAGGGGCGTCGGGGACTAACCCGCCCAAACCGTGGCAAACACTCTGGGAGGCCGACTTGGGCTTGGCCTGTGGCCCGACACACCGCCCCACTCCGCGCACACGCGTCTGTGCCACTTCAGTGGCTTGCAGGACCTCCGGCGAGGATGAGTCTCCAAACCATCTCAGCCTACTCAACGGCATCTGGGATGTCCCCCTGCCTCTAAGTCAGACCCCAAGAAAGATCTTTGAGGACTTGAGCTTCACGTTGAAAATCAGTGTGGAAAATGGGGGTGTCAGTGCGGCTGGGGGAGACAAAGGGGCCCAAAAGCTCCCTCCCGTCCGCTCCAGCCCACTTAGTTCACCCTCCCACGGGGCGAGGGGCGGGCCGGGGGGCTGAGGTGGGGATGGCCCTGGAAGGGGTCCCTCCCTTCCCACCTCCTACGGCCCACTCTTACTTACTTTCTTTCGGAGCCTCAGCTTGGCCGCCTTTAGCCCAGGCAGTGCGGAGGGGAAGCGGGGAGGAGAGAGGAGCCTGCGGGCTGCAGCAGCCGGGCAGTCCCGGAATCTCCGGACTGCGTCCCTGCCCCAAGCCCGCCGGGAACCCGGGCCGTGGACGCCCCCACCCGGGGGCCGCGGCGAGGCGGGCGCGCGGGGTTCAGCACCCTCGAGGCTGGTTCCGAAGGCTCGCGGCCCTCCCCCTCCGTCCGCCGCCGTCGCGGCTAGCCGCCCCTCCCCGCCGCAGCAGGGAGGCCGCCGGGGCCCGGGGGACGCGCTCGCGCGGGGGCCGCCCCCTCCCCTTCCCTCCACCCTGGGCGGGGGCGCGCGAGAAGCGGTGACGTCAAGGGGCGCGCTGTGGCAGCACCTCCCCGCGCGCTAGTTAAAAAGAAGAAGAAAAGAGGGAACGAAACATGAGAGGCTGTGTGAGAAGCTGCAGCCGCCGGCAGAGGAGACCTCAGCATCATCTAGAGCCCAGCGCTGGCCCTGCCTCCGCCTGCCCCGCCGCCGCCGTCGCCGTTTCTGTTCCTGCTACTGTCCCACCTAAACAACTCCCGTTACACGGACAAGTGAACATCTGTGGCTGTCCTCTCCTTTTCTTCCTCCTCTTCCAACTCCTTCTCCTCCTCCCACTTCCCAGCCGCAGCAGAAAGCCCCCAACCCAACTGACACTGGCACAACTGCAAACGGTGTCATCCGCACAACTTTATCTCGCTCCTCGGGCTCCCCTAAGGCATTGGACCCATCGCCGCGTCTTTTATTTTTTGCAAAGTTGCATCGCTGTACATATTTTTGTCCCCGCCACCTCCCTCTGTCTCTGGAGTGCCCTACAGCCCCGCAAACTCCTCCTGGAGCTGCGCCCTAGTGCCCCTGCTGGGCAGTGGCGTTCCCCCCCATCCTCCCGCGCCCAGCCCCTGCTGCTCTGGGCAGACGATGCTGAAGATGCTCTCCTTTAAGCTGCTGCTGCTGGCCGTGGCTCTGGGCTTCTTTGAAGGAGATGCTAAGTTTGGGGAAAGAAACGAAGGGAGCGGAGCAAGGAGGAGAAGGTGCCTGAATGGGAACCCCCCGAAGCGCCTGAAAAGGAGAGACAGGAGGATGATGTCCCAGCTGGAGCTGCTGAGTGGGGGAGAGATGCTGTGCGGTGGCTTCTACCCTCGGCTGTCCTGCTGCCTGCGGAGTGACAGCCCGGGGCTAGGGCGCCTGGAGAATAAGGTAGGCACTCACCGGCTTCACGGATGCGTACTTGGCATATTGGCTGGGTGGGGTTCCCTGTGGCTCTGGCAAAGCCGGTGGTTGTAAGAAGGTCAAAACTTCTTTGGGGGAGTTCTTTCCATAACTTTTCTATAGCGCTAACGTGATTCCGTTGTGTGTTCCTCTGGGGTAAGCAAGTAGCATTTCCTCCCCCAGAGTCCGCGGTCGGGATGCTGTGCAAACTTGCCTATCTCTGAAAACAGACGTTTCTGCGGTACCCGCACCCTGGGCTGGGTAAATATTTTAAAAGAATCGCGATGAACAGTGTGTTTTGGATCGAATGGGGCATTGGCTGCGGTGAAACTGTAAATTAAGGTGGCTGTGGTTTCCGGCTTATTTTTCTAGGGTAAAAAGATTTGTGCTGTTTTCTCCACGTGCTCGGTTAGGGAGAGGATTGAATCGTAAAGGATGTTGAAGCATGGTTGGTTTATGATCCCCAGCCCCGTCAGAGGGGGGTGTCTTGCATTACATTAGTTAAACCAACAGAAAGGAACTCCTGGTCCTCCGGTTAGGGACCTGAAAAAAACTGGCGAAAGATTTTGCTGGGGCGTTATTTATCACATAAAACTGAGACGATTCTCCGTCATTTTGTAACATTATAAATTCAGACTTTCAGGGTCAGTTGGTGTCTTGGAAGATCTACTCTAAGAATTTGTTTTAAGAGTAATGGCATTTACGTTATCCTTGTGTTAATAAGTTTAAATACTAACATGGTGTTTGTTGACTGTAAAGGCACGCTTGTTTTTGAGTTTGCAATATCGTTCTTGCCAGGAGATGCAGTCATGGGTGGTATCTACTGTACTCCAAGGAATCATTGCTGGCTCACATCATTAACAATCACTGCACGTGAAATAAACAATCAGGTGTCTTTGCTCCCCCTCCCTTTCCCCATTTTAGGTTTAATTAAGAATTCCTCTGTTAGAACACTGCCAGTTGTCAAGGTCTGAGAGACTCTTGGAAAACTTGTGCTTCAGTCTTGCTGGCCCAGGCATAATAAAAAAAAAAAATACCCAGGCTGAATCTAATTTTTATGCTCAGTTCACGGTAGATTTCACTCTATTCTCATGTAAACAGCTCCTACGAATCAACATATGTGTCTGGGTGGTATCTCTCACTTTGTTTTGTAACAAAAAGCCATATTGCATCATTTAATTTGCTCAAGTCATGCAAATAGGAAAAAATCAATAGGACAAAAAGGGGTCGACTTATCCTCCTCCCCACTAAACTGCTGCCCACACACAGAGTCCTGTTGCTTATGGCAAAAGAATAACAACAACACCATTGTATTTGTTAGTTGGTTCACTAATGGGTGAAACTAGAGAACATCATTCTCTTTCAGTCCCCAGCTCTGTCCAAATGTTCATGCCTTTTGAGGGAGCATTTGTCCAACTCCTTCTATTCCCAGATGAGTGAGAACTGTCTTGCTGCAGGTTTTCAGCTGCAACTCTCTTTTTATTCTTACCATATGCAGCAGGAGCCTGAGATTCAGGGAACAGATATTCCAGGATTTTATTCAAAGCAATGTCTTTAAGCTCCTGTGTTGCAACTGAATTAAGTTTCAAAATAGCTATATTCAGGTCACCTTAAAGGTTTTATCAGGAGCCCTAAAGAACCAGGAAATTCAGAGAAAAGTTTAGAAATATTTGCCATTAAGTCTCCCTTGGTGCAATACGTACTATGAATATACTGATGATCTAGAGACCCCTGCAATACTCAACTCTTCCAGAGACATGTGGAATGAAAATTTTGTTCTTGACTAAATGGTGAGGAGAAGGGGAAGGGGGATGGGACCAAGGGGAGTTATAGCCCTTAAGAGAAGTTATATAAAAATTTTTTTAAAGAAATCATTCTTTAGGAAGCAATCTGCCATGTTAACTATATACATTCCTTTCTGTTTTATGTGCTTCCAATCTCCAACAAACCCCTACTCATTTGGAAAGTGTGTCTGAATTAAGTTTGGTACACTAGACTTTTGCTGGTTCTATTACAAGAGGTTTATAAATCAACAATACCCAAATTGTTCAAAACAGAGATTTGCTATAGCTATGCATATGCATTCTTGACCTATGTTAGTTTTCAAGTTTTAATAGTTTTTAAAACATGTTATTTTATAATAAACTTCAGTGTTTCCCTTTTTCCCGTAAGCCTTCCTGGATTATAATATATGTTAGGATCTTATTTCATAATGTGTATACAGGAGAGATGATTGCTATTTGAAAGGGCCCTTTTTTGTTTATGGAAGAAAAAAAAAAATTCCCCAGAAAGATTTCTGCAGCTTTTCAAGAAACTACAGTAGTAGCTTTTTCCTACAGGAAGAAATTTCTTAGACAAATAGATAGTAGCAAACTAGGTAGGAATATTAGCATGCTCAGCTATGCAATTAAGTCCTGTTTCTAGGCTAAGAAATTTTTTTAATGAACTAGAATTGAGTTCAATTCTTTAGCCATGGAATTATGCTCTATTTTAATTTTTTGTATATTTTAATAATGTTGTATATTGTAATAAGATTGTTAACTACCATGACAAATAAGTACTGTCAAAATTTAGGAAGTCATATTATCTTAGCAATATTTTCGCACTTTCTAAATACAGCATGCTAAAAGGATCTAATTCTTATTAACCAAACTGAATCTGCAACCAACTGAAATACCCTCATTTCTAAAACTTAACTTGTAGCCACAGAGGCATAGAAGCTCTCTCTACCTTGGGTGGTTTCACAGCCAAAGCTGTCAAGGAATGGGTGAAAAGTAATTGTTTTCAAGTGTGCCCTTTTACAATCATTTGTTTGCTCTGGCTCTTTCAGGGACAAAGGCTATTGTTGAACACATCCAACTAAACAAATAACTCATCCTGGGGTCCCTTTAACAGCTGCCTTAGTACAATGATCTATTTACATATTAGCCTAAAATTGAAACTGAACTCTTTAATGACATAATCCAGCACTATAGTTCAGAGACACATGTGTTCTATCCAACAGCTGAACAACCTTGTAGGCATATGATTTTTAGAAATAACTTTTTGTGTACCAAGTGATCTTAAGGCGACATCTTAATATACTGTCATGTATTTTCTCCTTTTGTCCCCTCATCGAACCCATGTGGCTGCCTTTTGCCCTCTTTGTTTAGTTACTTGGTAAATAAAGAGAAATACAGAAGGTCTCTGTCACCCATTTTACTATTTGTTGATAAGCTATAGTTGGAGGCCACACTTTACTGTGTATCCCCTATTTATCTTACCCTTCTTCTATGGATTTTATTTTCGTGTGGCTAAAGATTAAAGGATGACCTGCCAGATGTTATAAATTAGCAACAGCCACAATGATTACTAGGCATGCTGTAATAATGTTTCGAAGTTTTACGTGATTTCTGAAGTATATTTAGTTTAAACCACTGTGATGGTTTTGTATACGGCTTTTAAAAATTGAAACAGGAAATTAGCTTAAATTTCTTCTTAAGATTGACGGCATCATCAGAAATAAAGTTAAGGACCTATATAAGACACAGACACATAGGCAAAAAAGAGGAAGAAATTACCCTACACACACCCAGACTCATCTGTCTAAAACACTGTTGCAGCTTTGGCTGAGTCAGTTTAATTGACTTCAGTAAGACTATTGGTTCATTGAAACCAAAGCCAGAATGATGGCTCTATCTATCTTCAAATAGGTATTTACACTGCAGACCTCACACAGAGCAAAAATGTTACCATCCTGCTGGGCCGGAACAGCATGAAACTTTAAAAAGAATAATATTATACTTGATTTCAGATAATTTATTGAATCCTACTTCTGAAATGTTTGATGAGAGATCTGTGACCAGAACACATTCCAAAAATTGTAAAAGACAAAATTCCTTAGGCACTAAAATCAAGCTCTTCCTGGATAGCAGCTGAGAGAGTATATGAGGATCATTTTGTTTTCAGCTATAAAAAATGGAAGAATGCATAATCTCCATAAAACCAAAGGTAATTACATTCCAGTTTTTCAGCCAGCAAAAGAGGTGCCTTCAGCATCCTGCAGTTGTTTTGTTCTTAGTGGACTGCCATATGATAAACAAACAGAATTGCTATATGATAAACAAACAGAACACAGTTGAACACTATTAATTTTAAATAGATCTGGTGAGGTCTGCCAGAGTATGGATGATAAAAGGCATTTAAAACATTCTTGGAATGCACATTCTAAGTGTGTAGTGTATGTTTCCTTTTAGAAAATTTTATCCATTTAAGCAATTGTTATTTAAATAAATTGATAAGACAGTAAATATAATTGTAATTAATAATAACCTTTCTTTATATTGTAGCTACAACCCATTATACATTTTTCCAAAATATGATAACTTCTATTGGACTTGCTGCATACTAAAATTTCAGTATGCTTGTATTCAATTTTTTTCGTTACTTTGCTCTTGCAGATTCAAATTTTTGTGATGACCTAGAATATCATTATCCCAAAAAACAGAAGCCATAGATTTACCCAAATTAGAACCTTAATTTGTGAATGGAATATTTGTTTAAAACAGTGCTCTAGAATTTAAAATGCTAATTTTGGTTGACAGTTCTAAAGAAGTAATAAAGTATAAATATAGATGAATTGGGAAAAGGTATAAAATTCAATTCCATTATGATGTTTTTAATATAAAAAATCAATACTTGATTTTGACAGCACTACATTTCACATGTCAAATATTGTGTTGATATTGCCTTCTATATAGATTAAAGGAGATTCTGAAGTCAGGTTTTTAAAGTTACTGCTAAACAACAAGACCTATCTGTCCACTAATTGCTAAACTCAATGATTCAATAACTCAAAATGGTCTTATTGAAATAAAAGACATGTCATTGTAAAAATTGTGATGAAGGTAAGCCATTTTTCATTAAAATTCACTACATATTATTCAAAAGCACTTCGTTAAACTCTTGTGTTTATTCATGCATATAACATACCTGAGGACCTAGTTAAAAAATTTTTCCTGGCTAAGATATAATGAATAATAAAAATTGGTTTTAAACCTGTTTGATTTCACTTTGGATATTATTTTTATAAAACATGAACAGCAAATCCTACTTTAGAAAATTTTCCCTAATGCAGTCTGCAGATTGAAAACTAATTGAAATTTTAAAAAAATGTAACCCAAGTATATTTTTGACATTATCATATTAAGAATTTCAGGAATGAAATAGATTTTCACATAAGACACAAATAAGCCATGTCTTGAAAAATTCTGTTTTGCATGCGATTGGACAAAGGTTGGAATTTTAAAGTTAAATATCATTCAGTATATACTTGAGGCAGAATGAAGTGATAAAGGCTTAAAGAGTCTAAATATAATTGCCTTTTAATTTTTCACACCTGAAGTACAGATGAAATCTTTGATTTGCAGGAATAAGAAGCACTTTTATGTATCCCTGTCCTTTGTTCTCCCAGCCCAGCTCCAGAGACTATACTTGTATCCTTATAAAGGCATTCTGTATTGTGACACAGTAATTCTTTTCAAAAAACTTCATTGGCTAAATTAGACTTTTCTACTTACACAATTGCAAAAAATAATAATAATAGCTAAACCTAAATTTACCTACTAAAAAAAGTTTGCTTCTGATTTATGGCTTTCAGATATTTTCTGTTACCAACAACACAGAATGTGGGAAGTTACTGGAGGAAATCAAATGTGCACTTTGCTCTCCACATTCTCAAAGCCTGTTCCACTCACCTGAGAGAGAAGTCTTGGAAAGAGACCTAGTACTTCCTCTGCTCTGCAAAGACTATTGCAAAGAATTCTTTTACACTTGCCGAGGCCATATTCCAGGTAAGAAAAAAAAATGCATAAGTAAAATAAACCACTGCACAATATCCTTGTAAGATACTTGTACTTAAATGCTTATTTACAAAACTTGTAAAATTTATCTTGCCTTTAAAAATACCTATTTTACCTCATAATTAACATTTCCAAATTTATAACTTTTACTGCCTCTAAAGGGAATATTGTAATTTCAGTCTGCAAACATTATAATTGGTTTTGTTGACTTGTTATATATTTCTTGTTAAGCTGGTAATAACAGCTTAACAGATTACAGGTGGTAATCTTTACACACGTTGGATTCTCAATCCAAACTCCTCGTTGGTGCCTTCTTTACCATAACATCAGCTTCAATATCAAGGCAGTGTCTTCTTCTACATAGCTGATACATATATATATTGGAGAAAGTCCACTGACTTGTAAGATAGATCCTTAAACAAAATATGATTAGGAATCCAAAAAGTAATATCTTACAAAGCACTTTCACATAAAATGACTAATTTTCTCCTCAAAAACCCTGTAAGCTAGGTAGGAAGAGTGGAGTCCTCTCCAATTGGCAGATGAGGAAATCTGAGCCTTGGGAGAAGTCAAACACCTTAATCAAAGTTATACAATGAGAAGGTGATAGGAGAGATATGGAATTTCTTATGCATATAGTGTCATGAACATGCCTAGTCACTATTGTAGTTTGGACTCCAATAAGCTTATATATTCATTGATTAATTTTTATCATCAAAAATTTGTAAATTTTGGTTGCTGTTGCTTTAGTTGGAAGACTCAACATAGAGGAAGAAAATAATTTAACAAGACATTCTGTTTAGTTGGGCAAAGTCGCACACAAATCTACTGAAGATTAAGCAGTATTTAAGGAAAAAACAAGCTTTAAGAACCGTAGAATGCACCAAGAGAATTTTTTTAAGTGCTATGTACATTTTACTTTTTTCTCTGACCCAGGAAAGTGTAGACTTTTGTATTTTTAATATAGCTCTCTTAATAACCTTATAGAACATTTTGACTAGGGTTGCTTGCTCCTTTGCATCTAGCATAACATATATCTAAACCCATTCAATATGAAAATATTATTATTGTCTTCATAAACCACAGCCATGTTTCTAAGCCTTTTCTCAAGCAGCTGTTTCTTCCTCTTTATCACATTCCCCAAAGCAAAGTAGAATAGGTCACGGTTGCCTAGATGGCCTACAAAGAAGTGATAACAGATTAGATACCATAAATGTTTGCTGGAAACTTCAAGTCTTGAACATTTGCCTTTAGGACTATAAATTGAAAGTGATATCAACACTTAGCATTTTTATTTACCATTATCTACTTTAGATAACTACAACATGCTAGATTTGGGGACTTAACTGTGGGGGTCTTTATATATTTGAAGTAATTTTAGCTTCCAAAAACAATAAAATAAAAGTAATATCCACTGAAAGAGAGAGCACAGCAAACAGCTCAGAGCCAGAACTGCAAGCACCTCGCTCCCCAGATCAACATATGTGGTGACGAATGACAAATTTATTTTTCTACAAAGTTTGTATATATGTAAAACTGCTGAAGTGCATCAAGATGTCAAGTGCTTTTGGTGGCCACCCAGGCTGCTTTGAAAGATAACCAGATGAAAGCTCCACTCTAGAAGTGGACAGAGCAGCAACAGTGCTTTCCAGAGACTCTGGAAGGCTTTACTGACAAGCAGAGGGGGCTGCCCCTGCGTACCTCAAATGCTAATGATCATTCTCAATACTTGCCCCAAAAGTGAGCTGTAATAACACAGTCTTTGCATTACTTATGCTAATCGATTTGTTGCCTGGATTGATCCTTGGCATGTAGGTTACCATTTCCTAAAGTACAATAAATAAGATGCTAATCCCCACCCTTCCCTGCCCCTGCCCCCAGCACAGAAGTGTCTTTACAATTGTGGAACACAGATTTTTTGGAAATTACTATAAAAGCAAATTTTAATAGTTTTCCCTTAAGTTGATTTAATGATATGGTTCACTTTCCTCTGAAGTTCAAAGTGTTGGAACAGCTACTTTGTGATTCTTTTTTAGAAGAAACTAATCAACATATTTTGACTATCCTCATTAATAGCTTCATCTTTCTACAAATCAAAAACTTGAAGAGGAAGGTACCCCGAGGGATGTATTTTGCTAAAAGAAGCCAAATGCTGGAAGAATTGGGAGAGAGAAATGATTCCAGAGACATCTTCATTTGTTCCCTATTGCCCAATGCATGAAGAAATGTACATATAAATGACTTAACCATTTGCTTTGACTTCATGGCTTTAAGAAAGCACAGTCACTTTAGAATATTCATATACCTATAAGATAGCTACTTCCTAGAAAGCTTAATTAAGAAATAGTCATAGTCTGCTTATTTTCCCAAAAATGGGAAAAGATATTACAAAGCAATATAGTGAGTATATACTAGAGTTTTATTAATCATAATATTTTCCAGTTGTGAATTCACTTAGGGAAGTAAATTCTCAAAACTTCTAAAAATGCCAAAAACTCTCCACTTGTTTCTGCAGGACTTTTCTTCTGCTTAACTGAGCAGGGTACCTACTTTGCTAGTCACTAAAAGAAGGCATAACACACTCTATGGGAAGCATATCGATGGACGTCTATTGGCCTTGCTTCTTCCTCTGTACCTGTAGTCATAATGATGTTTATCACTCTTCGACCTCATCTTCTCAGCAGTAGGTTATTGTAGTGTGAAATGTCTGCACACAATTAGTTCAATTGGTATAATCCTATTGCTAAGAAGGCCAAGGTCAAGGGTTTGATTCAACTGAATTTTCTAGTCCATAGCCATTCCTAACCCCGGCCAGTTAGCTTACACATGTGTCTTCTTAGTCCCAAGGAGAGTAAACCAGAAGGAATAAACAGATGGATATATCAAAATCCACCACTTCTATCAGAATATGTTCATGAGTAAGTCTTACTCATGAAGAGTCAGTAACTTTTTTTTCCTTATCATGATGAGCAGCACTTATAATGAGGAAAAATAACTTTTCCCTGGAATACATGCTGAGAGAAAAGGGAGAACTCAGAATACTCCAAGGAAGCATTTATTTTATACGTCAGTATTTATAGGGTGCTTTGTGGTATAGCAGAACCAGGCTCATGATCCAGCAGAATATTTACAGATCCAAGATAGTTGATAAATGATCAGAACTTAAAAAAAATACAGCTGCTAGAATATTTGGTGTTTGTTCATTATTAGTAGACCTGACCATATTATGATGATCCCGAGTGAGCTAAACATGCACTTTCAGTAAAATGACAAACAAAAGGGAGCCCTGGCAATAAATGTTAAAATATATCTCCCTATTCATCATTGTTCACTGCAGAATCGGGTCATTTAAGGTAAAGTATTAATAAAAGTGTTAGATACTTAAATTCAAATAAAATTACATGATTGTAAAGAAAAAAAGCCCATGTATTTAAGTAAAAATCTTCTGAGTTGGTTTTCACACTTAGGTTATTCAGTTTGTCTAAATTACATAAGAAGCTTGGAGTAAATTTATTGTTAACATTCTGTATTTTTTCTTAATTTGCTAAGCAGGCATTGTACCTCTGGAGCCACCAAGTTTATGAATATATATTCATTAATCTTTAGATATTCCGTTTGAAAATGACTTCTCATTTCCTCGTATTTGTCCCAGTTACTAATTCCCTTTAAATTGGAATTGACCACCAGCATTGTTTATTAATTTCACCTTAAGATGGTATTGGTTAGTAGACAGTAATGCTGAAACACACATTTTTTTTAAGCAAGCTTGAAATTTCTTTTGAATTGCATTTTGAAATTTTTCTGTAACCCTTCTGGCAAACATCACCTTAAAACTATATTTCTCACTCACATATCCAGTTATAAATATGACCATAGTATGACAGTCTTCCTGCATGCATAATATAGGCATGGAGATTTTGTTGCCTGATGGTAAATATTTCCAAAACAAGATCTAGCCCAAAACTGTGCAAAGAGTTTGATTTAACAATTTAGTTTTTTTTTTCTTTTTACCTCTAAGAGACTTGTTTAACACTATTAGGCAGTTTTCATGTGAATGCTTACCCATTTAAGAAGGGAGGGAAAAGTGCTTCTAATCCTTGAATTTTTTTTCAAAGAAAAATAACTTTCCAATTGCCTTGCCCCTCCCGTGGAGCACTTCCCAGCTGCTTGCCTCTTTTTCTCTGTGCCCCCCACCGCATGCATGTACACACACATACACACACACTCCCAAGGACATCTGCTCTTACTTGCCTGGTTGCCAAGACAAGATCCTTTCCAATAGCCTAGTCAGAAATTGGCAGGGAAGAGTCTCTCTCAGAAAGTTCAGGGTGAGACATTTCACTCAAAAGTTAGGTCAAAATGTACTTCAAGCTTTACAACCATTTGGGACCTTCACATTCTAAGATAAGTTTTAGGTTTGAGGGATCCTAGGTCAAGCACACAGAAAGTAAACTTGTAGTGTCTTTTATGCGCCATTGATGAGTCTCACTTGGCTGATCCCAAATTCTTGTTCTTAGAAATCCTTGCTAAATCTGAATTTGTTATACAACTTCTAAATTTCTACTGAGCTACTCAGTATGTTTATCACAAAATTGATGAGGTGTGAAAATATAATTTGTTATATAAAAATAAAAACTTTAGATATATAATATAAAGTATAAGACCAGAAGCAGCAATTTAGGACCATATATAAGACTGACTCTGGTAATACCGTCATATTTTGAGAGCAGAAATCATTAGAATGTGGAAGTGAGTCTTGCTAATATGTCCCAGAAAGGTAATACCTTATTAACTCAAATTGTAAAAGTAATATCAAAACTTTTTTGCCATAAAGTTATTTCCTTTCATATTCAAAGATAGCTGTCTTTATATGATAAAATATTTAATGTGTAAGAAAAGAAAACACATCTTACTTTTAGATCCTATTAAGTAACTCCGTTGTGTTTTTGTTTTGGCTTGTTGATATGTCAGCTTTTCTGTTTGAGACGATTGAAGGAATATTTTAAATATAATTTTTCTATTACACATTAATCATTATCTCCTATAAGTGAGGTGCAGGAAAAAGGCACTTATATATTTGAAAATGGAGGCTCTGTTATAAGCACCAATTCATTGCTTGATCATTACACAGTGAGTCAGTTGTTTATTATAGCATATAATGACCTTGTGTTATTCATTAGATTTATTATTTAATCTTATGTAAGTGGCAATACACTAAGACTTGTAAAATGACCAAAACTGGCACCTGATGGCCTGTCTCCTTCTTGATTCTTGTTTGTTCATCTGAGGAAGTTATTTAGTATTGTAGGAAAAAATGCTAAATACTGATGAGATATGCTCACAGGTACAACATACAGTAACTAGAGAATCTTGAAAAGACATCAATGCAATAGCAAGATAAATGCTGAGTTTGTCTTATTTGTACTTCATGGGAGCCTTTTAATACTCAACACAATATTATTTCACTTTTACCACAATTTTTAAATTTAGTTTAAAACACAAATGGGAATCCCAACCCCCGATATTTTTCATTCTTTTTATTTAGTATTTATTTATTTATTTATTTATTTATTTATTTTTTCAGAAGGTGTCTCGCTCTGTGGCTCAGGCTAGAGTGCAGTGGTGTGTTCTTGGTTCGCTCCAACCTCCACCTCCCGGTTCAAGTGATTCTCCTGCCTCAGCCTCCCGAATAGCTAGGATTATAGGCGCATGCCACCATGCCCTGCTAATTTTTATATTTTTAGTAGAGACGGGGTTTCGCCATGTTGACCAGGTTGGTCTCAAACTCCTGACCTCAGGTGATCCACCCACCTCAGCCTCACAAAGTGGTGGGATTACAGGACTGTTTTTATTTCAGTCTAGGTTCTTCCTAAAATATCCACCTAGTTTCCCAAAATTCTTTTCCTCATCTTATATCTTTCAAATAAGGTGGTTTTACTATGACATTAGGTGCTTCTAATGAGTCTTTTTATATTTTTTAAAGGTTTCCTTCAAACAACTGCGGATGAGTTTTGCTTTTACTATGCAAGAAAAGATGGTGGGTTGTGCTTTCCAGATTTTCCAAGAAAACAAGTCAGAGGACCAGCATCTAACTACTTGGACCAGATGGAAGAATATGACAAAGTGGAAGAGATCAGCAGGTTCATAAAGATAAATGCTCTTTAATCTTTTTAAAAAAACCCAACTGACAAATCTTGTGGTTTTGACAGTGAATCAACTGTCTGTGCTTATGTTCAGCAGCTATATCCTCCAGATGCTTTAGTTTTTTCTCTGTGGTAGTTTGTTTCTCTAAAATTCTAGCTTAAATGCTTTTAATACTTAGACTACTAATCGTATATTATGAGCTTGGCTTCTCTATGACTCATGTCAATTTTATGGGTATAGTTTTAAGCCTGAATTTTATGATTGTTGTTAGTCTATGGCACTGTGAAAATGTTCAGCACAATTACCATTAGCAAATCAGGTTTTTCTAAATAGATCTTAGAACTTTCTCTCTACATGCCTTCCATAAGGTTTATTTATTGTGAGTAAAACTAATTTTAATTATAGTCGCTGAAATATGAGAAAATGAGATTATGACATTTGAAAATATATACATGTTTTGATTCTCTTATTTTACTTTCTGAAAGAAGGCTGTTTTGTTTTTTGCCATTGAAAGAATTTAAAAGAACCACTTAAAAGAATTATATTGTGACCCTTGGGTTAGCAAGCACTTCATGGTTCTCAAAACCATGATTCCTAGAGGAAATAGAGTTTGAAAAGGATGCCAAGTGCATCCCTTATCTCCTTCATCTCAAGAAAAGCTTACCGGTTTTCTTTAATTTGTTTAGAAAGCACAAACACAACTGCTTCTGTATTCAGGAGGTTGTGAGTGGGCTGCGGCAGCCCGTTGGTGCCCTGCATAGTGGGGATGGCTCGCAACGTCTCTTCATTCTGGAAAAAGAAGGTTATGTGAAGATACTTACCCCTGAAGGAGAAATTTTCAAGGAGCCTTATTTGGACATTCACAAACTTGTTCAAAGTGGAATAAAGGTTGGCTTTTTAAATTTTATTTATTTTTGTGCTGGCTACGTTAATTTTATTTTAGTGTTACCTTCCTCACTGAAGGTATTTCTTTGTAATAAAAGAAAGAATCTTGCAGGAGAAAATAAGGGGGCAACATAAGAAACAATAATTATGGCACCTGAATTAGGACAGTGACATTAAATTTCTGTTATTTGTTGACTATTGTGCGCTGCAATCGAATTGATATTTGACATGCTTTCCCCATGTAATTGACACATTTAAAGGAATCTTTGGCTTTATAAAGTATTGTTTAAATATTGTTTAATGGGCATAACACAGGACTGTACATCAGCATTTGCTAGTAGAAACAAAGAGGTCTTTTGGTTATTTTGGCAATTGCAAATCATTCTTTCACCATCTCTGTTTTTGAGTCTGTCTCATAAAAAATACTACTTATACTACAACTTCCTTGTACAATGTTTTTACAGGTAAGTCAAATATTTCTATAATTAGCCACCTATAAAACATATATTGCCCTCTTTTTCACTTCTCTAATTTGAATTCTCATTTTAAATAACCTAGGTATGTAAACAAAATTATTGTCAAGTTTGTTTCACAAGAGTGACACAGTATAACATTAGCAGTACTAAACCATAAAGCAAATTATGACGTTCTAAAATTAAGACACATTTAATAGCTCATGCCTATTTTAGAATGAAACAAAGTAACAATATGATTTGGGAAGAACTGGTTATCCTTTTCATTTCTTAACTGAAAAAAAAAAACCTGAAGGAGGATTTATAGTCTTCTACTCACATAGAAATGAACTCTTTCTTGCTTTGTTGTGCTGTACTCCAGTGGTAAGAAGACCCAAATCAGAAGAAACAAGTCAGGAAAAATATAGATATATTCCTGCTATCTATTTCATTTTCTTATCGTGTGAGAGTTAAGATGACTCCAGTCTTTATTTTTTACCATTGTAAATAATGTTATTTATTATTCATGTACATTTTACTTAATCTGGTCATGGATGACTTCCTTAATATTCATTCACAAAAAGGGCATTACTGAGTTGAAGATTATAACCATAATACATATTGCCAATTTGCTTTAAAAATATTTTCAGATATTTGAGAATAATACTAATTATTTGAGAGAACTGATATTAATATTAACAATAGTTTTCAAATGTGCTTTGAGTAAAAATGTTGGTATTAAAAAGATATGTATGATGTAATATAGATGTAAGGAGGGCTCAGAATACTGGAAAATTTTTTATAACAAGAACTGATGTTCTTGTTTCTACCTCAATTTGACTGCCTTTTAAATCAGGGTTCCTTCAGCATCCCTATTTCAATTTACACCCTTCGTAGGGCTCTCTGATGATTCATTGCCATATTCAGCTCTGACATGGAGATGTTTCATTATGTAATAAAATTGTACAAGCAAGGATATAACAGTACCTTGGTTCTGAGTATGTGTATTCTGCAGTCTTCCAGGAATTCTGCAGTACTTGGCCAAATTTACAAGAAAACTTGCAGAATTTGGACCTCCTTTTCCAGAAGAGCTCCCAGGTTTCTGGGGCCTAAAATATACTTCAAAACCTGTTATTCTGGTGAACTTATATGACATATTTTAAGATGCAATATTTTAAATTCCTTTGATGTTTTAGCGCTAATTATGTCCACGAGATAGGAATATATCACACGGATATCAGAGTGTATAGTGAGTAATAAGATCACATCCTTCTTACTTCAAGCAGGTCATGCTGCACATGGCCTTTATCTCAGTGTCTGTGGAACTTCCCGATTGGAAGAGTTAAGGCCACTGTCAGTATGATGGGGCAGATACCACCATATTTATGAGTTGATCATAGCACTGATTTTGGTGGTTGCCCCTCAGAGACTTGTAATGTAAAAGCATTTTCACAGCTATTTCTGGCTTCTTTAATATATGAAAGTTATCATATATTTATGACAGTATTCTGTGTTTGTCAATAATCATTTTGCATAAGTAATGCCAATACGAATTTTCATAAATTATTATACATATCAACTATTCTATTTTTTCAGTTTTAAAATCCTAAGAGAGGGCATAAAGCTGTTTAACAGACTAAAGTATTAGTTGCAATACTCAAATCACAGAATTGGTAATACATACTAAACCCAACCTCCACACGTTTGAAATTGAGAATAATACAAACCACATTGCAGAACCCCTTCACAATTACATTAATTGATGACTAAGAGGAATATGTTAAGTCAGACATAAGGAGGAATTTCTGATTATAAGAGTTTCTAAAATCTATTGCTGGCTATTTTTAAAAAATCTGGAATTCCTTGTCTGCTAATGTAAATTAATTGGGAGTGATTTCTGTCACATGGTAAAGGCTGACCTTTTTTAAGGCCAAGAGTTGGACTTGCTTATCTCTTTAAACCTCTACCAACTCTGATTCTTATAAGTGCTTGAGAGGGATGCCATCAGCCAAGAGCCAATCATAAGGGAACTTGGACAACTCTTCCTAAATGGGTCCTAACTGAAGCTAAAAAGATGATGTCTTATTTTTACACACCAAGATCGTGCTGCCTAAATTGTAGGAGATTGTAGTACCCTGGGGGCTAAACTGTCTGCAGTTCCCAGAGAAAAAGTTAATCTGCAAAAAATGCAAAGCACAAGCTAAAGAATTAACTTCTTTTTGCTATAGAAAAAAAAGTTGTGGCATTGAGATTAAAGAGTAAGTCAGGAATATGTTTTTAAAATATGTAGTGATTTGATAGCTCTTTGATGATAGTGTACTCTACAAGCTAATCACTATTACTGGCACTGTGAAGAATGGGCCACATGTCAAACTGATGAGCAAACTTTAAAACTTTCATTGTGTGTGTGGCTGTGTGTGTGCATGTGCACATGCAGCGTTGTTATTGTTCTGTTGTTATCATTTTATTCCAAAGGGCAAAAATTACAAAAATTTTACTATCTCCAGAAAGAAACACTTCTTTGAGATACTGGGTGATTTGAAATCTTTAAATTGAGCTTATATCTGAGCTCTGAAATCAGAGCTTCTGGCAAGTGCTAGAACCAGCTTTGTCTATCTAAAGTCCTTGGCAATGATAGACTAATGCCTCTAATGATACTGTGAAGAATGGCTTCACAGTATAATCACCCAGGAGCTTTCAAAAATTCTTATAGCCAAGTTGGGTGTGGTGTCTCATGCCTGTAATTCCAACACTTTGGGAGGCCAAGTCAGGAGGATTACTTGAAGTCAGAAGTTCCAGACCAACCTGGCCAATATGTTGAAACCATGTCTCTAATAAAATTACAAAAAAAATTAGCCGGGCATGGTGGCATGCACCTGTAGTCCCAGCTACTCAGAAGGCTGAGGCAAGAGAATCACTTGAACTGAACCTGGGAGGCGGAGGTTGCAGTGAGCCAAGATCATGCCTCTGCACTCTAGCCTAGGCAACAGAGCGAGACTCCATTTCAAAAAAAAAAACTTCTTATACCCCAAAACAGTCAGTCAGAATATCTGGGGTTGGCACCCAGGCATCAATATGTTTTTAAAGCTTTCCCAGGTAATTCCAATGTGTAGCCAATTTGAAAACCACTGATGTAGCCTGAGCCAAACTTCTGGATCACTTACACATTGAATGAGACATATTTTCTCTGCCAAGCCTACACCCAAGTCCTATTCCTGACTTAACAACTAAGAGCAGGTGGTTGGATACCAGTTGTCATTTGCCCTGTACCTTTTCTAATTTACTTAGTTTATATATATTACTTATCCAACTTGAGTGAGGAATTGGGTTAATTCTGGCAGCATGTAAGATGCTTGATATAAAGCATATGAAATACCATTTGAAAAAAATGGTATTTAAAAATCTCAAGTTAATTCTAACTGGGAAATGGCTTTACCAGTTAATCTTTTTCTGTTTTTGTTCCATTTTGGAATCTGGTGCTCAGCTAGTTGGCAAAATTGCTATTGTTCCTGTTCTTAAAATATGTGGATTGTGATTATATATATAAAACCTTGTTAAAAGCAACAAGGCCACCAGAAGATACTCTAGTGTAATTTCACCAAAATGCCCCTGACTGCCAAGAATGTGAAAGTCAGCCTTAGCTTTGCATGTGTGTTAAAGGAAGGATATGCCCGCACCTGTCACTTGGCAGGGTGGCCCCTCAAGGAAACTAGCAAACACCATTCTCCGCCACTTAGTTCTTGCGAGTGGTCAGAGGATGAAGAGGTTCACACCCTCAGCAGCCCTCGGCTAGCAGCACACAGCAGACACAGCTGAAAGCCTTGTCTATCATTGGAACAAGTGTCACTGGACTCCTGTCCCTCTCTATCTACTTGGACCCTCATTTCAAAAGATGCTTTTAGAAGCAGTCCTTTAACCAGGGGAGGAGAGGACGTGAGGCTGAAAGCTGCTAATTGTCCGGGTGACTGAGCCAATTGAGGTGGAGCTCTTGAGAGACAGCAGTCCCTGTGCCGGAAGTCACAGCAGCATGTGGAGGAGGATGCAGGGTCCACCAGGGCAAGCCCTGATGGGGAAGCCTCTGGTTTCACAGGCTTGTAAATCACAAACATAATTATGAGTATCAAAAATTTGTGAAATCTAAGTCCTCATCAACCATGGAGGCTGATGTTCCATTTCTCTGAACTTTGTCAAACCTTTTTACATTTTTTTCTTTGACTTGCAATCTTAAGGCAACCCATGAAGCGTTAGTGTATTTTTGCTTGAGTGAAATGAATCAAAGCAGATTGAGAAGCAATTTATTTTTCAAAAGTAGTATTGGTAACATAGCATGCATACACATTATACACACATACACATATGGTGATTACTAGATCATGTAACAAATGCTTCCCCAGAAAAACTGCTGAGAACTCTGCTTTTAAGCACACATTAGGTTAGAATAAAGCCTGTGTTAATAGAAAGAAAGCAACAGATTATATTTGTTAAATATTACAATAGAAGAATCACCATTGTGGCACATTTTTGTATACTGAATGGCATTTTTACTTTTTGACTTATCAGATTACTGCTCAGAAGTCATAATGCCTCATCTAAAAGAGAGTTGTTATAGTGGTGGAAATAAACAATAAATAAACTCATTAAAAAGTGGTAGAAATTGTCTTCCCCAAAATAAAAATTTTTAAGCAACTTCTTTATAGTTTAAAATTCTGGTTACAAACCGTTTATGTTATGTAAAAATATAAACAAAATGCAGATTGCAAATAAAGATGTTTTTATTTTTTTGTGTGTGTTTGTTCATTTTTTGAGACAGAGTCTTGCTCTGTTGCCCAGGCTGCCGAGTGCAGTGGTGCGATCTCAGCTCACTGTAACCTCCTGGGTTCAAGAGATTCTCCTGCCTCAGCCTTCTGAGTAGCTGGGATTACAGGCATGTGCCACAATGCCTGGCTAATTTTTGTAGTTTTAGTAGAGACAGGGTTTCCTCATGTTGCCCAGGCTGTTCTCAAACTCCTGGACTCAAGCAATGCACCTGCCTCAGCCTCCCAAAGTGCTAGGATTCCACCACACTTGGCCTCTTATAAGTAAAGTTTTCGACTGCAGTTATTTCTAATATCAATGTAGTAATGGCATGGCTTTTAATCCAACTATTTTTATTTTATTGAGTGTTGCTGATCCTTTATATCACAATGCTCTGTACTCTGTGAAAAATGTCATTTTCAATTTTCATGTAAGTTTAATCTCATTTTAAATGTATAAATGCCCACAAAGAAAAATTATTTTTCATAAAGCCAAAAGTCCCTTAATAATGTGAAATAACCTCAGTGTAATTTTTCATTTGGTTGAGTTAGTTTTTGCTCCTGGTATTCTTTCATTATTTTTGAATTTGCTATTCTATTGATAAAACCTTTCAATAAGTATAAGTGTGCATTTATGTGGTTATGCCAGTTTAAGGCAGTTTAATCTGTAGTTTATTTTCCACCCTATTTTTTACTGAAGCAGAAACTGGAGTGACAGATGCCATGTTTCTCCAGTTGAGTAGAGAAAGCCCTGCCTTCTCCTAAATTTTAGGTCCCATCAGTCACAGCAGAGGTGAGGAAAGTTTTTACATTAATATCTTTATATTTACCTAAGATTTGAAGGGCAAAGGAAATAGAAGCTATAAATCTGAGCAATCTCATGGTAATCACTTAAAACAAGTGAAAAACCGGGAAATCTGGACCCTAGAAAACGTCTGCCGTCTTTAAAGGGCATCTCTTTAAGTGAGATATCTACCATCTTCTACAGACTGTCTCTGACTAGAAAAAATAAGAAAATCTACTGATGATATAAGTTATCATTGTTTTCCAGTGGCTGTATTACCTCATAAAAAGAAAATATCAAACATCACAAAACTATCTCTAAATGGCAGAGAATTCCCTTTGGTACAGAATTCCCTTTTGAAGATTGTTTCCTGATACTACAGTCGTGTGTGTGTGTGTGTGTGTGTGTGTGTGTGTGTGTGTGTGTGTGTGATGAGAACACTTAAGAAATCTATTCTCTTAGCAAATTTCAAGTATACAATAAAGTTTAATACTACAGTCTTCAAGCAAGCCATGTTGTTAGCAGACACTCTCTTCTTCTTTCTTATTAATCATAACCACCACTTTTTAAGTCCTTACTTTCATAGTCATTTCATTGATTACTTCTGGAATCCCTGTCAGGTAGGTGTTAATATCCCTTTTCACAGATGAAGGGACTGAGGCCCACATGTTAAGGAAACTGCCCCGATACCACAGCTAGCAAGTACCACAGACAGATTTCAAATGCAGTTTGTCTGACACTGTGCTCTCAACCAGGGTGCTAAGCTGCTAAATGCTGCTATATGCCTCTAATGAGTGGCACTGCATGAGAGGAGAGACTGCAGAGCATGTTAAGAAAACAAGACTGGTGATGGTTGGTGTCAGCATGCTCAGTGAGGAGGCTGAGAGCCCAGCATCTAGAGTCATGGATAGACACCTGGGTTCTGACCACTGTTCCTACCAAGTCTTACTGGTTGTTTGGCCTTGGGCAAGTTGTTTAACCTCTCTAGGCTCACTTTCTTTATCTGTTAAATAGAGACAATAAAAGGTCACACCTAATATTTTGCATGCACAATCACACATAAATGTGAAGTGCTTTGTAAGCTGTTAACCATCATCTAACATACTAACATAAAAAGGAGGGGAAGAAGGAAAATATGCATGACTCACAAGCTCCAGTGACCACTGCTAGCAATACACCCTGGGGTTGAAACAGTCCCTCATAAAATGAATTTTGGTGGCTCACTTCCAATCCCAGCATTTTGGGAGGCTGAAGCAGGAAAATCACTTGAGGCCAGGAGTTCAAGACCAGCTTTATCAACATAGCGACACCCCATCTTCTACCAAAAATTTAAACATTAGCCAGGTGTGATGGCATGCACCTATAGTCTCAGCTACTCAAGAGGCTCAGCGAGAGGATCCCTTGAGCCCAGGAGTTCAAGGTTGCAGTGAGCTATGATTTTGCCACCACACTCCAGCCTCAGTGACAGAGTCAGACCTCATCTCAAAAAAATAATAAATAATAAATAGAACAAAATGTATCTGTATAACTTACGGGAAACTCATGATAGTGTTAGCATTCGCACCAAAATAATACGGCAGTCCCTTGGAAACAAAGTTATTGACGCATGTGGACTGGCTTTCTTTACCTCAGAAAGATAAACCTAGGATATGTTTTCTATTTAAATGTGTTACTAGAGAAAAACAACACCTTTTGACAGCATCAACTTTGGACATTAATTATAGGGTATTGCTGCCCACCTCACTGCAAAGTCCCCAGCTCTGGAGTTTCTCAAAGCACAGGACTAACGATGACTAAGCACAAAGCAGCTGACCCATAAGAACTACAGCAACCTTTCAGCAGCATTTCCTTGCTTTCATAGTAGTTTTTCTCAACCTGGATATTATAGTAATGTCGGTCTTTTTTGTGTTTATTTTGGAACATGGTTTCTGTCAATCTACCACAGAGTTAATAAATTGTAGGATTTGCAAAGGAAATATACTGGGACTGAAAAGTAAGAAGGCACATATTTTTGCCCACTAGCAACTATGGCTCACAGCACAGATTTAGAATGTCAGTTGGGAGGGGGGCAATTGGGTAAAGCTGCTATAAAATTAACATGAAATGGATGTTACAGAGAGTATATTTCTCAAGAAATTATTATTATTATTATTATTTTGAAAAGCAGATCAGGCCAGGCGCAGTGGCTCACACCTGTAATCCCAGCACTTTGGGAGGCCGAGCCGGAGGACCATTTGACGTCAGGAATTCAAGACCAGCCTGGCCGACGTGGTGAAACCCCGTCTCTATTAAAAATATAAAAACTAGCCGGGTATGGTGGCAGATGCCTATAATCCCAGCTACTTGGGAAGCTGAGGCAGGAGAATCACTTGAACCCCGGAGGCGGAGGTTGCAGTGAGCCGAGATCGCGCCACGCCACTGCACTCGAGCCCGGGTGACAGTCAGATTCCATCTCAAAAAAAAAAAGCAGATCAGTAAAATGTGCCATGAAATCAGAGAAGAGAGAACTTTAAAAGATTTTAAAGTTAAATCTTTAAAGAGCAACAGTAGACAGTAGACATTATCAGTGAAATGTGCTGAAGATCGGGTGCAAGAATACATAAGTGGGGCCGCTCTTAGTGGCTCACGCCTGTAATCCCAGCACTTTGGGAGGCCTAGGCGGGCAGATCACGAGGTCAAGAGATCGAGATGATCATGGCCAATATAGTGAAACCCCTTCTTTACTAAAAATACAAAAATTAGCTGGGTGTGGGGGTGCACACCTGTAGTCCCAGCTACTCAGGAGGCTGAGGTAGGAGAATCGCTTGAACCTGGGAGGCAGACGGTGCAGTGAGCCGAGATCACGCCACTGCACTCCAGCCTGGTGACAGAGCAAGAGTCCGTCTCAAAGAAAAACAAAACAAAACAAAAGAATATATAAATGAAAGAGCCCCAACTACCTATCTCTCAAACCTCAGGCTACAGTAGACCCTCTTTCTATCACACTGACAAATTTTTTATATAAAGTCTAAATCTGTAAGCAAATTTGCTCTTTGGTTTGTGTCTACCTTTCTATGACCAACTTTGGAAGTTTGTCTATGTAGTGTAAGGCTTTTAACAGACTTCTTTCATCTTTGCACTTATATAATAAGTATACACATAAATTTATTTTATATAATATATAATATTTATATGCAATAAGTATGTACAACAAATATGTTTTCAATTACTACATTTTAAGGTATTTGTTGATAGTAGTCATCAATTGATATTTAATTTTAAAGTCTGTAATTATGTTGAGCTATTACAAATCAAAGTGCCCAGAACTGAGGACATAATCAAAAGTGTTTTCAAAACTAGATCATTGGCTAGAAATTAAAATTATCTTTGGACATTTCAGTCAAATATGTTTTGAAAAATAAGGTGCTATTTATCAAGACCATTTTATAACGTGTTATCATGAGAAAAGTTTTTTTCTAAATCACGTAACTTTCTATCCAGCATGACCTGTGATACCAGCTGACAATGTATATGGTCACAGTGGCACTCAGGAATTATCATCAGAAGGGAGGTCAAATTGGAATCCTTTATCTAAAGAATTTCCATTTTACTCAATCTGTACATGTCATATACACCTTAAAGTTCATCTATTCACTCACTTAAAATATTATGCAATTCCTCAGTCCTCAGCTTCAACTTACAGAAAATCTATTAAAAATAACAACTTGTTTAAGATAAAATATGTGCTAATTACTCTATCATACCTCTATGTAGTAGAGTAACAAAAAAAAGAGAATGTCAATGAATATGATCTAAACTAATTCCATCATTGCTAGCAGTTGAAATAATTTAATCTGATTATAGAACTAAATCCAGTAAACTGAAGCTTAACACAAAAATAAAGCATTATTTTAAAATATCTTACAGTTTTATATATAGCCACAAAAATTCTTGTGGTAAGAGTTTTTTCAAACATGCAAATATTGAATAATGTGACTTTCTCTTTAAGAGTAGCTAAACTGGCTGGGTGTAGTGGCTCACATCTGTAATCCCAGCACTTTGGGAAGCCAAGCGGATCACGAGGTCAAGAGATCCAGACTATCCTGACAAACATGGAAAAACCCCGTCTCTACTTAAAAAAAAAAAAAAAATTAGCTGGGTGTGGTGGTGTGCACCTGCAGTCCCAGCTACTTGGGAGGCTGAGGCAGGAGAATCGCTTGAACCCAGGAGGCAGAGGTTTCAGTGAGCCGAGATCACACCACAGCACTCCAGCCTGGTGACACAGTGAGACTCCATCTCAAAAAAAAAAAGCTGAATTGGTCCCCCGCAGTAATTGGTCCCCCGCAGTCGCTCACGCCTGTAATCCCAGCACTTTGGGAGGCTGAGGCCGGCGGATCACCTGAAGTAACGAGTGCTCAATCAGCCTGGCCCACATAGTGAAACCCCGTCTCTAATAAAAATACAAAAATTAGCCAGGCATGGTGGTGCGTGCCTGCAATCCCAGCTACTTGGGAGGTTGAGGCAGTAGAATCACTTGAATTTGGGAGACGGAGGTTGCAATGAATCGAGATCATGCCACTGCACTCCAGCCTGGGTGACTGAAGAGACTGTCAAAAAAAAAAAAAAAAGCTAAATTATTTACTTTTAGTTTGGTGCAAAAGTAATTGCGGTTTTTGCCATACTATTTAGTTCTAATAAGCTGTTTCTAAACCACCCTCTTATTCTAACCCAACTTTGATCCAAACAGACCACAAACTTTCATAAAATGGCATCTGTCCTCAGGCTTTTCTAGATAGGGAAACATGTCTGTTTCATAAGAAACCTTAGTCCACAGTTTCAAACTGTTCAGAAGAATTTCTTTAAGAAAAAAAAAAAAAACAAACAAGATTGTGCCTGTGAGTGAAAAGATGCTTAAGATTTGAAAAAAAAAAAAAAAAAAAAAAAAGAAAGAAAGAAAGTGCTAGTCTTATGAGGATAGAAATAACGAAATTTAATTCCCATTAAATTCTTAGGCTTTCTAGGAAAGCTGTGGTGATGAGGCTTCCGTAAGTGCAAATATCTTTGTGGATGGCTGTGAACACATATGTTCAGGAAAAGTGAAACAAAACCTGAACCGACGTCCCTCCACACACAGGTCACCAAACATCTGTCATAAGTTATCAATTACTACCCTAGACTGGACTCAAGCCTGTGACCCGAGGTTGAAAAAGTCACATAGTTCATCCTCTTACCCTGTCTGTGATTTTTCTATGTATCATCTTTAAAGCTTCTGTTTAAATCTCCAGGGATTTGGAAGATCAGATGACCCCATGAAGTTAATAATATATTTACACCCGAGGTGTCTATGTATATCACCCTGGGGTTGATCACGCTTGCTGCACCAAAATGCTTTAACCTATAGTTGGCATAGCTCTTTAATTGCATAAATTCCTTAATTGCAACCTACAAACAATGTCTCCTCGTCCAAGGAGGGTGTTTTTTTTTTTTTTCTTAAGATTTTGGCTTTGATTAAATGTTAATACATATAAGACTTCTGGGCAAACAAACAAACAGGCAAACAAAAACTGAAAACTCTTCTGGGCATGACTAGGTGAGCTTCTTCCCTTGAGAAGAATTAGTTATTGGAGAGACTACTAAATAAAACTTAGGTGACAGCATCAATTTTCAGAGCCTTTGATCTCTAATGGGTCGCATTCCTGTAATATCCCACCTCAGTTGGATGTGTGAGAACTAATCATGGCATAGCCATATCACTCACTCACTGATCATATGATGATACCAGTTTTGCCACACAGTGATGGCATCATCTCTTCGGGGATCATGACGGCCTCATCTATGAAGTCAAAGGACTAGGCTAAATAATACCTTGGGTCAGCCACGCCTGTAATCCCAGCACTTTGGGAGACTGAGGTAGGCGGATTACAAGATCAGGAGTTCGAGACCAGCCTGGCCAAGATAGTGAAACCCTGTCTCTACTAAAAATACAAAAAATTAGCTGAGTGTGGTGATGGGCACCTGTAATCTCAGCTACTTGGGAAGCTGAGGCAGGAGAATCACTTGAACCCAGGAGGCAGAGGTTGCAGTGAGCCGAGATCATGCCATTGCACTCCAGCCCAGGCAACACTTCAAGACTCCATCACAAATAAATAAATAAATAAAAACAAATAATAATAATACCTTAGGTCCTTTCTTGTTCTACAATTCTGAGGAATGGAAAGTAGTGCAAATCTCCAAGAGAATTATGGAAAAGATAAGGGTTCAGTGTGATCAGGCACTGGATGACTCCATGCTTGTCCAGGTTCAGAAACTGTGGGACATACTTTGCTTTATTTTGATTTTTTTCCCTTTGTAATAATACAGAAACCCAGTCAGCATCTCCCAGTGCAGAGTTTGGGTGGGTACCTTGCCTCATAGGCCAATAGGTGCATCGTCTTTCTGTATGATCATCATTGCTCTAGTTAAACTTTAAAAAGCTGCAGTAACTCAACATGTAGTGAGATTTCAGGTTTCAGTTAATGACAAGATAATGTCTTGAATGTACAGGGAAACAGGGAAGCAAATTTTCAAACCTCGGTCAAGGTGAAGATATACCATGACTTCGAAGTGGACAGTACTTGGGGTGGTAGGGGAGAAGCCCAGCCTGGAACTGAGTGAAGGAAGAGGAGAGTAGTTGTAGGAGATGAGATTGCAGAGTTGAGCATCTGTGTGTTGGTGGGAGCATGAAGTATACAGGCTCTGCTAAGGTCTTTGGCTTCTATACTGAGTGAGATGAGTGAGATGGGGAATCACTGGAGAGTTTTGAACTGGAGTGATATGATCTGACTTAAACTTTTAATTTTGTATTATTTTTTTAATTTTTATTTTATTTATTTATTTGAGATGGAGTCTTGCTTTGTCACCCAGGCTGGAGTGCAGTGGCACAATCTCGGCTTACTGCAACCCCTGCCTCCCGGGTTCAAGCGATTCTCCTGCCTCAGCCTCCCAAGTAGCTGGGATTACAGGCACCTGCCACCATGCCCAGCTATTTTTTGTATTTTTAGTAGATACAGGGTTTCACCATATTGGCCAGGCTGGAACTCCAGACCTCAGGTGATTCGCCCGCCTCAGCCTCCCAAAGTGCTGGGACTGCAGGCATGAGCTACAGGGCCTGGCTCCGGCCCAAACTTTTTAAACAAGATCTATAGCAGCCATGCTGAGAATAGACTTGGAGAGGCAAGGGTGGAAGCAGGGATGTAGGGTAGAATACTGACTTCTAGTACCAGCTCTGCTGTGAATGTTCTTTGTGCCTGTGAGCCAGTCATTTCACCACAAAAGCCTCAATTTTTACCTGTAAAATGAGAGGATCATTAATATCTGAGATTCCTTTCATTTCTACCTTTCAGTGGGTCAATACTTGAAAGAATATTGCAAATTTTTTCCTATTAAACATAAGCATTTTTACACATGGTGTTTCCAAAATTTATACCTTCTTTCTCATAGTTTCAAAGTGCAAATTTTGAAACTCAGTACATTAGCAACATAGGATATTTCATGGGTTCTGGTGAAAGGTTGTAAATTACAGGAAAATATCAATTGTGGTAATGTAATGAAGAGGGCTCACTCTACGCCAGTTGTAATTGCTAATTCATGAAAATGGTAACCACAATTAAAGACTGTTTGAATGAGACACACACACATATGTGTTCCTCCTAGGAAATGCACATTTAAAGGGAGAAAGGGGGGAAAATATGATTATTTTTTAAAGGATAACTATACTTGGGTTTAGCATAGAAAAGGTCAAAATCCAGGTATCCTGAAGTCAGAGAGGATTAAAATGATAATGGAATATAAAAACATAGACCTCTAATAAGGGGATATGGAAAGCTTATTGTAGGGAATTTCTAACCTTTTAAATTGTAAAATAATTGACCTTACTAATAAAGTACCTATAATTCACTCTCAAAAGTAGAATAATCCCAAATATCCATAATGGGTTTCTTCTTTGTTGTAGATATTTGAGCAAATAACCTCATCTAACAAATCATTCTTTCAGGCTGTATGTTAAGCTGGCAAAGAACTGTCCCCTTTCGTACCTGCATCTGAATCTATGGAAGTTAATTTGGTTGTGGATAGAGTAAATTAGATGTGAAAAATTGAAAAAGGAAAGAGGTTAATGCTTGATCATCTTACTTGCACATGTAAGGATTGCAGGGCTCTGTGTTTCCTTGAGAGAATTCCCATGATGCCAATTAACCTAACTTATTCCAAAACAATTCTCTGTTTGGAAAGAATAATTTTCATTGTGGGTGTTCCTTGAAATTGTATGCCTCATCCCCTGTTATTACTGAGATGTGTGCTGTGCAATTGAAAGTACCAACCTCGTTTCCATACACTGTATAGATTAGAGCTGTATCCCACACACAGTGTCAAATAATGTTTTAATTTTGTCCAATGAACACATATTTTAACTTCTAGCAATTTTTTAAAATGTGCGAAGGCCATCTCTGCTTAATGTTAAACTCAATATCTTATGTCAAAAAATAAAAGCAGGAGACTTGTTTTAATCAGGAAATAGCTTTTCTTGCCATTTATTTTTTAAGTCAACTTCCTTGGCTGGGTTTAAATGGCATCTTCATTTTTTAAAATAGTATAATGCATTTTTCCTCCACTGTGAGAATAAACTGGACTAGAAAAGGTTGAAAAGGATATAACTAACTTTTGGTAAATGTATTATCCTTTTTATTAGACTGCGTTCTCTATTTGGATTGCTGGAGTTAAAAAAAAACGAATAAATCAATTAAAAAATATGCATTCTGAAATTTAATTTGGTGAATAGAATATATGTGCTTTTCATCAGGTACACACCTTTTTAAGTCTGAAACCACCACACACAAAGAATTTAATTCTGACAGACGTTTGTTCTCAGCATAAATACTTTAGGGCCAATAGTTGTCCCCACTTAATCATGCTTCTTAAAAGTGAATTCCAGAAGACTTGAGGCCCCAAATGACCCCTGGTAAGGTGAGTTGTCAGTAAATTACTTTTATGATGTGCCCTAGGGAAGTAGGTCTGCTAGAAACTTGGTAGGGAACTGGGCCCCTTTGCCTGTAGGGGGATGACCTTTAACTTCATCTAACCTTTGTGTTTCTAATTCTAAATTTCTGGGAGGCAGTTAGTCACATTGTTGGATATCATTTTAAAAGAGTCTCTCCTTTACTCAGAAGACAGTGTTAACCACAATTTTGTTGTTTAACCTAATAAAATGCTTAACCTAATAAGCATTTATTTCTATACTTTAATTTTAAATACCATTTAATGAATTGAAATAGAAATGAGTTCCAAATGGATTCATAGTTAAATTATGACTGCTTTAGATAAAATTTAGGAAACACTGCAGAACATTTAATCTCTCTAATTTTGCTAATTTGAACTTACTATGTGACTTGAAAATGCATAAGAACAATTAGAGATGAATGAAGATATTACATCAGAATACAATTAATTTTTCACAAAATATTTAGTTATTGAAGACAAATCTTGCTAACTTTGTTGTCTTCATTACGAGAAAGTTTTTATGGTGCTTTTAAGGAATAATAAATACAATGAAATTATCAAACAGGAATTTAGATTCAGTTTTGGATTAAAAACCCTTATTTGGCTATATTAAACTGAAACCATTGGGAAATAATTTTTGTTTACAGGACATAAAATACAAAGAGATTATTAATTTCTCATTAGTTTTGGCTAATATTTGATAGGGCAGTATTTTTCATTCTTTCCTAAACAAAAATAGTTCATGGCTCAGTTTTGTTAACTATAATTGTACTATTTGATTAAAAAACATTTCATATGTATATATACATATGTGTGTGTATATATATGCATAAAACACTGTATTGTTTAATGAAATATTACTGAAAATATAAACTTTTCTAAAAAATTACACACCTAATTTTTAACCAGAGAATGTTTAGGTATATGAGTAGTACATAGACTAAATGTGGAATATTTCCATAATCTCTTTGGTTTATATTTCAGTTTATAGCATAAGCAAAGCCAGGCAGTCTAAACTTTGCATTTGATATCAATCCTTTGGAGGAGATCAACAATAAGCAGTCATAGGAGCCATTAGTATAACTTCAGTAATTTTTCAGTGGGGAAAGGAGATCATCAAAATTCTTTCCTATAAACCAAAGGTTCTGGCTCAAGAGTGTACGTAAACAAGATGTATGTTTTAAATACAGCTTAAATGCCACCCAGGAGAGAAATTCAATGGTGAAAGAGTTGTCAACAGACTGAGGGCAATCTTTAAATGATGGGGAAAATATTAAATTAATGACACTAATGTTGGGAATACACAGCCATCTGCTTCCAAGAAATTCAGCACAAAATGTCCCCTTTTCCCCCACTCTAAATTGTTTATATTTGGATCCAGAGAGATAATAATAGTAAAGCAAAAGATTTTACTTGAGAACATGGCAACCAAACTCAGAATTTTGAAACAAATTTGAAAATAAAGTTAGAATAAAATGTTATTATAATCCTGCCAAAAGCATTTGTTCATCATCATGTACATTTCTACTTAGATATGGCTAGGAGCAGAGTTTTTTAAGTTATTGTTTGTATGTTTGTTTTTGTTTGGTCAAAAATTTTGCATGAAAGTAAATTTATGGTTGTAACCATTACAGCATGTCCCACGTTATCATTCTCTGGAGACTTGCTATTCAGTTTCCATTCAACCTGGACGAAAACACACACTCATAATGTGTTCTATGCAATGAACAAGGCCCATCTCTGGAGCCATCTCTGGGGCCCAACCCAAAACACAGGACCTAGAATGTGGAAGGTAGTTTCCCCACAGGAATATCAGTGTGCTTTCATCAGAGGAAGGTAAATGGGTGGTGGTCAGGAAAAGCAACAAGGATATGAGGAACTCAAATTTCATGAGGGAGAGGAAATAGAAGCAGAAAAACTATAAATGACCTGATGTATGCCGTAAGGAAGGTATAACCAAAGTCTTGGAGATGCCAGAGGAAAGAACAGGTGAACCGGTAACTCCATCCTTCTGAGGATGACTGTGTCTCACATAGGAATGATTCTTAAAGGATATGGGCATTGCCTTTCATGCAAGAAACATGATTAAGAGATTGAGATCAGGCTAAACATGTAAACTGAGGCCAGAGAGGGTACCTATAAAACATCTTATATGTTCAGCTAGGGACTCTGTGTCTCTTCTGTGGTAAACAGCAAGGACAGTTATGGCCAGCCTCCCAATGACATGTTAGGTCTCTGTGCAACCAGTTGGCTTAAGACAAATGTTACCTTAGCTACTGTGACTGCCGTTCTTCCCCTTGTACAGGATTTGGGAGCTTCTCCCTGTTTGGGGGACAAGACAGCTTAAAAACTGAGTCTCAAAAGAAATGAAAAATGAATGCAAGGGGAGAAGACTTTAGGAAAAACAGAAACTCAATTCAGATGGGCTTCATCAAAAACCAAACAATTTTACTTTCCCCCGTGTTGGCTTCATTTTTTCGCAGGCTTTCTCCTTGCAGCACAGATTGTAGCAGCTCTAAGCTTACATCCTACCAGCTTAGCAAATCCAGGAGAATGAGGGCTGCTTTTCCGTGAGTCTCAACAGCAGTCTCATAACAGATGCCACTGGATTGGGCCCCACACCCATCCTGGGGCCACTCATGGGTCCCAGAACTTCTCTGGAGCCAAGGACAGAGTCCAAAGCACTCAGCCACAAGTGTGGAAAGGGTACCACCCCAAGGGGAAATCGAGGTGTTGTTAGTAGAGAAAGGAGTGGACCCTGGGCAGCAATAACAACAGACATTCACGGCTTACAGAACAAATAAGACCACTCGGAGCCGGAGTCCAGGCTCTTAATATTCAATCCTGCCTGACATTCTCCCTGTGCTTCTTAGTACTGGGCTTTCCTCTGTTAGAGACATTTAAGGTTTATAAAGCAACCCAAATTAAGGCTTTTGCTTGGTAGAGTGTGCCTAATTAGATGGTATTTTCTTAATGTTCATATAATATTTGTTTCTTGCTCACTTATATCTACTTCCTTTTATAAGACGTGTAGACCCAGAGAGGTACCCACATTTGAGGTAGCAATGAAATATGTCCAGGAAGCCTTGCTGGAACGCCAGAAGCAATGGGGTCAAAAAGACTGACTTAGTAACTTCTAAGTTGCAGAAAATGGCTCATCTCCCAAAAAAGGAGTCGCTGAATCCTTGTAGGAAACACATCTATACAACCTATAGTCCCATCCTTACTTTAAAAGGCTTTTGTAAAATTTCTATTTTATTTCTGTCCATTAATCATATTTATTAGGGAATCACTGTAATTTGCATCTAAAACTATAAGAATAACAGAATTATATCAGGAACTGCCTCCAAAATGCTTATATAGAGATTATGAAACATCTAATGATGAGGTTTTGTACTTTGGTAACTTAACTTTGAAATATTTTGTACCCTACGGCTCTAAAGTTCACATTTTCTTTCCAATGATGTTGAACTCCATTATGTGCAATTTAATTAACTTTGGTAAAGAAGTATGACTTTTTTTATTATTATTACACTTTAAGTTCTGGGATGCATGTGCAGAACATGCAGGTTTGTTACATAGGTATACACGTTCCATGGTGGTTTGCTGCACCTATCAACCTGTCATCTACATTAGGTGTTTCTCCTAATGCTATCCCTCCCCTAGCCCCCCATCCCCCTGACAGGCCTCGGTGTGTGATATTCCCCTCCCTGTGTCCACATGTTCTCATTCTTCAACTCCAACTTATCAGTGAGAACATGCAGTGTTTGGTTTTCTGTTCCTGTGTTAGTTTGCTGAGAATGATGGTTTCCAGCTTCATCCATGTCCCTGCAAAGGACATGAAATCATCGTTTTTATGGCTACGTAGTATTCCATGGTGTATGTATGTCACATTTTCTTTATCCAGTCTATCATTGGTGGGCATTTCGGTTGGTTCTTTGCTATTGTGAACAGTGCTGCAATAAACATACGTGTGCATGTGTCTTTATAGTAGCATGATTTATAATCCTTAGGGGTTTATAATGGGATTGCTGGGTCAAATGGTATTTCCGGTTCTAGATCCTTGGGGAATCCCCATACTGTCTTCCACAATGGTTGAACTAATTTACACTCCCACCAACAGTGTAAGAGCATTCCTATTTCTCCACATCCTCTCCAGCATCTGTTGTTTCCTGACTTTTTAATGATCTCTTTTCTAACTGGCGTGAGATGATATCTCATTGTAGTTTTGATTTGCATTTCTCTAATGACCAGGGATGATTAGTTTTTTTTTTCTATGTTTGTTGGCCGCATAAATGCCTTCTTTTGAGAAGTGTCTGTTCATATCATTTGCCCACTTTTTGATGGGGCTGTTTTTTTCTTGTAAATTTGTTTAAGTTCTTTGTAGATTCTGGATATTAGCCCTTTGTCAGATTTATAGATTGCAGAAATTTTCTCCCGTTCTGTAGGTTGCCTGTTCTCTCTGATGATAGTTTCTTTTGCTGTGCAGAAGCTCTTTAGTTTAATTAGATCCCATTTGTTGATTTTGGCTATTTTTTGCCATTGCTTTTGGTGTTTCAGTCATGAAGTCTTTGCCCATGCCTATGTCCTGAATGGTATTGCCTAAGTTTTCTTCTAGGGCAGTTTTAGGTCTTACATTTAAGTTTTTAATCCATCTTGAGTTAATTTTTGTATAAAGTGTAAGTAAGGGGTCCAGTTTCAGTTTTCTGTATATGGCTAGCCAGTTTTCCCAACACCATGTATTAATTAGGGAATCCTTTCCCCATTGCTTGTTTTCATCCGGTTTGTCAAAGATCAGATAATTGTAGATGTGTGGCATTATTTCTGAGGCCTCTGTTCTGTTCTGTATGACATATTTTGTCTTTAGTCATAATAATACGACTAACATGATGTAGACTACTTAAAATGTAATATTTTCAGTATTTCTTTATACTTTGAAATATGCAGGACATTTCTGAACATTCTCATGAGTCTATTAGTGTGCCTTTGCTATTTAATATGCATATTAAAATCTGTTCTTGTTTATTCACTTATATAAAAACAAGAGAAAGTTTAAAAAGCACAAATCCTGACTCTGTTGGAGAATGTGTGTGCTTTTATCTCTAGCAATTTGGAAAGATTTTAAATTAGTCATTTGTTTTCTCATTGACAGTCTTTGTTATATTTAAACATGTTCGTGAAATTAATGCTAACTATATACAATAAGCATTCAAAAATAAAAAGTTAATTTCTTTTTAATGAAAAGAACGTGTTTATGTCTTACATGTCTGAGTTTTAGGTAGGAGTAGTTTTGTGCAATTATATGACATGATTTTAGTTTTTTCTGACTAAAAACATGCTTATGTCCTCACTGTGCTTTACCAAAAAAAAACTTCTTGTTTTCTATTGTCTGCCATAGCCATTCTAAAAGCAATGTTTAATTTACTTATGTAGAAAGTTTAAATAACCTTTCTGCTTTATTTCACCACCTTGACCCCTTGTCATGCTGTTCATTCTGCCATTCATTCAAATGATGGGAAGACATTTTTCTTTAAGACAAGCTTTTTACCCATGGTGCAACCTAGCTAGAGGATTGTTACCAGAAGACAGTTACAAAGCTACTTTCTGTTTGATCAAAAAACTGACAGATTTGTGGAAATCAGCTCAGAAGAATAATCTATTTTCTAAGATCTCTATGTAGGAACTTAGTAAATGTCTTCCCTGTACTTTGTAGATCTGCAAAAATAATATGGTTCAGCTCTACATCAGAGCTATGACTATATGTTTGCCATTCATTGATGAATTCATTCATTCATTGCGAGAATGATTATTGGACTTCTTCTAAATGAAACAGAAGAACTCTATTTTTACATGTTGATGGATTACTAATTGTAAACATTCAGGTAGAGATTTATGGTATTAGAAAGAGAGAAAGATAGAAGGAATGAGGGCTTTTGGACTTGTGTCCAGGATTACTGTCTAAGCAGGTTCAAATGTTTTCCTATTTACTTGTTTACTGTCAGGATATTGACGCCATCTCATTGTTCCCAGTATTGACCTGCAAAATACTAAAATGCAGAAAATTTCTATTTATCTCTACCAAGGAATAGGAACTTCTCATTAACTATATATTTTGACTGACTAATAATTTAAAAGATACACGGTGAAAATGACCAATTTTCAAAGAATGTACATAAAAGTATCATGAAAAATGTGAAAACAGCTTATTCTTATATGTAAAATATGAAATACTGTAGTATTCAGGTCATCTTTACAAATATATCAGATTCACCATCTTTCACTTTTCTTTATGTGAAACCCATTGAGACTAGATAAGTATTAGAATTCAGGGATTTTCAGGTGTATATTAAGTCAATATGATTTGTATATTATACATTAATCTAACTGCAGAAAACATCTGAATATATAAAGACTATGAATTGTTTCACAACCGTTCAGGTCTAGTTTTGCTGGCAAATAAATATGCACTAAACATAAAAAAAAAGCCTTTGCTTTTGCTCTTCAGAGCTTCTTGGACTTCAAAAGTCTATCGGATTGCAGAGTTCTTTTTTTTTTTTTTTTTTTTTTGAGACAGAGTCTCGCTCCATCACCCAGGTTGGAGTGCAGTGGCGTAATCTCGGCTCACTGCAGCCTCCGCATCCTGGGTCAAGCAATTCTCCTGCCTCAGCCTCCCGAGTAACTGGGACTACAGGTGCAGGACACCACACCTGGCTAATTTTTGTATTTTTAATAGAGCTGGGGTTTCACCCTGTTGGTCAGGATGGTCTTGATCTCCTGACCTTGTGATCTTCCCGCCTCGGCCTCCCAACGTGCTGGGATTACAGGCGTGAGCCACTGCATCCAGCCCCCAGATTGCAGACTTCTTATCTCACAGCAGCATGCTTTAGCATCTCATTTATCTGGCAATCAGATTTCATCATCACCTTTTGGGGGCAGAATTGGGAAGGCAAAATGAAGCAACATTGGCTTCTGAGCATCAAAGAAGATAGCTGTGGGCCACGTGCTTTAGTTATAAAATTATAAAACTTTTCGAATTGGAAGGAACCTTTGGAATCATGCCACCTAGCTCTTTCATTCTACAGCTGTGGAAGCTAAAGCATAGGGAGACAAAATTGTTAGTTTGAGGTTGGCTAGCCCAACAGAGCCATACTCATGTTGAATTATTTGTAAAATTAATCTTCATTGTTTAACAAGCCTAATGTTTTGCTGTAAGCTTTCCCAGAACGTTCATGTTTCTGAGTGATAGTGATTAGAACAGCAGATTAGAAATATGGGGGACATAGAAAGCACTCTAGAGACTAATTTACTGAGAAGTGGAACTGAGAAGCAGAGGAGGAAGCAGGAGATTTGCAGGACAGCGAAAACTTCTCAACATACTCTGAAAGTTAGACAGCACGAGTAATAGATTCCTTTAGGGATAACAATGCCTGCTGGTTGTTCAGGTGCTCTTAACCAAAGGAAATGCAGTGTTTTCCCATGAAAACAAAGTGAAGGGCCACATGGCACCACGTTTTGACAAACCCATTCACTCTGGGTTGGATTTATTTCTTTCAAAACACCACCAAATATCAAAGTAAAAGAGTATTTCAGGGACTGTAATATATGGGAAATCTCTATCTCTGTTCAATTTTCCTGTAAACTTGAAACTTCTCTAAAAAATAAAGCTGTTAGAAAGAGAGAGAGAGATTGCATTCACTTCTCATTGATATTTCAATCAATGGAATTTCTTAACAGACAACTTTGGGAAGAGAGACTGAAATAGCAGCATTACTGCTATTGACTATTAGTTATTTTTAAGAAAACACCATCTCTATGTGTCAAACAAAATACAGATGAGACCATTTTTTAAAAGATTGACACTAAGACTCTAAGAACAAGTTAAAACTGTATTTACGTAGGCAAGGATGTGTGAAATATATTTTTCAAAGATCACTGGCCAAATTTTTATTAGCTTAATCTCTGTTAAAGTGCAAATATTACTGAGAAAGCTGACTGTTACCCTTCCCAGTCTTTTTAGTTTAATGAGAGCAAATTCCAGTTCTTGTCTCAAATGCAGATTTTGATAAAACAAAGCTTGGATATATTTGCGTTTAGAGGAAGAAATAGATTTAAGCAAAGAGAGAAAGAAAGGCAAAACCTGAGAGGGTTTGGACACTGAAAACAAATCTCTGGTTTTATAATCTTGCCCACATTAAAGTAGTAACTTCTAGAATAAAGCTCCATTGTCAGGTCATAGGATTTTACGTTCTTGTCCAGTAATTTTGAAACATTATTAATTTGCTTAGATTGTTGATATGTAATTAATAATTAATGTTTCCTGTTTTCTATCTAAAATAAAGAAGCTTGGATCAGATTGAACAGAAATAAAATATCTTCTTAATCTTAGTCCTCACTTGAGATAAACACAGAGCTAAGCTATTCACTTAAGTCTTAATTTTTATATAAGAAATAAATAATAAGTCGGTATTTTATGAAGAGTTTCTGAATATAAAATTGAGCTATAGTTTAAAAATATTGTGGCTAATTACAACATTTCCTTTTGTTTTAGGAATGGTAAAGAGTTAACAAAAGACCACTGTGTTTAAATGGTTGGTTCTTGGAAACTAAATTTAAGATAATAGTCAAATAATGTAAATTTAATTGCATTTAAAACTTACGATAAATTATAGTATACCAACTGCTTCCACATATGTGGATATTATTTAGCTTTTAGGCCAGAGTAAAGTGTACTTAAGACATACTATATGGTAATGACTTAGATTCAGGCTTGACAATCTACGGATTGAATCTCGCCTGTAGCCTGTTTTTGTAAATAAAGTTTTATGGGAACACAACCACATCATTTGTTTATGTATTCTCTGTGGCTACTTTTGTGCTACAACAGCGAGGTTTGAGTAGTTGCCAGAGAGATTCCATGGCCCACAAAGCCTTACGTATTTAATATTATATCTGGCTCTTTAAGAAAAACGTTTGCTGGCCCGCGATTTGGATGGTCAATTAGTGATTCTGAGCACACTCCTCCCTGAGAAGTTGTGTTGCCTTAAATTTTTGAAGACCTCCTGTAGTCTCTCAGCTACTTGGGAGGCTGAGGCAGGAGAATTGCTTGAACCCAGGAGGCAGAGGTTGCAGTGAGCTGAGATTGCACCACTGCACTCCAGCCTGAGCGACAGAGTGAGACTCCGTCTAAAAAAAAAAGAAAAGAAAGAAAGAATTAGGCCAGTCGCAGTGACTCACGCCTGTAATCTCAGCATTTTGTGAGGCCAAGGTGGGCGGATCACCTGAGGTCAGGAGTTCGAGACCATCCTGGCCAACATGACAAAACCCGTCTCTATGAAAAATACAAAAAAAAAAAAGAATTTTTTTTTTTTTTTTTTTTTTTTTTTTTTTTTTTTTTTTTTTTGAGACGGAGTCTCGCTTTGTCACCCAGGCTGGAGTGCAGTGGCGCGATCTCGGCTCACTGCAAGCTCTGCCTCCCGGGTTCACGCCATTCTCCTGCCTCAGCCTCCAGAGTAGCTGGGACTACAGGCGCTCGCCACCACGCCCGGCTATTTTTTTTATTTTTATTTTTTATTTTTTGTATTTTTAGTAGAAACGTGGTTTCACCGTGTTAGCTAAGATGGTCTCAATCTCCCGACCTCGTGATCCGCCCGCCTCGGCCTCCCAAAGTGCTGAGATTACAGGCGTGAGCCACCGCGCCCGGCCAAAAGAAAATCTTTGAAGACACTAGAATAACATTTGTACAAGGATATTTTAACAAAATTAGGGATATTCTAAAAAGTTTAGCATATTTATCTAAATACACATTATAGTCCTATTTGAGATTATGGTTTATATTTCCTAGGGCTTTGAATTTTTTAGGACATCATTATAAGGAGCCATTTTTTATTTCCATATACCAGACTAGTGAAAAGAAAGTGGCATTGTTGCTTCTGATTGTATTCTGTAACTTTCAACTCTAAATGACTTGTGTAGGATTTCCACCACTAATTGGTCTGCCTGGGTCTTGTACACATATTTCAAATCCTAACTTCATTATCTTGGCCCCCTGCATATACTGATACTCTCTACCATTATCAATGGAACAATTTCCATGTACTTTACAACTGCAACCTTTTGCACTATACAAGATAGCCCAAGAACAGCCTTCATGAATTGCATCATAACTGTAGCACTGCTCAACTTACACTGACATTCCCCGTCCATGTGGGCCATAAGCTCCTGGAGAAGAGGGATCATACCAATATCATTTTCCTGCGTGTCAGCCTTGGGCAGTGTTTGCTATTCAAAACTGAAATTTTTATCTAGAAGTGTACTTTTAGAATTTTCTCCTCTGTTCAAGCTCAGTAGTTGAAGTATATATTAAAGTAAGGGTGTCCATTTAATTTGTCACCAAATTGAGACAATTCTGAGAGTTAAAGATGAGTCTCTGAATAGTTGTACTAGGACATAGACCAGAACTATGTTCAGAAAACCAGGACATACAGTCACCTTAATATTTGGAGATTTTTAAATTACAAAATTTCCTTAACTATACTATGTGTGATATTAAATAGTTGTACATCATAAAGTAGACATTAAAATGACTTTTATAATAGCAACAAATGACCAAAAACAAAAACATTTGAAAAATTGTGGAATTTCAGTTAACTTGGAGTTAGTATCTTATGCCTGATAGAAGCAACATGATGGCCAAGCCTCCTTTTCTTGCTCTTGTACTTTCACAGGACCTTCTCATCCTTTTCATCATCAAGAAAATCACGTGGCTGTCACTATAGACAACAAACAACTACCAATAAAAGAAAAAAAAATAGAAGAAGGAAGGCGGCTCCTCTAGGATTGTGTCAGGATTAGAAAATAATGTCTTGCACCAGCCATCTTGTTCCATTTCTTTCCTATTTAATTATTGCTCTTTTTATTAAAAAGCATAATCAGGCATGCATTGATCTTACAATAAGCTTTGCTTATAGTAAAACTGAAGCACATTTTAAATTATGCAGTTCACTATATTAAGCCAGGACTTTCCAGTCCACCCAAAGTTTCCCGTAAAGTTCTGTTTGACCTTTGTATAAAGACCACCTTCACTAGGTGACTTATTTTTGCTGCCCTCTTGGGTGGTCGAATGAGGCAAATTTCCCTGTTGAACAACATACAGCCTTCTTTTTTGCCAACTGAACATTACACTGGGATGTGGCTTGGAGGCACAGTTTCTCAATACTATAAACAACTGCTTTCTTGGAACAGCTTGTTGCTGAAGCATAAAGAGAGGTTACTCTTGGTTTAGCCTTGAGTAGCATATGAATTGGTTAAGGAAGTAAGTGTGGCTCACCCACCAAATTACAGTGGCCATAATATAATTAAGTTCGGTATCCTCCCTAGAGGCTCTAAGAAGTATTATTATGACACCAAACTTAAAGAAGAGGGATTTTTTTTTTAAGAGCCAGGAAATTCATGAGAAGCAGTCTTTGGGGAAAATGCTGCAAAGATTTTAAAAACTCCGTAGAAATATCTAAAAGTTGTTCAAGAAAAAAGGCTGGGTTAAAATACAGTAGTTAGTTATCGATGATCCTGAGTACTATTAAATCAGTATCTCTCACAAGAGTAGGGTGCCTTGGGATTAAAGATGGTATTGAAATTGGGATGGAGAACAAAAGGGAAGATTAAAGATACATTAGAAATATTAATAGTAAAACAAAGGAAAAATAGGAAATGTTACTAAAAGAAATTATGGGAAAGGCAATTGCTCTCTGCTTATCCAAATTGTAATTAAAACATAAAATTTCTAAAAACAACTTAGACTTTTAAGTTAAAGACTTAATTCAGACTATTAAAAGATTATTAAAGACCTACACGTCTCTAAGTGGAAAGAAGGAGAAGAGAGAATGAGAATGTAGAGCCATTTGCTGGCTCAGCTTAAGGCCACAGCTTTCTTAGCAATGCAGCTTGTACAGTTGTCAGAGCTTTCTGGTAGAACCCTAGTCTGGGTGCAACAGTCACAGAGACAAATATGAAAATAGGAACATGTATGAAAACTTAAACCCTTAAAAAGAAAGACGCTTAGCCTCTATTTATTTCCAAATAATTGCTGTTCAAGGCATTGCTCTTTATCTCTTGGGCCCCATGACAGAGTGGCTTAAAATAAATCATCAAGTCTTCAGGGCAAGTGTGATTTATTTTTTGGTCATATACTGCTGCTTTGTCATTCTATGTAATTATTATATTCAGCCAGTCTGCTTATCATTGGTTACAGCTTCATAATGTCACAAATAATCCTGCTTATGTTTATCTGTCTAGGTGTCAGCCATCCATGCCATAAATCCTATAACAACCTAATAATATTCTCTTCATGTGTTTTGTGCAGAAGCTACATTGCAATAAGTATGGCTTTCACATAAATAGAGAGTTTTGGAGTACAGGAGTGACTCGGGGAAAAGTGTGATTCCACAGATGGTGCTACTCAGACAAATCAAAGGGCTGAATGTAGTATCTGGCAAATCCATCTTTAATGCAGCCATTCCTCTACATGGCTTTGGTTTAGAGTATACATTAATGCATTAACTCTAGGCTAGTACAGAGCTTAATGATGCATCCCTGCTTAATTTCTACCAATTTCACAGAGGATATTTTTGTCTCCTGCAAGTAGGAATCAAGAAAGTTTACTAGATGTGCTCATAGTGTAGTGAGCCTTATGTGGGAAAAGGAAAACCAACACCTTTGAATTCTTTCATTCTGTGTGGAGTTGCCCTAAATTAAGCTGATGCTTCAGTGTCTTCATCCCTTACACAATCAGTTGCATCACTCCTCCACCACAGAGCCATAAAACTCACTGGTCTAGTCAGTGCTTTAGATGTTTCAGGTGCCTAATAACTTTTGGCAACTTTTTTTTTTTTTTTTTTTTTTTTTTTTGCTATTGGCCTATAGGTCATCTCAGCATTATCAAAACTAAGTTTGATAACTTACATTCTATTTGCATACGGCTTTTAACTTGTTAGGAATGGAAATCCACCTTTTTGAAGTTCCACTGTGTTACAGAGTCTTTACAAGTTCCAATCTTGTAAACTAGGTATGATTATCCCTTTTTATGGATAAGGAAACTCATGTTCAGAAACTTAAGTAATCTTCTCAATGATATATATCTAGCAACTGGTCGAACCAGGATTCAAATTTTATGTCTAATAATTGTGAACAAAATCCATCAAATAACCATCCAAAACCCAGCCTGTGAACGCATTTAAAGAAATTTTGCTCTAGAATCAGCACTGATTTTCAACTCTGCTGTCTTCTGTGAACATTGCATAATAAACTAACACTAAGTCAAACACAGACCATGTTCCCACCCAAGTCAGCCTTGGTTCCCAAGCACAAGTCGCTTTCAGAATAGCTTGTTGTTGAAGCAGGAAAAAAAAAATTGTGCTTGATTTGGCCTTGAGTAGCAATGTGAATTATAAAGGAAGTTAAGCATGGCTTGCTAGAAGAGTCCCAGCGGTGCTGGTGCTTCTATAGAATTAATTGGAGAGTCTTTTTTTTTTTGAAGTCCCAGGCAGCCAATGAGTGAAAATGCATAATTTATGCAAGTGTTGGGGAAAAGGCACACCTGTGCCAAGATAAGATTTTCCTATCTTGGATGAGTGGGAAGTTTAATTTTTCTGCAAAAATAAATTGGAAGCCTAAATATTAGAACTTATGGGGAAGAGTTATGCCTTCTAATGTATTTAAATAAACGTGAGGTTCTTTTGTTCCTTTTCCCAGTCTATTTTATCCTTTAAAAGACACAAGTCACGGGGAGCATGTTAAATGTCAAAGAAACTATGTAAACTGGTAGATGTTAATTAACTCTGCCAGACAAAACAGTTGCAGGATTGGATAAATGAGGAAATCCATCATCTAAGAAGTTATATGCAAGAACGGAAGGGATGAGAAGTCATTCTCATACACAAAACTTCTCAATTCTCCTGTGTCTGGATGAAGGCCATAGACATTTTATGAATTTAAAGTGGGAGCACCAAAAATGTCATTGGAGTGCTTATTTCTTCAAGCTTGGTGTGTTATAAATGTCATCTAGGGACGATGCCATACCAGTAGGAAGATATCATTTACAGCGTGTTCTAGACACTGAAACCATTTCAGTCACAGATAAATATCTTCCCAAGGGTTTGGTTTGCAAAAAGAAAAAAAGAATCTTTCTATCAATTGCTGGATTAGGTCATACAATTCTTTCAATCTATAGCAATTAAACTATACCTGCACACATGTGATTTACAAGACAGTTTGATTTCAGAGAGCTTTTATTAATGTATTTTATTTCATTCAGAGTGTGTTCTTTATAACAAACAGGAAATCTCACTAACTCTAATCCAAAGTTTGAGCAATGGAAAGGCACATAGATGATGTCGTACATTATAAATATTTTTTGTACTTGCTAGTTTATTTCTAAGGAAATTATGAGAATGACATCATAATGATGACTGACTTTTATTAGTGTTTTTGCTCTGAAGATCTAGACAAGTAGTTACAAAGAAAAACAAATTGTCTAGTGTTACCGCTTAATACTTTGCCTGATGTTTTCTAGTGACATTAATCTTGGGAAGTGATTCCAGGACTTCTATGCTACCATGAGTTCTCTTTTACATATTTATCATCAAAAAGAACATGGTGGTAAAGTACAACATTTTTAAAAACTCAAAACAGGAAATAATTACTTTTGATTTTTGCCTGGAGCACTGCTTGGATTAGTCTACAACTTGAAAAACAATTTTAGACCAATATTTTATAGACCATTATTTGTTACTATCAGAGGAAGGTTTAACATAACTGTTTATTATACATTTTAGCAAGATGCTTCTTTTTTCTACTAATATCAAATAGAAATTGTTAACATTCTGTTTTTAACTGAAGCCTTACTCTAATATCTTTTCTAGGTAAATTATTTTATTTTATTTTATTTTATTTTTTTGAGACGGAGTCTCGCCCTGTCGCCCAGGCTGGAATGCAATGGTGTGATCTCAGCTCACTGCAACCTCCACCTCCTGGCTTTAAGCAATTCTCCTGCCTCAGCCTCCCAAGTAGCTGGGATTACAGGCATGCACCATCACGCCCAGCTAATTTTTGTATTTTTATAGAGACAGGGTTTCACTATGTTGGCCAGGCTGGTCTCAAACTCGTGACCTCACCTGATCCATCCACCTTGGCCTCCCAAAGTACTGGGATTACAGGCGGGTAAACCATTTTAAATGACTTATTTGATATTGGTATGTTTTGAAAGAGAAGATAATTGTGTAAAGATAGATGAAATTCATGAAATTGAGGTATAGGTCTTAGAGTCTACTATTAACCCACACACTGAATATTTGAATACCTAGAGTTATCAGTCATTGAGCTAAGTGCTGAGGTGCAATCAAAGAATAATAAAACTTGATTTCCATCTAAGATTTCTTCTGTATGGGGTAGGGAGACTGGTAGGTATAATCAACACAAAGTGATATGATGGTAGTATGGTGTCCTAGCAATACCTGGAAAGTACTAGGATGAAAAGAAAAAGACATGCTTGCTAAACTCTGGAGTCAAGGAGGACTTTGCAGAAGTGCTGGAGCTGGTCTTAAACGATCAACAAGTTATTCCATAGAAACTAGATGGGAACGATCTTCAAAGCAGAGGGAACAAACAAATGCAAATGCATCAGGATATGAAAGCCAAGAGAGCATCAGAGTTGACCATAGCTGGAAAGACACGAACATGAGATGGAATGACAGAGCGGAGACTGGAAAGAGAGGTTAAGACCATATTGTAAAGTGTCTCATGGCCCCTGATAAATTATTTGGGCCTATTTTATAGGTGATAAGAGTAAAAAAGTTTTGCTTTGTTGTTATTTTGAAGAGGCAAAGTAAAATGACCAGATTTGTTTGTTACAAATCTATGTGAAGAATGGACCAGTGTCTTATCATTAGCATGGCCAACAGAAACAAAAAACTCTTACAGTCAAAGAAGAAAAATGAACTGTCCTTCATGCTGTCCATGATTTTTTTTTAACCTCCATTTAGATTTATATCAGGCAATTCAAAGAAAACAGCTTTATCTGTGTTTTAACCAGCTCAGCAGCAGGGGATGCCAAAGTCACTCCAGCATTAATAAGGGCAGTTCTAACTTAGGCCATATTCCTACTTCAAGACTGTTTCGAAATGCTGTGTAATATTACACAAAATAATATTTCATGGTATATTGAGGGGCTCCCAGACAATCTTACATGCATCTCTGATATCTACCATTTATTAAAATTGAAAGATTGCCAACTTTCCAATAGAAAAAAAACAAAACTTCCTTTATCGTTTTCACAGTGATAAAATATAGACCACCAGATATCTGGATTTCTAATATAAACATCAATATGGCCTTATATTTTGCTTATAAGTATAAACAAACTTCAAGGTTTATTATATCATGCATACTAATTTTGATAGGCAATTTCACATTTGAGTCCCTGATTCCTGCTGTCTAGGCTTATATGTGTGACATAAAGACAATATTTTTGCATCTGGCAATATTTAAGAAAGAGAAGAGCAAGGCAATTGGTTGATGTTGCTGACATTTGTGTCCATAATTAGGCTGATGGATTGCTGCTTCAGGAGTTTTGCTTTTTTAACCATTTGATGATTCTTGAAATATCTATGTAGTTTTTGCTAATGTGCTTGTATTTCTATTTTCTTTTTTTAATAATCACATATAGTACATATAAATACAAACAGTGCCTCCATTTATATACTTAAATGTCTATGTATAGGATTTTTTTACATAAGGAAGGAGATGCCTTTTTAAATTAATTTTTAAATTTGATTTCAATAACTCCAGCCACCCAGTAAAACATGTAGCTTTACTTCAAAAGCTGCAAATGAAAAGTCTAAGTACCATCAGCAATGCCTCCTCCAAAGCCCTCACTCTAAAGTCACTTGTCACACATTCTATCAAATAAGGGAGAAAAAAACAAACACTATATCCAATTATAGTTTTCCACCTGAAACTACCAAAATAGAAAAAAAAAATTTTCCTATTAAAATGGAAAAAGTCTAAGTGCTCAGGTAGAATCATTGAATTATCATTTTTGCTAGAGTTGACCTTATGCATTTCAAGGCTGGCACCATCATGTACAGGAACAATATGCTCATTGCTCCTCCCACCCATCCCCACCATGATGAAGAAAAGAGCTGATTAGTGAACAACTAATAAATATGTGCCATCTGGGTACTAGTAACTTTAAATTTTTATTTAATGTATTTTTCATTTTTTAAGAAAATACCTTGTGAAGTAGAAGTTATCATGCCTTTACAATAAAAAAAAAGCTGAAGCTCAGGGGTGTTAAATTATTTCCCCCAAGTCAAACAGCCTGGAAGTCACATAAGCGAAGATTCAAACCCAACTGTCATGTAATAGAGCCCACATTCTCTCCACCGTATTTACGTGTGCCCTCAGATACCGAAAATTCTCCACAACCAGCAAGAATAGGAGGTACACATATTTCTGTACTCTTCTCTTCCATTTCTCTTTTTCCCGAAGAATCATACTCATTACAGATAAAGTATCTCTCTGGGAGATGCTGTTCTTTCTTTACCTGGAACCTTCTTCCCTTTCTGGCTCCTTCTCATCCTTGAAGTCTCAACCTGAATTTTTAGACAGGTCTTCCCTCTTTAGAGAGGTCTTTGCTAACGCCCTAGTCTGAATTAGATTCCCCCTGAATTCTTTCCCGTAACACCCTATTCTTGTCTTTTATAGCCCTCTCCAAAGTTGAAATACGTATTTATGTATAGCGTTACTTGTGTAAAGTCTCTCCCCAGCTAGAATACAATAGCCCAGGCTGTGGTATATTTTAACAATGGCTAAATTTTCTTGAGCACCAATAGTGTGTCAGGGGTCATCCTTCTATCTTTCCATGCAACAACTCACCAGGTAGGAAATGCGTGTATTTTGAAAGTGGTAAAACCGAGACACAGAGAGGCTAAGGTAACTCTCCCAAAGTTAGAAAGCCATCAAGAGGAGCCAAGTTGCAAAGCAAGGTAGTCTGGATCCCTGAGCCCATACTCTTAAACACCATGCTATGAATGAATAGGAATCTGACACATGAGGACATGGAAGCAACTGGCATACCACATCTGCCCCTTAATGACTGAGTGATGTGCTGGAATCTGAGAGCAAGAGCTGTGGAGTGAGTGAGGATAAATGTTCATAACGTTATAGGTGTTGAAGAGAGTGGGTGCTGGCAGTGAGGAAAGTGGAACCACTATAAACACTTCATTTGCCCTACAATTTAGAATCAGGAACTAATCTCTGCATAGTGATTCTGGGAATTGGAATGGGACTCCTTAATTTTCCATCAGTTTTTTTTTTCAAACTGCTACCTGGGTCAAATTATGAACATACTAGAACACTGGTTAGTCTTTCACTGTTTGGCTCTTCCCTTAGTTGACTAACAACACAGTCTCAAGCAATTTTAACATCAGAAGTTCCCTCAAATTCTGTCCTTTGATCCAAAATTGTATTAATCATAGATATTTAAATTTTCCATTATATTAAAAATTATAAGGAACAGAGCTTTTATTCATTGAAATCTATCCTATTGGAGAAACTCCCATGGAAAACGTGAACAGCTGGACACTGTCCTCCTTAAAATAAATCCTCATGTATTTAAATAAGGTTATTTGTACTCCTCAGAGTTTTTTCTTTTGTGACTTTAAGAAATTCAAGCCCTCCCTTTAGACTTTCTTTATAAATCCTATTCTAATTTTATAATCACTTTTCTATCTTTAATCTGAACTTCATCCAGATTAAACTTTTTTAGATATGTATAATGTATAGTTCACACATTTATTCTATCTGAATGGAGTAGACCATAATTTCTTTCCTATAGAAAACATGGAATTACAAAATTTTACATTTTAAATTGTCACATAATTTAATACTAAAGATGCATTTGGTCAGAAATATATATTATTAGTTTTTATTCAGAATTAATACAAAGATATAAGATATCAAATATCAAAAAGATTTTCTTAATTTAGATATCTGAGCCATAGCAAATGTTTATTTGCTAAATGTTGATTTGTAGCTAATGATATTTTGGAATAAGAATAATTTTTCATATTAAAAATGAATGTTTAGATTGTTCATATTGTAGTGTTTTAATGTTTCTGTGTTGTTAGAATTCTGCATTTGATCATTTTGTAAAATAGTACTTAATAAAAATATCAAAGATTCAAAGAATTTGATTCTGCTACTTGGTAAATTGCAAGTTTAATTGACATATAAATCATGAAAATACAAACTCTACTTAGAAAATAATTTTTAAAGTACCGTAATTGTTATATGACCTTGAAGTTCCAGCAATCTATTGCATAACTCTTCAAGAGAAGTCACATGGAGGAAACCTCATATTTCCTTAAATTTATTAGTGTTCCTTGGTGGTCTAAACTATTGGGGTTTTTTTTTTCAAGGTTTCTTTTCAAAGCAATAATCTTACTTAATTGCTTAATGTTTTCTCTTATATAAGTCAATTTGAGTTCTTATTTAGAGTAACAATAGAAATACATAATGGCTAAGAGTAGTGAAACATGACTAGGAAACTCAAGTATACCAGTGTTATATTTCTATATAATGACGTGAAGATAATGCTTTTAGCTGCATGACCAGCATATTAGCCACACATCGTAAAAACCAAACTTCATAAAAGCAAGAGGTCAAATTCATTAAAAACAATTTTGTACCCTTTGCTACAGTTAAGCATTTATCTTTAATATTGTGATTTCTTTCTTCTATTGAAAAGGCCCTGAATCTCCCATTTCCTGACAGGAGAAAAAAAAATTAAAGTAAAAAGGTATAAATCACATGAAACTATCAAGAAAACTTACTTTATATTCCTGGGTTTAATGTTTAAAATCAAATGGTAAGACTTTATGCCTCAGAGATTTTAGCTTTAAAGATGGTGAATGAAATAATAAGTCCATTTTATTTCATTTGTTTTCAACATAAAAATCTAATATTCCAGTAATTCCATAAAATTAACTTTTGTTTTTATAAAAGTTAATGGTTCTTATGTTTGTAAGATTATCACTAATAAAATATGAAAATGCATTTGTCTTTATTATAGACCAAGTCATTCTAAAAAAGACATTTCTTAGCCATTAAGTAAAATAAATTATAAGGGGGTCTGAAAAAGTTAATGGGTTTTCTAAATTGTCTTCCTTATTCCAAAGGAAATACTTGCTTTTCTAACAAGATTTGCTTGATATTTGTCAGTTTAATTTTTTTTTAACTATTCATGATTTAAGAATGGCCCTAAGAGTGAAATCCATGAGACACTGAGAGAAGAAAGAATTGAACCTCTCCAAACATAAATAGTATTTCCTTTATTCTGTGGCATCATCTAGTCTTTGGGGATATGTATGTCTTTAATGGATATGCATGCTCTCATACACTCCTTGAATAATCTTATATTCGTCCTTAGTTTATAATTGAATATCCAAATTTAAATCTAAATTTGGTATCTTTTTTGTTCTTATAAATATGTGTCATATTAGTCAATAGGGCTCTGAAGTAATTTTCACAGCTAATTGCTACTATCAAAAATACACATTTTTCTATCATAAATCTTGGTGGTGCATTTTCACATTGGGTTTGTTTTTGGAGGGGAGGAAATATTGTAATTTGCCATCGGTATTACTGAAGAACACACAAATGTCGGGGTCTATTTCTTTCACCCCTTATATTTGTCTACTAAATAAATTTCTTTATGTTTAACTTTAGAGGATAAATTTTATATATTTTAATGAAAAAACGATATTTCTACAATAGCAAAGTTATGGGTGTTTCAATTTTAGAACAAAAATTTAGATTACATCAAGCCTTACAAATCATTCATTAATAAACCAGCCACTGGTAACACATGCCACGTAAATCTCCTGAAAAGATATCCACAAATCTTTATCAAAAGTATGTGGTGAGCCTGGTGCTAAATATAAGTATAAATGTGCATGTCCATGCCTGCAATTTTCTGAAGTCCAAAAGTTCTTTGGATGGCAAGCAGCAAGTTAATACTTCTTCTACATAACGTGCACGCATTCCTCATCTGATCAAAATGTAGGACTTCACATTCTCTACTTCAAAATTACATTCCCTACTTGAGAAGCTTCTTATGTTATAGAACAACTGAATGTGAGAAGAGTTCTTCCCTCTCTGTGCACTATAATAGTTATATCTTCAATTTGAATAGCACTTTAGAGCTCATTAAGTAATTTTACATTCATCATCTTCTTGGATTATCTGAGCAACCTTATGTGATAGATTTAAGATATTTACCAAGAAGTTTTCCTTTGCCTCAGTGAGTGTATTTACACCACATAAATTTACACAAATCTGCACCTCTTTTTTTTTTCCCAAACAGGCCATTTACTGGCACAACACTACCTTAAAACCTAAATTAACCTTTGTGTTAAAATAATTGAGGTACACACTTCAGTATATCCCACATAAGTTAAAATGACTAAATCATTTAATTTAAAGTAATATATATGAGTTAAAGTAACTGAGGGATGAGCTTCATTTTATTCCCTTGTAGAACTTCAGAAACCCAAGTTACTTAAGACTGTTTCAAAACTGCCTCAGTTCATGAACAATGGGTGCTGATAAGAGAATACAGTCTCTTCTTTTTTTGTTCATTTCTTCATTTAGGAAGTACTTGGTAGGGCACTGTAACATAATAGTTCCCATTGTGTGTCTTCCAATCACAATCTCTGCTTTGCTACTTCTATTTAAGCATTTGGGGCAAGTTACTCAATTCCTCTATGCCTCTTGTTTCCTTACATGGAAAGTAAAGATAATAAAACAGTATTAAACTCTAGAGTTGCTATAAAGTTTAAACAGAATATTGCTTGAAAATCACTCAGCACAGTCTCTGTCACGCAGTAAGAACTCAGTACATCCTATTTGTACTATAACAAGGAGGTAGAGTCAGTACCTCCACTGTCAATGAGGTACTATGTAAGACATCAGAAATACCACGATGTGGTCTCTGCCTTCAAGAAGCTTACAGTCTATTGGAGACTTGCTCCTAATTTACATATCTAACATTTTGTTGTGTCTAACAAAGTAGTTAGCTTAATATTTTACCCTTTTACAGTTCAGTCTAGAATTTTTTTTAAATTTTTTGTTCAACAAGTCTTAAGCCTATGGTTCATAATAGTTTTGTGAGGTTACAAAGCTTTTTCTAATTGTAATTTTTATTCATTTTTATTCCCAAGAATATTCTTATAGTTTTGTTAAACCATCATTAATTTATTTTCATTTAGCCTCAGTGCACAGAATAAAAGCTTTGCTTTCTCCAAGTGTTACCAATGTTTCTATAATTTTTTTCTCTAAAAAATTGTTTATTGCTAGGATTTTCCTTTTGAGAAGGGATTTTTATGCTTTTTGGAGGCTTATTGTTTTATTACTTTATTATTTCAAATAGATATTTCACACAGTTTAATTTTATTAGAGCATTTTGTCTCATTGAGAAGATATTTTAGAAAGTGGAACTTTGGAATAGATATTATAGCATCTGATGCGTATTGAGCCAGATAGTCCCTTGTGTTTAAGTCATTCTCTGATATTATATTGGATTCCTTGGGCACATATATTAAAGTTTCCACAGCTGTCAACTGCTGCCTGAGCAAGATAAAAGGTACAAGTCAATCCAATCTCTAATATGCCGTAATGTATCACATGCCACAGTTCAAATGCTTTAAAAGCCTGGGGAGGAAATAGTAATATGAACATAATAAATTAAATTCCACTTGACAAATATAAATTTTATATAAAATAAATCATATATACATAACATTGTGACTCTAATAGTTATAAGTATATAACTGAGTATGTATATATACATTTTTCCTCATAGATGGAAATGTCAAAAGATCATTCATATATGGAATAAGAAGGAGCTATGAAACTAGAAATTCTAGAAAATAGCCACTTCCAATACGTCCAATATCCTCACTCTGAGTAGGCTGTAACTTAAACCTAGTATTACTGATTTATTTTGTTTTTTGAAGAGAGTAGAAAAGAGAATTATTGTGACTTACAGGTAGATGATTTCCGTGTGGAATCTCTTTTATTCTTCCATTTGCACTTTTCTAATTTGTCTGCATCTGCTACCTTCAAAAGATAAAATGCTTGAAAATCCTAAACATAGATTTGACACGGACCAATCGCTACATACCAGAGATTATATACCCCATGAGACACTTCCTAAAATTCTGAATTGCTGGTTATCTTCTAGCAGCTCTCCAATGTTATCTGAAGCAGGACAGATTTCTTTGTCAGGTGTGATGGAGTGTGATGAAGATGAGCTTGTGTCCCAACAGCATTTGAAAATTGTATATGCAGTTATGCACTGCATAAAGACATTTGAGTCAACAACGGACCACATATACAATGGTGGTCCCATAAGATTATAACACCATATTTTTACAGTACCTTTTCTATGTTTACATGCACAGATGCTGACCATTGTATTAAGTTGCCTACAATAGTCAGTAAAGTAACATGCTACACAGCTTTGCAGCCTAGGAGCAACGGGCCATACCACATAGCCTAGATGTGTAGTAGGCTCTACCATCTCAGAAGGTATCCCCATTGTTAAGCTATTCATGACTGTACCTTCTTGGAGGACTGAAACAGTGAGTAAACACGATTAAGGAGAAGAGAAAAGTTGAGCATCAGCATTCCGTTAATTGGACTAAGTTTAAAGGAAAACCAAATCTGGAAAAGTAGAGGAAATTTTAATGAAAAGGGAGAATTCCTATTAGAATTGATACGTCCTTCGTTTATTGTGGCTGGTTTCATCCTCAGGGAATAGTGCAGGTCAGAAAAGCCAAAAGAGTGGATTACAAAATGAAACAAGATATTTTATGTCTTTTCCCAAACTTAAGTTTAGTAGAAAAAACAAGTCAAGTTCAAGAGTAAGAATTTTATGAACGAAAAGAAAACTACCAAATTATTAGAAGTATTCTCAAATAGACTTGATCACGATCTCCATTTCCCTAGAAAAGAGAATGGGCTAAGTAACCTTTCAGGTTCTTTCTGGGATATTTTCTGACACCAAATGAGAGGTTTACTCTCACACCCACCAGTCCTCCCACACCAATTGTGCGTCCAACAATTTGATTTAGTTCAATTCAATTCTGAAACTATCTGGACTTAGCTCAGACCTCACAGGTTAAGGGCTCAGCCCCATAAGACTGCTCCTACTTCAAATACCAACCACAAATGGGATGCCCATGCTACCACATTTCTGCCGAGCAGGCTACAAATTTGGGGGTTCTCATAATTCGCCTTCAGCCTTGGTAATTCACTAGAATGACTCATAGAACACAGGAAAGCACTTTTATTTACTATTACTGGTTTACTATGAAGGATACGACTCAGGAACAGCCAAATGGAAGAGAGGCATAAAACAAGATATTGGAAGGGGGTGCTGTACAGAGCTCCCCTGCCCTCTCTGGGTGTGCCACTCTCTGTGAACCCTATTGTTTAGGGTCTTAAGGAGGTTTCATTACACAGACATGATTGATTGAATTACTGGCCATTGGTGATTGAACCCAACCTCCAACCTCTCTTGCTCCCTGGGGTTGTGGGGTAGGCTGAAAGTTCCAATTCTCTAATCACATGGTGGGTTCCTCTGGCTGCAAGCCCCCATCTTGAAGTTATCTAAAAGCCCACCAAAGTCAGCTTAGTAGTATAAAATCAGGTGTGATTAAAGCGGCTCCTTACAAATGAAAAAAAAATGCACTCCTATCACTCAGGAAATTCCAAGAGTTTTAGAGGCTTTGTGCCAAGAACTGGAGACAAAGAACAAACTTTTTTTTTTTTAATATATCACAGAAACAAATCATGCAGTCCTTCCCATAAGTTAACCCAGGGACCTCAGGGGATTGACTCCTGTTCTGAGACCAATTTAGACTTTTGGAACTATTGAAAAGCGATGCTTCTTATCTTTTCCAAGAGTTGTGAAGAAATCAGTGCTCTGCAATGTGTTTCACAGCTTATACACACAGCAAAATAACACAGTTTTAATCAACTTAAAATGCAAAGATTGTCCTCCAGTTAGTAGAAATGGTTTATATATATTTAATTTTACCTTCTCTGTATCTTGGAATCTCGTTTGACTAACTTGGGAGTTTTGATCTGAACTTAATTCATACGTGAAAGTTTCACATGTCCACATTTTATCAAATGGTCTTCTCTCTCCTTCTGCTCAATTCTGAAGGATAGTTTCACTTCGTTTTGAAGAATGTTGGTTATTCTTCCAATACTGACAGCTATGAGAAAGAGCTTGTTGTAACAGAGTGTACCTTAAGTATCTCCTTGTGAACTTATATATGAACTTCACTGGTCTCCTCTTTCAGTGCTCACAGGAGGGCATGGCCATGAAGACACAAGTCAGAAATGCTTGGGATCCTTTTTCAGAAACCGATTAAAATATTCATGTGGTAGGCAGAATAATGCCCCTCCCCAAATGATGTCCTTGTCCTTTCCCTAGAACTTGTGAATGTGTTACCTTATATGGCAAAGGGGAATTAAGGTTGCAATGGAATTAAGATTGCTAAACAGCACATAGGGAGATTATCCTGGATCATCTGGGTGGGCTCAGTGTAATCACAAGTTCTTAAAAGTGGAAGAGGAAGACAAAGGAGGTCAGAGTGATGTGATATGAGAAGGATTCAATCCACCATTGCTGGCTTTGAAGATGGAAGAAAGAAGACACAAACTGAGAAATGCAGATGGCTTCCATAATTGGAAAATGAAAGAAAATGGATTATCTTCTAGCACCTCTAGAAAGAAACTTAGCTCTGCCAACATTTATTATAACCTGTGAGACCCATGTTGAACTCTAATCTACAAATTAAGATAAAAAATTTATGTTATTTCAAGCCACAAAGTTTGTGGTAAATTTTCATAGCAGCAATAGAAAATGAATACAATCTGGTACTGTGTTTGAACTAACAGTTCTCAAACAAACCTGTTTTGCCATTTCTGATCAGCAAATAGTTCCAGTCTAAGAGAAAGCATAGATTTGCATGAGAGGGTCCCATTTTAGTCCCAAGTCCTCTTTTTCCTCTTTTTCCTTTCATGATGTGTATCAGCAAAACATAGGCAAGAAAATGACAGTTAATAAAAGAAATGTGAAAGCCTGCCTTATAGCAAAAGTATATATCTTATAGGGAATTCAAAATACCACCACTCTATTCTTATATTAATTCTTAAAAATTCCTTGAGCATTAAGAGAGCAACAATTTTACCAGAGAGCTTCATTCATACCTGTGTGCTTGTGTCATGTACATAAAATAAATTACCAGATGGTCTTACTGTTTGTAGAAACTCCGCTTACTTCTTCATGTAAGTTTTTATGTAATTAAGCTGTTTTTTTCTTTTTTTTTTTTTAGCAAGTTTTAGAGTGGAGAAAGCTCAGGTGCCAATATATAAATTAATCTTTGTGTCAGAAGTTACCAAAAGTATTTATTTCTTATCTTTAATACTTGTTTTTTGACCATGCACATTTCTAACAGTGTAGCATTGTTCATCCTCCTCAAAAATCTCCAAGTATGATGGGAATGAAACAACTCAAAATTCAAAACTATACTTTGTTATGTGCTTCCATATACAAACTCATTGAGAGGAGGAATTTATTCTTATTGATTGTTTATCCCTAAGCACCAACACATTATATCCAACACATAATGGGTATTCAATAAGTATTTGTGGAATAAGTGTAAAATTAAAAAAAGAAATAGTTGGCAGTAACAACTAATGTCTTGAACATAGTGTCACATTATTTAGTTTATGTTTCATGGCTTTCATAATATCATAGGGTCATGTTGTGGATGACTGAACTTGAAGTCAGCCACTTACCAAAAGGTCACTAAGAAAAATTATGTTTCCTAAAATGTACAAGTCAGTATTTCCTGAAGGACATTAGGGCAAATTTAAAGCAAAAACAGAAACCAGAAAAAAACTAACTGTAACCACATTAAAGTATGAAGAGAATGTTGTCTTTTAAATGTCACAATGAAAGATGTTGTCCTATAATGTCTGTTAAAAAAGAAAAAATAGGGCTGAGTGTGGTGGCTCATGCCTGTAATACCCACACTGTCAGAAACCAAGGCAAGAGGATCACTTGAGCCCAGAAGTTCAAGGCTGCAGTGAGCCATGATTGTGACACTGCACTCCAGCCAGGGTGATAGAGTGAAACCATGTATAAAAAAAGAAAAGAAAAAAATAATACTTTCTGTTATAATCATTTTATGATTATCTCTTCTTTCAAATGGATACTTAATTATTCAAAGAAGAGGAATATTCTTAATTGGTTAGAACTTGGATCTGTTCACCAGGGAAGAATTTATCCCAAAGCTGCAACACTAGGTCTGATCTTGTATTTACATTAAAGTATCAGTACTCTTCATTTTGGGGTTGTCTATTTTCTGTGGACCCTGTGAAATTGCTTTTAAGAGCTGACTGATAACTAGAATGGCAGATAGTTAAACACTTATTAAAAGCGCCTGAAGAGGGTTTTATTATTTCCTCTGAAACAACTTAGTCTACAGGTTCCAAATTGCGGGAACATTATTTTCAAATCATTCAACACTCCAAATTTGAGCAGTCATTTGTGCTTGCTGTCCAGTAGGGCTGTCCAGAAGTTGATGTAGCATTGAAGAGCTGAGCAAAGGGGAAGAGGGGGTCTTGTGGCAGCCTATGAAGCTTGGATGAGGTTCAAGTCAGTAAGTTGTTTTTTTTTTTTTAAAGCATTACCAAACTGAGGAAATCCTAAATTCTTGTTTGTAAATTACTTGTTGCCCTTTTAGCTTTCAGTTTGGTTCTAGCAATGCTGTCTGTGCATTCCCAGAAGCACAATATACAAAGTGCTCAGTGCTAATAATGAAGTACAATTATAATGTGAATATTTAGACAAATCACTGCTTTTCACATGGGTAAGAATAAACATTTTGGACATTGGTTAACAGTTTTTAAAAGTATAATGTTAGGGCTAGGCACAGTGGCTCACGCCTGTAATCCCAGCACTTTGGGAGGCCGAGGAGGGCGGATCACCTGAGGTCAGGAGTTCAAGACCAGCCTGGCCAACATGGTGAAACCCTGTCTCTGCTAAAATTCAAAATTAGCTGGGCATGGTGCAAGTGCCTGTAATCCCAAGTACCCGGGAGGCTGAGGCAGGAGAATCACTTGAACCCAGGAGACGGAGATTGCAGTGAGCCGAGATTGCGCCACTGCACTCCAGCCTGGGCAAAAAGAATGAAACTCCATCTCAAAAAAAAAAAAGGGATAATGTTAGAAATCAGTGTCTTTTTGAAAGGCAAGACTGCCTGAATCACGACTCTTCCATTTGCCATTCTATTAATATGTTTTTCTCCCTTTTTAGCCAGCTTGGCTCAACTAATCACTAGAAGCTCAAGAATAAAATAAAAACTCCCCAGATGCTCCCTAGACTCAGTTCAATAATTGACATTTCTGGAAGGAGTGTATGATTTTGATTCCATATTCTCTGAGCCATAAAACCACACATAATGAAGGGGTAGGATGAGAAGGGGTTAGAAGGAGAGCAGTTAGTAACATTGGCACCAGGGCTTTGTTTTTTTCTACTGAGCCTCTAAAGCTGGGTTATCGGATTTGGAAATAGAGTGAAGAGAAGGGAGTCTTTGGGCTAGGGGATCAGACCAACAGAATGGGGCTTTGAACACACACAGTCAGAGCTGGGACAAAGGGGACTAAGATAATAGAAGGAAGTACAGGAGGCTGGGAGGTCTGGTCTGCTGGCCAGTCCCGGCTCCAGGCACCAACGTCCAGGCTCTCGGGCTAGGACGGTGTCCTGGTGAAGACTACAGCTGAAGCAACCTTAAATATCTGGTGGTGTTTCTGATGGTGTGGCCTCTAACTGACCCTGGTCTAAAATTAACCCTTCAGTGCCCAATCAACATATTTCTTCATAAGACCTTGAAAAATGACCCAGACCTTAGAGATAGGTTTGCATTTGAGAGTTAAATCATAATTTGTCAGTAATATATTTTAATTAAGTAGACAACATAATTCTGAAGTCTAATTCAAGTGAAATGTGAGCTCTCAATACATTAATCTCCTGGCACACTGTGGCACACCAGGAGTATATCTATCTGTCCTTTCTAATTTCTGAATATTTAGGAATCCTGTTATATAATTTTAAAATCTAGATTCAAGAAAATCTAGGATATTTATATAATACATTAAATTGTTTTCATCAGTGTAGTTATGAAAGTGAGTATTTCTCTGAAATGACTTAAGAGTAGTCAAATTTCTAAACTACTTTGCACCTGGAAGTTGACCCAAAAATGAGATCATATGTAATGATTAATCAATTGTAAATCCTATTACCTGAAAATGTCAGAATTACTGACTTTTTTTAAATTGCTTTTTTGATTTATTTCTCTGTCATTCACATGTCTCATTCTGTTTCCATATTTGGCACTTTAGTAAATGTCAAAAATGCCCCCAAAGTCATTTATGTGATAGATGGTATCTCTAAAGTGAACAATTGTCTTCTATCACTTGTGGATTTGTTTAAATCTCTTTTCCCATCTGTCTTTCTACAGTGCCTTAATTCTACATTCTTAATTCCTGAGAAGCAACCAGCACAGTTCTGAAGCATGTTGCTATCCAATTCAAATTGTATTTCTGATGATTTGATTAAAAACTACAAAGAACTACTTTCAACAAAAGCTGCTTATGGTGGAACACAAACATTTGTGAAGCAGGCATGCAGTACTTAACCTGCACTCACAGCTTTAGGGGGAAATATATTTGAGGGAGGAATTAATCACAAACGAAATCCCACCCTCGGGCCTCGTTAGACAATCCGTCAAGGAGGTTCAAATGTGCAGTGGCTTCTCTACAGTCAAATTGTACTTACATATCCTAGCTTCCAGTGTCTCAGAAGAAAGCCAAAAGATTTTTATTTAATGAAGATTTAAGCAGAAAAACAGCACCATCGAGTCAATATTAAAATCACCAGAACAAGATAATCTGAAAAACAGAGAGTCATTCATATATCGGTCATTAGAGTTTTACCTTTATGATTAAAATTAAAATTATGCATATTGTGATGTGGAGGAAAGTTGACTTTTTGACATTTAAATAATGACTTGGTCGTTCTGTGTATTTGCAGCCATTTTAATATTTGTATGTTCTGAAAGTTTGGATATTCTACTTTGGGTGATCTATACCTAAAAACAGTTTTCTCTAAGCCAGGAAACAAATCGATGTTTATTAAAAGTAAACTTTTCTGCCTAAACCTTTCAATTCTGAACTCCATGTAAAATAAGAACTACAAACAGTTCTATGCTTTGCTAGTAACATATACTATTGTGTGGGGGACAAAAACATGAGAGTGCTTCCATGACTGAACATGACCTTGTGAAGAGGTTGCAGTATTAGAGATTTTTTTTTCTCTGCTAACACTTGAGAAGGAATAACTTCTCATAGCTTTTTGCCATACGCTATGTCGTGATGTTTAATGGAATAAATAAGGTGATGTGCCATCAGCAGTTGCAGCGTTCAATTTCTATGCCATGTTTTTCTCCGAGAAAGTGCTTCCTGGCTTTACTAGTATGTGAACTTTAAGGCTCTGATCTAGATAATTTTAGATACTTTGATTTCATTATAGAAATTCCTAGACTATTTGTGGGATAAAACAAAGGCTAAGACCATATTGAATTTCAACAAGTTGAATTAGCAGAAAATGAAGATAAAATGCCTTTCTATTTAAGAACATGAAGATGTTTTAATTGTTATAGCATTTGGCATGCCTAATGTATACAATCCTTGACATTCATATAATAACACAAGAAAGTTGTTTGGGATTTTGCTTTAATTTCCTAGTGTCCCCTTTCCCCTCTAGCATTTCTCCCACTCCTTCCCCAGCCGTGGCCTTTAGGCATCCTCTGGCTGCTTCATCCTTCTGTAAAGAAAAACCCTATGCAGCGAAGGGATTCATGTAAAACTGCCTCATTTCTAGATAGATAGGCAAGGCTGCCTATTACCTAGCTATGATGAACAGACCACCATCGTTGTGACAACTGATGTAGATGCCTCCAGGGTAAAGCAAAGGTTTACATATTACACAAGCAATTTAACTGTTTTCTAAACATATTGCCAAGACAGTGGGAGTTGGCAGCCCACACTGTGTTTTAGGTTTTGGAGACTTGGATTAGAAGTGACTGTTGATTATGAACCTTTTTATTTGTCTTCTATGAACTACAAGCAACCTAGTAACCCGGGAAAGAATTCTTCACAGCACTTAAACTTGTCCTCCTAGCGGCCCAAGATTACATACACAAATCACTTGACAAAAGTGGTGTAAGACTCTTGTACATAGATAACCACACAAGACAATTGTCTTGTTCTAACCCTTAAAGAGTTCCACAAAGTGAAATGTTTTATAATCCTTTTTTGTGCAGTAGGCAAGGAAGAAAAGAAAGGAGGTTGGGCAAAGATTATCCAAAAGAAAGAAAGAGACTCTTTTGGGGTTCCAGTTGAAACACAATAAAGAACATAATTAACTTTACAATTCTTTGTGTTTTTCATTTGACTGCAGGGAGGAGATGAAAGAGGACTGCTAAGCCTCGCATTCCATCCCAATTACAAGAAAAATGGAAAGTTGTATGTGTCCTATACCACCAACCAAGAACGGTGGGCTATCGGGCCTCATGACCACATTCTTAGGGTTGTGGAATACACAGTATCCAGGTATCACTAAAAGGCATCGAAGCATAGAAATTTCTCATCTTATTTTCTCATCATCTTTTCATAAGTTTTTTTATTTAGAAGTTGCAAATAAGTAACCATAAGGTGGCAATAATTAAATCATTACCTCCATCTTGCTGAAAACTCCATATGTGTCTTTAAGAGAAATGGAGAACAACAATGGTTTTGACATTTTTCCTCAATTATCTCTCAACTTAAAGGCTACCTCTGAAACTTGGAAAATAATGTGATTTTCCAGCAATTTCTGTTAGCTCCATTTCAAATATATGTTTCCTTATTTACTATGTGCCAGGAGTTTGTTTTTTCATTTATATACTATTCACTTTCTGATGGACTCATCTTAAATCTTTTAACAGTCATGGTATTGTTTTCTTCCCACAATGTAGAAAAAATCCACACCAAGTTGATTTGAGAACAGCCAGAGTCTTTCTTGAAGTTGCAGAACTCCACAGAAAGCATCTGGGAGGACAACTGCTCTTTGGCCCTGACGGCTTTTTGTACATCATTCTTGGTGATGGGATGATTACACTGGATGATATGGAAGAAATGGATGGGTTAAGGTAAAAGGCTGATCACAGATGGGTTCCTCTCAAGGTTAAAATAGTTTAAGTGCCAGAAGAAAAGGTGGGCACCAGTGAATTAAGAACCATCTTTGAATGGTCACCTTGGTTAAATACTTAACTTTTGTCATCAGTGTCTGCATTTATGAAATGAAGAGGAATTCACTAATATGCTACGTGATCTTTTGTTTGTCATGAAAAGAGTTACTGTTGTGTAGTTCTCTGTTCCAGGGCTGCCTCTGCTCCACAAAGCACTGAGAAGCAGTGGCCCTGTACAACCATACTGCCTCTCAACACTGTGTAATAGGCTAACACCGCCCAGCGAACCTTCCTGGGAGATATAGAATACATAGGTTTAGGCTGACAAAAATTAAGAGAACAGAGGCAAAAAAAAAAAAGCAGTGTACTACTGATGCCACAGTCCTCAGCCACCATCACACAGTGTCTTGGTTCAGTTGCTTGTCTGGAACGGCCCAGTTTCATTTTCCACAATAAGGAATTTATTTTATTTAATTATTCCTTTATTTATTCAGACAAGGTCTCACTCTATTGCTCAGGCCAGCATGTAGCAGCACCATTATGGCTCACTGTGGCTTCAAACCCCTGGGCTCAAGAGATCCGCCTGGCCGCATGCCACCACATCTGGCTCATTTTAAAATTTTTTGTAGAGATGGAGTCTCGCTATGTTGCCAGGCTGGCCTTGAACTCTTGGCATTAAACAATCCTCTCACCTTGGCTTCCCAAAGTGCTGGGATTACAGACGTGAGCCACTGCATCCAGCCACTTTAATATTTTATTTCAACTAAGGGGATGATTTTTTCATCAATAGAGCAACCTCACCATATTTAATATAGGTGAAATATATAATGAAAATGTAAAACACATACTCTGTCCCCCAATTTCTCAGTGATTTCACAGGCTCAGTGCTACGGCTGGATGTGGACACAGACATGTGCAACGTGCCTTATTCCATACCAAGGAGCAACCCACACTTCAACAGCACCAACCAGCCCCCCGAAGTGTTTGCTCATGGGCTCCACGATCCAGGCAGGTGAGAACACAAGTCTGTCTTCTCACTGGCTTTTAAGCCAGGCGGGGATCCGAGAACTGGGAAAATATAGCATAGAGCATATACCATCACAGAGCAGCCAAAGGTAGTATCTAAGGCCATGCCTCTAAAGTCACAACAGGTCATTACTCAAGTGAGTATTTAGCACACTGTCTTCTATTACTGTGAGAAGCAGATTGAGAAGGCAGATTAGACAACGAAAAGGACAAATTCATGGAGAAAATTTCACCTTAAAATGTGGAGAGGTTATTATCAGATAAACACTATTGGACTAGTATAATGACCAAGACTTTAATCTGAACAGTTTAGAGAGATCAACTTTTTGATTTGTCTCCTTAAATCCCACTAAGTCTTAAGTTCTTTATATATTACATGGCGGTGATAATAACTGCCTTGCTATGATTAAATAAAAATCTGTAAGTAAAGTACCAAATAGTGTGTCTGACTCCTGGTAGGTTTTAAATGAATTGCAATTCTTGTTATCATAGCTTCACTTAAATATGATGCTGCAGTGTTAATTTGCAAGGAGTTGAGCTAAATATTAACTTTTATTTCACTTTGAAAACATTGCAAATACTAAAGGACTCCATATTAACTGTTGGTACTACCATGAACCAAAACAAAGGAAAACTAAAAAGTATGTAGGGTGGGAAATTTGGGGTACATTTTGTAAAAATGCTATGAAGTATAATACAGCAATTTCAGTAACGAAAGCTTCATCCAGTCTATGGTCTATTATTCATACTCAGGGATATCTGGCCACATCCATTTATTCACTAAGTAGGTTATTATTACCATTTAATGTTTATTGAGTGTTCACTATGTGCAAGGTGAATATTTCTCAAACTTTTTATTTTTATAATCCCTCATGCCCTTCATCTCTCCTCCATCAAACCCAAGTCTACAGTTCATTTCCTTTTTGGCATCTCAGCAGATCTTAAAATCTGTGAGACAGGGAATACTTAAGGTGGGTTCAGGATGTGGAGGAAACTGTCACATTCCATTCCTAGAGCTCAGAACTCACAGATACCACCACAAAGCAACACTTTGAAGTCAGGCAGCCTGAGTCACCACAATCCCGCTGGAGCTTTCTCACAACCTTCCTGGGGGTCCTGAACCTCAATGCAAAAACATGGGATGAGGTGCTTTACAGACCAGATGTGTGGCAAGATGCCTGTGCTGCGGAGCCTCCCCACCTCTGGTGGCAGAGGGCTGAAGGAAAAGTTGGTGTTTATATTCCACCTCCCTCCAAAAGTATTCTAAGCAGAAGACGATTTAATAAAGCAGAAAGAAAACTAAATTAATTATTGGCTAAAAATAAAGGGAACTTTTATTAAGCACTTGCTGTGGGGTGCTGAACTAAGTATCTTGTGTACTTTATCTCCTCTCTGCTTCTCAGCAAGGCTCACCATCAGCCCCACTTCTCCCACTCCCCTTTTATTAATAGACTAGTTAAAGGACAGTGATAGATGCACAGCAAAATTGAGAAAAAGGTATAGACATTTTTATATTACCCGTACCTCCACACATGCATAGTCTCTCGCATTATGATCATCCCCCATAGAGAAACATTTGTTATAGTTGATGAACTGACATTGACACGTCATAATCACCCAGAGCCCATGGTTTACATTAGGGTTCACTCTTGGTGTTGTGAATTCTGTAGGTTTAGACAAATGGATAATGACATGTATCCACCATTATAGTATCACCCAGAGAGTTTCACTGGCAGGGCCCTTTTTCACATGAGAAACTGAAGGTTACAAGGGTCAAGCAGTTCTTAGTGGACCTGGTATTCAGCCAGAGCCATAGCTCCAAGCCCCCAGCAACTCTACCTGGCCTGCTTTCCAGATTTGCTGTTTCTTGTTGGAAACAAGTCAAACCTCTTTTTCTCATAGTTTCTCTATCTTCAAAGAAAGGTAATAGAGGAAAATGTTCTCTCCACTATGGATTTAGTTCCACCTTAAGTCACAGCATGACTGTATCATGATCCCTGCCAGGCATTGTCTTCTGTGAATCATTGAACTAGAGAGGACAATAAAGGGACTGTTGCCACAGAACAACTAACCCATCTTTGGCAGGTCACGCTTATGGTTTCCCTATCATGAATGAGATCATTGGGAGCCAAGAGTTTATGTTTTGTTTTTTGTTTGTTCTTTTATAATTTCTACATGACTCTTACGTCTCTTAAGAACCAGCACCAACTCTCAATTTTTTATTTTATTTTTTAAATTTCTTTATTAGCTCCAATGGTTTCATTTTGTTTTTAAGTAATTAATATATTTTGTTGGCCTAGAACAGTGATTCTCAATGGGATAATTTTACCCCCAGGGGACATTTGGCTATGTCTGGGAACATTTTTGGTTTTCACAATTAGAGTGTGATGGGGGTGAGGGAGTGATGCTACTGGCATTTTGCCTGTAGAGGCCAGAGATGCTGCTAAACACCCTACAGTTGGCAGCACAGCCTCCCCAGACAAAAAATTACCTGGCCCAAAATGTCAGCAGTGCCAAGATAGAGAAACCTAAAAACAATGCAAGCCTGTTTTCCACACTTTTGATAACTTCCAAAATTGTATTATATAACTTCATTCTTCCCCCAACCCAAGCTCCTCATACCCAGTCCCTCAGTGATTGAAACATTCCACAAACCTTGAACCCCTCTTATATTCCTGGCTTTGAACCAGATAACAGGAAGATAGTGATGAAGTTGCAAGTCCTCCCCTTATGGAGCTTCCTGTCAGTGGCTTAAGTCACAGAGATACTCTGGCCCCCAGATTAGGGATGGAAAACATGAAAACAGAGTCAACGTAAAAGACCTCGATATTTGTAGGGACCAGCTTTACTATATTCCTGGAATTAAAGCACATGTTTTCCTGTGTTAGAGCAGCCTAAGTTTTAGAATGCAGCAATTTCATGTAAGAAACCCAAAATTAATGTTATAACTAGTACTGTTTTGTGTGGCACAGAGATGAGTTGATGGTAACACTGTTGTTTTTTTTATGTTATTTTACCTTAAGTTCTGGGATACATGTGCTGAACTTGCAGGTTTCTTACATAGGTTTACATGTGCCATGGTAGTTTGCTGCACCTATCAACCCGTCATCTAGGTTTTAAGCCCGTATGCGTTAGGTATTTGTCCTAAGGCTCTTCGTCCCCCTGCACCCCGCCCCCCAACAGGCCCCAGTGTGTGATGTTTCCCTCCCTGTGTCCATGTGTTCTCATTGTTCAACTCCCACTTATGAGTAAGAACAGGCGGTGTTTGGTTTTCTGTTCCTGGATGGTGACACCGATTCTTATTCACAATACTTTACCAGTGTATTATACATGTGATATTCCTTAAGAACAGACTAACAATTGTTTTAAGACAGTGTGCATATTTATAACATAAGAAATTATAAATCATAAGAGAAATTAAGAAATATATTCCAGAGATTAAGCTTCAACCAAGTAAGCAAACACATCGGACTACTTCCTTCAGTGCTTTCTAGAAGATCCAAACTAAATTGCCATAGGATCCTTGCCAGTCCACAAAGGGCTCCTTCCTATGTCAGGAATCTCCAGTCTGAGCTTGGAAAAGATCACGGTAGGAATTAATGTGTATCCCCTCTTGTTATGCAGATGTGCTGTGGATAGACATCCCACTGATATAAACATCAATTTAACGATACTGTGTTCAGACTCCAATGGAAAAAACAGATCATCAGCCAGAATTCTACAGATAATAAAGGGGAAAGATTATGGTATGTAGAGCATAATTTGCTGATTTTGCTTTAGTTCAAGTTTTGTCTTAGTATATTTAGTAATTGAAGAGAAAGGGATTTCTGAAAAATGAGCATTTGGGAAAGCATAAAAACACTGGCCTAACAATCATGCAGGAGTAAATTGCTCACTTTTTAAAGCTCCAGTGACTCTTACAAGCCCTGAGGGTTCCATCTGGTTAATTACCATGGATTGAAAGGTTCTCAGTAGGTCCAAAAAATTTAACCGTCCTTCAAAAGTTAGCAGCTTATATTTTGTTCATCAGAGAATCAAGATGAATAAGTTCTATTCAGTAGGGGAGAGCAGCTTGTCTTAACATCTTATATACAGAGAAAAAACAAGTGTTAAAAGTAAGACATTTCTCAATATCCAACATGCCTGTCTCAGCAGTTAGGAAAATTGTAAGTGATTCAAATAAGAATGTAATTTTTTAAAAAATGTTTATCTTAGAGAAAACAAAGTAATCAACTTGAAAAACAAGTCATGGGAATGGGACATTTAAGCAGTATTTTTAATAACATGATTACTTGAATATTTAGAGAGAACATGTAAAAATATAAAGTTGGATAATAATAAAGTTCAAAACACTTAGTATTTTTTAATATTTTAGTATTTATTCCTTTTGAAGGAAGCAATATATCAACCATTATTATGATTCAGGAAACACAGTAGATTAAGATTATTAAATTGATTGCTTTTTCTATTTACTCATTCAATACAGATATTTATTTAACACCAGGAATGAAGCAGCTGTGTTAGTTCATGTGGTATTCAGTTATTTTACTTTTTTTTCAGGTGTGTGTGTGTGTGTGTGTGTGCACGCGCATCTTTTAAAAGCCAAACCAAAGAGTAATGTGATTTGGAAAAAAAAAAAAAAACTAATGAGTCACTAGCTCGATGGAATTTTGGCTACATTTGTAGATTAAACAAAATTCTACAGTCACATTAATTGAGGTTAAGCTAAAATTGGTTACAATATTAACAGCACTACATTTATTTATTTTAAAACACATCTACAGTGCTTACTACATGCCAGACCCTGTAGTAAGCACTTTATACTCATTTCCTTTACAGAACAACTCTATGTGATAGGCACTATCATTGGCCACATTGTACAAATGAGGAAACTGAGGCACAGAAAGATTAATTGTCACACAACACAAAGTGGCAGAGTCTGGATTTGAATCTGACCAGCCTAACTCCAGAGTTTGTGACCTTAATTATTCAATTATGCTACCTCTCAGTGTGCTCATTATTTAAAATTTCTCTTATCTTTTCTACTTTTTTGTAGTCTCATATACACCATAATCACATGGGAGGGTAAGAGGTCGTTAAAAATTACTATCTTTTCACAAAAGCTTTTGATAAAATCTGTTGATAATGACTTATTTGATCTTAAATACATAAAAGGTAATTTTCAGATTAATTTGCAAGTAGCTTTAGAGCTTTTCCATTACAATTAGCATGCAGATATCCAAGTATGTAATGGCCTGCACAGAAAGATAGAGACACAAGACTATACACATGTAATCAGGAGTTATTGAAATAGACTTTGTTATCCACACAACTCTATAAACAGAACATTAAAATATTTTAAATGAAGATATTACTTGACTAAGTTACAACATTTTCACATATAGAATAAATGCATGTTTAAAGACCTTTTATGTACTATGTTTTTATTTTCATTAAAGTGTAGGCTTTTAAACATTTTACATATTTTGACAGAGCTCTGTCTCAATTTACTCAATATATGCAGAAGCATTTCTACACAAAACTTAGTATGTAAAGCCTTAAATGTTTTTTTTTTAAGTATTTTGGTTCAAAGTAAATAATCATGAGTCCCAAAATATCCAGATTCTAATTTCATTGAAAACTTGGTATGTCTTGCAAATTCAACAACAGCAAGCGTTTGCGGAGCATTCTGATTTCATTAAGCTGTACATGGATGTCCTTTAATGTTGATACTATTTAGCAAAGACTGTTTTCATTAAATAGCTCTAGCAAGAAACCCTTTGGTGTATCATAGAACACATTTCAGAGTTAAATTACTATAGTAATTGTTGTTTGGTGTACATTCCTTTTACTTTATGAAAATATGTTTCATTTGATCTAATGCTATGTTTCTTTCCAGAAAGTGAGCCATCACTTTTAGAATTCAAGCCATTCAGTAATGGTCCTTTGGTTGGTGGATTTGTATACCGGGGCTGCCAGTCAGAAAGATTGTATGGAAGCTACGTGTTTGGAGATCGTAATGGGTAGGTTTCCTGATACCACAACAGTATGATATACCAAATGACATATCCATTAATCATTTGGCAAACTGCCACAAAATATTCAAATGATTGTCTCTTTTTGTGCATCAGATGGGGAATACACATAAATATTATTTACTTTTAGTTCCATAGATATAGTGGTTTAATTGAAGAACTTCCAAAAAGATGCTCTCTCAACAGGCTTGATAAATTTCATAAAATAATTTTTAAGGGCACAGAAGTCTTCAGATGGACTTTTCATATTATTTAGGCTCTTCCCTTCATCCTCAACATAAATTTACCATGACAATAAATAATTTGAAAACTATTGTTTTACTTGCTGTATAAATATTTTAAAAATTATATTGCAAGGCTCAAGATTTTTGGTTTTGCCAAATTTTCAGGACTTTAAGCGAGATAATATAATTTGTCTCTATAAGTAGGAATAATACAAAATTAAATTTTAGTCTCAATTTTCAAGGTCACATTGTGGATAATTGTAAGAAACTCTGTGACGAAATCCAAATTAAGAATCTTGTTTTCCAAGTCACTGGCATTCAGGCATATGGCAGAGCTGATACTCTTGGTCGCTACAAGGAACTAGAAAAATGTACTGACCCCATGCTCTTCCCCTGTTCCTCTCTCTGATTAATAGCACAGCATGGATTCTAGTCCTGGCGAGGAAGTATCATTCTCTGGATGAAGGGGAGGGCTTTTCTCATACTCAGGTACTTTTAGTGCCCCCTCCAAACAAAATACTATCTTTAAGTACTTTCTCCGCATATGGGAATTTCACAGTACTCACACACGTTATGGGCTATGTTATTTTTCCCTTTAGAAGCCAGGTCTATGGCAAAGCAATTGTTTGTTATGAATTTTATTTTAAACATCTTATTGTCATCAATAAACAAAAGTGTGTATTCATTGTAGCTTTATGGTATGTTTCTGTTGTAGGAATTTCCTAACTCTCCAGCAAAGTCCTGTGACAAAGCAGTGGCAAGAAAAACCACTCTGTCTCGGCACTAGTGGGTCCTGTAGAGGCTACTTTTCCGGTCACATCTTGGGATTTGGAGAAGATGAACTAGGTACTGTACAATCTAGTTCTGTTAAGTTTCATTCTCACTTCCTTTTTCAAGAGGCTTTGTTCTGCCCTGAAGAATAAATACAGCAATCTTATCCTCTACTTGTTGGAAATGTAATCCACAGCAAAGATGACCTACTCCAGAGATTAAGATAGTCCAGTTACATATTCTCTACCAGTAACTTTTCCCTGAGAGCCTTTATATTTTATTTTCACACTAGAAATACCAAAATATAAGGCAGAAAAATGGGAGGCAGGAAAAGAATTTTTTAGTCCTGAAGAGATAATTTTTTAAATGTTTAATGATATTTTTGATTATACATCTGAGTAGTTTGTGTATATTCTCTATCTAAAAACCTTTCCATGTATCCATGTCTCTTGGAATAAATAAAAAAGTTTTGTTGGAATCTGAAACTTGCCTTACCCGCTATTTCTTTTTTCTTTTTTCTTTTTGCCCATTGGGGCACGAAATTTGAGCAAGATGATCTGAGTGCAGATCTTCTTTCCAATAGAATAGAAATTATGTTCTCATGGGACAATCTATGGTATAACATATAATATACTTCTTGGCATGTTTACCAAAATGTATGCAGCTTAAAAAGCAAAAAAGAAGTTGAAATTGAAATATGATCAGTGAGTAAAAATTTTATTCTCTACTAATTTAAATTACAGAGATCAATGTAGTTTCATAGTGACTCCCTTTAAAAAATAATATTCAAACAAACCTTAACTATTATGCTCCTTTAGCCTCAGAGATAAATTTCTAGGCATAAAGAAGAATGTATGTTTCCCATGTTAATCAGAATATTTTCTCTAAAACTTCAGATTTGGTTTTTTTTACATCAAATGGAGACTTCATCAGAAATAGTTTCATGCCCTTTACTTAGAATAATAAGGGACTCAGACAAGACTGTTGAAACACATAAGATAAGTTTCAGAGCCACAGGAATATAACAATTCAAAGAAGAGAATCCAGTCTATTCTTTGCTTGTTCCAGCACTGAAAGCAATTTAAAATTTTTCCTTAACATTCCCCTACCGCACTCAAAGGAACCAGAAAGATACTTCCCCTAACTTACATCCTCTGTAATATAATTTTAATTTCACTGGCAAACAATGATTTCAAATTTAAAAGAATGAGGATGGGCATGGTGGCTCACGCCTGTAATCCCAGCAATTTGGGAGGCCAAGGCAGGTGGATCGTCTGACATTGGGAATTCAAGACCAGCCTGGCCAACATGGTGAAGCTCTGTCTCTACAAAAACTACAAAAAATTAGCCGGGTATACTGGCAGGCCCCTGTAATCACAGTTACTTGGGAGGCTGAGGCAGGAGAATCACTTGAACCCTGGAGGCGGAGGTTGCAGTGAGCCAAGATCGCACCATTGCACTCCAGCCTGGGCAACATGAGCAAAACTCCGTCTCAAAAGAAAAAAAAAAAAAAAAAAAAAAAAAAAAAAAAAAGTAAAAGAATGGTTTGTGTCTGAGTTAGAGATGAATGTTTAAATGTTGTGACTGAATAATTCTGATTTTCCCAGACCTTGCTACAAATGATTCATCATCACTCATTATGTTAACGTCACCACCATTAGGTAAAATATCCCAAATGTCTGTGTACACCTAATACTATTTAGAAGCAGAACTAAAAAATAAAGATATATAATCCTGACTCTCCAAAAGCTACAACCCTGTATATACCTCATAATTAAAATAAATACAGTTTCACTGGATTACATTTTAATGTGAAACTCGCTAGCTTTAATTGAAGAACCATATAAGAAAATGAGTAAGTTTTTGCACCTTTTGAAATAAAAGTATTGAGAGTCTGGGACTTTGCATATTATTTTTTTAACTATAAAGTCAGGATGGATTTGTTGTGAGGATTAAATGAAGTAAACTATAAAATACTTGACAAAATAATATTAATTCTTTTGCTTACATTGCTTTGTACTTTCATTTTTATTTTTTCTGTTGTGCCTACGTTTTTAGTACAAACTGTGTAAATCCTTTTCAGAAGTAGAAAAGTAGCAGGGTGTGTTTAATGCACAATAATAAGAGAAATATAGACTAAAGGATTTTTCATGGGGGAGGACCAAATATAAATTTTAAAACTTTATAAATGTGTAATTATAAATATGGCTTCAAATTTTCTATTCACATGATCAATTCAACACATAGAATTATATGGAAGTAGTGGTGATAAACGGGGTGGTTTTCTCCTAAAAGAGTACCCCATCTGTTGTATTTCATCATTATGAACACAGCTAGCATCAAGAGTTAGAGTTTAGAGAGTTGAGACTGAGCATCAAGGTCTCTCTCTCTCTCTTTCTCTCTCTCTCTCTCTCAATCCTTCTCTCCCCTCTCCCCCAGTGTTTATTTTAACATATTTTGATGTACTTTCATGTCTTCTAAAAAGCTAAAGAAGGCACAACCCAATTTCATGTGGCCTCAAATTAGCAATTAACGGTAACAACTTGATAACTGACATGTATCAATCTTGCACAGAAATAAATCAAGATAAAATTTGTCCATTCAATATCCATTCTACAAATATTTATTGAGCACCTTCTCTGTGCAAAGCTCTGTTCTGGATGCTGGGGATGCAGCAGTGGATAAAGAGACAAAAGTCTAAACTAGTGTCATGAAATTTATATTGTACAGGAGGAGGAAAATCAAAATAAATTTTTAAAAAATACGGTACATAAATTGGTAATAAATGCTTTGAAGAAAAATCTAGTAGTGAAGAGGAATTTGTTGGGAGTTGGGGAAGGTGCGATTTTAAAGTGCAGTCAGGAAAGGTGATATTTAAGTACAGCCTTGAAGAAGGGGGGAAAAAATGAACCTAGTGGAGACTCACAGGAAGATGGAGCCTGTAATAGGGGCCTGGAACAGCAAGAACTTGAGACAGAAGCCTGAGCTGGGAACTTGCCTCTCCTGTGTGAAATCACAAGCCGGTGAGGCTAGAGAAGAGTGAACAAGAGGGCAAAATGTTGCAGATGAGGTTATAGCAGTAAGTGCTACTGTCAGGACTTGCTTTTGCTCTGGATGAGATAAGAAGCTATTGCAGGGCATTGAAACAAAGGAGTGTGATCCAACGTACATGATCTAACTCCTTTGAAAAGAATCACTGTGGCTGGTACGTTGAGAATACACACAGAAGAACAAGAGTGGCAACAGGGAGCTCAGTTAGACAGCTGTTGCCATAATCTAGATGAGAAATAATATCTGCTTGCACTGGAGTAGTAGTGGGATATGGAAAGGAGTGACTGGAATCTGGAATTCTGGATGCACTGTAAAGGCAGACATGTGAGACTCTTGCATAATCTTTAGGCAAGTGATTTTCTTGTGGATAGATGGAGATAGATTGACATATAGAATAACTGCCAGGCAATAGGAAGTAAGGACCTCTACTGCTATAAATTTGCTTATTGTTATTTCTTTCTTTAACAGGTGAAGTTTACATTTTATCAAGCAGTAAAAGTATGACCCAGACTCACAATGGAAAACTCTACAAAATTGTAGATCCCAAAAGGTGAGATTTCCTTTTATCCCATTAAGTCAAGTAATTTTCTTCTTCCAATTATTTTAGTTCATTCAATTAATGATAGGAATGTCACAATTAGCAATCAGCCAAGATGTACACTTTTACCATTTCCATATGCTTAGAGCTGTCCTGAAAGGATTTTCTTCGCCTGTCTATGATGACTGATGCCACTATGCAGAACTTTAAAAGCTCATTCATGTCGTCCTTGCTGTCATCACAGAGCACCATTATATTCATGGAATCAGAGTCCTCAGTTAAAAGCCAGAAAGGGGCCCTGACGTGTGAGGCAGTGGCTTAGGCTCTGGTGTTGGAAGCCATAAACCCTCCTTATTGTTAAGAAAACGAGAAACATACTGGCAGACATGACAGCTGCTTAGTATGATTTTTGTTAAGTAAACAGGTAAGTTACTTTGGCAGTTCAACATCTGAGCCTCATTTGGAAACTATCTGAAAGCTTGCAGTGCTCATGAAGACTGTGGTGACTAGACAAATAAAAACTTAAGTAGGGTTTTGTTATTTGCTTCAGCAAAAGAAAGATTTGAATGTTTTATTCCTTTAAAGAATATGTTTATCTCACCCCTGGTCCTTCCCACTCACCCATCACAACATTTATACATATGTACTTCAATCATCTTGAATCATCAATAGTCAGTTGTTAATTTCATGGATCAAACCTGAGCTATCAGAAGCTGATAAAATTATATGTTGTCAAAAATACATTAGTCATAAATTTAGAAACAGCTAATCATAACAAAACCTAAGGATTCTCACAGACACGACTGTTGTTGAGCACTAGGACTTGTTACTCTTTAGCCACACCATGCTGCAAATTTCGGATTCCTTCTATACTATTTTCATGACTCCATTTTCAAATTACAATTCAAGTCTTTTTCAAAAGAATTAACTCTAATAATCTGAAAAGTTTACTAAGGGCACTTTAAAATATTCTTTCTCAATTGCAAATTGTATATGTTTTTCTGAGATTTTGTCCTTTTTCTATGCAACAAAACGCTTTTCTGAGGGAAATGTAGGTCGACATTGGCTCTTGCAGAACAAAAAAAGAATCAGTTCAAACAATCTCTGGGCAGTATCACATATCACATATCACAGGTTGATAACATCCCTTCTCTATTTAACTGTATACATTTTCTTTCACAGTAAGATAAATACCCATCTATATACTATAGTGATTTTTTTTCCACAAGTGTGAAATTAATGACCTCCATAAGAAAAGCAAAGATAAATGAAAATAAAATCAGACACTTAGGGGATTATTGAAGTTGGCAACCTTAAGAATAAAAATCAAACTAATGTTAATTCACAAAATAGCAGCATTCTAAAGACTCATAATGAGGTGTACGGATTTCACTCAGATATAATACAATTAGTTTCAAAACAGACATTGTTATTCTGTTATACTGTCTCAGTCTATGTGTTTTTGCAAAGTACCTGGTAGCATTGTAATGGATTCTCTCTCCTTCTCACAAAAATCTTTCTCTCTTCATCTGGATTGTTTAGTCTGTGGCTGAGTTTAGGTGCATTTTACACCTTCAATCTATTATTAGTGTCTAATTACCAAGGTTGCCATAAGGGACCTTGGCTTTGTGATCTTAGTTCTCCTCTAGTAGGGTGGTCTCAGAGTGACATACCTGAAGGCCTGACTTCTCATTATGGTGCCTGTTTCTGGTGAGTCATGTCATGTGGGGGGCCCGGGTTAAGATTTGTGTTTGCTTTTCAGAAGGTGGGGGAAGTAGCAGAGTCCCAAAGAAACCGTCCTTGTACACAGACATGAGCATAAATTTCAAAATTAAACTGACTATAAGAAAACAAATGTTTTTATAAACATTTGTTGGGAGCCTCATGCTGTTTTGATTTGGCCATCAACGTTTATTATCATAATATTTCTTCCTAGATGAGTTGACACTTAAGTATGTGAACAGGATTATTTTGGAAACAAACTAATTACAAGCACAGTAGTGTTCAGGAGGTCTGTGTTAGGGTAGAATTGTTTTTCTAAAATTTTTGAGGTAGAATTTTAAAAAAGATTCTTGTCAGCTAAAAAAACAATATATAGACACGTTTTGTTATACCAAAAATCAAACACAAATTAAACTTTTAGGTTAATTGTATTCTCATACCAAAACCCCCAGGTTTGCTAGAATAATGTTTTCAGAATAACTTTCAAACATCAGTTGATTTGTGGCCCAAGAAGAGAAAAGCAGGAAACTATGAAATTTTTATTTTCTATATTATATGTCATAGAAGTTACATTCTTACCATAGGATTTATGTTTTTCCTATTTTTCCCTACATGTGCACACACACAGACACACACAAAAACACACACACACACAATGAGGGAGTTTAGAAACCATAGAAACTATATACGCAGTATCTCTTAAATCATTTTGGCAAAAACAGATAAGGTTCTAGTATTACCACCTCAGTCTGTAAGGACAATTTGATCTAAAGCTGTAAGTTACATAATCATTTACATAAGTTCAAATCAATTACAGTGTGCAGCAATCTCAGAAAAGGATGGTGAGATATTCTCTTGTAAAAATTAAATGCCATTGTTTAGCATGAAAAAAAATAGAAAATGCCTAGAACTCAGGAGTTATTTAAGGAAAAAAAAAAAAAAAAAACTTCCAGGCCGGGCGTGGTGGCTCACGCCTGTAATCCCAGCACTTTGGGAGGCCAAGGTGGGTGGATCACCTGAGGTCAGGAGTTTGAGACTAGCCTGGCCAACCTGGTAAAAACTCCGTCTCTAGTAAAACTACAAAAAATTAGCTGGGCATGGTAGCGGGTGCCTGTAATCCCAGCTACTCAGTAGGCTGAGGCAGGAGAATCACTTGAACCCAGGAGGAGGAGGTTGCAGTGAATCGAGATTGTGCCATTGCACTCCAGCCTGGGTGACAGAGCAAGACTCTGTCTCAAAAAAAAAAAAAAAGCAACTTCCGAGGAAACAGAAAAGGAATTAAGTTTGCCTCCATGTTAGAACATTGTACACACTCCTGGAATACCTTCAGGGACTGAACAGTCACATCTTATGGCAGGGCAGAGTTAGGGTCAAATCAACACCAGTCACCCAGTTGGCTCAGCCAACCCACAGGATCCAAAAAAGTCTCTAGTACTGAATTCAGCATGCCATAGCCTGGGGGATCCTTCAGCTAGCAATTCTGAAAAACAGATTTAGATGAACTGAGGACAAAATCTTGGCAATAACTTTACTTTCACTTAGTAATGCCATCTGAAACTAGTCAAGATTGGGAGCAAGTCTATCTAGGTCAGACAGGGAGTCAACTGGTCTGATCTCTAAATCTTCCTTAGTGTAGCACTCAGCATAGATTATTTCACCATACTGTGTCCCTTTGTCCATCAAAAATATATAGAAGATGATATTTCTGTCCCTGCTGCATTCTACAGAGGGCTGTGAAGGTGTTTAAATAATCTATTTTAAACATATTACATTCTTTAGTAATTTTTGTGTGTTTATTCCAGGCATTCCAGGATTATTTTCAGGTGATCTCTCAACTTTTAAGGTTCCTTTATTTCCAAAATTGGAATAAAGACATCTATGGAGCTTCTAAGAATGCTCAGTAGAGCCAGGTGTGGTGGCCCACGCCTGTAATCCCAGCACTTTGGGAGGCCGAGATGGGAGGATCACTTGAGGTCAGGAGTTCAAGACCAGCCTGGCCAACATGGTGAAACCCTCTATCTACTAAAAATACAAAAAATTAGCTGGGCATGGTAGTGCATGCCTGTAATCCCAGCTATTCAGGAGGCTGAAGCAGGATAATCACTTGAATCCAGGAGGTGGAGGTTGCAGTGAGCTGAGATCACACCACTGCACACTGCAGCCTGGGCAACAGGGTGAGACTCTGTTTCAAAAAAAAAAAGAACTCTCAATACATAGTTTTCAAATTATACCTTGGATGCTCTTTGCTAAATCCTTTCAGAATTACATAAATGTTCCTAGGGGTGGAAATTAAAGAATTCTGACAAAGTTATGTAACTTCCAAGATTTATTTTTATAGAACACGAATTTTTTTATAGTATTGACAAATATTATTTAATTTTTGTTTCAGATGAACTTAAACCAAATGACTTTTTTTGAAACATTTCCAGAGTTTATGTTTCTAGGAATTTGTAAAGGAAAATTATTCTCCATCATGTTGATTTAATTATTATGTACCCACTCTTGCTATATTTTAACATATCATTTATCTGTTACCCAACCAAGTCACACAGACCATTCCCTTAATAAGTCTATAAATTAATAATGCAAATTCCAGGCTCGAGAGGTCATTTTACATACATGTTGTATCCCCAATCTCCTCTGTGACCAATATCAAAAACTGCCCCTCATTCCTCTTCCCCCCATGGCCCACTTACTGCCCTTTGTCTATTGTTTTCTTAATATCTTCATCCTACTTCTTATTAGACTGGATGCTAAAGAGTGCTTTTTTCAAAAAAATCACTTCATAAGAGGAAACCAGTTCTGTTTATCCTTTGCATATATCTCAGGGAGCCAGCAGGCAGCTCTGCCATCCTAAAGAAAGTTACACATAATAGAGCAGCTTTAGCCCAATAAGCCAGTCTAGTCCCAATTCATCAGCCAAAGTTTTATGCAAGTGGCCCCCCTAAGTTGATAAATTCCCACAGTGCCTGTTGACCCAGCTGCCAAGTCCTCTTGCAGCAGGTGGTGTTTTCATGGCCACCCTGACAGTAATACAAACTGTTTAGCAGCTCCATTGACCTTTCAGCTATTAACAGGGATACAGGCTCCACTAGGGACTAGTTTTCAAACATGACAGAATTTCTTAACACTAGAGGTCATGAACAAGTATATGCCCTATAAAAGTCCATTCAGCATGGTGGATTTGAAGTCTAAGAGGCAAGGAAACATTTTCCACATTTTTGCTATCATCATTATTCTATGTATCCAGTAACCAAAGATGAATATACATGTATCTGCCTGACTATATTTTATTATCAGTATACTAGATTTCCTGTTGTGGTGCACAATACCTTTTCATCTAACAAATCCCTACTAAGCTGCCATATAGCATCTGAAATTTTAGAGATATACCACAAAAGATTTGGGCAACATCAAAGTTGAAACTTCTAATGAATGGATGAGCATGCATACATAATAGATGGTAGCAGCCTGAGTATCACTAAAATTGTATTCATACTTTAGTAAGATTTGCATACATGTACATGTGTACAGACACACTGAAACATACAGGTAACACATGCAATGTTATGTAGAGCTGTCACCTATTTCAAAATAAATAGGTGCTATTATATAATAATTTATGACAAAAAACTTTGTGTGACCATGTTATTTTAAAGGGTTTATGTCTTATTTTTAAAAACCATCATATGCTTTTATTCCAAGTGCTGACAGATTTGTATTTATAAAATGCAAAACTACTTCTATTTCTCCCCTACTTGAAATCCTTCACTGGTCACCCACAGCTATTAAAGATGAATCTAAACTTTTAATTTTTCCCCAACTTTAAGATATAATTGACAAATAAGAATTGCATATATTTACAGTGTACAACATGATGTTTTGATAAATGTTGTGAAATGACTGAGTCAAGTTAACTAGCATATCCATCGCCTTACCTACTTATCATTATTTCTGGTGAGAACATATATCAGTCTTCTTTTGTGTGTGTGTGTGTGTGTGTATATATATATATTTATATATATATATAAGTATATATATATGTATGTATGCATATATATATATATATCCCATTTCCTGGAAATGTGACATATGACCACAGCATTCAAAGGAATTTTCTCTTTTATACTAAGTAGTCTCTTTTAAGCTATCAATTTTGATACTTAGAATATCATCTTCTTTAGTAATTGGATAGATTGCTATGAAAACTTGACTGAATTGCCACTTCAAACTGGCATTCATCTAAAAAGCCATAAAATGGAGAATGTGAATGGTGAAGAATATATTCTTCAAAGTGAGACTTATATATTGAGTGAAAAATTCTTAAAAGCATTTTCTTTTCAATTAACATGGCCACCACCACTGCCATGCCCACCACTATCTCTTGTAGGACAATGCTAGAAGTCTGATATTAGTCCTTTTGAATATCTTATACTTTTATAGTAAATTAGTATATCATCAGATATTGCAGAACCTTAAAGACAGATTTAATGTTGCATTAGATATGTCTGAAACAGTCATGCAAATTTTTTGAAAAGATGTTTTCTAGAGGAAGATGTAGCTTATAAAGAAAAAACTGCATCTTAGCATCATTTTGTTACTAATTCATTTTGTTTGATTTAAAAAATTTGTTACTTAAATGACTTATTTTTGTCAACCGTGACAAATGAATGATATATGAACATCAAAATTTGGAAATTCATCAGGCTAGTCATCTTCAAAGAGAATTTGAACTGACATTCCTGTGCTCTTTTATAGGAAAGAAACTTGTTTTAAATTTCTTTTCTCCTTTAAAGCATTTAGTGAATCTTAAATTTCTACCTTTGTATGATATGAAATTAAAACACTGGTAGATCTATTGCTTTATAAGTGGGGAAATGGAGCTAAGAATTTATTTTTTGATGATTTCTAAAACAAAAATACTGCATTCTTTAAGTCTTTTGAATTATGTTGTAATACCAGTGTTATTTATTTATTCTGTGGGTGTGTGCGCGTGCGTGTGTGTGTGTGTGTGTGTTTGAGACAGAGTTTTGTTCTTGATGCCCAGGATGGAGTGCAATGGCACGATCTCGGCTCACTGCAACCTCTGCCTCCCGGGTTCAAGCGATTCTCCTGCCTCAGCCTCCCAAGTAGCTGGGATTACAGGTGCACACTACCAAACCCGGCTAATTTTTTGTATTTTTTGTAGAGACGGGGGTTTCACCATGTTGGCCAGGCTGGTCTCGAACTCCTGGCCTCAGGTGATCTGCCTGGCTCGGCCTCCCAAAGTGCTGGGATTACAGACATGAGCCACCGTGTCCAGGCTATTTACTCTATTTGTTAATATTAGTTGTCATTCCCCTGGGCTATTTTTATCACAATAAAAATAGATAAAATCAGAAAAAAATTCTCTGGTTATATTAAGTTACTAAAGCAATACTTGTGTTTAACATTTTTATCAATTATGGTTTATGAATTAAGTATTTAAATTAAAAACTTGATTTTGGACATGAAATTCTGAACAGAATATATTTCCTTCTTTATATTAGGAAGCAATGGCATTGGCTTTTTTATTATAACCTAATTATTTAGTTTTTATTTTGTGTCATATCAGAGTAAGTACAGATATAATCCAAGATTTCTGATTTCATTAAGTCCTGATTTCATTAGAAGCATTTTTTAATGTCTCCTGTGTTCAGTATATTATATTTGCATTATGTGCTACAGAGGGAGAGAATGAATGAGAAGTTGGTCCCATCCCCTAAGGAGTTTATTTTCACTTTAAATCAGGAGATTGCATATATTATTAAAATGTAAAAAATATTATTTGAGGTAAAACAGTTTGAAACAAAAATACTGTACCATAACCCTGTACATTATAAATTGCCAAATTAATGATCCAGAAGTTCTTGATGTAGGTAAAATTCACCATGATTTGGTTTCCCATTCAAGTCTGTTCTGCTACAGTGCAAATTTCTTTAACACTAATAAGCTCATATACAAAAGAGAATATCAGCACAACATGAAAGTAGTTATGTAGCTTTTCAAGCAAGAGGTAACGAGAATTATAAGGAAAGGAACATGCCCTCAGCCTAGCTGTTGCACAAGCAGAAAAAGCCTTCTCAACTGAGCCGTCAATGAAAAGGAAGTGCCTGTACTGGGTTTCCCTCTCTCTCGATGCATCCCACAGTCTTCCATGGCTCTCTTCAGGGTGCACATCCACTTTTCAGAGTTTCACTTCCATCATTATTTTGTTTTGTGTGTTTCTAATCTCTCCTGAAGCGACCTCCAGCTACTTCTGAGCTGCTTGCTGGTTGCCCAAACTTTCTTCCAAGGTACCAGCTTTTGTTTTCACCACTGCTTTAGTTACAAAGCTGCACAGATCTTGAGGGGTCTGCCCCAAACCAATTCTTCCCATAAGCCCTTGTCTTAGTCAGCTGAGGTTGTTATAACAAAATACCTAGGTGGCTTAAACAACAGACTTCTGATCGTACTGGAGGAAATCCAAGAGCAGGGTACCAGCATGGTTGGATGCTTGGTGAAGGCTCCGTTTCTGGTTTACATATTGCCACCTTCTCACTGTATCCTAACACGATGGAGAGAGAAAGCAAGCTCTCTGGTGACACTTCTTATAACGGCAATAATCGCATCATGGGGGCTCTATCTTCATGACCTTATTTAAATCTCACTTCTTCCCAAAGACCCTGTCTCCTAATGCTGTTATTTTCGGGGTTAGGGCCTCAATATGTGATTTTGGAGGGAAACAAGCAGTCCGTAACAGCCCCCTTATTTTAAGTGCCATTTTGTGGAATACAATATTTTTCAGGAACATGTACATTGAATTACAGTAGAAATGCCTATTTTTCTATATTCACTGCTCATATTATAGTTGATCAGTTTCTAAAGCTAGGATATTGCAAATATAATACCACAAATACCTAAGGCAGTTTGATAAAACTGGACCTTGTCTTTTTATCTAAAAGCACATGACATTATTATTTAGTTTCATTAATCTTTTCTCCTAGGTTTTCCCTGTAAGATATTACATAACTTTTCATGTCCTGAATTTCCCATGGAAATATATGCATTGAGTTAAGTTGATAAACCAAAGTTGATACAGGATATCCACATACCCTTTTAGATATTTGTGTACTGTGGTGTTGATGATTGTATAGTGAGATTAATAGGACCTGAAATGTGGGTACATTGCTACCTTTTTTCCTAAAGTAAGAGGGCCAGTTCAGTGGAAAGAACACTGAACCAGGAAAGAGTTCCAGAATTCTCTGTAACTAGCTGTGTGAAAGCCACTTAATCTCTTCATACACTTTCTGATCTTTTAAACTTAAGAATTACAAAGCTGACCCTCTCTCATGAGAATAAAGTTAAACTTGAAAAATGTAAGTGGCTTCATTATTTGCTTTTATTATGGTTGCATCTTTAACCACAGAAGAAAATTAGATGGATATTTGTGAAATTTCTGACAATGTTATTAGCAGTAGACAGTCAAACCTGTGGCTCGATTCACTAAGTTACTACTGCTTTTGCCTCCTTTGAAAGGTTTAGTGCCAACTCAGTTTCAAACTGCCTAGGTATTAAAGCCAAGTAACACTGTTTCTTAGTGAGCAAGTGAGTTCAACCTGTGAGGATGAGACTTTTAAATCTTGGAAATCCTCAAAATGAAGAAAATATTAGTCGCAAAGAAGACAGCCAATGCTGAGCCCCACTTGTTTTCAGCACATTTCAGGACACAGAAATTTCTAGACACTATGTAAAAATAAGATAGAACATTAGCTTTATCCATCCTAAACTCAAATTTTAGAAATGTTTAGTACAAATTAAAAATTAGAATATGATTTATAAGGTATATAAATTCAGAGTTATCCTTGAATTCAAAGGTTTTTTTTCCTCTTTATTCTAGTATCAGAGTTATTTAAGAATACATAATACAGATATTTCTGCAGCCTACATATGCTATAATGTCAAGGAAGGTATTCCTTAAAAATAAAATGAAAGCTGTAACTCTTAAAACATTTAATTTCTTGCTGTACTTCAGATAGTACTTGAAAAATACATTAGGAAATGTGTGTTGCTGTCAATCCTGCCATGAAGTCCCAATGAGATCAATATTACATGGTTACACAGGAAGAGATTCCATTGGCTCCGTTCTTCTACCTGGAATATGGTTGTATTATAAATATATGATTCCTCGGCGAAATTTAGTTTGTATAATGCATTGTTGTTTTTAAAGCTGCCTACAAAATGGCTATGTGTAGTCTCAAAACATGCGGTAAATCCTTCAGAATACAGCATTCTACTCCTTATAAGTAAACTGACACTGAAGAAAGAAACACCGATATGACCAGGAAAAATTCAGTGAGCAGCCAGATTAAAGACAATTACGAAGAAGAAAAATATCAGTTTGTGTACTGCCTTTGAGAAAGGCACTAAAATGATTAATAAAAAGATGACACAGCAAGTACTATACTAGCACTTATTCCTATTCGTAAAGCTCCACAGATGGAAGACAGTAAAAATTTATCCCATCATAAGAAATTTTTCACTTCCTTACCCTTTTTTAGGTAAAAGTGATGAGTATTGGCTTAAAAATGATGAGTGGTCAAGGATAATCACTGTGTATCAAATTGCTTACAGCGTGAGGAAATTCATTAAACCATAGAATCTGCTGTGGCATTCGAAGACTGCCTCCTTGTTCAGGGCAAGGACTCCACCCAGTTGGAAGATTTCAGAGCATTCTGTACTTGGAAGTGCCTGAATACACTAATTAATGGCCACATTGATTCCTCCTGGCTGGGAAATGGACCTAATTTAGAAACAGGCCTCACAAACTTGAATATGCATGTGAGTCACCTGGCCATTTTGTTAAAGATTCAAAATCAGTAGGTCTGGGGTTAGAGCCTGAGATTCTGCATTCTGTGGAATGAGGATTTTGACTTATCAATTTTTCCTAACTCATGAGAATGAAAGAAAGCATGGAAGAAAAGTAGTTTTTTAAATGTTAGAGTTGCAAGGGTGCTCTTTTCCATGTGTCCCAATGTGTCTGTGGATAAAGGAGTAACACAGCTCTTATGTTACCTTCCACCCTTAAACATAAAGCTGTCTAAGACAGGCTACAGAATTATTACATCTTCTAATACTTCCATCAGGATATCTACATAAGTATTATTCTTGATCTGCATATCTTGTTTCACAATGAAATGAATTCAAAATCTGGACACCTCACAAAAATTTCAGAATGAGCTCCTTTATTTTTGTTAGACAAAATAGATTTCTGCAGTGCTCATTTGGAAGGGTAGTCCTCCTCAGACAGGATTTATCCTCGTACCTCCGCACAGAATCAAAGGACTTCTCATGTACTGATTTATTTGTTCATCCCCTAAATTAAATATCATGAAATGAAAACTGTTCAGAATACCACTACCCAAAGACATTCACTGTTGGTCTTAGCTATTCACAGAAAGTCATCACCTCTAATGGATGTTATAAATAACTTATGCTTCTCAACTTCCCTTCTTTCAAAAAAGTATCCAAATCTTTATACTACTACACAAAGCAAGCCAAAGTTGGTTTCTAAGAAAATTTTTTTAAATTTCTGAAAACAGTGCTTTATACATTAAAGAATGTTGGACAGTTTTTTGAACTAGGGTTTTAGTGTTTCATTATTTGTCATGCATGAAGGGATTAGGAAATATGTTTTTCTGATTTAAATTAAGTTCAAAGGCTATGGGGATAGCTGTCAACAAATAGGCTAGATATATTCTTTTTTACAAGCCTAAACAACCTCTTGGGTAAGTTTTCTGTTTTGAAAGTTACTCTGACTTCATTTAGTAAAGTGAAGGTTCCAAAAATTTAAAGAGTTATTGTTTAAAAGAAGAACGAGACAATTTAAATGATTCTTATTAGATCGTACATTAAAGCACCCAATTTTCCAGTCCAATAAAATTAAGTAAGAAAATGGGTTAATGCATCACAGATATATACCCTAAAGTTTTGTTTAGATTCTATCTAGGTGTGTATATGTAGTACTTAAGTATATGTAAGATGGTCTATTTCAACATGACAATAATAATAAAGTTTAAAGGTACTGTTTATTCCTTTTTTGTTTCTCTTTATTTCATGTAAAAGGGCCCTGTTCTTTTCAGTAAAAGGAAGAATGTCACCATTACAAAGAGTTATTGGAGGGGAATGGTTGGAATCACCAAAAATCTTTGTCAGACGTTACCAAATATTAGAAAAATGAATTTTAATGTGTTGACTTAATTCCCATCTGTAAGAGAAGACAATCCTCTCTCTTTATCTCATGCTCACCTTGACTTCTTAGCCTTCGGTTTATTTACTATGATTATAATTATTATCAAAATGCATCTTTCAGAATGAGTATAACTGTACCTTGGAAAAAAACTTTAAGACAAGTTTATTTAGGCAATAGAGAGAAATACAGTAAATGTTTTGTGTTTATGATATGAAAGTATAGCAATTAGATTTTAAGGATATCCCTCCCCTGAATGGCCCATATTTTCCTAATATCTTTACACAACAACATAGAAGGGGCACAAACACCCTTTTAAAATTCCATATTCTTATTAATTTCATTCATTCAATAGATTTCTATTAACCATCTTCCATGTGCAACACATTCTTCTAGGTCCTGGGGAGCCACAAGAGATGAGAGGAAGTGTTTGTCCTCATGGAGTTCATATTTCAGAGAGTGTATTTGAGAAAGTTACTACTATATAAATTCAATTTAATTTATTTATTTTACTTATTTATTTTGAGATGGGGTTTCACTCTTGTTGCCCAGGCTGGAGTGCAATGGCATGATCTTGGCTCACTGCAACCTCCGCCTCCTGGGTTCCAGCAATTCTCCTGCCTCAGCCTCCTGAGTAGCTGGGATTACAGACACCCAGGACGACACCCAGCTAATTTTTGTATTTTTAGTACAGACAGGATTTCACCATATTGGCCAGGCTGGTCTCAAACTCCTGACCTCAGGTGATCCACCCACCTCAACCTCCCAACATGCTGGGATTACAGGTGTGAGCCACCGTACCTGACCTAATTTAATTTAATAAACATTTATTGACTGACTATACAGGATTTTCCTAGTTCCTATGAATATGAATACTTGAAGAAGATAAAATACATGGTGGTATAAATGTCATCTCTCTATAACATCCCTTAAAGTAGTTGCCTCCTCATCTGTATTTCTATGATACTTCATGTGTGCCTGTATCATAGCAAAGATCACACTGCATTATACTTTTGTGTATGCATGTTTGTCTTATCCTCAGTGGTCTGTGTGAGGCTCAGGACCCTGTACTATTTATGTCTTATCTCCCTGAAGAGCGCAGTACTTGCCCAAGTAAATGATTGGACTTGAAGAGGATTGAGTATGTAGCTTCTGCCCTCAGAAAAACTTCAGTGAAGAAGGGAAAAAAATAGATAAATAGCCTATTCCTGAAGAGAACCCTAAAAGAGACAGGCAATCTTTTAGGTAAATGTTCATATTAAGGGAGCCCTGATAGAGTAACAGTTTAAAAGAGAGAGGATTGATTTAATATAATAAGTACAGAATGTTATTTATCAACTGTGTAGAACAAAAAAAGATAATTTCTCCCGGTATTTAAATAAAACTTGAGGGAATTACAATGTTTGTATATTACAGCCACACAGTCTTATATAAATTAAAGTAAACAAGCCCAGGTGTGAAATAATTACTACATCCGTGGGTAAACAAGCATTTACCAAATCTTAGGGAAAAAATAATTTAGAATCTTCTCCCTAATCTGAGTTTCCTTATGTTTGAATGTTTGGTGAAAAGTAGTCAAAGCATCAAATTGGAGTATCAGCAGAGAAACAGGGGTCAGACACTCTCCCCTAAAGAATAGCCCTTCAGTATCAGATTCCTATTTATCATGTCCTCATTCCTTTTCCCAGTGCCCATGAATCAGTGTTCCTATACTTTGCCTCGAACAGGCAATATCTTCTAGTTGTTGTTTAACAAAGTTCATCTATATTCATGACCTAAATGATGCCATCTCTTTGGATTCACCTATTCAGGCATAAACCATCTCATGGGGTAGTATGTGAGAGTAGGTACCTGCAAATTTTGCATTGCCTATAACATGTAATAGATTTTTGACATACTCTATTTCTGGGTCTCTTTTCTTGAATGAGTCAGAAAGTGGGTGAGCAAGTGAGTAAGGAATAGAAATTAGATGCACAGAATTCTGCAATTTCAACTAGAATATTTGTTTACTGAATGCCACTCAGTGGCCTATGACTCAGAAGAATTTCATGGCTACTGAAAAACTGCTCTTCTTGTGGTCAGAAATGCCACCATTGTCTCACAAACAAAATAAGAATTTTAAATGAGAAAGAAATAGAATATACTTGGGATACTCAAGAACAAGAAGAAGGCGAAGATTGTGTCCTTACTTTTCTTGGCATAGTCATTTAACATTTTCTCTACCTTATCCCACCCCACCCTTACTCCCAGAAAGACACTTTTGAGGAACATATGGAAACTGTTAATGTTTTCTGAATAAAAATATGCTTAGTGCATAGAATGCCTGAAGGGCCTTTCACATAAATTGACCATTCCTAGATTCAAATAAGAAGCTGAATAGATTTAAGGGAGTTTTCTGAATTGTCATGTTAGCTACAGAACATAGCACTTTCGACATAGAGTGGGACTTTTCTTCTGGAGAAGAGCTAGGGAAGCCACCGTACATTTTAAATATTTTTGTTTTTAACATATATGGTTTTTATATGGTTTTGAGTCATTGTAGAAACAGCCTGAGATCAGGACCCAAATTATCATCACTGTTCATATTGCCATAGGGACATAACAAGGTAACCTATCTCCAAAAAATTGAGTCTACAGGGCTTAATTATTTGCTTATCTCAAAAAGCTCTGTAATTTACCTCTTGAGGTTTTGACCTGTAATGATCACCTTCTTTTTATGGTACTTAAGGTGTCCATTTGCTTGGCCGTCCTAATGCTGTTGATTTGACTGTCAATGAAAACATTTGTTTACATTCCTTAACTGAAAAGAAACTTCTCACCACACTGTGGCACAGGTAACAGCGACTGATAGGAAAGTGCCACTGGATATTTTTTTCCCTGAAGATTAGGTAATGAGCAGTTGTGACCATGACTCCAGCCTGACCCAGCTCAAATGACATCTTATTTTAAAAACAGTAAGAACCATAAAAATCTTCTGAAGGCATCTTGGTTTCCACTATAAATGATGGCAGTTGTAGAACAATTAAAATCTATGACTTTTTACACTGCAAATAAGATGTTTCTGTTTGCTACTTTTAGCATTCTTTTTTCCTTATAGCAGGACAAAATCAAATTATTTATATATACATATATAATCATTACATATATGGATCAAAATCAGATTTTATATATATATAATCTTCACATATATATGGATCTTTCTGTGCATGGAGTTTAAACTTCAACTCAATAGTATACACACATATATTATGGTCACCTTTCAAGAAAAATCAGTCTAAAAATATTATCTCAAAAGAAATATAAAATTAAAACAAAAATAAAATTAAAAAAAAAAACAAAGATTCCAAAGCTTTTCAGGCTACAAGTCATTTTGATGAATGCCTTCAGCCCTGTACTACTGCCAACTGTGTCAATAACAAGTGAAACTATCTCAGACACTATTCCTAAACATTTTTGTAGATATAGGGTGAAAAGTTTTAAGATATTTATACTACTTTACTTTAAATATTGCAATTGTTAGAAATTCTTACTTACCAAATGTGAAATATCAATTTAATTAAAGATATTTTCATCAATGGGCTTTGATCAGGATAAAGTTTCTTAGAATGTTTAATGTGTTTAGTTGGGTTACAAACTGGTTAGTTTGTTTCCTCACTGGTATGTATTTCCTATCCTTAGAAAGTTGTAAATCTGACTGAGTCACTTAAAAAAAAAAAAAGTCTCTCTAGAAAGTAAGAGGCATGCTTTGTAAGCCACAGAATCACTAGATTTCATTCCACTGTTGATTTTCAAATGGAATACACTTTCAACTATTGTGTTTTAATGTAGACCTTTAATGCCTGAGGAATGCAGAGCCACGGTACAACCTGCACAGACACTGACTTCAGAGTGCTCCAGGCTCTGTCGAAACGGCTACTGCACCCCCACGGGAAAGTGCTGCTGCAGTCCAGGCTGGGAGGGGGACTTCTGCAGAACTGGTTAGTATTTCTGTTTTCACCTGAAAAGGACTGGGGATGAGCCAATCCTTAGGTACTCAAGAACTCAACATTGATTGTTTCTTCTACAATAATATAGTGTTCAAAAGTATTTAGCCATTTACAATACTATTAATGCTCATCTGTTTATGAGCTTGTAAGTAAAATCTTGTTCATTTTCTTAATGTAAACAATTCACTTATGTAAGTTAATTATAAATATACAAAACCTTTAAATGACTGAGTCCTTTCAAAAAGTAAAAAATGCAAATAGCACAACTAGATCATCTCTTTAGGCCTCTTGGTCCTGGGTTCTGAAATTTCACACTAGCCAATGACTTAGTGTTTGCAAAGCCCCTCTCCAAGCGCTAGCATTTTCCAGACACCCTGTAAATGCCCTCCCTGGCTTTACTGCTTGCTTTCCTACCACAGCAGACTAAAAACAGGGCTTTTCAGTGGGTGTTATTAAATAAAACGGGAAAATGCAATTATCTAGAGACATATTATGAGATTTTTTTTCATGCTTTTTGCCACTCCCCTGTGAACCATCAACTAGGTGTGCATCTGCTCAGAGAGAGCAAAGGAGATTTATTCCAGGGTTGTTCTAGCCTATAACTTGATAGTTCCTCAATTATGTGCAATGATGCTTAAGTTCTACTTGGTGTGAAGTCAGAAAATTAGATAAATTTAGAAACCTAGAGTTTAAAATGTGTATGTTGAAAATGCATAATCAACAACCAGCATATACCATCACTTAGAAATGATTTTGATCTCGGCTATTTCAAATATTAAAATACTTATTGCCAATGAAAATTAAAACCTCAAATTAACATTTAATATTATTTATTCATAAATGCTATCTTTTTGTTTGTCCTCAAGATGTATTTCAAAAAATTATAACTATAACTTGTCTATTTTTATATTGCCTAACAAAAAAACCAACATTTAAAACCACATATAGAGGATATATTTTAAACTTACATTGCTTCAGCATTAATAACATTATGTGTGTGATTAATACTATGGTTATGTATCTAGGAAGGAGTTATCAAAATTAAAACTCAACAGAAATTAAGTAATTACATTATTTAAAACAAATGCTTACATGTTATTTACCCATCTTCTCTGTCTTTTTGTTGGTTGACCAAAAATATGAGAATCAGTATTCAAATGTAATGATATTCAAATTCCTGCTAATTTATTATCTCTCTGCTTCCTTTGCTGCCTAACAATATCTACTTTTTCTGCATCTTTTTTTTTTTTTTTTTGAGGTGGAGTCTCTCTCTGTCGCCCAGGCTGGAGGGCAGTGAGGCAATCTCGGCTCACCACAACCTCCACCTCCTGGGTTCAAGTGATTCTCCCGCCTCAGCTTCCCGAGTAGCTTGGATTATAGGCGCCCACCACCATGCCCTCCTAATTTTTGTATTTATAGTGGAGATGGGTTTCCACCACGTTGGCCAGGCTGGTCTTGAACTCTCAACCTCATGTGATCTGCCACCTTGGCCTCCCAGAGTGCTTGGATAACAGGTGTGAGCCACCATGCCCAGCCTCTCTGCATCTTTTAGTAACAGAATATAACATAAAGTGTCCATTCTGTTATATTCCCTGCTTTGCATTTTGCCTAATCTCTTATGTTATCTGAAGCCTGCTAGTGACAGTATATTTAAACTGAGGGTGAATGAATTATCTCAAATACAGATGGCACTATATATACCTTAATAGATATTAATAATAAATTGTGATATAAATGAAAATAGACATACATTGAGTTAACATAAAGTTTTACTCCATGAGGTACTTTCATTTTTACACTGAATCAATTTAAATAGTTTGAATATATAACATTTACCAAAACCATTTTATAAAAATAATCTGTTTATGTGGGATGTTTTGGACCTAAACAGGAATTTTATTCATGTACTCACATTGTTTACTCATCTCCCACAGATTTAAAGCATAAAATTGTTTATTTTCTTCTTACTTTTTCTATCCCATGTGTCAACCACAGACACCTGGAATTTGATTAACGCATTTGAAAGGTCAAAATGACCCTGTCTCGTCAAAACATAAGGAAATGTATTGAAGGAATTTGACTCCATCCCCAGTGACTGTACTCCCCAGATTTAATCAGAAAATAGCAATTTATATACCCAATTTTATGTCTCATTTTAGCAGTATATCTTCTTATTTCCCATTTATATTGTAGTGGTAAAATTCTTTAATGAATAAATTCTGTGCTGTAGGGTAACCCTGAAAAGGTTTGCTCAGAACATCCTTTGCTGGCCAACTGCACTGACTCCAGAAAGAGACTTCTAAGTGTAATCAGAGAGCAAAGCATATGCTGTCTGCCCCCTGGAAGCAAGAGGAAGGAAGAATCCAAGGGAGTTTATATGGTGGATATTCCACCCAACCAAAATCCAAAACTGACTGTTCCTTTCTGTTGCACTGGAGTTGCTTGAGCCTCTGTGTCTCCCCCTCAGGCTGGGCCACTCCCATGTTGAGATCCTACCTTGAAGGAATGGGAACATAGAGCTTGGGAGGCCCTCTGTAGAGAATGCTCCTGTGAAGCAGAGATTTCAAAGGACTAAAATCTTCATTTTAAATAGAGTTAATTTTGCAAAGGGTTGCAATTGTTTCTCATGATCTCTGCTTCTCTAGAAATGTCTCTCATTCTCTGCTGAGTTCAGGTCTCCAAATAACTATGGGTGTAAAAGCCTGTTTCCTACTTGCATATTTATCTTTCAGATCATTTTGTAACTATCTCCCTCCTTTTTTCCCTCGCTTCCCTTATTCAGCAAATATTTGTTGGTCTCATGCTCAGTCCTGTTTCTGACATACAGAATGAGAGTGTGATGTTCTTGCTCTTTTTCTCTCCCAGCAAAATGTGAGCCAGCATGTCGTCATGGAGGTGTCTGTGTTAGACCGAACAAGTGCCTCTGTAAAAAAGGATATCTTGGTCCTCAATGTGAACAAGTGGACAGAAACATCCGCAGAGTGACCAGGGCAGGTATTCTTGATCAGATCATTGACATGACATCTTACTTGCTGGATCTAACAAGTTACATTGTATAGTTTCTGGGACTGTTTGAATATTCTATTCCAATGGGCATTTATTTTTTATCCTGTCATTAAAAAAAAAAGACTGTTATCCTGCTACACACTCCTGTGATTTCATTCTCTTTTATTAATTTAAAAATAATTTCCAGAAATGTGCAGATCCTCTGTGTGTATGTCAGCATGTTTGTTCACATATGCACATACACATACTCATAACCCCTATATGCGTTGTTGCATAACAGATGATTTTTTAAAATATATACTTCCTTATGCAAAGTAATTTACACAGAAATTCCATTGTAAATTGATAATGGATTTTTTATGTTACTAGAAGAGATTATTTGACTTCCCAGGAATTTTCTGTCTGTAATCACTAAAGTCAACTTTAATAGAGTTTTGAAACAGTACTGTGCAATCCGATGGATCTAATTAAAAAAAAGGCAATATTTTTATATTAAAGTACTATACTAGGAGAGAATGTTTCAGAACTCCCTGATGAATTTCTAAGTGAGCAACTTGATATAAAATTGTAATCTTCATTTTTGTCAGTGTATCCAGTTACAGAATGCTACACACTTACCTTTTTATTGGCTGAGAAATCTGGTTATTTCATCTTAATCTCAAGATTGTTTTCAAGTGTTTTATAATTAAATCATAATAGCATATTTTAAAATCAATCTTCCTAAAAGGTCTGCTTTTATTGTATATTTTATTTAACAATAGGCACTGGGTTTGTGTTACATATTTATATATTTTATTTTATTTTTATAATATAGACATCACCTAGATGAAACACCTTTACCCTGTCCTGTAAAACACTAAAGTTACATTTTTCACCAACTTAATTGGAAAGAAGGGGAGTGAGAAAGCAAACAGTCTTTAATGTGCTGTGGATCTAATCTAGCAAGGTATCCTTGTGCCAACATGTAATCATTAACGACGGATGAAAAAGCAAGAAAACAGCCAATCCTTATAAAATTCCAGCATTAAACATTTGTAAAGTGCTTTTCACCATAGCAAGACTGTCAGAGTCTATGTTATTAGAATGTTGCAGATTTCCACTGAATCGAACCTCACTGGAGAAGAGCTCACTTGTTTTTAAAAATCTTGGCTATGTAAGCTGTCACCTGTACAAATTTTTAACATAATAATTCTTGCCAAATATGACTTTAAATGTACGTGTTCCTTCAGAACTCAATGAAAATACTCTTTGGCTAATGTATCAATAAATTTTCTGTAAATGTTCTGTTCAGGGTTTTACAGAGATGACATGTTCTGACTTAAAACTGCAAAAAGTCTAGTAGATATTTTTCTTCATGGTTTTCAAAGCCAGCTCTCCACGTTTGGATTTTAACAAAATATAAGGCCTCTTTGCACTAGTGAAAAAACACGTCTACTCATGACAAGTGCACACCCACTATGGCTGTCCTTCTTCTGTAAACATCCATTCCTCTAGAATCTAAATTGTAGAGCAGTATAGATTATGCAGCGCCAGCTGACTTTCTAAACCTTCTCCTTACCTTTAGGAATACAAGCCTCAATTTAAAAAATATATTGTAGCTAGTATTTCTCTATTGTTTTAAGGTGAGAGATTTGCAATTAAAGCCCAGTAAGCATTTATATAGAAGCCACAATGTAGAAAGATTGGTTAAGTACACTGCTCTTGTCTTCCATATATGATTACTTAAGTTTCAAGTGACCTCATGCCAAATGGAAATGGGTTGAGAAATCTTGGTTCAGTGCTTAGTGAACAATAGCCTGCATTAAAAAGTGCATGCATAATTTTGCACAATTTAGATTCAATTGACAGTCTATTCAAAGAAGTCTCAGGATTAAATGAGCATGGAGACCAAATTGCCCTCTTACCCCAGAAAAGGGGTGGTCCCTTCTAGTCACACTAACACTTCATTGGCCCAACAGTGTGACAAATCTTGCAATGAACCATGCAGTAGCCTGCATCTGTAGGTTAATAGCAATCTTTTGTCTCCATTGCTTTCTCTTCATAGCCCTTTTACTGAATTCCATCACAGAAAGTTTTACAATTAAAAAAAAATGTCCTGACAACCATTTTTGTAAATGGACCTTACCATCTAATTGTCCCTTATTCAACGTGGGTGACATTAACAAAATGTGAACTTCTTGTGAGGGAGCCAGCTGTCTAAATCTGTCAAATCGTGCAGTTTTATTACACATTCTCCAATTCTTCCTAGTTTCCCTGAAAACAATAAGGATACTGCTATATATTCAGTAAAATCTAAAAAAATCAAGCATTACTTCTTACATCTTTAAACTTTCCATCTCCTCCCCAAAATAAAAGGTGTTCTATTGCCATTAGTTCTACTGTTTTAAAATATCTATATTAAGTTGACCAGGCCCAGATTTTTTATACAGCTTTTTCCCAAGTGAAAGATTTTCAAGTGACTTAGAAAAACATATGTGCCCCAGGTGTCATTGCCTTTTCTTTTGTGAGTCATTAGAATGAAAGGCCAAGTTCTTCTCAAGAGAAGATAGCAAGATCCACGGATATTAAGCCAAGCAAAGAAAGTAAAATCATTGGAGTCATTTCTTTCTGTTCTTAGGAGAAAAGTAGATAGCACTGGCTAATTGATGGCAACATATTTTAAATTAAGTGGTCAATTCAAAAATTCTCTTTGACCTTTTCTTTCAAGTAGATTTTTTTAAATGCATGACTGGAGAATTATCTTCAATGATTCATGATGAGAGGCAGGTAGGAATTGGTTAAGAAGTATGAGCAGGAAAAAATTATTGTTTAATCACATGAAAGGCAACATCTGTTCAGTTCATAAAGCACACAGTCTCGAATGGAAGAAAAAAAGGTCCTTCGTAAGAATACTGATGCATAAGATAAAGACGAAATAATGAAAAAGAAAAATGTATATTATTATTCCCTTGTCCATTCTCAAGTTTAAGCTGCGGTTGTCAGTTGAATGTGAAATGATGTTATAGTTGTTTTAAATGGTTGGAAATAACCTTTCTACTACTGTTTCTGCCACACTGTTGTCCTGGTTCATAGAACCTTGTTTTCTTGACAGTTATTTAAGGTAATAAAAGGAACACAATTTGGCAGATCTTTAAGTGAAAGAGAGAAAAAATTTAAGAAATTGAGTGATGGCTAAAAGTAAGTGCTTCCATCCATAACTTTTCTTCTTGGATTTTTTTCAATGTAATTATTGTAAAATATATTTTTTTATTTTATCATGAAGAATACTCGGAAGGTTTCTCAGATTAATGAGTATCTCATAAAGAGTAGAGAAACCAACACATACAATATATACACACAACCTAAATAGAAAACTATTTTCTTTGTCATTTGCATGCCCCAGAGAAGTTACTTCTTCCCTATTTATTTCTTTGAAAATAATTACAAAATAGTATACTAACAATTTTAATCCATTTGCTGTTTTTTTTTTTTTTTTGGTTTCTTTTTTTTTTTTTTTGAGACGGAGCCTTGCTATGTTGCCCAGGCTGCAGAGCAGCACAATCTCAGCTCACTACAACCTCCGCCTCCCGGGTTCAAGCAATTCTCCTGCCTCAGCCTCCCAAGTAGCTGGGATTACAGGTGCCCGCCACCACACCCGGCTAATTTTTTTGTGTTTTTAGTAGAGACAGGGTTTCACCATGTTGGCCAGGCTGATTTCAAACTCCAGACTTCAAGTGATCCAGCCCCCCAGGCCTCCCAAAGTGCTAGGATTACAGGCGTGAGCCACCATGCCCAGCTTCCATTTGCTTTTGATATTGTTTTTATCTCTGAGTTACAAACTATACAAGCTTACCAGGTATAAGGTTAGATGCTACATCTAGGAGCATTCAAGATATACATTAATTTAAACTTTTATTAGTCTAACTTTCTGTTAAGTCTCTTAGCTTTGAAACATAAAAGAGAAATCAAGCCCAAATTTTTAGAGGAAGGCTAAGGTATACTATTGGCAGTTGTAGTTTTAATTGTAATTGACTGATTAACCAAGTAATTTATAAAATGTTACCTATACTGTCAGTGTTCACCTCCTCTCCCTCCCTCCTTCTCTCTCTCTCTCCCCCTCTCGCTCTCTCGGCTAATATATATGTGTATGTGTATATATATATGTATGTATATATATACACACACACACACACATACATACATACATACATATATTCTTTTTCCTTTTAACCACTTCCCTCTCCTACATTTTCTATTGGTTTTGCCTAAATAGACATGTTCTCAATACACCCATGTTGAAGGTATCCTGGGCTAGATTGCTGTTGATTTTGCTGGTTATGATCTTTTCTTTGTTTTTCTGAAAAATAGCCTCTCTTGATTCCACATTTTCTCAAATTCTATATAACAAATAATAGTGGATAGTAAACAAATGACATACTAGGCTGATCTATTACAATCATTGAAAGAAATAAGGAAGAGCAGAAATCACTAACAGTCCAGAGGCTCCAATTCAGCTGCTCTAGCATAGATACAGGAAAGACATGGAGAATAACACTGGGGTTAGCTAACAGCAGGGAAAGTTAGTAGCTATTTCCTAGCCAAGGAACAACCTTCTCTATGGAATAATTTTAAGAAAATTATTCCAAATCTGTGAGGAAAAAATAAGAAGCAGTTCCTCAATGGAGACTTTATAAATCTTAATTTCCTCACCCCTGGGATGAGATTTGAAGTTGCAGAGGACTCAGACCAAAGTCCCATGGCAGAAAATGTACATATTTTTAAACTACTCCCAGGAAGTAAACTAGTACTGTGAATGCTGGCAATACCATCAGAAAGTTTATCTTTAAAATACCTAAAAATAAATATATATTTGCTATCTTATCCTCTTTTTGTCACACAAACATAAATTGGTCATATATATATTTATATATATGGTTATATATATTTGGTTATATATATATCTTTATATATATATCTTATATATATATCTTTTTATATATATCTTATATATATATCTTTTTATATATATCTTATATATATATCTTTATATATATCTTATATATATATCTTATACATATAAGATATATGTATATATATATACATTATATATATATAATATATATATATTATATATATATAATATATATCTTATATATATATATATCTTAATACATATATATAACCATGGAACCTGCCAAACACTAATCCTAGCCAACTTCAATCCTTCTTTCTCTTAACTATCTTCTCTGAATAAGTTCTGGACTTCACCTTAAAATAAGTTTTTAGGAGAGTAATATATATTCATGGGATTGTGAGGGAGCATTGTAGAGCTGTTTTCTTCTCAGTCATAGTGGTGGTTTTCCTAGCTGCTATGGAAAGGTTTGTTCACTTATGAGATTAGGACTTTTCTTAAATTCCTCATTAAATATGAACCTAAGGCATACCCATCATTTACCTTGATTCCCATATAATTTGTATAAGTCATATATAAGTCCATTGACAAAATAAAAAAATAAATAATTGGATTCCTTGTATCAACAGAAAGCCTTGTGCTTAAAACCTGTTATTCTTCTTTGAGCCAGACTAAACAGTAACATTTACAAAATGGTATCAGCTCAACATTAAATCTAAGGTTACTTCTCACATACATCATAAAGTCAGCCATCATCTTTCATTTAGGATTTCTTGGGGTTTTCTTTTTGCATATATAGATTATGTATTACTTAAATCCAAAATACATGTGTGTATATATATACATATATATGTAACTTAATATAAATGTTTGATGAGTTATCTCAATTGACTATAATCTTCTAAGTCAAAAAGAAAACATTTAAGTACATAATATAAAAAGAACTGAACATTAACAGTAATGGGAAATTCATAATGGCTAAATATGAAATAAGCTTTGTCTTTGCAGTTACAAACTAATTCTTGTACATTTTCCTTTTCACTAAAAAAATAACTAATTGATAGTTTCCATTCACATGAACAAGTTATAATCAGGTTTGGGATAGTATGCCCAAAACCTATGTTTCTTTACTTTATATTCTTAAAATCTGAGACATGATTTTTCTGGAACAAATTAAGATTTCATGTACAATAGAGTCCCTTTCCTAATACTGTTATGAAGAAACCAAGTTGACTACCTTATGAGAGATCAGATATTTCCCTTATCTCATTATATTCACAGCATATGTTTGGACATGCGTTTCACCAAGAACCATGTAGTAATAAGATAAATGGTAACTGAGGTACTATGGAATTTTTAGAACTTGATTCCCCAGGACATGCTACAGTAAACTAAACTATTTATTCAAAAGTAACCCAACTAATTAAAGTGAAAAAAAATTGTTGAATCACAATGAACAAACATAAAACAATACTTAAATGAGAATTCTGTGTCTTTTTTGGTTTTATCTGTGATTTATTTTGTCCAGTATTAAGGAATGGTTATCTTTATCATTCTTCTAACATGTTTTGGTTTCTCTAATGGTTCATTTTCCTTTAGCTTGTGAAAATTAGGGCAGTTTGTCCAGAGCCTTACTCGCAGGAGACACCAGACCCAACCCATGCTTAGATTTCTGTTAATAAAAGGGAGAAGGGTATTTGAATAGGTAGTAAAGGCAGGTACAAGTTTAAGGGAGCAGGGCTATCATATGTACTAGGTGAGATTTCTATAAATGTCTGAAAAGTTACATGCATAGTCATTGGCTCAGGTAATTTCTCTGAATTTGAACTTATTTGATTTATTTAACCAAGTTATTATAATATGCAGTTCTCTTTAATCAATCTTCTATTATTCAATCATCTATCCATTTATTAATTCAACAAATATTTATTAAAGTGCCTACCATGATTATGTGCTGTAGAAAAGACAAGGACATTTACTAGGGGGGGATTGTGGGCCCAATCGGCATCATAAGCATGTCTGAAGCAAAAGACAATAATCACATCCAACGGCACCAGTTCAGCTCAACTTTAGAATTCAGCAGTAACAGTACAGATGGCCTAAAGTACATCTGTGTGTATCTGTACGTGTGCACACACCCATGTATATATATTTATCTATCTGTACAAACACTACATATGTATACACACTATCTATGTAAAATATAATATATGTATAATGCATATAAATTCTAACAAGTGTATTTGTGTTATCTTTAAAATAGAACAATTGTATCTTGAAGTGGTAAATGCAGAGAATTGGTTTTATTGTTGATCTGTGGATTTAATGATTTCTAGGTGAAAAGGACGTTTAAGTGTACAATTTCTTTTCTTAATTTAATATATTTATGTAAATGCATGCCTGAAATTTGGTTAGATTGGCTGTGTTTTGTGTCTTTTAACATGATCAAATGATTAAACTTTATCTTATGACTTGATGTACATGTGCTATTTTAAAATTCTTTTTTATTTTAGAATTTAAAACTTTTTTCTAAATATACAGACTGATTATATAAACACCAATTTTTAAATACTCTGTAGCCAAACTACTTCAAAATATTCTCATCTTTTGTCATTTTTTACTTTCTAATTTTAAAATTTTCTTCCAAAATATATGCCAATGTTAAGGGTCAGTTTCATTAGGCAGCCATGAAGATGTTACATTGATAAATTTGTTCTAGGTTGTAAGTCCCTTAAACCCCATCCTTTCAAGTAAGTAAGAATAAGTAAAGAATGTAGAAGAGCAGTTAGGAACACTGGGTGCCCAAATTGAAGGGAAGAAGCATGTGGAGCGGGAGGGACATGAATGAAGGTGATTGCAGGTACCCCAAAACTTTGTTGACCTCGCCTTTTTGCTTCTAGTTAACCCTACCAGGAGTATTTTGATCTGTTAATTTGAGCACAAATTTAAAATCTGCCAATTTTTTTTTTTTTTAGAAAAGCAAAATGTGTTCATCTAAGTCCCCTTTCTTCCTGGATAAATGCATCTCTTTGACTCGTTGAAAGGAAAAGCTATCTCTCTGCAAGACATTATAATCTCTAAAAGAATAAAACGTGTTACAAAGTGTTCATTCAGAAAGTGTTCTTCCGCTCAGATTGCTCCTTAGAAGTTTTAAGTTAGACGAAACGTCACCATGAAAAGAGCCCTCTAGCTCATGTTCACAACAGCCCAGGAAGCACCGGAATTCTTTGTGTTTCTACCCTTCCGGTTCCTGAATGCGTCCTTGTGGCTCAGACCACGATCACCCTTTTGTTTCTTGTGTGTCTACTATTTTTGAATCCCTGATAGACGTACATCATTTCCTACATACGTGAAGAAAATAATAGTATATATGTCCACTCTAGTGATGGAAGTGATTTCTCGCTAATCTCTCTGGATTCCTTCACTGTCTCTTTTTTGGCTTCTCAGCTCTGCCATCACCAGCGTAAGCAATTCCCTGCTTTAAATTCCCGCTGTGGTAAACATTTAAAGTAGCCTCCATTTCCCATTTTTAGGTGCTGAGTGCTACAATTTCGTTTTTTGTTTTTTGTTTTTTTGAGACAGAGTTTTGCTCTTTCTTTCTTTTTCTTTCTTTCTTTTTTTTTTTTTACCAAGTCTTGCTCTGTCGCCAAGCGGGAGTGCAGTGGCACTATCTCGGCTCACTGCAACCTCTGCCTCCCGGTTCAAGCGATTCTCCTGCCTCAGCCTCCCAATTAGCTGGGAAGCTGGGAGTACAGACAGGCACCACCATGCCCAGCTAATTTTTGTATTTTTAGTAGAGATGGGGTTTCACCATGTTGGCCACGATGGTCTCAATCTCTTGACCTCATGACCTGCCCACCTTGGCCTCCTAAAGTTCTGGGATTACAGGCATGAACCACCGCACCCAGTCAGAGTTTTCACTCTTGTTGCCCAGGCTGGAGTGCAATGGCGCGATCTAGGCTCACTGCAACCTACACCTCCTGGGTTCTCCCTCAGCTTCCCAAGTAGGTGAGATTACAGGCACCCGCCACCACGCCTGGCTAATTTTTGTATTTTTAGTACAGTCGGGGTTTCACCATGTTGGCCAGGCTGTTCTCAAACTCCTGACCTCAGGTGATCCCCCAGCCTCGGACTCCCAAAGTGCTGGGGTTATAGGCATGACCCACCATGCCTGGCTGATACAAATATTAATAAGAATGACAGACCAGTGAGAAGAGAGATGATGTGGTGGAACTAAAAACGGACATGATGAGATCTTTAAGAGGACACATTAAGAAACTATTATCTTGGATACCTTGTGATCACAATAAAATGAGGTTAGATGGGTCCTACTTCCAAACGTGGAATGTAAACCTTAAATTTCTAAGGCAGTGGAGAAGTGGAAGCTTCACAGTTGTCACTAAAAGACTTCATAGCTCACACCGGTACTATCACAATTCTCAGCTGCCAATTTCCCCAGGATTTTGACAGTTAATGTGACAGATATGTCTATAAAATCACTCCTTTACACTCACTTTTTTAATAGAAAAGTTGAAACTAATGTTCTATTTCCAATGGAAATACAATTTAAAATACCAGCCACACATAATATCTCATCAGTAAAAAATAGTTTTTTTCTATTTGGAGTTCTAAAGAGGACTCTCTGAAGATTAAATCCTATTATCATTCGAAGAAATGAGAGGATAAAAGAAAGGAAAACAATTTGGATAAAATATTTCTTCTACATTTTTATAATTTCCATGCAGTATTTTCTTTTTTTCTTTTTTTTTTTTTATTATTATACTTCAAGTTTTAGGGTACATGTGCACATTGTGCAGGTTAGTTACATATGTATACATGTGCCATGCCGGTGCGCTGCACCCACCAACTCGTCATCTAGCATTAGGTATATCTCCCAATGCTATCCCTCCCCCCTCCCCCCACCCCACCACAGTCCCCAGAGTGTGATATTCCCCTTCCTGTGTCCATGTGATCTCATTGTTCAATTCCCACCTATGAGTGAGAATATGCGGTGTTTGGTTTTTTGTTCTTGGCGATAGTTTACTGAGAATGATGGTTTCCAATTTCATCCATGTCCCTACAAAGGACATGAACTCATCATTTTTTATGGCTGCATAGTATTCCATGGTGTATATGTGCCACATTTTCTTAATCCAGTCTATCATTATTGGACATTTGGGTTGGTTCCAAGTCTTTGCTATTGTGAATAATGCCGCAATAAACATGCGTGTGCATGTGTCTTTATAGCAGCATGATTTATAGTCCTTTGGGTATATACCCAGTAATGGGATGGCTGGGTCAAATGGTATTTCTATTCAAGATGGATTAAAGATTTAAACGTTAGACCTAAAACCATAAAAACCCTAGAAGAAAACCTAGGCATTACCATTCAGGACATAGGCGTGGGCAAGGACTTCATGTCCAAAACACCAAAAGCAATGGCAACAAAAGCCAAAATTGACAAATGGGATCTAATTAAACTAAAGAGCTTCTGCACAGCAAAAGAAACTACCATCAGAGTGAACAGGCAACCTACAACATGGGAGAAAATTTTCGCAACCTACTCATCTGACAAAGGGCTAATATCCAGAATCTACAATGAACTCAAACAAATTTACAAGAAAAAAACAAACAACCCCATCAAAAAGTGGGCGAAGGACATGAACAGACACTTCTCAAAAGAAGACATTTATGCAGCCAAAAAATACATGAAAAAATGCTCATCATCACTGGCCATCAGAGAAATGCAAATCAAAACCACTATGAGATATCATCTCACACCAGTTAGAATGGCAATCATTAAAAAGTCAGGAAACAACAGGTGCTGGAGAGGATGTGGAGAAATAGGAAACTCTTACACTGTTGGTGGGACTGTAAACTAGTTCAACCATTGTGGAAGTCAGTGTGGCGATTCCTCAGGGATCTAGAACCATGCAGTATTTTCTATGATTAAAATAAACACTTTAAAAGGGAAAAGGAGAGGGGAAGGAGAAGGAGGTAGAAGGCTGGGTAGCTCCCAACTATAAAACTCATTCTTCTTGGGACTATGCCAGCATCAGAAACTACTTGAGCTCAGTCTTGTAATTTAATAAGATGTTGTCAGATCCTTTTGACATATTTATAGCCTTATAATTAAAACTCCCTGATGCAAAATCCATGTGCTTCATGTAAAGCAATTTCACTTATCGTAGACACTCTGTTCTATGATCTACAGCTACCAAAAGCCACACATGCCAGGTGTACTGGCAAGAGGCAAGAGCTCTGGCCTAGGGCTGGGAGATGCCAAGTCTCCAACTAATTAGCTGGAAGCTACTGGATATATCTCTCACCGCACTGGGACTCAGCTTCCTTATATACAAAAGAACTCAGGTTCTCTCAGCTCTAACAAACAGGTTTACTATTAGGTAGTACTAATTCCATGATCCATGTGGATGAAAGATTTGAAACTGCAAATCTTAGATAGGAATATATTAACTACTGCATTTCACGAATTTGTAGTGGTTACATAATCATAAAAGACACTCTTACGCATTTTCCTCTAATCTCCCAGCCTCCTGTTTGCCTTGGCTCTCCCACTCTTCTGTGGTTCTGGTGTTGCCTCCTCTTAGATGTTCTCTCAATCTCCTTTTTCTGTTTCTTCCATCTGGTAGGTTCATTCTTGAATCCATTCATGTCTCCCACAGCTCTCACTCAAAATTTTTAAGACATTATCTGATCCATGTCCATCATTTCCTTTATGCTGAAGAAGTGCATGTTACAGGGAAGCTGCCACTCTCTTCAGGGTCCCTAATGCTTCGTTTTGCAACTGTCACAAATATCATTATTGCCTCTTCCGTGAATTACGTCCCCAAGAGAACTGCTGTAGGCACTCTACCTGACAGCATATTCTGGGCACGTAGAAGAGCAGAAATGCTCTGTTGATGTCCTTGAGAAGGCAGTCAATTCAACACACAGAAGAAAGCATAACCAAAAATATTAGTCTTCTCAGGCTACCATAACAAAGTATCACACACTGGGAGGCTTAACAGAAATTTATTGCCTTGTAGTCCTGGAAGCAGGAAGTATGAGATCAAAGTGTTGGCAGGCCTGGTTCCTTCTGAGGGATGTAAGGAAAGGATCTGTGCCAGGCCATCTTCTCCCTGTGTCTTTTCACATCACCTTCCCTCTATATGTGTCTCTGTGCCCACGTTTCCCTTTTTATAAGGACACCGATCATACTGGATTCAGGCCTAAACTAATGACCTCATTTTAACTTGATTACCTCTGCAAAGACCCTCTCTCCAAAAGGGTCACATTCTAAGGTACTGGGGGTTTGGACTTCAACATATGAATTTGGGGAAGGGAGAGGGGGAAGGGACACAATTCACCACAGCACTGTGCCCCAGAAATGGCATCAGACTTCATGAAGGCCTCGTTTTCATTGTCTGACACAGTGCTTCTCAAACTCCATGGTGCCTCATGTCAGATGGGGACTCCACTAAAACACAAATTCTGATTTAGTACATCTGGGCTGGGGCCTCAGATGATCTCCAACAAACCCTGAGGTTATACTAATCCTGGTGGTACACAGCCTTACTTTTAGGAGCAAGGATCTAATTCATGGTGGATAGGCTGTTTTAACTTTGAGGGCAGAATGGTAATGCTGGAAAAGACTTAGTGGAAACATGACCTTCTGCCTCCAAAAAGGAAACAATGGTGTGGTCTCCATCTTAATTCCAGGCTTGTGCTTCGTCGGGTAGAATGTACACAACAGCACAGAGTCAATATTTGTGCTTAGCAGTCAGTCATCCCCATGACACTGGGGATCCTTGCTGTGGTTCCTACAGCTGCTGTTCTTATTTTCATCAATAACATTATAATCACACAAACAAGTACAATATTTCAATGTATGCTGGAATTCATCTATCTGTTAAAAACTGGGTTGCTAAAGTGATATGTACTATAAATAAAATATACATTAGTTTTAAACTGTGTAAATTGTGCCAAGATAGTACATTGCAGTAACAGAAAACTGTGAAAGTACTCCTGTTAAAAGAAAAACAAATGAAAGGAAAATATCACTATGAATAAATATACTTTAATGAAGATGTAGACCTTGAAAAACAAAGAAAATGAGCATCTGTGTTATATTGATTTTTTCTACCAATTTTATATAGACTTTATGTTTTAGAGCAATCTTAGGTTCCTAGCAAAATTGAGAAGAAAGTATAGATATATCTTGTATACCATCTCCCCCCACATATGCATAACCTACCTCTCCTGTTATCAACATCCCCCACCAAAGAGGTACATTTGTTAAAACTGATGAACTTACATTGGCACATCATAATCATCCAAAGTTCATAGTTTACCTTAGGGTTCACTCTTAGCTCTGTATTCTATGGGTTGTGATAAATGGAAAATGACATGTACCTGCCACTATGGTATCATACAGAGTAGTTTCACTGCCCTAAAAATCTTCTGTGCTGCACCTATTTATCCCTGTGTCTCCCCAGGCCCAGCCAACCACTGATCTCTTTAACTGTCTTTATAGTTTGTCTTTTCCTGAATGTCATATAGTTGGAATCATACAATGTGTGGCCTTTTCAGAATGGCTATTTTGCTTAGTGATATCCATTTGCTTAGAAATGTCTATCCAATAGACATTTCTTCCATGTCTTTTCGTGTTTTGATAGTTGGGTTTTTTCTTTTTAGCACTGAATATTATTCCATTGCCTGTAACACAGTTTACTTTTTCATTCACCTACTGAAAAACATCTTGGCTGCTTCCAAGTTCTGGCAATTATAAACTTGCCAACCATGCTATAAACAACAATGTGAAGGTTTTTAGGCAGATATAGTTTTCACTCCTTTGGGTAAATACCAAGGAGCTCAACTGTATGGTAAGAGTATGTTTAGTTTTTTAAGAAACTGCCCAACTGTCTTCCAAAGTAGCTGTATCATTTTGCATTCCCACAAACAATTAATGAGATCTCCACATCCTCACCAGCATTTGGTATTGACAGTGTGTCCTGAATTTTCAGAAATACAGTCAGGTGCTGTGGCTCATGCCTATAATCCCAGCACTTTGAAAGGCCAAGGCAGGTGGATCGCTTGAGCTCAGGAGTTTGAAAGTAGCCTGAACCACATAGCAAAACCCTGTCTCCACAAAAAAATACAAAAATTTAGGGTGGCATGCACCTGTGGTCCCAGCTACATGGGAAGCTGAGGCAGGAAAATTGTTTGAACCCAGGAGGTCGAGGCTGCCGTGAGCCCTGATTGTGCCACTGCACTCCAGGGTAGGTACAGAGTGTGACTCTGTCTTCAGAAAAAAAAAAAAAGGAAAGGAAAGGGAAAAGAACTAAAATTTTATAACTTTATCCTAACACCAAGGTATAATCATGTTACTTAGAGTTGTAAACATATCTGAAATTATGTCAAAAATGCTATGGAAGCAAATTTAGTGCTATTTGTTAAAGAACAACACAAAATATCTGACCCACACATTTATGTACCACACTTAGAAGGGCTGAGAGCAGGGCTGCCCAATATAACCTTCTGTGATGATAGAAATGTTGTATACTTGCACTGTCCAATATGGTAGCCACTAGTCACGTGTGGCTGTCAAGCTCTTGAAATGTGGCTGGTGCAACTGAGGAAATGAATACTTACTTTTATTTTATTTTAATTAAATTTAAATATTAGTTGCTCATATAAAAAGAGCTTTTTGGTGTTTTTTCTTTAATATTGGCTACTTCAAAAGTCAGAGCTAAAAGCAATTCAGACAATTTGGTTAAAACATTTTGGTGATATGTTTGACAATCCCTTATATGTAATTCATACTGAAATGTTTCATATTCCCTTTTCCTTTGTTCCCTTTTGCTCCTGTAGCTTACTGCAAATAGAATAGTGTACATACTCTTTGCTCTAAAAATTTTTACCTTCACTTTTGACCAAAATCAGTAAAATTCTTAATTCTAAGTAGTTTTATAGTGTAGTCAAAATGCATTATGCGAAAGTGGAAACTATGCACAGTGATCATGTATATGCCCATTTCTGAGTGTGTACAAGTGAAGAAAAAGCATTATATACAAAGAATTGCTGGTGGGAAGAAGAAAGGGAGGCTAGTACTTGTCAGGTGCCAAGCTCTCCTCAATTAGAGAAAATGCAGGCAGAGGAACTAGGGGCATGAGACTGCCACCATATATTTTTATACTTAGTTTTGTAAAATTATCCTGGAAGAGACAAATTTTGGAGCAATATTTAAAGACAATCAAATCCATTACACTGATCTATAAGATATAGCTCTAAAAATTTCACTACATACAACCTGAAATAACCGTGAGAGATAAGCAATAGAGTAGAGCCAGAGGGAATGTCAGAGGCCCAAATAAAGAGCGAAGAAAAGATACCTACGTAAGTGGAAGTGGACATAATAGGTGTAGTACAGTAACAAGTCAGCTAAACTGAATGGAAACAAGTGGGAGTTAGTAATAATTGCTAACACTTATATAGTGCCGTGTGCCAGACACCTCTTCAAAGAAATGTCAAGAACTGTGAAAGTTCTGAGATTTCACTCCTTTTAGAAACTAACAAGTTAGCCTGCCATAATTTCAGGGAAGCTGACAGAAGACATAAGACTCCTGGGTCAGAGACAAAGGACCGTTCATTAGTCACAGGAATAGTCAGAAGCAGTAACCAGTTCCCTGAGCCCCATTTCTCACAGATTGAAACAGAAAGAACCAGGTGATATTTGCACTGGAAGTTGGTTGAGTTACAGAAAAGAAACTTTGAGCTTAGGGATCCCAAATCTTTTATAACAGAGAGTAGGCAAACCTACCTGACCTTTGCATTAGAGGGAGAAGCTATCACTGTCTTCCAAGGCTGGCTGTTATACAAGCATCCTTTAAAAGTTAGTTCAGAAGAAATGCATTCAAAACTTCTGCTTACAAGATGAGCAGAAACACAAAAGGTCCATTGAGAATTGTCTCCCAATAAGTACTTTACATATATTGATTCTCTGGACCTCCTCAACAACCACATGAGATAGGTACTCTTATGTCATTTTATAGATTAAGAAATGGGACACAAAGTTCCCACAGCTATTCAATGGTAGAGTGAGGATTTGAATCCAGCAATAGGGCTCTGGAGCAGCACTGTCCCACAGAAATATGTGAACTAGACATATCATTTTAAATTTTCTAGTAGCCACATTTTAAAAGCAAAAATAAACAAAACTAATTTCAACAATACATTTTGTGTAACTCAATGCACTGAGAATATTATTATTTCAACATGTAATCAATATCAAGACTAGTCATAAAATATGTTATGTTGTTATAGTGTCTTTGGAAGCCAGTGTGTATTCTACATTTATAGCACATCTCAATTCAGCCCAAAATTTTCATCAAAAATATTTGATCTGTTTAATAAAGTTTGCATAAAACTTAGAGCTGAAAAAGTAGATAAACATGCCCAAGTTGTTCCAAACACACTTAAAAGCTTTCTAATGACTGAATTATCACTTTTTAAGGTTAAACTAATTAAAATTAAACTACTTAAAAACTCATTTAAACATTGAGTTTTTCAGTCATAGTAGCCACATTCCTATTACTTAAAAGCCATATATGGCTAGTGGCTCCTGTATTAGACAGAAAACTCTAGAACGTGGGCACATAATCACTATGTTCTCACTTACAAAGAAAGTGCATTAAAAACATACAGAATTTTAATTTAATTTTTTGTTCTTCTATTTTGATTGTTCAATGAAGTCACAGTTGTTTACTTTAATCTGCCTGCCCTGATGGATTATTGCAGAAGTCAAGAGAAGCCAGAGCAGAATGGCTGTACTGTAGTTGAAATCCATTATCAGAGCACAGGCTCATAGCCAGACAGACCTGGTCTGATCCACACTCTGCCAAGTCTTGTCTTTTCTCAGCTGTGTGACCACAAACATATATCCTGAACTTCCTTAACTCTAATTTCTTTATCTTTAAAGTAGGACTATAAATAGCACATCTGAGGATAAAATAAGGTGATTCATGTAAAGGACCTGACATAGTGTTTGGCATATAATTTGTGCTAAATAAATGTCAATTGTTATTCGGCAGCTAGAGTAAATTTAACACAAAAGACCAAACACACATTTAAGAGTAGATAATTTTGAGATGCCCATTTGTTTTCCAAAGAAAGGGCTTGCTCATTGGCTACTCAGCCCAGTGTTACCCTCTAGTGCCAAAAACCTTGAACAGCAAGCATCACCAACCAAAACACCAGAACAGCAAATCTCTGAAAAGATGTGTCCATTGATTCAACCTCAGATGCTGTTAATTAGCACACCATTTTCTAAGGCCCATTCTCAAGTTTTAATGCTCTTTCTTACCAGTTATCTGAGGATCTTGTTAAGATCTTAGTGAGTCTTGTGACTCACTAAGAATGAAGTGGAGCCCGGTAGTCTGCATTTCTCATAAGGTCTCAGGTAATTCCAATGCTGCTGCTCCACAGATCCTCCCTGAGTAGCAAAAGTTTAGACAATTCTATTAATTACTCAAACTCTTTTGAAAGTAACCACCACCAAACTATTAGAATAAGGAATTGCAGGATTAAGCAAAATGTTGTCGTCTTTCTCCTATAGACATGTGCAAGAGGAAAAGCCCTAAATTTATACTAAAGCTGAAATATACCTGAAGTTTAAAGATTACTTCAGATTGCTTTCTTCCCAGGAAAGTGTCTCAGCAAGACAATAGTGGGGTGGATGGGTCAGTATGGCAATTCTTACATTCCTTTGAGCTCAGAATGTAATTCAGGATCATGTGCTAGACTGGAAATTCATGTTGAGTATAAGTTAATCTGTGTTCATAGTTTGAGGTTCGAGGAACTTTGGACTAGATAACAACATGGTGGCAAGGTACTAAACCAGCACTGGAAACTGAGTCAGAGCCTCAGTAGCTACTAATTAGTAGTTGTTCTAATGTCCCATAGTCAAGACTTTGGAAGAAATCATCATCTGTGTTTTATTTCATATTTGATAAAATGGATGAAAAGATAATCGACACGTTTCTGCAAACTTCAAATGAGATAATGTGGTGAAATTTCTTTGAAACTATTGTCCCATAGATACAGATACAATTCATTACAAGTCTAACAGAGCAAACTAGCCTCGTATCTTCTTGGCATAATGGACAATATTGATTGTTTCTGGTAAGAATAAAAGAGGAAGGGGAATTTGAAGTTTATTTAAATTTGTTCATCCATTTAAAAACGCTAATTAAGGCCACAATGACTTAATTGCTCCAAATTTCTAGGTATTTATGTTGCCTCCCACAATGAGACTGCCAAATTAATGATAATATTTATTTTTATGTTGTTTTCAAACATTTGTTTCTGATTATGACTTTAATATACAACAATGCAGTCATGCTTTGTTGGTAAGTTTGCCCATTATCTAGCTGAACTCACTATGCTACTGACTTTGATAAAAACAAAGTCCACAGAGTTTTTCAAATGCGTGCTGAACATCAAACACAGCAGTCATGTAGAAGGTCTATTGCACTTATCTCACAAAACATTATCATATACTAGACATGAACTCACGTTTTCACCTACTTTCAACAATCCCCTGCCCTCCATGGATATACGTGGAGACTGGTCTCCCTACTTCCTTGTTGTTTTTTTGTTTTTTTTTTTTTTTTTTTTTGAAACGGAGTCTCCCTCTGTCGCCCAGGCTGGAGTGCAGTGGCGCCATCTCGGCTCACTGCAAGCTCCGCCTCCCAGGTTCACGCCATTCTCCTGCCTCAGCCTCCCGAGTAGCTGGGACTACAGGCGCCCGCCACCGTGCCCGGCTCATTTTTTGTATTTTTAGTAGAGACGGGGTTTCACCGTGTTACCCAGGATGGTCTCAATCTCCTGACCTCGTGATCCGCCCGCCTCGGCCTCCCAAAGTGCTCGGATTACAGGCATGAGCCACCACGCCCGGCCCCTACTTCCTTGTTTCATAGTAAGAAATTTCTTTATGTGTTTCTGTTGGCTTCTCAGAAGCTTGCTTTAAAGTATTTCAATTCCACCTGTTTTGACTTAGGATCTCATATTAATGTGTTTCCCCTAATTCACTACCCATTTACAATATTAGATTTTTAAAAAGCATTCATATTAATGTGCTATAGTTACTGACAATGTAAAGGGAAAAAGTGTACTTTGATTCCCAGAGTTTGGAGAAAAGCAAAGTCAAATAAATGCAGCCCCATATTTCCATAATGAAAAAAAATCAAGGGAGAAAAGAGAAAAGGAAGAAAGGAGGGGAAATTGAGAGAGAAAAAGCAAAGAAGGAAGGAAGGAAAGAAAGTAGAAAGAAAGAGAAAGAAAAAAAAGAAGGTATGAAAGGAGGGAGGAAGACAGGAAAAAAATTTGAAGGTTTATTTCCCTTATGTTATACTGTCTTTTTAAATTTACACAACAAAACCCAACAGGGCCTAGAATAGTCTTCAACAATCCACCAATTAATTGATATATAATTCTCTAAGACAGGTCTAAGCCCTGTTGGAAAGACAAAGGTATAGAAAGAAGGTCCTTCATTCTCATAACAAACTCTGGGGGAAAAAAAAACAACAACAGTCTAAACACAAAAAGATAACGCTATTAGTGTCTAAAAGTACTTACTAGGCAAACCAAAACTTTTTTCTTACATGTAGTCTACTGTGGTTACTTAGCTAAGGCCTATGTTTGGATCCTGGATCAAGAGATGTGGGTGAGATCTTACCTGTGTCATAATTAAGATTCCAGGTGAATTGGCTTGATTAACCAAGAAAAGAAGAAAGAAGATTCAAAAAAGTTCAATCAGAAATGAAAATGGAGACATTACAACCGACACCACAGAAATACAAAAGATCACTATGAACACCTCTATGCACACAAACTACAAAATCTAGCAGAAATTGAGAAATTGGAAACATACAACCCTTCTAGCTTGAATCAGGAAGAAACAAAAATTCTGAACAGACCAATAACAGGCAGTGAAATCAAATCAGTAATTAAAAAAAAAAAAAACTGCCAACAACAAAAAAAGCCCTGGGCCAGACAGATTCACAGCTGAATTCTACCAGACATTCGAAGAAAAATTGGTGAATCCTAGTGAAACTATTCCAAAAGATTGAGAAAGAGGGAATCCTCCCTAATTCATTCTATGAAGCCAATATCACCCTGATACTGAAGCCAGGAAAGGACATAACAAAAAAAGAAAACAGAGACCAGTAACCTTGGTGAATATAAATGCAAAAACCCTCAACAAAATATAGTAAACTGAATCCAACAGCACATCAAAAGATAATTCACCATGATCAAGTAGATTTTATCCCAGGGATACAGGGATGATTCAACATATGCAATTCAATAACTGTGACTCAGCACATTAACAGAAGTAAAACAAAACAAGAACTATATGATCATCTCAATAAATGCAGGGCAAGCATTTGTTAAAATCCAGCATCCCTTCAACAAATTAGGCATAGAAAGAACATACCTCAAAATAATAAAAGCCATATATGACAAACCCACAGCCAACATCATACCGAGTGGGGAAAGTTGAAAGCATTTCCCCTAAAAGCTGGAACAAGAAAGGATGCCTACTTTCATCACTTTTATTCAGTGTAGTACTGGAAGTCCTAGCCAGAGCAATCAGGCAAGAGAAAGAAATAAAAGGCATCCCAACTGGAAAGAGGAAGTCAGGTTATCTTTGTTTGCTGATGAGATGATCATATACCTAGAAAACCCTGAAGACTCCTCCAAAAGACTCTTAGATCTGACAAATAAACTCAGTAAAGTCTCTGGTTACAAAATCAATGCACGCGAATCTGCTATACACCAACAATGATCGAGCTGAGAATCAAATCAAGAATTCAATCCCTTGTACAACACCCTCAAAAAAATAAAATACCTAGGAATATACTTAACCAAGGAGGTGAAAGATCTCTTCAAGAAGAACTAAAAACGCTGCTGAAATAAATCATATATGACACAAAAAATTGGAAATACATCTCATGCTCTGGATTAAAACAATATTATGAAAATGACCATACTGCCCAAAGCAATCTATAGACTCAATGCAATTCCTATCAAAATACTAACATCATTTTCACAGAATTAGAATAACAATCCTAAAATTCACATGGAATTTAAAAAGAGCCCAAAGAGGCAAAACAATCCTACACAAAAATAACAAATCTGGAGTATCACATTACCCAACTTCAAATTATACTACAAGGCTACAGTAACCAAAACAGCATGCTACTGGTATAAAGGCAGATATATAGACCAATGGAACAGAATAGAGAGCCCATAAATAAAGCCAAATACTTACAACCAACTTATCTTTGACAAAGCAAACCACAATATAAATTGAGGAAAGGACACCCTATTCAATAATTGGTGCTGGGAAAACTGGATAGCCACATATAGAAGAATGAAACTGGATCCCTATCTCTCATCACATACAAAAATGAACTTAATATAGATTAAAAACTTAAATCTAAGACCAGAAACCAAAAAAAGGCCTCTAAAAGAAAAGTTAGAAAAACTTTTCTGGACATTGGCCTAGGCAAAAAATTTATGACTAAGACCCCCAAAAGCAAATGCAACAAAAACAAAAATAAGGCTGGGTGCAGTGGCTCATGCTTGTAATCCCAGCAGTTTGGGATGCCAAAGCGGGTGGATCACGAGGTCAGGAGATCGAGACCATCCTGGCTAACATGGTGAAACCCTGTCTCTACTAAAAAAACTACAAAAAAATTAGCTGGGCGTGGTGGCAGGCGCCTGTAGTCCCAGCTACTTGGGAGGCTGAGGCAGGAGAATGACATAAACCCAGGAGGCTGAGCTTGGAGTGAGCCGAGATCACACCACTGCACTCCAGCCAGCCTGGGTGACAGAGCAAGACTGTCTCAAAATAAAAAAAAATAAAAATAAATAAATAAATGGAAACTAATTAAACTAAAAAGCTTCTGCACAGTGAAAGAAATAATCATCAGAGTAAACCAGCAGCCTAAAGAATGGGAGAAAATATTCTCAAATTGTGCATCTGACAAAGATCCATAACTTAATATCCAGAATCTACAAAAAACTCAAGCAAATCAGCAAGAAAAAAAACCAAATAATCCCATGAAAAGTGAGCAAATTACAAGAATGGACAGTTCTCAAAACAAGATATATAAATGGCAAATAAACATGACAAAATGCTCAACATCACTAATCTTCAGAGAAATGCAAATTGAAACCACAATGAGATACTGCCTTACTCTAGCCAGAATGACCATTATTTAAAAAGTCAAAAAACAACAGATGTTTGTATGGACGTGGTGAAAGAGGAACCCATATGTACTGCTGGTGGGAATGTAAATTATTACAAACTCCATGGAAAACGGTACGGAGATTTCTCAAAGAAGGAAAAGTAGATCTATCATTTGATCCAGCAATCCCACTACTGGGTATCTACCCAGAGGAAAATAAGTCATTGTAGTAAAAAGACACCTGCACATGTATGTTTATCACAGCACAATTCACAAATTGCAAAGATATGGTACCAATCTAAGTGCCCATCAACTGATGAGTAGAAAATAAAATGTGGTATATATACACTGTGGAACACTATTAGCCATAAGAAAGAGTGAAATAATGTCTTTTGCAGCAATTTAGATGGAGCTGGAGGCCATTGTTCTAAGTAAAGTAACCCAGGAATAAAAAACCAAGTATTGTATGTTCTCACTTATAAGTGGGAGCTAAGCTACGGGTACGCAAAGGCATACAGAGTGGTATAACGACAATGGAGACTCAGAAGCAGGGAAGATGAAGGTGGGGTGAGAAAAGAAAAACTACCTATTGGGTACAATGTGCACTACTCAAGTAATGGGTGCATTACTTAGACTTTACCACTATACAGTTCATCCATGTAACCAGAAACCACTTGTACCCCCAAAAGCTAGGGGTTCATTGTTGCATGCCAGGAAAATTTAAGACATAGACACATATGAGGAGTTTAGGAGTGGAAGTTTAATAGGTAGAAGAGAAGAGAAAGAGAAACAGCTTCCTCCATAGAAGAAGGGGTCTCCAAGCAGAAAAGACCAGCAGACCTCAAATGTGTCAGGTTTTATAGTCCAGTTTGAGGAGGCAGTGTCTGATTTAGGTAGGGCTCACAGATTGGTTCAGTCAGGTATAATATTTACATAGCATGTGGGGAAGGCTGGTCACCCCACCCTAATCTTCTTATACAAATGGGCTTTCCTGTTGATCAGCCCCATCTTGTCTGCTTCTAACCATGCACATGGCTGGCAGAGAAGGGAATTTGAAGCCTCCATCTTGAACATGTCTAGTCCCTAGTTCCTGCCAGCATTCACCTGTGTGATCTCTCAGCTTGCTTGTCTATGTCTGCAGCTCAACTTTCCAGGCTGCTCTTTGTTAGAAAATGATTTGGGGCTGCTTTTCATTAAAAAGAAAAGCCATACTGAGGACTCCTATACCCTTACTATCTGCCTAAGTGAGTTTCTCTTAACTCCTGTATCACAAAGTTGCCCTCTCTCACCACTCCTATTCAACATAGTACTAGAAGCCCTGACCAGAGCAATTAGGCGATAGAAAGAAATAAAAGACATCATTACATAGGAAGAGAGTAAGTAAAAATATCCCTGTTTGCAGCATATATGACTCCATACCTAGAAAACCCCTTGGTCTCTGCCCAAAAGCTACTTGATCTGATACACAACTTCAGTGAGGTTTCAGGCTACAAAATTAATGTACGAGAATCAGTAGCATTTCTGTACACCAACAACATCCAAACTGAGAGTCAGATCAAGAATGCAATCCCATTCACAATAGAATAAAAGAATGAAATCCCATTCACAAAAAGAATAAAATACCTAGGAATACAGCTAACCAGGCAGGTAAAATATCTCTATAATGAGAATTACAAAAGACTGCTCAAAGAAATCAGAGATGACACAAACAAAAAGAAAATACTCCATGCTCAGGGATAGAAGAATCAACATTGTTAAAATGGCCACACCAACCAAAGCAATTTATAGATTCAACACTATTTTTAATAATATCAAACTACCAATGACATTCTTTACAGAATTAGAAAAAACTATTTTAAAATTCATATGGAACCAAAAAAGAGCTCTAGTAGCCAAGGCAAGTCTAAGAAAAAAGAACAAAGCTGGAAGTATCATGCTACCTGACTTCAAACTATACTACAGGGCTACAGTAAACAAAAGAGCATAGTATTGGTACAAAAACAGACACATAGACAATGGGAACAAGATAGAGAGCCCAGAAATAATGCTACACACCTACAACTAAATGATCTTCAACAAACCTGACAAAAACAACCAATGAGGAAAGGACACCCTACTCAACAAATGTTGCTGGAATAACTGGCTAGCAATATGCAGATGATCGAAGTGGATCCCTTCCTTACACCATATACAAAAATTAACTCAAGATGGATTAAAGACTTAAATATAAAATCTAAAACTATAAAAATTCTGGAAGGTAACCTAGGAAATACCACTCTGGATGTAGGGCGTGGCAAAGATTTCACAATGAAGATGCCAAAAGCAATTGCAAAAATAAATACATAAATAAATAAATAAATAAATAATAAGAAAGTGGAACCTAACTAAAGTGCTTCTGGACAACAAAGAAAACTATCAACAGAGTAGACAGCCTGTAGAATGGGAGAAAATTTTTGCAAACTGTGCATCTGAAAAATGTCTAATATCTGGAAACTATAAGAAACTTAAACAAATCAACAAGAAAAATACAAATAACTCCATTAAAAAGTAGGCAAAGGACATGAACAGACACTTTTCAAAAGAAAACATACATGTGGACAACAGGCATATGAAAAAATGCCCAACATCACTGAGCATTAGAGAAATCCAAATCAAAACCACAATGAGATACCATCTGACACCAGTCAGAATGGCTATTACTAAAAAGAAAAAAAAAAACAGATGCTGTCAAACTTTCAGAGAAAAGAGAATGCTTATATACTGCTGGTGGGAATATAAATTAGTTCAGCTATTGTGGAAAGCAGTTTGGCGATTTCTCAAAGAACTCAAAGCGAATTATCAGCCCAGCAATCCCATTATTGGGTATATACCCAAAGGAATATAAATCATTCTATTGAAAAGATTCATGCACACATATGTTCATTGCAGCATTATTTGCAATAGCAAAGACATAGAATCAACCTAAATGCCTATAAATGGTAGACTAGATAAAGAAAATGTGGTATGTATAAACAATGGAATAATTACACTGCCATAAAAAAAGAATGAGACCACATCTTTTGCAGCAATATGGATGGAGATGGAGGCTGTTATGCCTAGCAAACTAACACAGGAACAGAAAATCAAATACCCCATGTTCTCACTTATAAGTGGGAACCAAACATTGAGTATCCATGAACATAAAGAAAGGAAAGACACATGGGCCTACTTAAGAGTAGAGAGAGGGAGGACGGTGTCAAAAAAAAAAAAAAAAACCACTTATTGAGTATTATGCTCATCACCTGGGTGGTGAAATAATTTGTACACCAAACCTCTGTGACACACAATTTACTTATATAACAAAACTGCGCAGGTACACCTAAGGGAATCTAAAATAAAAGTTAAAGAAAAGTAACAAGAAGCTTCCTAAAAGTAATAATAATAAAACAAAATGAAATCACATTAAACTTTTTAAAAAGGTTGTTTACACTATACTGTTGTATGTTGTATATTATGTATGAAATAGCATTATGTCTAAAACACAATATATATACCTCATTAAAAATACTTTATTGTTAAAAAAAGCTAATAATCAACTGAGTCTTCAGCAAGTCATAATCTTTCTGCTGATGTAGGGTTTTGCCTCTGTGTTGATGGCTGCTGACTGATCAGGGTAGTTGTTGCTGAATTTTGGAGTTCCTACAGAAATTTCTTAAAATAGGACAAGAATGAACTTTGCTGCATTGATTAATACTTCATTTCATGAAAGGTTTCTCTGTAGCATGTAATGAAGTTTGACAGCATTTTACCCACAGGAGAAGTTCTTTCATAATTGGAATCAATCCTTTCCAACCCTGCTGCTGCTTTATCAACTACATTGATGTAACATTCTAAATCATTTGTTGTCATTTCAACAATATTCACAGCATCTTTGCCAGGAGTAGATTTCATCTCAAGAAACCACTTTCTTTGCTCATTCATAAGAAGAAACTTCTCATACAATCAAGTTTTACTATGAGATTGCAGTAATTCAGTCACACCTTGAGGCTCCACTTCTAATTCTATTTCTCTTGCTATTTCCACCATATCTGTAGTTACTTCCCCCAGTGAAGTCTTGAGTCCCTCAAAGTCATCCAGGAGGTTTGGAATTAATTTTTCCAGCAGTCCTGCTAATGTTGATATTTTGACCTCCTCCCATGAATCATGAATCTTCATAATGACATCTAAAATGGTGGGTCCTTTCCAGAAGGTTTTCCATTTACCTTGCCCAGAACCATCAGAGGAATTGTTATCTGTGGTAGCTGTAGCCTTATGAAATGTATTTTTTAAATAATAAGACTTGAAAGTTTAAATGACTCTTTGATTCATGGGCTGCGAAATAGATGGTGTGATAACAGACCTGAAAATACCATTAGCCTCCTTGAACATTTCCATCAGAGCTCTTGGGTGACCAGGTACAATTGTCAATGAGCAGTAATATTTTGAAAGAAATCCTTTTGCTAAGCAGTAGATCTCAAAAGTGGGCTTAAAATATTCAGGAAACCATGCTGTAAACAGATGTGCTGTCATCCAAGTTGTTTTTTTTCCATTGGCAAAGCACATGCAGAGTAGATTTAGCATAATTCTTAAGGGCTCTCAAATTTTGGGAATGGTGAATGAGCATTGGCTTCAACTTTAAGTCAGGAGCTTCATTTGCCCCGAATAAGAGAATCAATCTGTCCTTTGAAACTTTGAAGCCAGGCATTAATTTCTCCTCTCTAGCTATGAAAGTCCTAGATGACATCTTCTTCCAATAGAAGGCTGTCTTGTCCACAGTGAAAAATCTGATTTTAATTGTAACCACCTTCATCAGTTATCTTAGCTAGATTTTCTGGATAACTTGCTGCACCTTCTCCATCAGCACTTGCTACTTTATCTTGTACTTTTATATTATGCAGAGAACTTCTTTCCTTAAACCTCATGAAGCAACCTCTGCTAGCTTCTAACTTTTCTTCTGAAGCTTGCTCACCTTTCTCAGCCCTTATAGCATTGAAGAGAGGTGGGCCTTGCTCTAGATTAGGCTTTAGCTGAAGGGAATGCTGTGGCTGGTTTGATCTTCTATCTAGGCCACTAAAACTTTCTCCTTATCAGCAATAAGGTTGTTTCCCTTTCTTATCATTTGTGTGTTCACTGGAGTAGCACTTTTCATTTCCTTCAAGAACTTTTTCTTTGCATCCACAATTTGGCTAAATGTTTGGTGCAAGAAGCCTAGCTTTCAGCCAATCTCACCTTTCAACATACCTTCCTCATTAAGCTTAATCCTTTTAGCTTTTATTTAAATAAGAGACATGTGATTCTTTTTTTTTTTTCATTTGAACACTTAGAGGTAATTGTAGGGTTGCTAATTGGCCTAATTTCAATATTATTGTGTCTCAGGGAATAGAGAGGCCTGAGGAAAGGAAGACAGATAGGGGAACAGCAAGTTGGTGAGCAGTCAGGATGCATACAACATTTATTAAGTTCACTATCCTACACAGGCATGGTTCATGGTGCCCCAAAACAATTACAGTAGTAACCACAAAGATCACTGATCACAAGTCACCATAAGGAATACAATAATAATAATAATAAAGTTTGAAGTATTGCAAGAATGGCCAAAATGTGACATAGACACCAGGTAGGCACATGCTGTTGGAAAACTGGTCCCAATAAACTTGCTTGACACAGTGTTGCTACAAAGTCTCAATGTGTAAAAAAACATATCTGTGAGGATCAATAAAGCAAAGCACAGTAAAATGAGGCATGTCTATACCCAGATTCAAAAAAGTTTATTTTTAGGCAGGTAGCCTGGGCAAAAAACAGTATGACATTGCCATACTGCTCCAAACAGAATGTATTCATTTAACTTCCCATAAAGTTAAAATCTCTAATAAGAAATATGCGACTATTGCCACAGACATACATAGCTTCTCAAGATCAGTACCTCATACTACTGGAGTTACTTCGTGATCCAATTTGCTTCTATACTCATTATGGAAAAAAAAAACCAGCAATGCTAGTATTTTTAAGATATATTAATCTAAAAACCACCGTGTGAAGATACATCATTATTATTCCTTAGGAAGACAATCAAATGCATTTTGCACAGCATCCCTAAGTGTGGTTCATGAGATCCCCAAGCAGAATTTTTAATGTTCATCTGGATAACTTTGTCTAGGCCTTTTTCACCTCAATTCCACTTGTCCCCAAATGCCTTTCCAGGCAATTTAACAAAACATGTGAGTCATAAGGAATAAACAGTTGAGCTAATTGAAGGGGGGAAAAGGGAGCAAAAAATGCCCATAAAATAGTTCCTTACCCAGACCTGAACATTTATATGCACACCTAATCAGTGGTCAAATGTTTCACTCTCTGGCTAGGTAAAATGTGATCCAATGTTCATTGAATTATGTATCTATAGCAGAGAATTCCTGTGACATACTCATTGCCCTATATTGGAGAACTTAGAGTGCTACTGGAAAAACTAGACTGGGCAGAAGAAGAGCAGAGGAAAAGAAGGTACTTATTAGCAGAGGTTGCATCTCTAGAAAGTGGGTCTGGCAATGGAAGAGAATACAGAACCCAGAAATAAGACTGCACACGTACAACTATCTGATCTTCAATGAATCTGACAAAAAACAAGCAATGGCAAAAGGATTCCCTATTTAATGAATGGTGCTGAGATAACTGGCTAGCCATATGCAGACAATTGAAACTGGACCCCTTCCTTACACCATATACAAAAATTAACTCAAGATGGATTAAAGACTTAAATGTAAAACCCAAAACTATAAAAACTCTAGAAAACAATCTGGGCAATATCATTCAGGACATAAACACTAAAAAAGATTTCATAGTGAAGATCCCAAAAGCAATTGCAACCAAAGCAAAAATTGACATATGGGATCAAATTAAACCAAAGAACTTCTGCACAGCAAAAGAAACTATCAACAGAGTAAACAGAAAACCTACAGAATGGGAGAAAATTTTTCTAAACTATGCATCCAAGAAAGGTCTAATAACCACCATCTACAAAGAACTTAAATAAATTTACAAGAAAAAAATACAAACAACCTCACTGAAAAGTGGACAAAGGACATGAATGGATACTTTTCAAAAGAAGACACACAGGCAGCCAACAATCATATGAAAAGAAGCTCAATATCACTCATCATTAGAGAAATGCAAGTCAAAACCACAATGAGATACCATCTCACACCAATCAGAATGGCTGTTATTAAAAACTCAAACAATGACAGATGCTGGTGAAATTGTGGAGAAAAAGGAACGTTTATACATTGTTGGTGGGAGTGTAAATTAGTTCATCCATTGTGGAAGACAGTGTGGCACTTCCTCAAAGTCCTAAAGATAGAAATATCATTCAACTCAACAATCCCATTTCGGTGTGTATACCCAAAGGAATATAAATCATTCTATTATAAAGACACATGCACACATATGTTCCTTGCAGTACTATTCACAATAGCAAAGACATGGAATCTACCTAAATGCCCATCAATGATAGACTGGATAAAGAAAATGTGGTACATATACACAATGGAATACTATGCAGCCATAAAAAAGAACAAGATCATGTCCTTTGTAAGAACATGGATGCCACTGGAGGCCATTATCCTTAGCAGACTAACACAGAAACAAAAAAAACAAATGCCACATGTTCTCACTTATAAGTGGGAGCTAAATGTTGAGAACACATGGACACATAGAGGGAAACAACACACACTGGGGCCTTTTGGAGGGTGAAGGGTGAGAGGAGGGAGAGTATCAGGAAAAATAACTAATGGGTACTAGGCCTAATACCTGGGTGATGAAATAAACTATACAATGAACCCCCATGACACATGACACAAGTTTACCTGTAACAAACCTGAATATGTATCCCTGAACTTAAAATAAAAGTTGGAAAACAAAGAAGTGGGTGTGAGTTGTGGGTTTCTAGAACAAGAAGGCCAAGGAGCAGAGGAAAAGCCTCAGAATGTCTGTGTCTTTTAAATAAAAACTTAAAAGGACTGGACAAATGTCAGCTTAAAAGGAAGAAGAGATAAGGAAAACTTCTTATTGCTATTATGTAGTTATGACTCCAGCCTTCCAAAAGTGTATGGACCAAGGGGGAAAGGCTATTTCTCTTCTTTTTTTTTTTTTTTGAGATGGAATCTCACTCTGTTGCCCAGGCTGGAGTGCAGTGGCACAATCTCGGTTCACTGCAACCTCTGCCTCTTGGGTTCAAGCAATTCTCCTGCCTCAGCCTCCCGAGTAGCTGGGACTACAGGTGCACACTGCCACACCTGGCTAATTTTTTTTGTATTTTAGTAGAAACAGGGTTTCACCATGTTGCCCAGGCTGGTTGCAAACTCCTGAGCTCAGGCAGTTTGCCTGCCTTGGCCTCCCAAAGTGCTGGGATTACAGGCATGAGCCACAGTGCCCAGCCAGGAAAGGCTACTTCAAAATTAATGTGTTTTAGTTCCATAAAAGAATTGAGTTGGGATCTGCTTTCAAGATGGCCGAATAGGAACAGCTCCGGTCTACAGCTCCCAGCATGAGTGACGCAGAAGACAGGTGATTTCTGCATTTCCATCTGAGGTACTGGGTTCATCTCACTAGGGAGTGCCAGAGAGTGGGTGCAGGACAGTGGGTGCACCGCACCGTGTGCCAGCCAAAGCAGGGCGAGGCATTGCCTCACTCGGGAAGTGCAAGGAGTCAGGGAGTTCCCTTTCCTGGTCAAGGAAAGGGGTGACAGATGGCACCTGGAAAATTGGGCCACTCCCACCTGAATACTGTGCTTTTCCGACAGGCTTAGGAAACAGCACACCAGGAGGTTATATCCCGCACATGGCTTGGAGGGTCCTATGCCCATGGAGTCTCGCTGATTGCTAGCACAGCAGTCTGAGATCAAACTGCAAGGCGGCAGCGAGGCTGAGGGAGAGGTGCCTGCCATTGTCCAGGCTCACTTAGGTAAACAAAGCAGCCCGGAAGCTCGAACTGGGTGGAGCCCACCATAGCTCAAAGAGGCCTGCCTGCCTCTGTAGGCTCCACCTCTAGGGGCAGGGCACAGACAAACAAAAAGACAGCAGTAACCTCTGCAGACTTAAATGTCCCTGTCTGTCAGCTTTGAGGAGAGCAGTGGTTCTCCCAGCACGCAGCTGGAGATCTGAGAACGAGCAGACTGCCTCCTCATGTGGGTCTGACCCCCTGACCCCCGAGCAGCCTAACTGGGAGGCACCCACCAGTAGGAGCAGACTGACACCTCACACGACCAGGTACTCCTCTGAAACAAAACTTCCAGAGGAACGATCAGACAGCAGCATTCGCGGATCACGAAAATCCACGGTTCTGCAGACAATGCTGCTGATACCCAGGCAAACAGGGTCTGGAGTGGACCTCTAGCAAACTCCAACAGACCTGCAGCTGAGGGTCCTATCTGTTAGAAGGAAAACTAACAAACAGAAAGGACATCCACACCAAAAACCCATCTGTACATCACCATCATCAAAGACCAAATGTAGATAAAACCACAAAGATGGGGAAAAAACAGAGCAGAAAAACTGGAAACTCTAAAAGGCAGAGTGCCTCTCCTCCTCGAAAGGAACACAGTTCCTCTCGAGCAACGGAACAAAGCTGGACGGAGAATGACTTTGACGAGTTGAGAGAAGAAGGCTTCAGACGATCAAACTACTCTGAGCTACAGGAGGAAATTCCAACCAAAGGCAAAGAAGTTGAAAACTTTGAAAAAAAATTAGACGAATGTATAACTAGAATAACCAATACAGAGAAGTGCTTAAAGGAGCTGATGGAGCTGAAAGCCAAGGCTCGAGAACTACGTGAAGAATGCAGAAGCCTCAGGAGCTGATGTGATCAACTGGAAGAAAGGGTATCAGTGATGGAAGATGAAATGAATGAAATGAAGCAAGAAGGGAAGTTTAGAGAAAAAAGAATAAAAAGAAACAAACAAAGCCTCCAAGAAATATGGGACTATGTGAAAAGACCAAATCTCCGTCTGATTGGTGTACCTGAAAGTGACTGGGAGAATGGAACCAAGTTGGAAAACACTCTGCAGGATATTATCCAGGAGAACTTCCCCAATCTAGAAAGGCAGGCCAGCATTCAGATTCAGGAAATACAGAGAACGCCACAAAGATACTCCTCGAGAGGCGCAACTCCAAGACACCTATTTGTCAGATTCACCAAAGTTGAAATGAAGGAAAAAATGTTAAGGGCAGCCAGAGAGAAAGGTCGGGTTACCCACAAAGGGAAGCCCATCACACTCACAGCTGATCTCTCAGCAGAAACTCTACAAACCAGAAGAGAGTGGGGGCCAATATTCAACATTCTTAAAGAAAAGAATTTTCAACCCAGAATTTCATATCCAGCCAAACTGAGCTTCATAAGTGAAGGAGAAATAAAATACTTTAAAGACAAGAAAATTCTGAGAGATTTTGTCACCATCAGGCCTGCCCTAAAAGAGCTCCCGAAGGAAGCACTAAACGTGGAAAGTCACAACTGGTAACAGCCGCTGCAAAATCATGCCAAAATGTAAAGACCATCGAGACTAGGAAGAAACTGCGTCAACTAACGAGCAAAATAACCAGCTAACATCATAATGACAGGATCAAATTCACACATAACAATATTAACTTTAAATGTAAATGGACTAAATGCTCCAATTAAAAGACGCAGACTGGCAAATTGGATCAAGAGTCAAGATTCATCAGTGTGCTGTATTCAGGAAACCCATCTCACGTGCAGAGACTCACATAGGCTCAAAATAAAGGATGGAGGAAGATCTACCAAGCAAACGGAAAACAAAAAAAGGCAGGGGTTGCAATCCTAGTCTCTGATAAAACAGACTTTAAACCAACAAAGAGCAAAAGAGACAAAGAAGGCCATTACATAATGGTAAAGGGATCAATTCAACAAGAAGAGCTAACTATCCTAAATATATATGCACCCAACACAGGAGCACTCAGATTCATAAAGCAAGTCCTTAGTGACCTACAAAGAGACTTAGACTCCCACACAATAATAATGGGAGACTTTAACACCCCACTGTCAACATTAGGCAGATCAACGAGACACAAGGTTAACAAGGATACACGGGAATTGAACTCAGCTCTGCACCAAGCAGACCTAATAGACATCTACAGAACTCTCCACCCCAAATCAACAGAATATACATTTTTTTCACCACCACACCACACCTATTCCAAAATTGACCACATAGTTGGAAGTAAAGCTCTCCTCAGCAAATGTAAAAGAATAGAAATTACAACAAACTGTCTCTCAGACCACAGTGCAATCAAACTAGAACTCAGGATGAAGAAACTCACTCAAAACCACTCAACTACATAGAAACTGAACAAGCTGCTCCTGAATGACTACTGGGTACATAATGAAATGAAGGCAGAAATAAAGATGTTCTTTGAAACCAATGAGAACAAAGACACAACATACCAGAATCTCTGGGACACATTCAAAGCAGGGTGTAGAGGGAAATTTATAGCACTAAATGCCCACAAGAGAAAGCACGAAAGATCCAAAATTGACACCCTAACTTCACAATTAGAAGAACTAGAAAAGCAAGAGCAAACACATTCAAAAGCTAGCAGAAGGCAAGAAATAACTAAAATCAGAGCAGAACTGAAGGAAATAAAGACAAAAAAAACCCTTCAAAAAAATTAATGAATCCAGGAGCTGGTTTTTGAAAGGATCAACAAAATTGATAGACCACTAGCAAGACTAATAAAGAAAAAAAAAGACAAGAATCAAATAGATGCAATAAAAAATGATAAAGGGGATATCACCACCAATCCCACAGAAATACAAACTACCATCAGAGAATACTACAAACACCTCTATGCAAATAAACTAGAAAATCTAGAAGAAATGGATAAATTCCTCAACACATACACTCTCCCAAGACTAAACCAGGAAGAAGTTGAATCTCTGAATAGACCAATAACAGGAGCTGAAATTGTGGCAATAATCAATAGCTTACCAACCAAAAAGAGTCCAGGACCAGATGGATTCACAGCCGAATTCTAGCAGAGGTACAAGGAGGAGCTGGTACCATTCCTTCTGAAACTATTCCAATCAATACAAAAAGAGGGAATCCTCCCTAACTCATTTTATCAGGCCAGCATCATCTTGATACCAAAGACAGGCAGAGACACAACCAAAAAAGAGAATTTTAGACCAATATCCTTGATGAACATTGATGCAAAAATCCTCAATAAAATACTGGCAAACCGAATCCAGCAGCACATCAAAAAGCTTATCCACCATGATCAAGTGGGCTTCATCCCTGGGATGCAAGGCTGGTTCAATATACGCAAATCAATAAATGTAATCCAGCATATAAACAGAACCAAAGACAAAAACCACATGATTATCTCAATAGATGCAGAAAAGGCCTTTGACAAAATTCAACAACTCTTCATGCTAAAAACTCTCAATAAATTAGGTATTGATGGGACATATCTCAAAATAATAAGAGCTATCTATGACAAACCCACAGCCAATATCATACTGAATGGGCAAAAACTGGAAGCGTTCCCTTTGAAAACTGGCACAAGACAGGGATGCCCTCTCTCACTACTCCTATTCAACATAGTGTTGGAAGCTCTGGCCAGGGCAATTAGGCAGGAGAAGGAAATAAAGGGTATTCAATTAGGAAAAGAGGAAGTCAAATTGTCCCTGTTTGCAGATGACATGATTGTATATCTAGAAAACCCCATTGTCTCAGCCCAAAATCTCCTTAGGCTGATAAGCAACTTCAGCAAAGTCTCAGGATACAAAATCAATGTACAAAAATCACAAGCATTCTTATACAGCAATAACAGACAAACAGAGAGCCAAATCATGAGTGAACTCCCATTCACAATTGCTTCAAAGAGAATAAAATACTTAGGAATCCAACTTACAAGGGACGTGAAGGACCTCTTCAAGGAGAACTACAAACCACTGCTCAATGAAATAAAAGAGGATACAAACAAATGGAAGAACATTCCATACTCATGGGCAGGAAGAATCAATATCATGAAAATGGCCATACTGCCCAAGGTAATTTATAGATTCAATGCCATCCCCATCAAGCTACCAATGACTTTCTTCACAGAATTGGAAAAAACTACTTTAAAGTTCATATGGAACCAAAAAAGAGCCTGCATCACCAAGTCAATCCTAAGCCAAAAGAACAAAGCTGGAGGCATCATGCTACCTCACTTCAAACTATACTACAAGGCTACAGTAACCAAAACAGCATGGTACTGGTACCAAAACAGAGATATAGATCAATGGAACAGAACAGAGCCCTCAGAAATAACGCCGCATATCTACAACTATCTGATCTTTGACAAACCTGACAAAAACAAGAAATGGGGAAAGGATTCCCTATTTAATAAATGGTGCTGGGAAAACTGGCTAGCCACATGGGGAAAGCTGAAACTGGACCCCTTCCTTACACCTTATACAAAAATTAATTCAAGATGGATTAAAGACTTAAATGTTAGACCTAAAACCATAAAAACCCTAGAAGAAAACCTAGGCATTACCATTCAGGACATAGGCATGGGCAAGGACTTCATGTCTAAAACACCAAAAGCAATGGCAACAAAAGCCAAAATTGACAAATGGGATCTAATTAAACTAAAGAGCTTCTGCTCAGCAAAAGAAACTACCATCAGAGTGAACAGGCAACCTACAAAATGGGAGAAAATTTTCACAACCTACTCATCTGACAAAGGGCTAATATCCAAAATCTACAATGAACTCAAACAAATTTACAAGAAAAAAACAAACAACCCCATCAAAAAGTGGGCAAAGGATATGAACAGACACTTCTCAAAAGAAGACATTTATGCAGCCAAAAGACACATGAAAAAATGCTCATCATCACTGGCCATCAGAGAAATGCAAATCAAAACCAAAATGAGATACCATCTCACACCAGTTAGAATGGCAATCATTAAAAAGTCAGGAAACAACAGGTGCTGGAGAGGATGTGGAGAAATAGGAACACTTTTACAATGTTGGTGGGACTGTAAAGTAGTTCAACCATTGTGGAAGTCAGTGTGGCAACTCCTCAGGGATCTAGAACTAGAAATACCATTTAACCCAGCCATCCCATTACTGGGTATATACCCAAAGGACTATAAATCATGCTGCTATAAAGACACATGCACATGTATGTTTATTGCAGCACTATTCACAATAGCAAAGACTTGGAACCAACCCAAATGTCCAACAATGATAGACTGGATTAAGAAAATGTGGCACATATACACCATGGAATACTATGCAGCCATAAAAAATGATGAGTTCATGTCTTTATAGGGACATGGATGAAACTGGAAATCATCATTCTCAGTAAACTACCGCAAGGACAAAAAACCAAACACCGCATGTTCTCACTCATAGACGGGAATTGAACAATGAGAACACATGGACACAGGAAGGGGAACATCACACTCTGGGGACTGTTGTGGGGTGGGGGGTTGGGGGTGGGATAGCATTAGGAGATATACCGAAGGCTAAATGACGAGTTAATGGGTGCAGCACACCAGCATGGCACATGTATACATATGTAACTAACCTGCACATTGTGCACATGTACCCTAAAACTTAAAGTATAATAATAATAAATAAATAAAAAAGAAAAAAAAAGAATTGAGTTGAAGCATCAATTAATCTTGGCATTTGGGCATTCATTCAATATTCCACTAAACCATAATTGCACACCCACTGTGGGCTCGTGGTATAGGAATTACCAAGATAGGCAAGGCTCCAGGCCTCAGAGAGTATACATTCTAAGGAGGGAGGCCTATTAGAGAAATTAATGATAAACACAATAGCTACATATTGCAATAAACGGCACTGTGGCAGATCACATTTTCCAAGGCTGGATGCAACAAGATCTCCCATCCCACATGTTTCCTGGAATCGTTCCCCATGAAGATGTGGAGTCTCATTCCTCTATTCTTGAATCTGGGCCAATAAAAAGGAGAAATGATGCTAAGTGACTTTCAAGGCTAGGTCATAAAAGACAATGAAACTTGCACCTTGCTCACAAGAACTGTTGGCTCTTGAAGGCTTTGGCCACCATGTAAGCAGTTTAACTACCCTGAGGCTACTATGCTGTGAAAAAGCTAAAACTAGCTCCACCGCGGAGACCATGAGATTACATGAAAGTCATGTTCAGCCTGGCCCAGCCACAACAGCCTTGCACTGTCCCAGCTCCAGTCACCCCTTGACTGCGATGTCGCAAAAGACCTAGAGGGGAGGCTGCCCCACCAAGTCTTTCTCCAATTTCTGTCCTGAAAAAACTATGAAAATGATCAAATTATTGCTTTTGCTTTGACTCACTGAGGTTTGTAGTGATTTGTTGCATAGTAATTGATGAATAGAATAGCTATGAAGGAAATGAATGGGGTGATGACAAAGACAGTAACTGGGAGTGAGAGCTACTCTAAACAGGGAGGCCACAGAAATCCCACCTCAGGAGAAGGATGTGAGCAGTTTGTGGGGGACATCTGAGGGAGAAGCAAAATCAAGACCTGGAGGGAGAAACAGACTGGTCCTGGCCACCAGAATGGCTGAAATATTGGAAGCAAAGGAAAGAATCAAGTTGGAGATGTAGGCAGGAGACAATTATGCAAGGTCTTGTAGGGTGAATAAGAAGTTTGGGTTTCATTTTAAGTGCATCGGAAAGCGCTTGGGAGATTTGAAACCACTAACATGCACCAGTCCACACCCACTAAGCCAGCTGCATTGATTCCAAGGCTGTCCCCTCCTTTCCACAAGGGATGATCTTCCCCGAGGATGAACTTCCTCAGTGGATGATCAGTAATCCAAATAAGGGGCTTATGTGTTCACTGGAAACTAAAATGGGGTGACATCAAGAAACAGTACAGCCACAGCCCCAATCACCACTTTCTGTTCACACTGCTGTGGCCCATGTGTCCTATATCTCAGTCATTGGCATCCTATTCTTTACAAGGTTTCCTAGTTACCAAGACATCTGGTCCTGAATTCTCTCAACCTTGCACTCTGTTTTGGTATTTATTTTAATGGTCACACTTATTTCCCCTCCGAAGAGCTTTATTTTTGTACTTCTTCACAAACCCCAACACTGAGTATGTACTTGTTGAATTAATGCCTTGCTAGAATAATGAAAAACAATAAAAGAGATATAACAAATGTTTAATACAGTAGAAAAATCGGCACGTTTAGTAAACTGTAATGTTCAAACCCTATCCTTAACTGTATATCATGATGGGTCCTTCTAGGTAAAGTCTTTGTGTCCTGAGCCTTCAATAAATCTTCCCTGGTTGCTGAGGTTTGTGGAGTCTATTTTTTTAAAATAGCAGTTGCAATTCTAAAGACACTCCCAGGAATTTCGGCTCTGTGAGCAAAGAAGGGAGGTAGAGATGGGGATGAGATGGGAAAGGGTGGACAGGGTGGTCGACTGGTTCTTATTACAACTGTTTAAGTTTCATTTACATGTTTCTCTAGGTTGCTCAGATCCAGGACAGTGTTATTGGATGTTGAACACCTGTCTCGACACACAGAGCTGCACCCAGCCTTGCCAAGAGTAGCATTGACATTTCTGCTGCATAGAATTGCACAATGGGACTAAAATGTGGACACTCATGGGCCTCATCTGGCTCATGGGATTCTGGCTCAAAAAGAGTCACACCACTCATGATTACAGATTACTAGAGTCTCTCCTGTGTTTTTAGTTCCTATAGTAAATGCAAGCTTGTCATTGTTCTTAAGCCATTTGATTGTGTTCACTGGACATTTTTATAGGTCTCAACTTACTCTTTGATGATACATGAGTAAGAGAAGAGTAACACCTAGACCATATTGCTCCAAGTTTATTCTCAGGGGGTTCTTGGCCACATTCAGTGAGAGCTGTATTCAAACAGAAAGATACATGGTTCAGCGAGCTCTCTATCCTGAGAATCCAGAATATCTCAAAGATCGTGGAATAATAACAAATATACAGGGACCTCTAGAAAGGCACTTCTCAAATGTTAATGTGCGTACTAATCACCTGGGTTACCACCTTCTGAAATGCAGATGCAGATACAGTAGATCTGGAATGGGGCCAAAGAATGCCTTCCTAACAAGCTTCCAGCTGATGTCAATGACCTGGTCCAAGAGCATACTTTGGTTTTCAAAGCATGGCCCCCAGGCCAGCAGCATTAGCCTTACCTGGGTTATCATGTCCGTTCTCACATTGCTATAAAGAAATACCTGAGACTGGGTAATTTATAAATAAGAGGTTTAACTGTCTCATGGTTCCATAGGCTATACAGGAAGCATGATGCTGGCATCTGTTCAGCTTCTGGTAAGGCCTCAGGAAACTTACAATCATGGCTAAAGGCAAAGGGGAAGCGAGACGTCTCACATGGTAGAAGCAGGAGCAGGAGAGAAATAGGGGGAGGTGCTACACACTTTTAAACAACCAGGTCTTGTGAGAACTTACTCACTGTCATGAGAACACTCCCAAGAGGGATTTCATGAGAAACCCCCCCATGACCCCGTCACCTCCCCCCATGCCCCACTTCCAAGATTGGAGATTACAATTCAACATAAGATGTTGTGGGGACACAGTTCCAAACCATATCACCTGGGAACTGGTTAATAGATGCAAATTCTCAGGCCCTATCTCTGGCCCTACTGGATTAGAAATTCTAGGGGTAAAGCCCAGCAATGTGCATTGTAATAGACCCTCCAGGAGATTCTGACAGATGGATGCTGAAGGTTAATAACCATGGCATTATCAAGATTCATTCACTTTGGTGAACTAAAGGATTTCAGCCAGTCTCCAAATTTTGATCTAATAATCAACAGTTCTAGAATCAGAAATTTTGATTCCTCTAATACCAATCTAGAGTTTAGAGTTTAAATCCATTTCAAAATGTTTTATCCTCATCATTAAGGTACAACTTCCATATAAAAACCTCAGTATGTTTTCACATTTAAAAAGATTAATCCCTTCAATCCTCATTTAATGATCTGGTTCAATAATATGATCTTTGGACAAGTCCAATATCCTGAAATCTGGGCTCTTAATGCCTAGGTATAGATGTCAGGCCAAGGGGCATTGGAATTCTTGAAGTCTAGGCACATCTTTGGGCATTTTCAGTGGCCTTGTGGTTTTATACTTGATAGGAGGTATTTAGAAATCTCAGTATTATCTCAGGCTGGAAAATGGTGGACTCAAGACTCAATTTCTTTTACTTAAATGGAGTAAGTCAAATGGATAGCCTCCGAAAATGATTGGCAGGATCAATAAGGTCAGTAAGAATTAGATTACCCTCTCAGTGTACACTGGAAAAATACCTCAGGCCTCAGACTTTGAGGCATAATTTCCAGGACTGCCAGGACCCTGTTAACTATCACTTTTGAAAACGCAAAAGGGCAGGTTACCCCACAGGTCACCAGGGAAAGTAGAATCTGGAGCCTGTCCAGGCCACATAACACCACCTGGGATGCCTGTGAACCAGGCCTAGAGCCTTCATACCTACTCTGGTTTCAACTTTCACAACTGGGACTACTTTGCAATTTCAGTTTTAAGAGTAATCTTGAGGAGAAATACATAAACCCCTGGCTAATACCTTCACGATTATAACTATGCTAGTACAAGACTGTGCAGCAATTTGAATAATGCTGACTAATAACATGTTAGACTACTATAACCCTTTTCGTCTAAGGACCTCAAAGCGCTCTGCTCATATGACTTTACTAATCCTTGAAACAACTTCTGTGAAATATATGGGAAATATTATTATCTCCATTTCTCAGGAGGAAAAAGTCATCTGTGAATTGCCCAGGTGTCACCTCACTCTCATAACTAACTTCAAGTCTTACTAAGGGCAGGCAGAGAGATTTGGGATATTGAGGGGGCTAAGGAAGAAAGGGGATAGCAGAATGACAGTCTAGAGCGAAAACAAATTTGGTTGTAATGTAAGCAACATTAATCATAGAGCAATGGAATTACTAAGAAACAGAAAGTGATTGATTTTTTAAATGCTGTACCAAGAGTTGAGTAAAAAAAAATTGGGAGGGGGTTTACAGTTTTGTTTCACAATACAAATTTTTACATCTCCATGCTTTGCTTCAGTCTTTACTTGGGTCAGTGTAGCTTCGGGGGGATGAGATGAAGGGAGGCCCTTGCTTGATCTCTCCTCATTGCTCAAGTTCATCTTGTGAAGTTCTGCCCAAGGGTCAGTAGCTGAGATTACACTTAACGATTCTCATCCTTGGTTTCCTAATGGTTCCCTTGACTCCAACTTCTTTTTCCCAATACCACTTTTGTAGTCCACATTTTATTTATATAAAAATTACAAAATTTTCCCCAGGAGATCTTTGAGGATATTATCAAAAGTGCCCCAGATTTCCTAAACTGATAAGTTAACATTTAAAACTTTTTAGAATGTGCAATTGCCTTTCTTCCTCTTTCCCTTCCTTCCTTTCCTTCCTTCTTTCCTTTCTTTCTTTTCTCCTCCTCCTCTCTCTCTCTTTCCTCTTTTCTTCTTCCTCATTTTAAAATGTCAAAAGCTTCCTGACATGCTTTGGCCATGGAAATGGAACATATTTTCTCATTAGGTTAATTAATGGCTCTGCTTGGGTGGCACAATTCGGTGTAAGTTTCCTTTTAGAATTCTGTCATAACTAAAAAGGATCTTATTTTTGTTATGTTTTGTGGTGTCTTTAAATTTTTATGACTTCTACTTTGTTTAGTCTGTGTGTAATCCTTCTTTTGAAACCTAATGTCCTAGAAAATTTACAGTTTTCTCTCAAAACTGGCACTTTTTACATTTTACAGTAATTCCTGTTTCTTTAGTTTTCACTAGAACTTCATTTAAGTCCTTAAGGTGTAATTCGCAGCTCAGGGAATTTATGATTACATCGTCAAAGTAAACTCCCCAAGAGCAATATATTAAACCTGACAAGATGCTGTTCATTAATCTTTGAAATATGACCAGGTGTGATGTAGCAAAGTGAGGCTTCCAACTAAGAACAGCTGAAGGACTCCAAACTGCCCCATCGAAAGGATTCCTTCCCCGTCACTGCCAAAGCCACCTGGGTGAGGACTGAGAGAGCCAAAGACCTTTCCTTGGCCAACCACAGTGTTCCCTGTCTCTGCTGATGTTCCTACAGCTTTGCAACCTCTCACCTTTTCACACGTTCATTCATTCAACAAATATTTATTGAGTGTCTACAATGGGCCAGGCACCAGGTGGGACTGGAAAGACAGTAGTAACCAAGACAGACCCAATCCCTTGCCTCATGGGACTTATAGCTCGCCTAGCTATGAACAATAGCCTCAAGACTCCTTTACCCAATACCATCAAACTTATGTGATATGAACTACATTGCTTGGATCTGAGGCATTTCTTCTCCACCCTAGATGTACCTTTGATGCTAAATGATTCCCACCATTTGTGAGAGAGACTGTAGTACAGCTTGGTGGGTGCATGGATAGAGGTTTGCAAATGGCACTATCAAAGAGAAGCAGCCAAATCCATCTCGGCGGCCGTCAGTGCTCAGTCAGAAAAGCAGAGTTCAGCTCATCACTGTGCAACACTACCTCTAGGAAAATGAGGAAAATCCAGATAAAAGGCAATACCTCTCAAAGGCATTTGTAGGTCTTTCTGTAGACCTTTCTCTTTGCCTACATAAAATAGTGGGTGAAGGCAATGTGGGATTCTGGCTTGGGTCTGGGAACAGAAAAAAGACCTTAATGGAAAAACACGTAAAACCTGTACAAAGTCTGGAGTTTAGTTAATAGTAATATCAATATTGATATCTTCATTTTGACAAATATACCACGATAATGCAGATATTAATATTGGATAAACAGGGTGAGGGTGACTTAGGAAAATCCTTACAACTTTTCCATAATTCTAAAATGACTCCAAAATAAAAATGTTACTTTAAAAAGGTTTGCTTATGAAACAGGATCCTTAGAATGAATAATAAAAAAGCTACTAAAATAAAACAAAAGCGTATCATGGGCATAGTCTTTCTTGAAACTAAGGAGAAATATATCCAGGAACTCAGAGCCTAGAAGCTGATATTCTACTAAAGATAATGTTCTCATTGAATTTTGTTCGCTCTCCCATGCCACTTGAAGTCTGTCTTGTTGGTTTTAAGATCTCCTTTGAAGGTGTGTGTAAAAGAAACAACTGTGTAGAAGCATCCTAGTCCCAAGTTAAAGAAGCAAGATTCCTATTATTTCATATTATAACTCCCTGAATACACCTGATCTTCCCATCATTGCCACCTTCCCTGATTCATACACACACACATACACATACACACACCCCAGATCATTGCTGATACACAGCTAGCTTGCCCTTCCTTGTCTGCATACTTGCTCTTCATTTTCCTGCATTTTCCTGGTGTTGTAGAAACTTCTTTTTAAGTAACATAACAAGTATTTATGTATGCTGATTAAAGATATTCCTAGCTTAAAACTGCATTCAAGAAGACTTGGCTTACAGCATCTAATAAGTGATTCTTGTTTTTGTTAGCCTTGTTACACTGTGGGGTAGTTACACAATACATGCAATCCACACATCCATTTAAATCTTTTTCAGGGAGCATTTTCCATTTCAAATAAAGATGGTGATGAAAGCATTATTTTCTTAGCTAGCTGCATGCTTGAAAACATAATGGTTTTGTAAACCAAGTGTAAACCTCTGAACAGACAACTGGCTGCAATAAGAAATGTTTTCAAAAAGCAGAGTTAGCTTTTCAACATCCAAATGGTGCTTTAGTTAACCTGAAAATTTATGCCCATCCAGGGAAATTGATCATAGACTTAGAATATTAAACTTGGGATGATTCTTAGAGATCTTCTAATATAATTTTATCATATTAAAGATGAGAAACATTGAGGCCTGGGGGCTTGTGCCTTATTTGAGGCTTAAAATGACTGAGCTGAACTGAAAACCAGATGCCAGATGCCAGGCAAATGTCTCCTCTTTGTGCCAAACCGGTTCATCGTTTTGCGGCCGAGGCTCTGAGTTTTAATGTGATTACTCAAAAAGTTTGTTTTGTGTCTCATACCTTCTTTTTAAAAATGAAATAATGTGTGCAAACAACTGGGAATTACCACACATGTGCCATTTGTAATTGTTGCTGTTGTTGCGAATATCATTATCATCGACATTGCCTTATGAGAGAGATGCATGCAAATTCTATAAAGTCTACACAGGAAAGAAAGACAATTTTTACATGTTGACAATTGTTTTTTGCTCTATCCCTTCTGATTCCACTGCATTCTCATGGGGTCCCCTATTCTCAAGAATCTTCTTTTTAAAAATGCGTTTTCTTCTTTTGGACTTTCACTCTGTCTTTTTTAATATATATACAAGCCGACAAGGGGAGCTCACTGAAGAACAGAGCCCAGGTTTCTAGAAAGGCTCTGCAAATAGGAAGTAAAACCACATCACACCATTCATCTGCCAAAAGTAATAAACCCAGCCAGCCTCAGCGCCCTCTTGACTTCGTCAGCAACTAACGCTCCTCATTTCTCCCTTTCCTTGCAAAGGAAAAGGAAAAGATGCCAAGCAAAAAAATGCCAGGCAAATCAAACCATGGGAAAAATAACACCTTCAAACTCAGGGCAAAATTCTCATTTCCAATCCTTGCTGCAGATGTCCCATCCGGTATGTTTGGCAGGAAACACAGCTCTTGGAACAAGACTCAGAACACAGGTTAGAAAGAGGATTTGGCCAGAGGTGGTTTGGTAACTTTAATTTGTAGTTATAAACCCTGAGAAATTTCACTATGGTTTAATTTCATGCAATAATCAAAACAAATCCATATAAGAGCTGTCCTATATGGCTATAAGAACACATTTGTATAAGAGATGTACCGATATAGCTCTAAGAAATATATCTTCTGATTTTCCATAAACTGTTTTAATTAATTACTCCCCAAATTAATCAATCTGAGCTTATCTTTAATTGGTAGGAAAATAAACTACAAGCTCAAGATTTAGTATTCCAATATTTGCCCCAAGAAGAAACTACTGTGGGAATTCCAGCCTGGAAAAGCTATTCTTGATTCTTTCCTTTATTCTGACTTGAATCTACCTGCTTCCTGTCTTCAAAATCAGTAGAGGATCATTTGAGAATGAGTTTTAAAAGCCCACCTTCCTCATGTTGGTGTCCATCTTTCTAGTTACTAAGAGAAAACATAATTAATAACTTTTGATAAAATAGTCTTTCTTAAACATAGAGCTCTGGATTAAAAGTCAAGAGACTTGAAATTTTTAAAGTATACAATGTGCAGTTTTTTAAATTTTTATTTGTAATTGTCAATTGACAAATTACAGTTATATATTTGTATGGGGATACAAAGTGATGTTATAATGTAAAAATACAGGGTAGAATAATTAAATCAAGCTAATTAATATGCCTATCTCCAATTTTTTTTTGTGGTGAGAACTTTTGAAATTTACTCTAATTTTGAAACGTATACTGCATTATCATTCACTATATTCACCACATTGTGCAATATGCTTTAAGGTTAAAGAAAACCTAGTTCTTCTTGTATAAGAGGCTTTGTACCTTTTAACCATCTTTTCCCTATTCCTCCCACTTCCCAGCCTCTATAACCAGCATTCTTTCTGCTTCATTTAGTTCCATTGTTCTAGGTTCCACACATGAGTGAGAACATGAAGTATCTATCTTTCTGTGCCTGGCTTATTTCACTTAGCATATGTTCTCCAGTTCCATCCATGTTGTCACAAATGACACGATTGTTTTTCTTTATAGTGGCTGAATAGTATTCCATTGTGTATATGTGCCACATTTTTATTCATTCATCTGTGGATGGACACTTAAGTTGATTCCATAAAAATACTTGGGTTTTAATCCCTGCTTTTCCATAAGTTCATTGTGTATCATTTCTGGCCTCTGAAACTCCTTCTGGGTCCTCCAACATACTCTTTTAATAATGAGAATAGTTTAGAGAATAATGGATGCTGATGAGGATGTGGAGAGAGGAGAACACTTGTACACTGTTGATGAGAATGTAAATTAGTACAGCCATTATGGAAAACTGTATGGAGGTTCATCAAAACCCTAAAAATAAAAGTAATAGATGATTCAGCAATCCCACTACTGGGTGTATATCCCCTCAAAAAAGAAATCAATACATCAGAAAGATATCTGCACTCCCATGTTTATTGCAGCACTAATCATAATAGCCAAAATATGGAATCAAACCAGGTGCCCATCAATGGGTGAATGGATAAAGAAAATGTGGTATACATGCTCAATGGAAAATTATTCAGCCATAAAAAAGAATGAAATCTTGCCATTTGCAGCAACATGAATGGAAATGTGTCATTATGTCAAGTGAAATAAGCCAAGCGCTAGAAGACAAATATTGCATGTTCTCATTCATATGTGGAAGCTAAAAAAGTGGATCCCATGAAGATAGAGTAGATTGGTGGTTACCAGAGGCTGGGAAGGGTTAAGGGAGAAGGGGATGAAGAGAGTTTGATTAATGGGTAGAAATATACAGCTTGGAGGAAGAAATAAGACCTAGTGTTTGATAGATCAGTAGGGTAATTAGAGTTTACAGTAATCTATTGTATATTTTGAAATAGCTAGAAAAGAATGATTTTAATATTCTAGTATAAAGAAAAGACAAACATTTAAAGTGAAAGATATCCCAGTAACATTGATTTGAACTTTACAAATTATATGAATGTATTAAAGTATCACATGCCCCAAACTATGCACATCTATTAAGTACCAATACAAAAATAAAAATAGTCTCTCCAGCTCTAATATTCTGATTTTATTATTCCTGCAATTAGATTTCTATCAAATAGGCAGAGAGGAGTACACTAATATCTTAAAAATAGCTGTCATATGTGGAGAAAGGCACATGCTCATATGTCTAAAGATGAGTATTAATGAAAAAAAGTCATATGACTGGAAAAAAAAAACTTCGAATTAGAACACTACTCATGTTTCTATTTTTTCTCATTCACCAAACATTGTCTTTAGCTGCTGTTTTCTCTGCCCGGAATTTCTTTCAGGAGAGTGTGCCATTAGCAGAAAACTTAAATGCATCTAAGGAATTTTTTCTACAATGATTAAAAATTAGCCAAGAATATAACATTTTGAAAGCATTACTTCATGGTTAATCTTCGTTTTGAAACAGATTCTACCATAGACTGTGGAAGGAAGTAGCTAGCATGCATTGAGCCTATCTCTATATTTGAATGAATGCTTCATGTTTAACATTCATTGCTTCATTTAATATCACAGCACTAAAAGAAAGATATTAATAACCTCTTTCATCAACAGAGGTAGAAAACCAAGGCATAAAGTTTAATAACTTACTCAAAGTCACATATGTAATAAACGTTGGAATCTAAATTTAAAACAAATGTGTGTAATTCCAAAGTCTTTCCTCTATAACATATGAGTATATTTATACTGTATTTTGCCTCATAGAAAAGATTCAGCTTATTAACCAGTATCTAAGTTAGGTTTCCTTACTCTAGACAAAGTACATACAGAGTCATGTAAGTATAATACTTTAATTAAACTGTCAAGCACAAATTATTAAATTTGATGGGTATTAACATAAATTCAAAATAAGGGAGAAAAGAATATTCTTATTTTGCAAGAGAGTAATGTATGGTCTTTCTTGTGGAAGATACAACCAATGTTTCAAAAGTTGCCAAAGGGATTACACATCTTACTGAGATGGCCTCATCGCACTGGCCATTCTTTTCAAATAATATTTTCCTACTGCACTCTGGCTTTAACCTAGAGAGTTTCAAGGACCAAAGAGGCAGGAAGTAGAGGCATGGCCATCAGAGCAGTGAGTCAAAAGCAGGCATAGAGTGTAAAGGCCACTAAAGTGAAAATCAAAGAACCACCCCAGTACCTTTTTGATGTTCCTGGCTGGGATTAAACTCCCCAAACATCCCCCTCATTCCATCCCCCATCCACATAAATACACTATTTATGTACTTCCCTCCACCCTCCTATATCTGGCAAAACCAGGGGCTGTGAAAGGGAAGAAGCAGGAGGAGCTTCCAGGTGTCCTGCTCCAAGGGATTAGAACAGCTCAGCTTTCAACTCTCCACTATCCCACGCATTTACTCCTTCATACTGTACCCATCACTCGCCCTGACAGGAAGAACACCTTGCACCTTTGGCTGTCTTCATAGGATGTATTTCTAAATAAAAGCACCTGTCTGTGAAAGCCAGTCATTCACAGGAGCCACCTAGGAGACAAGTGATTACGTGTTTGGGGAGTTTCTGTGCCTGAATGTTTCCAACAGCTCTATCTGCACTATACAGGCTTTTGTGAGATTTTGTGTTGAGAGAGAGACAGAAAAGCAGGTTCCTTGTCTCTTTGTGTCGGAAACACATCTGCAAAGTTGTCACACTCTACAGCAAGTAAACCAAAGGTAAACATTTAATAGTACTTGGAACTCTACCTCTTCTCCACTAAGGAGAGTTAAAACATGTTGCTTAAATAAAAAGTTTGGCTGAAATGAGATTCTTCTCCAAACACAAAAGGAGGTTGTAATTTTAAGCATTTTTCTCCTTGGATTTAATCATGAATATTAAGTATTGGTACCCAAGTGCCAGAGTAACAAACTAAAGTAAAGACCACCCATTAACTTAATTCCAAAGGCTTATTTCATGTAACTCAAGCTCCAGTTATCTGAGAGTGAGTGGTGCTATTCACAACTGCCCATAACAAAAACCAAAAGAGTTTATGGCAATTTGACCTTTTCATTTTTCACAAGTTTATTTTCAGATAGCTAGGAAAATATTTTTCACTTGTATTTGATGACATGATTTCAAAAGCATCTTGACTAATTTCTCAATTAGCCAGGATCACCCCAAATGCCACTCACATTGAATCATGAGCCAAAAAGGCCATTATTCACTAATGAAAATGTAGCAAAACATACTTTGGACCCAATAATTCACAAGATACTAATTCACAGAAGCAACTGACTTTCTCCTACATTTGTAGTTTGACACATCTTAATACCATTCCTTTTATTTCTTTTTATGTATTTTCATTCTATTCAGGTCTAAACACTCCAACCCTGTCCTATCAACACCAATACTTCATCTTCCTCCATGGCCATTTTAGATGAAAATGAAAATGGAAATGTCTTTTGATATTTCAAAATCTATAGTGCACCTCTCTTTCCTCCTGAAAACAAGATATCACAGATGTTTCAGTCAAAGATCTGAGAATAAAATCACTTCTGCAATTGTGACATGATGCCAAAAGTGAAAACACATTCTTAATGCATTACTTGCCTGGAAAAATAAACTGCATTATGGGGAGAAATGTGGAACAAGGTAATCTTAGAAGCCCAGGAGCATAAGAAAGTTAAACTTCTTGACTTGTATCAAATGTTGACAATTCTAACTTCTCTGTTTCAAGAGGACTCTCTGGGACACATTTGCAACATTGCTTAAAAGTCCTGCCACCTAGTGGAAGAAGTAAATAAACCAGTCCTCAGGTAACCTGCCAAATGGAAAGACCCTACAAAAACAGATCCTCTTATCAACACACTCTCCCTTCAAAAATCATATTTTGAAACTAACTTTCATAAAATTTTAAGATTAATCAAATGGGTCATTTTAGTTTTCCTTGTTCAAATGTATCACATTCAGGGTAGGAAAGACTTGTGTTTAAGCACTGGGAACTACGGGTAGAATCCAAAAATAGCTTTTGTTAATCTGCTTTAGTTGATAGTTTTCAAAATGGACTCCTCAGAGTTAAGAAATAAACCAGATCCATACCAGCTTCCCCTTGCAGAAGGCACTTAATCCTCCAAAGGCTCAGCAGAAGAACTCTTTATAGAAGGGATTTCTTTAGTTGGCTAAGATAAAAAATCTTGCCTCAACAAGAAGATAGATCATCAGTGGCCAGACCTCACAGATAGCCACTAAGTTTCTAAGAAAACTTCCTGATGAGTCATGCTGAGAGAAAACTTCTCAGAACAACTTTGATCAAAGTTCAATTCTTGAGTAAGATCAATATTGCATGGTTGGTCCCAGTCATACCAACAGATATGTTATGACAGCAATCAATTCCTCAGTGACCTGAAGGAGTAGACTTGCCTCCCTGCCTACCTGGCTAAGAAAACATGAATGTCTTTGAGCGACCAAAGCAAAAAAAGTGTGGAATTACTACACACTGCACATGGAGATGTTTCTATAATACAGTGTCACTAAACACACTTGCTATTAGCCAAAGGCTATTTTAGAGTCTTCTTTGTCCATAGGTAAGTGCATATGGTCCTAGGCAAACACCTATTAGCTCTTTCTAAAAGCCCAAGGCTATTCAAAGGGAAATAACATTTGCTTCTGTTAGAAAGCTATTATTCCAGATCCCATTAGTTACATCTTCAATTGTATCTCCTGTCTCTGGGGTAAATGATCTAGTGACAGACACTTGTGGATAAATGATCTACAGATGAACACATGTGAGGTTTAAGTTTATATGTATAAAACACTTTGAAGGGAGTTATGAAAGATCATCTTACCACTCAGTATTCAAGAATTATGCTCTGTGCCTTTATCCAAACTTTCCATTACTTGTTCAGTTTTTTTTAAACAAACACCATTGTTTACAGATCCAGATTTGATTTCACAAAGAATTTATTTCATAATTTGAGACTAAAGTGCTTTTTATAATTTAATTATTTGTATTGCTACATTCAAGAAGTTTTTCCATCACTCTAACAGAAAAACACGTTTTTTAAAGTTTTAAAAACAAGAGAATCTTTAAAACTGGTTCAAAATAAAGGAACTACAGTATGTCCAAAGAATGTGAAATATATTTGTAATAAAAGACCTACTGTATTTCCAAAAGAATGTGAAATATAATTATTGTTTTATAATTTATCATTCTTTCGTAACAATTTTCATAACTATTTATATGATTACATGGTCTCCTTTCTAAAGGAAGTAAATGAGAAACCAGTATAAGAACCTCAGACCTACCCTACAAAAAATACTAAAGGGGGTTCTTCAGGGTGAAATTAAAGGAATCCAGATGGTGACTCAAATCCACATGCAGAAAAAAATGAGCACCTGTAAGGATAATTACATAGGTAAAACTAAAAGAATAAATCGATTTTTGTTTGTAATTTGGTTTTCTTCACCCTTTTTTTAATGTTTATTTTCAGTTCAGGGGTACATGTGCAGGTTTGTTAATATAGGTAAACTTGTGTCATGGAGGTTTGTTGTGCAGATTATTTCATCACGCAGGTATTAAGCCTAGTACCCATTAGTTATTTATCCTGATCCAACCCTCACCCTCCAAAAGGCTCCAGTGTGTATTGTTCCCCTCTATGTGTCCTTGTGTTCCCATCATTTAGCTCACACTTATGAGTGAGAACATGCAGTATTTGGTTTTCTGTTCCTGTGTTAGTTTGCTAAGGATGATGGCCTCCAGCTCCATTCATGCTCCTGCAAAGGACATAATCTTATTATTTTTTATGACTGTGTAGTAGTCCATGTACCACCGTGTATATGTACCACATTTTCTTTATCCAGTCTATCACTTATGGGCATTTAGGTTGATTCCATGTCTTCACTATTGTGAATAATACTGCAATAAACATACACATGCATGTGTCTTTATAATAGAATAATTTATATTCATTTGGGCATGTACCCAGTAATGGAATTTCTTGGTCAAATGGTATTTCTGTCTTTAGTACTTTGAGGCATCATCACGCTGCTTTCTACAATGGTTGAACTAATTTACATTCCCAACAACAGTGTATAAGTGTTCCTTTTTCTCCAAAACTTCGCCAGCATCTGTTATTTTTTGACTTTTTAATAATAAACATTCTGACTAGTGTCAGATGATATCTCATTGTTGTTTTGATTTGCATTTCTCTAATGATCAATGACGTTGAGGTTTTTTTCATATGATTGTATGTCTTCTTTTGAAAAGTATCTTTTCATGTCCTTTGCCCACTTTTTAATGGGGTTGTTTGTTTTTTTGCTTGTTAATTTGCTTAAGTTCCTTATAGATGCTGGATATTGGACCTTTGTCATATCCATGCATTACAAAACTTTCTTCAATTATGTAGGTTATCTGTTCACTCTGTTGATACTTTCCTTCGCTGTACAGAAGCTCTTTAATTTTATTAGATCCCATTTATCAATTTTTGCTTTTGTTGCAATTGCTTTTGGCATCTTCATCATGAAATCTTTGCCTGTTCCTATGTCCTGAATGTTATTGCCTAGATTGCCTTCCAGGGTTTTGATAGTTTTGGGTTTTACATTTCGGTCTTTAATCCATCTTGAGTTAATTTTTCTATAAATATAAATATATAAATATATATATATATGTATATATATATAATATATATATATATATATATATATATATATATAGTATATAGTGTAAGAAAGAGGTCTAGTTTCAATCTTGTGCATATGGCTAGCTAGTTATCATAGCACCATTTATTGAATAGGGAATTCTTTCTCCATTGCTTGTTTTTGTCTGGTTTGCCAAAGATCAGATGGCTGTAGTTGGGTGACCTTACTTCTGGGTTCTCTATTCTGTTCCATTGGTCTATGCAACTGTTTTTGTACCAGTACCAGTTGTTTTGGTCCTATAGCCCTGTAGTATAGTTTGAAGTCGGGTGGCATGATGCCTCCAGCTTTGATTTTTGTTTTCTGGGTTTTTCTGTTGTTGTTGTTGTTGTTTTTGTTTTTGTTTTCCTTAGGATTGCCTTGGCTATTTAGGCAGTTTTTTTGGTTCCATGTGAATTTTAAAATAGTTTTTTTTTCCCTAATTCTGTCAAGAATCTCAATGGTAGTTTAATAGGAATACCACTGAATCTATAAATGCTTTGAGCAGTATGGCCATTTTTACAATATTTACCCTTCTTTTCCATAAGCATGAAATATTTTTCCCTTTGTGTAATCTCTGATTTCTTTGAGCACTGTTTTGTAGTTCTCCTTGTAGAGATCTTCACCTCCCTTGTTAGCTGTATTCCTAGTTATTTTAATCTTTTTGTGGCAATTTTGAACGGGATTGTGTTCCTGATTTGGCTCTTGGCTTGACTGTTGTTGATATATAGGAATATTGGTGATTTTTGCAAATTGATTTTATATCCTGAGACTTTGCTGAAGTTGTTTATCAGTTTAAGAAACTTTTGAGCTGAAACTACGAAGTTTTCTAGATATAGAATCATGTTGTCTGCCAACAGGAATAGTTTGACTTTCCCTCTTCCTATTTGGATGACCTTTATTTCTTTCTCTTGCCTGATTGCCCTGGCCAGGACTTCCAATACTATGTTGAATATCAGTGGTGAAAGAGTGCATCCTTGTCTTGTGTCAGTTTTCAAGGCAATGCTGCCAGTTTTTGCCCATTCAGTATAATCTTAGCCATGGGCTAAGAATAGATGGCTCTTATTCTTTTCAGATATGTTCCTTCAATAGCTACTTTTTTGAGAATTTTTAACATGAAGTGGTGTTAAATTTTATCAAAAGACTTTTCTGGTTCCAAGATGGCCGAATAGGAACAGCTCCAGTCTACAGCTCCCAGCATGAGTGACACAGAAGACGGGTGATTTCTGCATTTCCAACTGAGATGCTGGGTTCATCTCACTGGGGCTTGTCGGACAGTGGGTGCAGCCCACGGAGTGTGAGCTGAAGCAGGGTGAGGCATCACCTCACCCGGGAAGTGCAAGGGGTCAGGAAATTCCCTTTCCTAGTCAAAGAAAGGGGTGACAGATGGCACCTGGAAACTCAGGACACTCCCACCCTAATACTGTGCTTTTCCAATGGTCTTAGCAAACGGCACACAAGGAGATTATATCCCACGCCTGGCACCGAGGGTCTCACACCCATGGAGCGTTGCTCACTGCTAGTGCAGCAGTCTGAGATCAAACTGCAAGGTGGCAGCGAGGCTAGGGGAGGGGCATCCACCATTGCTGAGGCTTGAGTAGGTAAACAAAGCAGCCAGGAAGCTCAAACTGGGTGGAGCCCACCGCAGCTCAAGGAGGCCTGCCTGCCTCTGTAGTCTCCACATCTGGGGGCAGGGCATAGCTGAACAAAAGGCAACAGAAACCACTGCAGACTTAAATGTCCCTGTCTGACAGCTTTGAAGAGAGTAGCAGTTCTCCCAGCACGCAGCTGGAGATCTGAGAACGGACAGACTGCCTCCTCAAGTAGGTCCCTGACCGCTGAGTAGCCTAACTGGGAGGCACCCTCCAGTAGGGGCAGACTGACACCCCACACAGCCTGGTACCCCTCTGAGATGAAGATTCCAGAGGAACGATCAGGCAGCAACATTTGCTGTTGAGCAATATTTGCTGTTCTGCAGGCTCTGCTGCTGATATCCAGGCAAACAGGGTCTGGAGTGGACCTCCAGCAAATTCCAACAGACCTGCAGCTAAGGGTGCTGACTGTTAGAAGGAAAACTAACAAACAGAAAGGACATCCACACCAAAAACCCATCTGTACGTCACCGTCATCAAAGACCAAAGGTAGATAAACCACAAAGATGGGGAAAAACGAGCAGAAAAACTGGAAACTCTAAAAATCAGAGTGCCTCTCCTCCTCCAAAGGAATGCAGCTCCTCACCAGCAACGGAACAAAGCTGGATAGAGAATGACTTTGACGAGTTGAGAGAAGAAGGCTTCAGAAGATCAAACTACTCCGAGCTAAAGGAGAAAGTTTGAACCCATGGAAAAGAAGTTAAAAACCTTGAAAAAAGATTAGATGAATGGCTAACTAGAATAACCAATGCAGAGAAGTCCTTAAAGGACCTGATAGAGCTGAAAACCATGGCACGAGAACTACGTGATGAATGGACAAGCCTCAGTAGCCGATGCGATCAACTGGAAGAAAGGCTATCAGTGATGGAAGATGAAACGAATGAAATGAAGTGAGAAGAGAAGTTTAGAGAAAAAAGAATAAAAAGAAACAAACAAAACCTCCAAGAAATATGGGACTATGTGAAAAGACCAAATCTATGTCTGATTCGTGTACCTGAAAGTGAAGGGGAGAATGGAACCAAGTTGGAAAACACTCTGCAGGATATTATCCAGGAGAATTTCCCCAAACTAGCAAGGCAGGCCAACATTCAAATTCAGGAAATACAGAGAACACCACAAAGATACTCCTAGAGAAGAGCAACTCCAAGACACATAATCGTCAGATTCACCAAAGTTGAAATGAAGGAAAAAATGTTAAGGGCAGCCAGAGAGAAAGGTCGGATTACCCACAAAGGGAAGCCCATCACACTAACAGCTGATCTCTCGGCAGAAACTCTACAAACCAGAAGAGAGTGGGGGGCCAATATTCAACATTCTTAAAGAAAAGAATTTTCAACCCAGAATTTCATATCCAGCCAAACTGAGCTTCATAAGTGAAGGAGAAATAAAATACTTTAAAGACAAGAAAATGCTGAGAGATTTTGTCACCACCAGGCCTGCCCTAAAAGAGCTCCTGAAGGAAGCACTAAACATGGAAAGGAACAACTGATGCCAGCCACTGCAAAAACATGCCAAATTGTAAAGACCATCAAGGCTAGGAAGAAACTGCATCAACTAACGAGCAAAATAACCAGCTAACATCATAATGACAGGATCAAATTCACACATAACAATATTAACCTTAAATGTAAATGGGCTAAATGCTCCAATTAAAAGACAAATACTGGCAAATTGGATCAAGAGTCAAGACCCATCAGTGTGCTGTATTCGGGAAACCCATCACACGTGCAGAGACACACATAGGCTCAAAATAAAGGGATGGAGGAAGATCTACCAAGCAAATGGAAAACAAAAAAAAAGCAGGGATTGCAATCCGAGTCTCTGATAAACCAGACTTTAAACCAACAAAGAGCAAAAGAGACAAAGGCCATTACATAATGGTAAAGGGATCAATTCAACAAGAAGAGCTAACTATCCTAAATATATATGCACCCAATACAGGAGCATGCAGATTCATAAAGCAAGTCCTTAGTAACCTACAAAGAGACTTAGACTCCCACACAATAATAATGAGAGACTTTAACACCCCACTGTCAACATTAGACAGATCAATGAGACAGAAAGTTAACAAGGATATCCAGGAATTGAACTCAGCTCTGCACCAAGAGGACCTAATGGACATCTACAGAACTCTCCACCCCAAATCAACAGAATATGCATTCTTTTCAGCACCACACCACACCTATTCCAAAATTGACCACATACTTGGAAGTAAAGCACTCCTCAGAAAATGTAAAAGAACAGAAATTATAACAAACTGTCTCTCAGATCACAGTGCAATCAAACTAGAACTCAGGATTAAGAAACTCACTCAAAACCACTCAACTACATGGAAACTGAACAACCTGCTCCTGAATGACTACTGGGTACATAACGAAATGAAGGCAGAAATAAAGAAGTTCTTTGAAACCAATGAGAACAAAGACACAACATACCAGAATCTCTGGGACACATTCAAAGCAGTGTATAGAGGGACATTTATAGCACTAAATACCCACAAGAGAAAGCAGGAAAGATCTAAAATTGACACCCTAACATCACAATTAAAAGAACTAGAGAAGCAAGAGCAAACACATTCAAAAGCTAGCAGAAGGCAAGAAATAACTAAGATCAGAGCAGAACTGAAGGAAATAGAGACACAACAAACCCTTCAAAAAATCAATGAATACAGGAGCTGGTTTTGTGAAAAAATCAACAAAATTGATAGACCGCTAGCAAGACTAATAAAGAAGAAAAGACAGAAGAATCAAATAGATGCAATAAAAAATGATAAAGGGGATATCACCACCGATCCCACAGAAATACAAACTACCATCAGAGAATACTATAAACATGTCTATGCAAATAAACTAGAAAATCTAGAAGAAATGGATAAATTCCTCAACACATACACCCTCCCAAGACAAAACCAGGAAGAAGTTGAATCTCTGAATAGACCAATAACAGGCTCTGAAAATGAGGCAATAATTAGTAGCTTACCAACCAAAAAAAGTCCAGGACCAGATGGATTCACAGCCGAATTCTACCAGAGGTACAAGGAGGAGCTGGGACCATTCCTTCTGAAACTGTTCCAATCAATAGAAAAAGAAGAAATCCTCCCTAACTCATTTTATGAGGCCAGCATCATCCTGATACCAAAGCCTGGCAGAGACACAACAAAAAAAAGAGAATTTTAGACCAATATCATTGATGAACATCGATGCAAAAATCCTCAATAAAATACTGGCAAACAAAATCCAGCAGCACATCAAAAAGCTTATCCACCATGATCAAGTGGGCTTCATCCCTGGGATGCAAGGCTGGTTCAACATACGAAAATCAATAAACGTAATCCAGCATATAAACAGAACCAAAGACAAAAACCACATGATTATCTCAATAGATGCAGAAAAGGCCTTTGACAACCCTTCATGCTAAAAACTCTCAATAAATTAGGTATGGATGGGACGTATCTCAAAATAATAAGAGCTATCTATGACAAACCCACAGCCAATATCATACTGAATGGACAAAAACTGGAAGCATTCCCTTTGAAAAGTGGCACAAGAGAGGCATGCCCTCTCTCACTACTCCTATTCAACATAGTGTTGGAAGTTCTGGCCAGGGCAATCAGGCAAGAGAAAGAAATAAAGGGTATTCAATCAGGAAAAGAGGAAGTCAAATTGTCCCTGTTTGTAGATGACATGATTGTATATTTAGAAAACCCCATTGTCTCAGCTCAAAATCTCCTTAAGCTGATAAGCAACTTCAGCAAAGCCTCAGGATACAAAATCCACGTGCAAAAATCACAAGCATTCTTATACACCAATTACAGACAAACAGAGAGCCAAATCATGAGGGAACTCCCATCACAATTGCTTCAAAGACAATAAAATACCTAGGAATCCAACTTACAAGGGATGTGAAGGACCTCTTTAAGGAGAACTACAAACCACTGCTCAACGAAATAAAAGAGGACATAAACAAACGGAAGAACATTCCATGCTCATGGATGGGAAGAATCAATATCATGAAAATGGCCATACTGCCCAAGGTAATTTATAGATTCAATGCCATCCCCATCAAGCTACCAATGACTTTCTTCACAGAATTGGAAAAAACTACTTTAAAATTCATATGGAACCAAAAAAGAGACCTCATTGCCAATCCTAAGCAAAAAGAACAAAGCTGGAGGCATCACGCGATCTGACTTCAAACTATACTACAAGGCTACAGTAGCCAAAACAGCATGGTACCGGTACCAAAACAGAGATATAGACCAATAGAACAGAACAGAGCCCTCAGAAATAATACCATACATCTATGACTGTCTGATGTTTGACAAACCTGACAAAAACAAGAAATGGGGAAAGGATTCCCTGTTTAATAAATGGTGCTGGGAAAACTGGCTAGCCATATGTAGAAGGCTGAAACTGGATCCCTTCCTTACACATTATACGAAAATTAATTCAAAATGAATTAAAGACTTAAATGTTAGACCTAAAACCATAAAAACCCTAGAAGAAAACCTAGGCAATACCATTCAGGACATAGGCATGGCCAAGGACTTCATGACTAAAACACCAAAAGCAATGGCAACAAAAGCCAAAATTGACAAATGGGATCTAATTAAACTGAAGAGCTTCTGCACAGCAAAAGAAACTACCATCAGAGTGAACAGGCAACCTACAGAATGGGAGAAAATTTTTACAATCTATCTATCTGACAAAGGGCTGATATCCAGAATCTACAAAGAACATAAACTAATTTACAAGAAAAAAGCAAACTTTTAAGCAAACTTAATGGGGGACCTGTGGCCCCTTTCTTTCAGCCAATTTTTTTCCCTTTGGAAACAGGAGTATTTATCCAGTGCCTATATTCCCATTATATCTTGGAAGTGTTACTTGTTTCTTATTTTACAGGCTCACAGATGGAAGAGTCTTGCCTAATCTCAAATGATACTTTGGACTTTTGAGTTAATGTGAAAATGAGTGATGACTTTGGGAATTATTGGAGACATGATTGTATTTTGAAATATGGTAAGAACATGAGATTTGGGAGGGCACAGAGGTGGAATGATATGGTTTGTATCTGTCCACTGAAATCTGAGGTCAAATTGTAATCCCCAGTGTTGGAAATGGAACCTGGTGGGAGGTGACTGAATCATGGGGGTAAATCCCTGATGAATGGCTTAGCATCACCCCCTTGGTGATATTCTTGTGATACAGTTCTAGGGAGATCCAGTTGTATAATAGTGTGTAGCACCTCTCCCCTCTCTTTCTTGCTTCTGCTCCAGCCATGTAAGGTCCCTGCTCCTGCTTTGCCTTCTACCATGAGTGGAAGCTTCCTGAGTCCTCCCCAGAAGATGCTGCTATGCTTCCTGTATAGCCTGCAGAACTGTGGGCCAATTAAACCTCTTTTAGTTATGAATTATCCAATCTCAGATATTTTTATACAAATATAAGAATGAAATAATACACTAACCTTCCACCTTAAGCAACTCAAAAAAGAAGAGTAAACTAAACGCAAAGAAAGCAAAAAGATAGAAGTAATAAAGATCAGAGTCTAAATAAATAAAAAATATGAAAACAGTAAAAAAAGTTGACTAAACCAAGGTTAGTTCTTTTAAGTGATTTAAACAACTGATGAAGATTTAGCTACACTGACCAAGAAAAAACAAGAGAGGACTCAAGCAAATTACTAAAATGAGGGAGTGGACATTATCACTTACCATATAGAAATAAAAGGATTATAAGGAAATTTTATATATATAAATTATATATATATAATTGTATATGCATACAATTACATATATTTTGTTTAAGGAAGCTAAAGATAGAACCCCAATCTATAGGATTTCTGCTGAAAAATCTGCTGTTAATCTGATGGTTTTTTTTTTAAATAGGTTACTTGATGCTTTTGCCTCACAGCTCTTAAAATTCTTTCCTTAATCTTGACTTTAGATAACCTGATGACTATATGCCTAGGTGATAACCTTTTTGTGATGAATTTCATGGGTGTTCTTTGAGCTTCTTGTATTTGAATTTCTAGATTTCCAGCAAGACCAGGGAAGTTTTCCTTGATTATTTCCTCAAATAAGTTTTCCAAACTTTTAGATTTCTCTTCTTCCTCAGGAACACCAATTGTTCTTATGCTTGGTCATTTAACATAAGCCAAATTTCTGGGAGGCTTTATTCATTTTTTAAACTCTTTTTCCTTTATCTTTTTCAGATTGGGTTAATTTGAAAGCCTTGCCTTTGAGTTCTGAAGTTCTTTCTTCTATTTGTTTTACTCCATTGTTAAAACTTTCCATGTATTTTGCATTTCTACAAGTGTGTCTTTCATTTTCAGAGTTGTGATTGTCTTTTCTCTATGATACCTGTTTCTCTGGATACGTTTTCATCCACATCCATTTTTTAATCTCTTTAAGTTGGTTTTTACCTTTCCCTGGTACCTCCTTGAGTGGTTTAATAATCAACCTTCTGAATTCTTTATCTGACAGTTCGGAAACTTCTCCTTGGTTTGGATTTATTCCTGAAGAGCTAGTGTGATCTTTGGGAGTGGTATAAATCTTGTTTTTGCATACCAGAATTACTTTTCCAGTTCCTTCTCATTTGGGTAGACTTTCAGTGAAAAGATCTGGAACTCAAGGGCTGCTGTTCAGATTCTTTTGTCTTATGGGGTGATCCCTTGAGGTGGGGTTCCCCTCCTTCCCCTAGGGATGGGGCTTCCTGAGAGCCAGACTGCAGTGATTGTTATTGCTTGTCTGGGTCTAGCTACCAAGCAGGGATACCAGGCTCTGGGCTGGTGCTGGGGAGTGTCTGCAAAGAGTCCTATGATGTGATCCATCTTAAGGTCTCTCAGCCATGGACCAGCACCTGCTCAAGTGGAGGTGATGGGAGTAAAGTGGGATCTGTGGGAATCCTTGATTGCAGTTTTGTTTAGCATACTGGTTTCCTTGAATGTTTGTTATGCTATCAGCGAAGTTGTCACATGGACAGACTCAGGACCTCTGGTTAGCCAGGGTGTTACAGGCAGTGGAATTAGCTATTGTTTTCTCCTTTGGATCATGGTTGTTCTGTTATGAGTTGCTGTAATGGCTTGAGTTGATTGGTCTCCAGCCAGGAGGTGGTGTTTTCAAGACAGCACCAGCTGTGGTAGTAGGAGGGAGATATAAGCTTGCTCTACATTGGCCAGGATAAGTACTCACATTTCTCAGGCAATAGGCAGACCCATAGTGCTCCCAAGAGTTTGTCATTTGTCTTCAGCTACCAGGCAGATAGAGAAAAAACATTCACTAGGGGCAGGGTTAGGCAGGTCTTAGCTCAGACCATCCTTGGGCAGGGTTTGCTGTGGCCACTGTGGGGGATGGGAGATGGTTCTCTGGCCAATGGAGTTATGTCCCCAGGTGGATTATGGCTGCCTTTGCTGCTTCATACAGGTCACCAGGGAAGTGGGGGAAAGCCAGCAGTGACAGGCCTCAGCCAGCTCCCATGCAGCCAGCAAGGCCAGTCTCACTCCTGCGATGCCCCACCAACAGCACTGAGTTTATATCCAGGCAGCTGGTGAGCAAGGCTGAGGTCTTGCACCAGCCTACAAGCCTCCCCACTGAGAAAGCAGCGCAATCCACCTGCCCATGCTGTGGGCTGTGGCTTCTGTGCTGGTATCTGTACTTCCCATTCACACCCCACCCCTTAGATTCTGCTCAGGAAAATTTGTGCTCAGTCAAAATTATTACAAAGTTTAACTATAAGCTTTCTTAATCCTGTGGCCCCTCTCCAATTCTTCTGGCTGCCTTCCCCATGGACCCCTGTGAGATAAAGCCAGGAAAGGCTTCCCTGGACTCAAGCTGGGAACTGAGAGTGCCTATAGGGCTTTTTCTGCTGCTTCTTCTACTTTTATATTTCTCTCAGCTCTCTAAATTCATTTCAGCTCTAGGTAGGGTTAAATCCTTCTCCAATAATCTGGATTTTTTCAGGTTCCCCAATGGGGATGTGTGTTTAGAGGCAGGCTGTTCCCCCTCTTACACTTTAAGAACTCACAGTTTTTCAGCTGGCTCATGGAGTCTGTAGTGGCAAGCCACTTCTTTCAAAGGGTCTGTGAATTCTTTTAGTTTTCCTGGTATGTTCCTGCAGTGGTTCTTGGGGCAAAAGTTTACAGTGTGAGTCTCCACATGCTCTTCTGTCTGTCCAAGTGGGAGCTGCACATTAGTCTTGTCTCCTAGATACCATTTTTTCAATATGAATAATTATATGCCAACAAATTAGATGACCTAGATAAAACGGACAAATTTCTAGAAAAACATAAATTAACAAAAGTGACTCAAGAGAGAATATAAAATCTGAATAGACTTATAATAAGATCACAAACTTTGCACAAAGTAATGCACAGAGATGACTCCAGCGATAAATTCTACCAAAATGTTTAAAGAGCATTACTCCCTCATAAACTCTCTCAAAAAATAGAAGAGGATGGAACACTGTTTAATTTATTCTATGAAACTGATATTACTCTAATACCAAAACCACACAAAGATATCACAAGAAAACTATGGACTAATATATTTTATGATATAGAGACAAAAATCCTCTAGAAAATACTAGTAAATTGACTCTAGCAATATATAACAAGGATTATTCACCAAGATAAAGTGAGACTTATTCCAGAAATGCAAACTTGGTTCAACATACAAAAATTAATCAGTGAAATATACCATATTAATAGAATAAAAGACAAAAACCACATGATCATTTCAATTGACACTATATGGTTAATTTCATATGTCAACTGGAATGGACTATGAGGTACCCAGATTAAGCATTATTTCTTGGTACGTCTGTGAGAGTGTTTCCTGATGAAATTCACATTTGAATTGGAGGGCTCAGCAAAGTATATTGTTCTCCCAAATGTGGTTGGGTATCATTCAATCCATTGAAGGTCTAAATAGAACAAAAGGCAGAAGGAGGAATTGGCCTCCTTTTTTTCCTGCCTCACTGCTTCATCTGGGACATCTCATGTCATCTTCTCCTGCCCTTGGACCAGGAGTTAAATCATCAGCTCTGGTCTTCAGGTTTGGCCTTGGACTAAATTCCACCAATGGCTTTCCTGGGTCTGCAGGTTGTAGATAGAAGATCATGTGAGTTCTCAACCTCTATAATCTTGGGAGCCAATTCCTTATTATAGATAGGTAGATAGATAGATAGATAGATAGATAGATAGATAATAGATAGATAGATAGATAAATATAGATATAGTGGGATACTAGCATAAGGGTACATACATACAATGTGGTACTAGCATATATAATATTTGATGCTCTCAAATATACATTGCTGCAATAGGATAAGGGTAGACATATAGATCCGAAAGTCCATAAATAAACCTCTGTTTCATACTATATACAAAAAGCAACTCAATATGAATCAAAAACCTAAATGTAAAAGCTAAAATTATAAACCTTTTAGGAGAAAACATTGGGGAAAACCCTGAACTTGGATAAGGCAATGATTTATTAAAGGTGACACTAAAAGCATAAGCACCCCTTCGTCACGAAAAGATAATCTGTACTTCATCAAAATTAAAACTCTTGTGCTCCAAAGGACACTTTTTTTTTTTAAAATAGCTTTAGGAGTAAAAGTGGTTTCTGGTTACATGGATGAATTGCACAGTGGTGAAGTCTGGGATTTTAGTGCATCTGTCACCCAAATAGTGTACATTGTACTCAATAGGTAGTTTTTCACCATTCACCTTCCAGCCTCCCCTCTTCTGAATCTCCAATATTTATTACACCACTCTGTATGCCTTTGTGCACCCATAGCTTACCTCCCACTTCTAAGTGAGAACATGTGGTATGTGGTTTTTGATTCCTGAGTTATCTCACTTAAGATAATGGACTCCAGTTCCATCCAAGTTACTGCAAAAGAAATTATTTTATAATTATTTATAGCTGAGAAGTATTCCATGGTGTATATATATATATATATATATATATATGTATATGTATATATATATATATGTATATGTGTATATATATATATGTATATGTATATATATATATATATACCACATTTTCCTTAACCACTTATTAGTTGTTGGGCACTTATGTTGGTTTCATATCTTTGCAACTGGGAATTGTGTTGTGATAAACATATGCATGCAGGTATCTTTTTAATAGAGTGACTTCTTTTCCTTTGGGTAGATACCCAGTAGTGGGATTGCTGGGTTGCATGGTAGATCTATTTTAGTTTTCTCAGAAATCTTCATACTGTTTTGCATAGAGGTTTTACTAATTTACATTCTCACCAACAGTACATAAATGTTCCCTTTTCAGCACATCCATGCCAACATCTACTGTTTTTTGACTTTTTAATAACAGCCACTCTGGCTGTGGTAAGGTGGTATCTCATAGTGGTTTTAATTTGCATTTCCCTGATGATTAGTGATGTTGAACATTTTCCAATATGTTTGTTAGCCATTTGTATATATTCTTTTGAGAAATGTCTATTTATGTCATTTGCCACTTTTTGATGATTTTTTTTCTTGCTGATATGTTTGAGTTCCTTGTAAACTGTGGATATTAATCCTTTGTCAGATGCAAAATTTATAAACATTTTCTCCCATTCCATAAGCTGCTGATCTAATTTGATAATTATTTCTTTCACTATGCAGAGGCTTTTTACTTTAATTAGTTTCCATTTATTTGTTTTTGTTTTTGCTGCATTTGCTTTTAGGGTCTTGGTCATAAATCATTTGCCTAAGCCAATGTCCAGAAAGGTTTTTCAAGGTTTTCTTATAGAATTTTTATGGTTTCAAGGCTTAAAGTCTTTAATTCATCTTAAGTTAATTTTGGTATATGGTGAGAGATAGGGATAGTTTCATTTTTCAAATGTGGCTATCCAATTTTTCCAGCACCATTTGTTGAATAGGAAATCTTTTCCCCAATTTATGTTTTTGTATGCTTTGTCCAAGATCAGTTAGTTGTAAGTATTTGGCTTTATTTATGGGTTCTCTATTCTTTTCCATTGGTGTATATACCTGCCTTTATACCAGTACCATGCTGTTTTGGTTACTGTAGCCTTGTATTATAATTTGAAGTTGGGTAATGCAATGTCTCCAGATTTGTTCTTTTTGCACGGGATTCCTTTCCCTATTTGGGCTCTTTTTTGGTTCCATGTGAAGCTTAGGATTGCTTTTTCTAATTCTGTGAGAAATGATGTTGGCATTATGATAGGAATTTCACTGAATCTATAGATGCTTTGGGAAGTGTGGTCATTTTCACAATATTGATTTTTCCAATCCATGTATTTGTGTTATCTATTATTTCTTTCAGCAGTGTTTTGTAGCTCTCCTTGTAGAGATCTTTCACCTCCTTGATTAAGTATATTCCTGGGTATTTTATTGTGTTTTGTTTTTGTAGCTATTGTGTAAAGGATTGAGTTCTTGATTTGATTCTCTGCTCGATCATTGTTGGTGTATAGCAGTGGTACTAATTCATGCACATATTAATCTTATAACCTGAGACTTTACTAATTCATTTATCATATCTAGGAGTCTTTTTGAGGAGTATTTAGGGTTTTCTAGATGTAAGATCATATAATCAGCAAACAGAGATAATCTGACTTCCTCTTTTCCAATTGGGCTGTCCTTTATTTCTTGGCCTTGCCTGAATGCTCTGGCTAGGACTCCCCAAAGAACACTATTAAGAAAGTAAAAAGAAAACATACAGAAAGGAATAAAATATGTGCAAATCATGTATCTGATATGGGCCTGATATACACTTAAAGAATTCTTCTAACTAAACATCAAAAAGACACCCCCTTTTTTATTATTATACTTTAAGTTTTAGGGTACATGTGCACAATGTGCAGGTTTGTTACATATGTATACATGTGCCATGTTGGTGTGCTGCACCCATTAACTTGTCATTTAGCATTAGGTATATCTCCTAATGCTATCCCTCCCCTCTTCCCCCCACCCCACAACAGGCCCCAATGTGTGATGTTCCCCTTTCTGTGCCCATGTGTTCTCATTGTTCAATTCCAACCTATGAGTGAGAATATGCGGTGTTTGGTTTTTTGTCCTTGCGATAGTTTGCTGAGAATGATGGTTTCCAGTTTCATCCATGTCCCTACAAAGGACATGAACTCATCATTTTTTATGGCTGCATAGTATTCCATGGTGTATATGTGCCACATTTTCTTAATCCAGTCTATCATCGTTGGACATTTGGGTTGGTTCCAAGTCTTTGCTATTGTGAATAGTGCCACAATAAACATACGTGTGCATGTGTCTTTACAGCAGCATGATTTATAATCCTTTGAGTATGTACCCAGCAATGGGATGGTTGGGTCAAATGGTATTCCTAGTTCTAGATCCCTGACGAATCGCCACACTGACTTCCACAATGGTTGAACTAGTTTACAGTCCCACCAACAGTGTAAAAGTATTCCTATTTCTCCACATCCTCTCCAGCACCTGTTGTTTCCTGACTTTTTAATGATCGCCATTCTAACTGGTGTGAGATGGTATCTTCTTGTGGTTTTGATTTGCATTTCTCTGATGGCCAGTGATGATGAGCATTTTTTCATGTGTTTTTTGGCTGCATAAATGTCTTCTTTTGAGAAGTATCTGTTCATATCCTTCGCTCACTTTTTGATGGGGTTGTTTTTTTCTTGTAAATTTGTTTGAGTTCATCGTAGATTCTGGATATTAGCCCTTTGTCAGATGAGTAGGTTGCAAAAATTTTCTCCCATTCTGTAGGTTGCCTGTTCACTCTGATGGTAATTTCTTTTGCTGTGCAGAAGCTCTTTAGTTTAATTAAATCCCATTTGTCAATTTTGACTTTTGTTGCCATTGCTTTTGGACACCCCCATATTTTAAATCAGCAAAGTATTTAAATAAATTTTCCCCAAAGAAAATATATAAATCATCAATAAGCACATGAAAATATGCCCAACATCATTGGTCATTAGGGAAATGCAAATAAAACTCACAATAAGATTCCACTTTACACCCACTAGGATGGCTATAACCAAGAAGACAAATAATAGCAAGTGTGTTGTTGAGGATGTAGAGTTTTAAAACCTTTATAAATTCCTGATGAAAGTGTAAAATGATGCATCCTCTGTAGAAGACAGTTTGGCACTTCCTTAAAACGTTAAACAGAGTTGACATATAATCCAGCAATTCAACTGGAGGTATATACCTATGAGAATTGAAAACATAATGTTTACACAAAAACAGGCACTCAAATGTCCACAGTGTTAGGGCTCAATGTTTCCTTTCCATTCGTCAAAGGTGAATTTTGACAGTTGCAAAGAAAGAACCCTAATAGACACACTATATATAGCGTTAATATAATAACACCCAGTTTGACTACATATACATTTCTCTAAATGCTCTATTCTCACAGAGTAGACTCATTGATATTTATCATATTAGTTGGCATCATAATTATTAACAGATATAATTATGTTTGTTAAATAATTAATGAAAGGTCACACAACTACTACGTGTCAGAGGCAGAAATCCCACACAACCATTCAGCTCCAAGATTGATTCTACAGTTCACTTTGAAAAGGGTGAGGCTGTGGTCAGGAATAAGGGAGAGAGCATATTCCAAGCAAAGGACAAAGCTGTAAAAGCCAAGCCCTATCCACAAGGCCTACAGACCTTTATTGTTATGTGAAGCCTCAGGACTGATCTGAGCTTCTTCAGATGGGATATTTCTGTTAGTTAGATTAAGAATTAGTATTGTACACATTATTGTACATCAATGTACAATGTACACCATATTATCGTCCACTCATGTTCATAGCAGCATTACTCCCAATAGCCAAAAGGTGGAAACAACTCAACTGTCCCTCAACAGATAAATGGATAAACAAAATGTTTTATATAATGTTTTATCTGTGTGTGTGTCTGTGTGTGTGTGTGTGTGCCTAATGAGATGTTATTCAGCGAAAAGAATGGCATTCTAATACATGCTACATGTATTAGATGAGCTTTGGAAACATTATGCTAAGTGAAATAACACATATGAAAAGAATAAATATTGTATGATATCTCTTATATGAGGTAGATAGAATAGTAAAATTAATACAGACAGAAAGTAGAATAGTGGTTATTAGAGGCTGGGAAAAGGAGGTAACATTGGACCCAGCAGTGGAGCAGGATCCCCAGGACTGAAGGCCACACAGTGCCCTACACCCCAGAGAACAGGCAGTTTAGCCCACTGGGAGGCTGCTCCTAAAACAAAGGGAGGACAGCATATACTCCCTAGAGTTTAAAAGCTGCCTGCCTGGGTCCATTGACTGCAACCTCACCCCACCAGCATCAGGGCTGCTCTACAATGACATGCATTCTGAGGACAGGTTCTCCCCCAGGCCCACCCAGGCTGGAACTGTTTCCCAAGTACTCAAAAACACCCCTTGAGAGCCTGGGATCATCCCACCTCATCCACCATTGTTGGTATCCATGCATTCCTCCTGGGGGCTTGAGGATGGGCCCACCCACCTGCCACTACCACCACTGCCAGCAGTCATCCACACACACCACTTGGGGCCTGGACTGACCTGCTCAGCCCATTTCAGCCAGCACTAAAACCAGCATGTGCTGCCTGGGAGCCCAAGGGTTGTTCTACCACCTGTGCTGCCATCTCCCACACCATACATGCTACCCAGAGGCCCAAGGATTCATCCATTTTCCCAGTCCATCACTGGCACTGCCAGCACCTGAGAAAGAGCCTGGAGGCCCAGGAATCAGCCCACCTGGACTTCCTAACACCAATGCCCACAAATGCCATCCAGGCACCCAAGGACAGACATGCTCAGCCCACTGCTGCCACCACTGGGTTCTGGAGAGAGGCCCATTTGTTGTCCTCATCCCAATAAAGCCTCACCACAGCCTCCACTAACAACTGCAGCCTAAGCCACTGAAGAAATCACAGACACCACTAAGGCTGTTTAGGGCCAAAAAAATTATACAAAGATGACACTACTGCACACACTAAGAATCAAAGCTAAAGTGGCCTACCCAACCAACACTGTAGACACATCTTCAGGAAAAAGTTTTCCCCTGTAAAAGTTAATCCAGAAAAATGGAAGAAGCAGCCATTATATGACAGGAGCATTCAGATATCAATGTAAAGAAACATGAAACATAAACATTACAGAAACAAGAAACATGAACATTACAGCTAATAATGTAAAAACACAAGAAATATGAAAAAGAAAGGGAATATAAAACCTCCAAAAGAACACAATAATTCTCCAGCAACAGATTCTAAAGAAACCAAAATGCATGAAATACCTGAAAAAGAATTTGAAGTGATAATATCAAAGGAGCTCCATGAGATACAAGATAACACAGACAAACATTACAACAATGCACAACAAAATCAGAAAAAAAAATTCTTTCAGATATGAGTGAGAAATTCACCAAAGACATCATTTAAAAAGAACCAAACAAATCCTGAAACTGAAGAATTTAATGAGTTTAAAAAAATACAGTCAAGAGTTTCAATAATAGACTAGATCAAATGAAAGAAAGAATTTTTCAGAACTTGAAGACAAGACTTTTGAAATAACTCAGAAAAATAGAAAGAAAAAAATGAAGAACACTTATGTGACAAATGAGACACCATGAAGAGACCAAATTTTTAATTATGGGTATTCTGGAAGTTGAGGAAAAGCCCAAAGGCATAGAAAATCTATATAACAAAATGATAGCTAAGAATGTCACAAGTCTAGCAAGAGATTTAGACATCTAACTACAGAAAACTCAGATTCCCAGGTAGATACAATCTAAAAAGGTCTCTCCATAGTATATTATATGAAAACTATCAAAAGTCAAAGACAAAGAAAGAATTGTAAGGACAGCAAGATGAGGATTCCCATAAATGTGACTAGACATTCAGTAACTAACAGCACTAAAGTTAAGTGACTAAGATCTAGTCACATATAAGGGAACCCCTCAACAGAATAACAGATTTCTCAGCAGAAATCTTACAGGCCAGAAGAGAATGGGATGAAATATTCAAAATGCTAAAAGAAATAAATATGCTAGCCAAAAATGTTACACCCAGCATAGTTATTCTTTATAAATGAAGGATAAATAAAGTGTTTCCCAGACACGCAAAAACTGAGGGAATTTATCACCACTAGACCAGCTGCACAAGAAATGCCTAAGAAAATCATACTCTCGGAAGGGAAAAAACAGTATCTATCATCACAAAAGCACACAGAAGTATAAAACTTACGGGTAGAGCAAACACACAAATGAGGAGGAGAAAAAACTCAAATGTTAATACTACAGAAAAATACAAAACTATGGTGACAATAAGAAAGAAAGAATAAAGGATATACAAAACAACCAGAAAGCAATTACCAAAATGACAAAATGACAGGAATAAGAGTTCCCTCACATATCAATAATAAACTTGAATGCAAATAGATTAAATATTCTACTTAAAATATATACAATGGGATGGCTGGCAAGATTGCCGAATAGGAACAACTCTGGTCTGCAGCTCCCAGAGAGATCAATGCAGAAGGCAGGTGATTTCTGCATTTCCAACTGAGGCACCTAGCTCATCTCACTGGGACTGGTTAGACAGTGGGTGCAGCCCACAGAGTGCGAATCAAAGAAGGGTGGGTGTCACCTCACCTGGGAAGTGCAAGGGTTTAGGGAACTCCCGCCCCTAGCCAAGGGAAGCCGTGAGGGACTATGCTGTGAGGAATGGTGCATTCCAGCCCAGATACTATGCTTTTCCCACAGTCTTTGCAACACAGAGACCAGGAGATTCCCTCGGGTGCCTACACCACCAGTGCCCTGGGTTTCAAGCACAAAATTGGGTGGCCATTTGGGCAGACACTGAGCTAGCTGCAGGAATTTTTTTTATATACCCCAGTGGTGCCAGGAACACCAGCAAGATAGAACCATTCCTTCCCCTGGAAAGGGGGCAGAAGCCAGGGAGACAAGTGGTGTAGTTCAGTGGATCCCACCCCCATGGAGCTCAGAAAGCTAAGATCCACTGGCTTGAAATTCTTGCTGCCAGCACAGCAGTCTGAAGTCAAACTGGGATGCTAGAGCTTGGTTGGGGGAGGGGCAACCACCATTACTGAGGCTTGAGTAGGCAGTTTTCCCCTCACAGTGTAAACTCAGACTGGGCAGAGCCCACCATAGCACCACAAAGCTGCTATAGTCAGACTGCCTCTCTAGATTCCTCCTTTCTGGGCAGGGCATCTCTGAAAGAAAGGAAGCAGCCCCAGTCAGGGGCTTGTAGATAAAACTCTCATCTCCCTAGGACAGAGCACTTGGGGGAAGGGGCAGCTGTGGGCACTGCTTCAGCAGACCTAAATGTTCCTGTCTGCCAGCTCTGAAGAAAGCAGATCTCCCAGCACAGTGCTCGAGCTCTGCTAAGAGACATACTGCCTCCTCAAGTGGGTCCCTGACCCCTGTGCCATACTGCATAAAGTAATTTATAGATTCAATGCTATCCTCATCAAGCTACCATTTACTTTCTTCACAGAATTAGAAAAAAACTACTTTAAATTTCACATTGGGGGGGAGGAGCCAAGATGGCCGAATAGGAACAGCTCCAGTCTACAGCTCCCAGCGTGAGCGATGCAGAAGACGGGTGATTTCTGCATTTCCATCTGAGGTACCGGGTTCATCTCACTAGGGAGTGCCAGACAGTGGGCGCAGGTCAGTGGGTGCGCGCACCGTGCGCGAGCCGAAGCAGGGCGAGGCATTGCCTCCCTTGGGAAGCGCAAGGGGTCAGGGAGTTCCCTTTCCGAGTCAAAGAAAGGGGTGACGGACGCACCTGGAAAATCGGGTCACTCCCACCCGAATATTGCGCTTTTTGGACCGGCTTAAAAAACAATGCACCACCAGATTATATCCCGCACCTGGCTCGGAGGGTCCTACGCCCATGGAGTCTCGCTGATTGCTAGCACAGCAGTCTGAGATCAAACTGCAAGGAGGCAGCGAGGCTGGGGGAGGGGTGCCCACCATTGCCCAGGCTTGCTTAGGTAAACAAAGCAGCCGGGAAGCTCGAACTGGGTGGAGCCCACCACAGCTCAAGGAGGCCTGCCTGCCTCTGTAGGCTCCACCTCTGGGGGCAGGGCACAGACAAACAAAAAGACAGCAGTAACCTCTGCAGACTTAAATGTCCCTGTCTGACAGCTTTGAAGAGAGCAGTGGTTCTCCCAGCACGCAGCTGGAGATCTGAGAACGGGCAGACTGCCTCCTCAAGTGGGTCCCTGACCCCTGACCCCCGAGCAGCCTAACTGGGAGGCACCCCCCAGCAGGGGCACACTGACACCTCACACGGCAGGGTATTCCAACAGACCTGCAGCTGAGGGTCCTGTCTGTTAGAAGGAAAACTAACAAACAGAAAGGACATCCACACCAAAAACCCATCTGTACATCACCATCATCAAAGACCAAAAGTAGATAAAACCACAAAGATGGGGAAAAAACAGAACAGAAAAACTGGAAACTCTAAAACGCAGAGCGCCTCTCCTCCTCCAAAGGAACGCAGTTCCTCACCAGCAACGGAACAAAGCTGGATGGAGAATGACTTTGACGAGCTGAGAGAAGAAGGCTTCAGAGGATCAAATTACTCTGAGCTACGGGAGGACATTCAAACCAAAGGCAAAGAAGTTGAAAACTTTGAAAAAAATTTAGAAGAATGTATAACTAGAATAACCAATACAGAGAAGTGCTTAAAGGAGCTGATGGAGCTGAAAACCAAGGCTCGAGAACTACGTGAAGAATGCAGAAGCCTCAGGAGCCGATGCGATCAACTGGAAGAAAGGGTATCAGCGATGGAAGATGAAATGAATGAAATGAAGTGAGAAATGCAAATCAAAACCACAATGAGATACCATCTCACACCAGTTAGAATGGCAATCATTAAAAAGTCAGGAAACAACAGGTGCTGGAGAGGATGTGGAGAAATAGGAACACTTTTACACTGTTGGTGGGACTGTAAACTAGTTCAACCATTGTAGAAGTCAGTGTGGCGATTCCTCAGGGATCTAGAACTAGAAATACCATTTGACCCAGCCATCCCAATACTGAGTTATATACCCAAAGGACTATAAATCATGCTGCTATAAAGATACATGCACACGTATGTTTATTGCGGCACTATTCATTATAGCAAAGACTTGGAACCAACCCAAATGTCCAACAATGATAGACTGGATTAAGAAAATGTGGCACATATACACCATGGAATACTATGCAGCCATAAAAAATGATGAGTTCATGTCCTTTGTAGGGACATGGATGAAATTGGAAATCATCATTCTCAGTAAACTATCTCAAGAACAAAAAACCAAACACCGCATATTCTCACTCATAGGTGGGAATTGAACAATGAGATCACATGGACACAGGAAGGGGAATATCACACTCTGGGGACTGTGGTGGGGTTGGGGGAGGGGGGAGGGAGAGCATTGGAAGATATACCTAATGCTAGATGACGAGTTAGTGGGTGCAGCGCACCAGCATGGCACATGTATACATATGTAACTAACCTGCACATTGTGCACATGTACCCTAAAACTTAAAGTATAATTAAAAAAAAAAATTTCACATGGAACTAAAAAAGAGCCCATGTAGCCAAGACAGTCCTAAGCAAAAAGAACAAAGCTGGAGGCATCACGCTGCCTGACTTCAAACTATACTACAAGGCTATGGTACCAAAACAGATATATAGACCAGTGGAACAGAACAGAGGCCTCAGAAATAATACCACACATCCACAACCATCTGATCTTTGACAAACCTGACAAAAACAAGCAATGGGGAAAGGATTCCCTATTTAATAAATGGTGTTGGGAAAACTCACTAGCCATAGGCAGAAAACTGAAACTGGATCCCTTCCTTACAAATTATACAAAAATTAACTCAAGATGGATTAAAGACTTAAACATAAGACCTAATACCATAAAAACCCTAGAAGAAAACCTAGGCAACACCATTCAGGACATAGGCATGGGCAAAGACTTCATGACTAAAACACCAAAAGCCATGACAATAAAAGCCAAAATTGACAAATGGGATCTAATTAAACTGAAGAGCTTCTGCACAGCAAAAGAAACATCATCAGAGTGAACACGCAACCTACAGAATGGGAGAAAACTTTTGCAATCTAGCCATCTGACAAAGGGCTAATATCCAGAATCTACAAGGAACTTAAACAAATTCACAAGAAAAAACAAATAACCCCATCAAAAAGTGGACAAAGGATATGAACAGCCACTTCTGAAAAGAAGACATTTATGTGGCCAACAAACATGAAAAAACGCTTATCATCACCGGTCATTAGAGAAATGCAAATCAAAACCACAATGAGATACCATCTCATGCCAGTTAGAATGGTGATCATTAAAAAGTCAGGAAACAACAGATGCTGGAGAAGACGTAAAGAAACAGGAATGCTTTTACACTGTTGGTGGGAGAGTAAATTAGTTCAACCATTGTGGAAGACAGTGTGGTGATTCCTCAAGAGTCTAGAATCAGAAATACCATTTGACCCAGCAATCCCATTACTGGGTATACACCCAAAGGATTATAAATCATCCTACTGTAAAGACACATGCACACGTATGTTTATTGCAGCACTCTTCACAATAGCAAAGACTTGGAACCAATCCAAATGCCCATCAATGTTAGACTGGATAAAGAACATGTGGCACATATACACCATGGAATACTATGCAGCCGTAAAAAAGAATGAGTTCTTGTCCTTTGCAGGGACATGGATGAAGCTGGAAACCATCATTCTCAGCAAACTAACACAGGAACAGAAAACCAAACACTGCATGCTCTCACTCATAAGTGGGATTTGAACGATGAGAACATATGGACACAGAGAGAGGAACATCACACACCAGGTCCTGTCAGTGGGTAGGGGGAAAGGGGAGGGATAGCATTAGGAAAAATGCCTAATGTAGACGATGCGTTGATGGGTGCAGCAAGCCACCATGGCACGTGCATGCCTATGTAACAAACCTGCACGTTCTGCACATGTATTCCAGAACTTAGAATATAATAATTAAAAAAAAAAGTTGGAATGAACAACAACAAAAAAGATAGACACTGGCTGAATAGATTTTTTTTAATGACCCAACTATATGCTGCCTCTAAGAATCTCATCTCACCTGTAAAGACATATAAATTGAACATAAAGGGATGGAAAAAGATATTCCACAAAACAAAAACCCAAAGTGAGCAGGAGTATTTACACCCATATCAGATAAAACAGACTTTAAGTCAAAAACAGTAAAAACAGACAAAGTCATTATATAATGATAAAGGAATCCATTAAGCAAAAGTATATAACAATTTAAAATATATATGCACCCAACACCCAAGCACCCAGATATATAAAGGAAATATTATTAGATCTAAATGGAGAGTAGACTCCAAAACTATAATAGTTGGAAACTTCAACACCCCACTCTCAGCTTTATACAGATTATCTAGACAGAGAATTAACAAAGAACATTTATTTTCTTTTTTTAATTTATTTAACTTTTAAGTTCAGGGGTACATGTGCATGTTGTTTATATAAGTAAACTTGTGTCATGGGGGCTTGTGGTACAGATAATTTTATCATCCAGGTATTAAGCCTAGTACCCATTAGTTATTTTTCCTGGTCCTCTCTCTCGTCCTATCTTCCACCCTCCAATAGAACCCAGTGTGTGTCATTCCCTTCTATGTGTTCATGTGTTGTCATCATTTAGCTCCCAATTAAAAGTGAGATCATGTAGCATGTGGTTTTCTGTTTCTCTGTTAGTCTGCTTAGGATAATGGCCTCCAGCTCCATCCATGTTTCTGCAAAGGAATACTATGGCTGCATAGTATTCCATGGTGTATATGTACCAGTTTCTTTATCCAGTCTGTCATTCATGGGCTTTTTGGTTGATTCCATGTCACAAAGAAATATTTCATTTAAACTGCACTTTAGACCAAATGGACTTAACAGACATTTACAGAACATTCTATCCAGCAGCTACATCATATATATTATATTCATCATACATGGGACATATATGTCAGGCCACAAAACAAGTCTCAACAAATTTTAAAACTTGAAATCATATCAAGCATATTCTCAGACCACAGTGCAATAAAACTAAGAGTCAATAACAAGAGGAACTTTGGAAACTATACAAATACATAGAAATTAAACAACATGCTCTTGAACAACCATTGGGCAATGAAGAAATTAGAAAAGAAGTAAAAAATGTCTTGAAACAACTGAAAATAAAAACACAACATACGAAAATCTGTGAGCAATTGCAAAAGCAGTGCTAAGAGAGAAATGTGGCTGGGTGCGGTGGCTCACGCCTGTAATCCCAGCAGTTTGGGAGGCCGAGGCAGGTGGATCACGATGTCAAGAGATTGAGACCATCCTGGCCAATATGGTGAAACCTCATCTCTACTAAAAATACAAAAATTAGCTGGGCATGGTGGTGCACACCAGTAGTCTCAGCTACTCAGAAGGCTGAGGCAGGAGAATCGCTTGAACCTGGGAGGTGGAGGTTGCAGTGAGCTGAGATCGCACCACTGCACTCCAGCCTGGTGACAGAGGGAGAATCTATATTAAAAAAAAAAAAAAGGTGTATAGCAATACATGCCTACATCAAAAAAGTAAAAAGTTTTCAAATAAACAATCTAATGAATCACCTCAAAGAATTAGAAAAGCAAGCACAAACAAAACCCAAAATTAATAAAGGGAAAGAAATAATAAAGGTCAGAGAAAAACTAAGCAAAATAGAAACTAAAAACTCAATACAAAGAATCAATGAAATTGTTTGTTTTTTGAAAAGATAAGCAAAATTGATAAACTACTAGCTAAACTAGCCAAGAGAGAAAAGACCCAAATGAACAAAATCAGAAATAAAAAAGGAGACATACAACTGATACCATAGCAATACAGATTATTATGAACTCCTACACACTAACAAACTGGAAACCTAGAAGAAATCGATGTATTTGTGGACACATACAATCTACCAAGATTAAAACAGGAAAAATAAAATAAAATCCTGAACACACAATTAAGGAGTAATGAGTTTGAATCAATAATAAAAAGTCTCCCGACAAAGAAAAGCCCAGGACTGAATGGCTTTATTGCTGAATTCTACCAAACTTTTAAAGAAGAACTAATACCAATTCTCCTCAAACTATTCCAAAAAATTGCAGAGAATTCTTCCTACTGCATTCTACAAGGCCAGCATTACTCTGATAACAAAACCAGAGAAAACATGCACACACACAAAACTTCTTGATGAACATAGACACAAAAATCCTCATCAAAATACTAGCAAACTGAATCTAATAGCATATCAAAGATAATACACCACGATCAAGTAAGATTTATCCTAGGGATGCAAGGATGGCTTAACATATGTAAATCAGTAAATGAGATACATCACATCAACAGAATAAAGGACAAAATTTATATAATCATCTCAATAGATGCAGAAAAGGCATTTGATAAAAATTTAACATTTCTTCATGATAAAAATCTCAAGAAACTAGGCATGAAAAGAACATACCCTAATACAATAAAAGCCATTTATGGCAAACCCACAGCTAATGCCATACTGAATGGAGAAAAGCTGAAAACCTTTCCTCTAAGAACTAGAACAAAACAAGGATGCCCACTTTCACTATTCCTATTGAAAATAGTACTAGAAGTCTTAATCAGAGCAATCAGGTAAGAGAAAGAAACAAAAGACATCTAAATTGGAAAAGAAAAATCAAGTTGTCCCTTTTTGCAGATGACATATTTCACATTTAGAAACATTGAAAAACTCCACCAGAAAATGCTTAGAACTGATAAATAAATTCAGTAACTTCAAAGAATACAAAATCAACATATAAAAATTCAGTATTTCTTTGCACTAATAATGAACTAGCTGAAAAAGAAATAAAAAAGGCAATCTCATTTACAATAACTAACAAAAAATTAAAATATCTAGAAGTAAATATAACCAAGGAGGTGAAAGAAGACCACCACAAGGAAAACTACAAAACACAGATGAAAGAAATTGAAGAGAACACAAATGGAAAGACACCCTATGTTCATGAATCAGAAGAATTAATATTGTTAAATTGACCATGATACACAAAGGACTCTACAGATTCAATGCAATCGCTATCAAAATACTAGTGATGTTTTTCACAAAAATAGAAAAAAAAATCTAAAATTTGTGTGAAACCAAAAGAGAGCCCAAATAGCCCAAGCAATCCTGAAAGAGCAAATCTAGGAGGATCACACTACCTGATTTCAAAATATATTACAAGGCTATAGTAACCAAAGCAGCATAGTAGTGGCATAAAAATGGATACAAAGACCAATGGAACAAAATACAGAAATCAGAAATAAATCCAGATATTCACAGCCAACTAATTTTTGACAATGGTACCAAGAACATATATTGGGGAAAGGACACCTTCTTCAGTAAATAGTGCTGGTAAACCTGGCTATCCATATGCAGAAGAATTAAACTGGACCCCTAAACTTCCCCATATACAAAAATCAATTCAAGATGGGTTAAAGACAAACATTAGACCCAAAATTATAAAACTACTTAAAAAAAAATAGGCAAAACACTTCAAGACAGCAGTGTAGGTAACAACATCATTAATAAGACCATAAAAGCACAGGCAATTACAACAAAAATAGACAAACAAGACTATAATAAACTCAAAAGCTTCTTCACAGCATTGGAAACACTCAACAGATGGAAGACACAACCTGTTGAATGGGAGAAAATATTTGCAAACTATCCATCTGACAAGGGACAAATATCCAGAATATACAAAGAACTCAAACAACTTAAAAGAAATAAAATGCTATTAAAAAGTGGGCAAAGGACAGGAATAGACATTTCCCAAAAGGAGACATACAAATGGCCAAAAGGTATATGAAAAAATTCTCAACATCACTAATCATCACAGAAATTCAAGTTAAAACCACAGTGAGTGAGGGACAAAAACTACATATTAAGTACAATGTGCATCACTCCAGTGACAGGTACACTAAAATTTCAGACTTCACCACTATAAAAGTCATCCATGTAACCAAAAACCACTCATACCCCTAAAGCTATAGGAATTTAAAAAAAAACCACAATGAGATATCTCATCCCAGCTGGAATGGCTATTATCAAAAAGATAAAAAATGACAAATGCTGGCAAGGATGCTGAGTAAAGGGAATTCTTATGCACTGTTGGAGGGAATGTAAATTTGTATAGCTATTATGGAAGAGAGCATAGAAATTTCTCAAAAAACTAAAAATAGAACTACCATATGATTCAGCAATCCCATTACTGCATATTTATCCAAGGAATGGAAATCAGTATATCAAAGGGATACCTGCACTCCTTTGTTTATTGCAGTACTATTCACAATCGCAAAGATATGGAATCAACCCAGGTGTCCAACAATGAATAAACAGATAAAGGAAATGTGGTATATATACACAATGGTATACCATGTGGTCATAAAAAGGAATAAGATCCTGTCATTTGCGGCAACATGGATGGAACTGGAGGTCACTATGTTAAGTGAAATAAGCTACGCACAGAAATATAAATATTGGGTATCCTCACTCATATATGGAAGCTAAAAATGTTGATCTTATGGAGGTAGGCAGTACAAAGATAGATACCAGAGGCTGGAAAGGTTGGGGCAGGGGAGTAAAGAAAGGTTAGTTAATGGATACAAACATACAGTTAGATAGAAGGAATAAGTTCTAATGTTTGAAGGCAGAGTAGGGTGACTATAGCTAACAACAAAAGATCTAGAAGAGAGGACTTGAAATTTTCCCAACACAGAAATAATAAATTCTCAAGGTGATGGATACCCTAAATGTGCTGACTTGATCATTACACATTCATTCTGTGCATGTGAAAATATTACATGTACCCCATAAATGCATACAAATATTATTTATCAAAAAAAAATTTTAGAGCATTATCCTTGTCCAGTGTGCCATCTCTTGCTCAGCTTTCCTGTATGGTACTTCACACTCAGGTCAGCTCTCTTTACCTGGGGCTAAGAGAAGCTACGGCCAGCTTCCACCTTCATTAGCTTTGCAGGTAGAAATCCCAGCATAAAGACAGGGCCCACAAAAAGTCCTGCAGGGTGTGCTCTATTGGTCAAGCTTGGGATTTGTGAACCAAATACTCAGGCTGCAGGAATGAAATAACCTGATTGACCAGCTCAGGTCAACTAGTGAGCTGAGTCACAGACCTACTGCTAGAGCCACAGGGTGAATCTGTACCACCTGAATCGCATGGACTAAGAACAAGGGAAAACTTCCTCCTGAGAGATACTAGCATACAGTGGAATATGTACAATGTACTTCATTGCCCTGCGTACATTCCCTCAACCCTCCTTGTTTGATGCAAGCATGAGTATTTAATGCAAATAGTTGATATTTTCTACTTGAGAACTCTCTCTGGCTGTGGAGCAAGACAGACAGGCCTACCAGGGAGGTGGAGTCCACAGGTACAGTTTTCAACCGGTGACATGAAGTTGTTGAATACAACAACTGCTTCAACTCCTCAAGAGCAACAACTCTGAAGCATGTTCTAGATAGACCCTCTCCCAGTGAAGGTAATCCCAGTGAGGGGACCAGTGCAATTGAGCCCCAGGTCTCCACAATGGTAACCTGCTTTTTAGCTCAAGTTTTCTGCTTCACTCCCCCGCCGTGCTACCTCAGTTACCTGGAATCACCTCCGAAATAACGTACGGACATTGCAATATATGTCTGAGGGTCTGATTGTGTGGAAACTCAAAATAACATGAACATCATGGTTGGTGAATCCATACTGTTTTCTGTTCATTTCATGTGAAGAAAATTTGTAGGAAATGCTTTGGGCATTGTCTCTCTGTTTTCTTCATAAGACTCAGTATATTTGTCTGGACACTTACTGGGTACTAAAAAAGTATTCTGTTAGTTCATTTCAATCCAGAGAAAATATTTATTTATCCAGAAAAATATAGCAAGGCATATGTAGATATATTAGTATGCTAGGGCTGCCATAACAAAGTACCACAGACTGGGCGACTGAAACAACAGAAATTTGTTATCTCATGGTGGAGGCTGGAAATCAGAGTTCAAGGTGTAAGCAGCATTGATTTCTTCTGAGACCTTTCTCCTTGACATGTAGATGGCCGTCTTCTTCCTGTGTCTTCACATGGTTCCCTCTGTATCTGTGTAATAATCTCTTCTTATATGGATGCTAGTCTGGTTGTATTACAGGCCATTCTAATGACCTCATTTTGACTTCATTACTTCTTTGAAGGCCCTGAAACCAAATACAGTCACATTCTGAGGGACTGAGGGTTAAGATTTCAACATATAAATTTGGGTGAGATACGATTCAACCCATAACAGTGGATGTCTGTGTTTTGTGTCATTTTTGTCTTTAGAGGCAAAATGCTTTGTGAATAGATGATTTATTTGCCATCCTCCTCTCCACAGATTAGAACAATATGGATTACAGAATAGTGTGCTTTTTTTAAACTCAAGGTTCAGCATTGCTGAGTGGGCCGAGACGCCTCTCCCAAAATAAATAAAGGGAAGAAATTTTGAAAACAAGGAAGAACTATAACAGAAAGAAATCTGTGAGCCTCCTGAGTAACATAACCAGGTTCTTGACAAATAGTCCTCCCACAGCACGAACAAGGAAAGGCATTCTGATCTGATTTTGAGTCTCCACAAGAAACACCAGCCTTCAGCTCTGGTAGAATTCACCTCATCACCACTGTAGATTTGATATGGCAGACTCACTTTGTATGTCAAGATTGCATTATGCATTCATTTCTCCATGACTTAAATAAGGACACTGGGGGGCCAGTGAACAATGCTAGGCTCTCTTAATTCTGCAGATGGATAGGGAAAATGATGATTGGCTCCAAATGATTAGAGAGTGTGATGATAGTATGATTTACGACCAGCAGTCCCAATGTGGCTATTATTTAGTGTTATGAATAAACTGAGAAAGATGTTCTCTTATGCCACATCACAAGCCAGTATCATCTGAACAGCTTGGTGATGTCATGACCCAAGAATCAAGAAAGTATTTCATTGAGGAGATGGGTGGAATGTGAAGACATGAATGCAGTGATTAAAGAGGCAATGAAAATTGCTTATTTCTGCCTAACAAATGACTTGTCAGCTACAGAAACCAACTCCACTCAACTCTGCACCTTTTTGTATTTTGACACAAAGTTCCATCTTTCCTTACCACTGGAATTTTTGGCTCTTTTGGGCTTCCTTCCTACACATATTTCATGACTCAGAGAGCATGCTAAAATACAGATAGAGATTTCTTGGTTCAGGAAACCAAGCCAAGTTCATTTGCTTCTTGATGCATGTCACCAGGCCATCGGGTCTTTTAAAGAAATTTTTTAAATACAACTTTCTCTAGGCTCCTGATCTTTCAGACCCATGGCAATCTGGGGCCTGTTTCCTATTCCCCACATGCACTTTCAGCTGTGGTCTTTTTCCAATCAATTTCCAGATGTTGTTGCTTATTCATTTTATTTTCAGCACATTTTATCCTTTCCTGAACTCCCACATAATCTTCTTCCATGCCACCCTTCCTTCCCATACCCACCCCAACGAGGCAAATTCCTAAACTCTGCTGCAATTACACCAAATTTAATTGGCTCTTTCATGCCCCAGCTGACTGTGTCTTGACTCTGAAGACAAAAGAGATGATTGGACTTCAGGAAGAGCCTTTTCAGAATGAACTCCCAGCTGATGGCCAGATGCTGTTGAGGTCTGGGCTGCCTATTGTGTAAAGTCTCTGTAGGGAAAAAAAAACATTCACTGGGGCCCTGAAGTACAAACCGCAGTTTGTTTTAGAATCATTTTTTTAATGTCTTTGTGCAAATGTCAAACCAGTAAGCCAGAAATGTTGTTTAAATTGTTATTGTACAATATAAAAATTGCAAAGAGGTCTTGCCTTTCTCTAGTACTTCAGCTTTTGGCAGTATTTGGAAATGAGCTCTTCCACAAAGGATTGATTTTTAAGACAATTGAAACATCTTTAAGACAGCTGAAACATCTTTAACAATTGAAAATCTGCAACCATTTTTACATAAATCTTTCTAGTATGCATTACACTTTAGAGTGTGCTGATCATAAGCTAATGTTTTCTTAATGATTCAGAACCAATGTTAAGAATACAAGCAGCCATGCCATAAGATCTATATTTGTCTGCTTTTCCTCACATCCAGGTTTCCCAACCTTGGCATTATTGATATCTTGGGTCAGATAATCCTTTGTTGTGGGAGTATGGCCTGTACAATGTAGGATGTTTAGCAGCATCCCTGGTCTCTACCTACTAGGTGCCAGTAGCACCATCCCTTCAGTGGTGACAACCAATAACATTTTAAGGGTGAGAAGGTATACCATCACATGTTCTCAACATTGTACTCTAGGCCCTAGTCAGTGCAATAAGAAAGAAAAAGGAAAAGGAAAAGTATAATGATTGAAAAATAGGAAAAAACACATTATCCTTATTTGCAAATAACATGACTATATACATGGAAAATTCAAAATAATCTGCAAACTGTTGTAATTAATAAAAGTGAATTTAGAGGGTAATTAGTAACAAAATTGACACAGAAAAACAAATTCTGTTTGGGAGGATGAGGCAGGGAGATCACCTGAGGTCAGGAGTTGAAGACCAGCCTGCCCAACAGGGTGAAACCCCATCACTACTAAAAATACAAAAAATTAGCCAGGCATGGTGGTGCACACCTGTAGTCCCAGCTACTAGGGAGGCTGAGGTAGCAGGATTGATTGAAACTGGGAGGCAGAGGTTGCAGTGAGCCAAGATCGCACCACTGCACTCCAGCCTGGGCAACAGAGTGAGACCCTATGTCTTTAAAAAAATGATAAATTTTTTATAAGTTTCTATGACTTTAAAAATATTGGAAAATAAAATTTAAAAAATACTACATACAGTCTCATTAAGAAAATCAAATAATTAGAAATGAATTTAATGAAAGATGCATATGAGCAAAAACTACAAAATATTAAAGAGAAATTACCTAAATAAATCAAGAGACACAACATGTACTCAAGATTACTAAGGTTTCTTGCCAGCAATGGTGGTTCACACCTATAATCTCAGCACTTTGGGAGGCCAAAGTGGAAGAATTACTTGAGGCCAGAAGTTTGAGACCAGCCTGGGTAACATAGTGAGACACCATCTCTACTGAGTGTGGTAGTGCCTGTCTGTAGTCCTAGCTAGTTGGGAGGCTGAGGCAGAAAGAAAAAAAATTTTTTTCAATTATCTCAAAATTTATCTGCAGATTCAATGAAATCCAAAACCAAATCCCAGCAAAGATTTTTTTAATTGAAACATAAATCTAAATGTATATGAAAATTAAAAGGACTTAGAAAGACAATCTTGGCCAAGCATGGTGGCTCACGCCTATAATCCCAGCACTTTGGGAAGCCGAGGCGGGCAGATCACCTGAGGTCAGGAGTTTGAGACCAGCCTGACCAACATGGTGAAACACATCTCTACTAAAAATGCAAAAATTAGCTGGGCATGGTGGTGCATGTCTGTAATTCCAGCTACTTGGGAGGCTGAGACAGAAGAATCACCTAAACCCAGGAGGTGGAGGTTGCAGTGAGCCAAGATTGTGCCACTGCACTCCAACCTGGGTGACGGAGTAAGACTCCATCTCAAAAAAAAAAAAAGAAAAAAAAATCTTGAAGTACAATAAATTTGTAGGAATAATACTGTGGGGTTGCAAGACCTATTATAAAGCTACAGTAATTAAGACAGTGTCATATTGGACCAATAGAATAGAAAAAAAGTATTATATTTATTTTTTTGAACTTTTAGATTCAGCAGTATATGTGCAGGTTTGTTATATGGGTAAATTGCCTGTCACAGGGGTTTGGTGTACAGATGATTTCATCACCCAGGTGATAAGCATGGTACCTGACAGGTAGTTGTGAGATCCTCACCCTCCTCTCGCTCTCCACCCTCAAGTAGGCTCTGATGCCTATTGTTTCCTTCTCTGTGTCCATGTGTACTCAATGTTTAGCTCCTACTTATAAGTAAGAATATGTGGTATTTGGTTTTCTGTTCCTGTGTTAGTTTGCTTAGAATAATGGCTCCCAGCTCCATCCATGCTGCTGCAAAAGACATAATCTCATTCTTTTTATGGCTGCATAGTATTCCATGGTGTATATGTACCACATTTTCTTTATCCAGTCTACCATTGATGGGCGTTTAGGTTGATTTCATGTCTTTGCTATTGTGAATAGTGCTACAATGAACGTACACATATATGTGTCTTTGTGGCAGAACAATTTATATTCCTTTTAGTATATATCCAATAATGAAATTGCTGAATTGAATAGTTCTTTTTTAAGTTCTTTGAGAAATCACCAGACTGCTTTCCACAGTGGCTGAACTAATTTACATCCCCACCAGCAGTGTGCAAGCATTCCCTTTTTCCCACAGTCTCACCACTATTTGTGAGTTTTTGACTTTTTTTTTTTATACTTTAAGTTTTAGGGTACATGTGGACAATGTGCAGGTTAGTTACATATGTATACATGTGCCATGCTGGTGTGCTGCACCCATTAACTCGTCATTTAGCATTAGGTATATCTCCTAATGCTATCCCTCCCCCTCCCCCCACCCCACAACAGTCCCCAGAGTGTGATGTTCCCCTTCCTGTGTCCATGTGTTCTCATTGTTCAATTCCCATCTATGAGTGAGAACATGCGGTGTTTGGTTTTTTGTCCTTGAGATAGTTTACTGAGAATGATGATTTCCAGTTTCATCCATGTCCCTACAAACGACATGAACTCATCATTTTTTATGGCTGCATAGTATTCCATGGTGTATATGTGCCACATTTTCTTAATCCAGTCTATCATTGTTGGACATTTGGGTTGGTTCCAAGTCTTTGCTATTGTGAATAGTGCCACAATAAACATACGTGTGCATGTGTCTTTATAGCAGCATGATTTATAGTCCTTTGGGTATATACCCAGTAATGGGATGGCTGGGTCAAATGGTATTTCTAGTTCTAGATCCCTGAGGAATCGCCACACTGACTTCCACAATGGTTGGACTAGTTTACAGTCCCACCAACATTGTAAAAGTGTTCCTATTTTTCCACATCCTCTCCAGCACCTGTTGTTTCCTGACTTTTTAATGATTGCCATTCTAACTGGTGTGAGATGGTATCTCATTGTGGTTTTGATTTGCATTTCTCTGATGGCCAGCGATGATGAGCATTTCTTCATGTGTCTTTTGGCTGCATAAATGTCTTCTTTTGAATGTCTTCTTTTGTTCATATCCTTTGCCCACTTTTTGATGGGGTTGTTTGCTTTTTTCTTGTAAATTTGTTTGAGTTCATTGTAGATTCTGGATATTAGCCCTTTGCCAGATGAGTAGGTTGCGAAAATTTTCTCCCATTTTGTAGGTTTCCTGTTCACTCTGATGGTAGTTTCTTTTGCTGTGCAGAAGCTCTTTAGTTTAATTAGATCCCATTTGTCAATTTTGGCTTTTGTTGCCATTGCTTTTGGTGTTTCAGACATGAAGTCCTTGCCCATGCCTATGTCCTGAATGGTAATGCCTAGGTTTTCTTCTAGGGTGTTTATGGTTTTAGGTCTAACATTTAAGTCTTTAATCCATCTTGAATTAATTTTTGTATAAGGTGTAAGGAAGGGAGCCAGTTTCAGCTTTCTACATACGGCTGGCCAGTTTTCCCAGCACCATTTATTAAATAGGGAATCCTTTCCCCATTGCTTGTTTTTCTCAGGTTTGTCAAAGATCAGATAGTTGTAGATACGTGGCATTATTTCTGAGGGCTCTGTTCTGTTCCATTGATCTATATCTCTGTTTTGGTACCAAGAATCAATATCGTGTAAATGGCCATACTGCCCAAGGTAATTTATAGATTCAATGCCATCCCCATCAAGCTACCAATGACTTTCTTCACAGAATTGGAAAAAACTACTTTAAAGTTCATATGGAACCAAAAAAGAGCCCGCATTGCCAAGTCAATCCTAAGCCAAAAGAACAAAGCTGGAGGCATCACGCTACCTGACTTCAAACTATACTACAAGGCTACAGTAACCAAAACAGCATGGTGCTGGTACCAAAACAGAGTTTTTGACTTTTTAATGATAATCATTCTGATTGGTGTGAGATGGTATCTCATTGTGGTTTTGATTTTTATTTCTCTAATGATTAGTGATGTTGAACATTTCTTCATATGCTTGTTGGCTGCATGTATGTCTTCTTTTGAAAAGTGTTTGTTTATGTCCTTTGTCCACTTTTTAATGGGGTTGTTTGTTTTCTGTAGGCTAATTTGTTCTTTATAAAAGTTCTTTATAGATTCTGGATATTAAACCTTTGTCAGATGAGTATCACATTTAGATGCATTTTATACTGTCGAATGATTGAAAGAAAAGTTGCTACTAAAATTCTGTGGGGAGAAAGGTGATAATTTTAGTAAATGATGCCATAACAATTGGATTTCTATATGGAAAAAAATGAATCTTGATGCCTACATCATCCCATACATAAAAATTTAATTTGAATTTATCATACACATAAATATAAATGGTAAAACCATAAAAAATCTTTTGAAAAAGTACAGGAGAATATCTTCATTGCTAATGCAAAAAGTACTAAATGTAAATTTAAAAATGTTAAATTAGATTAATTAATCTTAAGAATTTCTCTTCATCACCATAAGATATATTAAGAGAGTCAAAAAACAAGCCACAGAGTGAGAGAAGATACTGACAACACTATATTCAGCAAAGGAATATGTACATAATATATTTTTAAAAAACAATTTTAAGTTGGATAGAAGACATGCCCAGAATTGTTATAAAAGAAGATATACAAATGGCCAATAATATATGAGAAGGAATGCAAAATCATTACTCCTCAGGGATAGCAAATTTAAACCACAGATACCATCACACACCCAGCAGAATGGCTAAAATTGAAATGGTTGGCAATATCAAGTGTTAACAAGAATGTGAAGCAACGGGATTGCTGGTGAAAGTGTAAATTGGTACAACCTGTTTGGAAAACTATTTGGCAGTACCTCATAAAGCTAAATGTCTACCCACTTCATTGCCCAGCAATTACACTTCTAAGTACATATTTAAGAGAAATAAATACATATTTACTTTAAAAAGACATAAGAACATGAACAAGAATGATCACACCCATTTTATTCATGATAACAAAAGACTAGAAATAACTGTACATCAAAAAGATCATGAATAAATAACAGTGTAAAACTTTATAGTGTATTGCTGTATGGGGAATACTCACACAGCAATAAAAAAGAATAAACTACTGCAGTGGTAAACATTTAACGACTGCCTCTCCAGCGAGGGAAAAAGTCCTGATTGGTAGCATTTCCTGATTTTTGTGGCATAAATACTCCCACCATGGCCATTTTCAAGTTACCCACATGAAGTCACAGAATGCAGCATTGCAAAAAAATGTGCACAACTGCAAGCTGTGTGAGCCAGCTTCAGCACACTGCTGCATTACTAATACATGCAACAATATTGAGGAATCTCTCACACCCTATGCTGAGCAAAATAAGTCAGAAAGTAAAGAGTGTCCAAATATTGCTTTTATATTAATTAGAATAAGAAAAAATATTTGATGATGAAAGAAGTCAGAAAAGAGGTTACTATGGAGAATTGGTCTTGATAGGAAAGCAGGACAAAAAACCTTCCTAGGATACTGGAAATATTTTATATCTAACTTTACTCAGTGATTACACACAATATATATCTCATATCTCGATAGATTTACATAAAAATTCATCATGCTAAATGACGAGTTAATGGGTGCAGCACACCAACATGGCACACGTACACATTTGTAACAAACCTGCACGTTGTGCACATGTACCCTAAAACTTAAAGTATAATAATAATAAAATATAATAAAATAAAGAAAAAGTAAAAAATAAGATAAAAAAATAAAAAAATTCATCAAGCTGTAAACATAAAAGTAGTGTGCTTTATATGCTTTACTGTATATATGTAATATATGAATTTTTAAATTTTCAAGTAGGATAATGTTGAGTAAATGTAGCTAATTAAACACACATTTTTTTGGTTCATTTTGAAATCTGATTAAAGGAACAGAACTTTTTTAAGGCAAAGACCCATCAGAATGGGGCAAATAGGAGAGGAGACTACAAAATATTTGAAGCTAGAAAAACACTGGACAAGAGAAAATTACTAGTCTGAGAAAACTAAATGCTAAGCTACCAGTGGAGAAGGCCAATACCAACATAGTTTACACCACAGATTCTCCAAGAAATTCAGAAATCAATGCAGAAATTATCATTAAAAACAAAAGCAGAGGAATGGTGCTAAAACAAGGAAGGTTGGTTGATAGCTTCCAGATGCGAAAAAAAACAAGTCAAATATTAAAATTCAGGAATTAGAACGCCCTCTGAGTTTTCATAAGCAACACTGGAATCTGGAAGACAATAGAAAAATATTTTCTCAAAATTATTAAGAAGATTTACAACCTAGACATATTTATCCAAAGAAGTTATCAATCAAGTGTGAAGATAGACTAAAGAATATTTTAGACATGCAAGAACTCGTAAATTTTTCTCTCACAAATCCTTTCTCTGGAAGTTATTAGAGATTATATTCTACCAAACTGAAAGAGTAAACTCAGATGGAGGATTCTGGCAACAGGAAATCCAGAGTCAAAGGGAATCCTAAACCGATGGTAGCAGTGATCCTAGAATGATCTCTCTTAATAGTAATATGGAGTAACCTGCCCACATTAGAAACTGTAAAAGGCTTAGAGAAATTTCTTCAAAAGGATGAAGTTGATAGAGTACCTAATATGTCTCAACATCTGAAGATGTTCACTTAGCAGTTTTGAAGCCGGTCATGTTATTCCTAGAAAGTCAAGTAAATGACATCCTCTGCCCCTTCCCCGCCCAAAAGAGAGATATTGACTTCAGGGAACATGAATATTTGTCATAGGTTGCTTCATAGCATTTTTAAAAATTATAATAACAAAAGCAATAAATAACTATAAAACTCTACTGAGAAATTATATTGAGGATAGAAAGTGTGTGCATATGTATTTGGCATAGGGAGAAAAAAGATAATCAAACCCTCATCCTCCATGAAGGAAGTTGAATAGATAATGCCTAAACTGAGAATCGCGAAGTAGCAATACAGCATGCTATTCAGATATATAAAAATTGAATGAAAGAAATAGCTAAAAAAAATTAGTTTTTTGTGAATAGTAGGAATGTGAGACTAGAGGCAGGATCCAGCTATTATTTTCCTATAACAAGCTGTGGAGAATCATTTGATTCTTTATACTACATAAATGTATAATTTTGATATACATGGTTTTTAAAAAGTAGAAAAGTTTGAAAAACTAATGTTCAGATGAAGACTATAAGAGGCAGATATTGGCCAGGTGCAGTGGCTCATGCCTGTATTCCCAGCACTTTGGGAGGCCGAGGCAGGCAAATCACCTGAGGTCAGGAGTTCAAGACCAGCCTGGCCAACATGGTCAAACCCCGTCTCTACAAAAATACAAAAATTAGTCAGGCATGATGGCAAGTGCCTGTAATCCCAGCTACTCAGGAGGCTGAGGCAGGAGAATTGCTTGAAACCGGGAGGCAGAAGTTGTAGCGAGCTGAGATCGCGCCATTGCACTCCAGGCTGGGCAACAGAGCAAAATTCCATCTCAAAAAAAAATAAAATTAAATTAAAAAGAGTCAGATATTTAAAAATTAGAGATCTTGGAAATTAGATATATAATTATTGACTTTTTAAAAAAACTCTATATATGCCCACACATAGACAACTGGTTTTCAACAAAGGTATAAAGTGATTGAGTGGACAAAAGACAGGACTTCTGACAAATGATGGTGGGCCAAGTCAACATTCATATTTACAAAAAATGAATTTTTGATCTATACCTTTCACCATATGCAAAAATTAAGTCAGTCATGATGGATCACAGACCTAAAGGTAAAACCTAAAAAGAAAGACAGTCTACATGACTTTGGATCAGGTAAATATTTTGTATATATGACAGTCCAAGCACAATTCATAAATAAATAAATTGATAAATTGGGTTTCATCACAATTTTAAATTTCTACCCTCTGAACAACACTGTGAAGAGTATGAAAAAAACAAGCCAGAGGCTAGAAGAAAATATTTACAAAACATATGACTAAGAAGGTACTTGAATCCAGAATATATAAAGAACTCCCAAAACTCAATTATAGGAAAACAAATGACACAACAATAAAAAAGGGGTAAAATATTTGAACAAACAACCCAAGAAATACAGGTGGCAAATAAGTACATTTTTAAATGCTCAGTATCTCTAGTCATCAGGGAAATGTAAATTTAAACTACAATAGCATCCCCCTATACACTTATTTAAAGGGTTAAAATTTAAAAGATTGACCTCACCAAGTGTTGGCAAGGATGTGGAGAAACGGGAAATCTCATAAACTACTGGAGAAAATGTAAAATAGTACAACCACTTTGCAAAACAGTTTAGCAGTTCTCTTAAACAGTTAAATACACATCTGTCAAATGATCTAGACATTCCACTTCTATGTATTTATTTAAGAGAAAGGAAAGTATATGTCCATAGAAAGACTTGTGCAGGAATGTCCATGGCAACTTATTTATTTATTTATTTATTTATTTATTTATTTATTTATTTATTGAGACAGAGTCTCGCTCTGTTGCCCAGGTTGGAGTGCAATGGTGATCTTGGCTCACTGGAATCTCTGCCACCTGGGCTCAGGTGATCACCTTGCTTCAGCCTCCCAAGTAGCTGGGACTACAGGTGAAAGCCACCATGCCTGACTAATTTTTGTATTTTTTGTAGAGCCGGGGTTTTGCCATAATGCCCAGGCTGGTCTCAAACTCTTGGGCTCAAGCAATCTGCCTGCCTCCACCTCCCAAAGTGCTGGGACTACAGGTGTGAGCTGAGTTGAGGCTCAGCCTCAACTTTATTTTTAATGACCAAAAACTAGGACCAACCCCAATGTCCATCAACAGGTGAATATAAACACAAACTATGATGTATCTGTACAACAAAAAATAATCAGCAATAAAAAGGAATGAACTGTTGATACAAACTACAACATGAATCAACCTCAAAATAATTATGCTGAGAGAAAGAAACTAGACAAAAAGAAGCACTTGCTGTATAATTCCACTTACATAAATTTCTAGAAAAGTAAAGCAAATATAAAATGACAACCAGCACGGTGGCTTACGTAGTAGCCCCCAGCTACTCAGGGGGCTGAGGCAGAAGGATCACTTGAGGCCAGGATGTCAAGACAAGCCTGAGCAACAAAGTGAGACTTCAGCTCTAAAACAAATAAAAAATAAAATCATAATCATTTTTAAATGGACAAAAAGCAGATCAGTGGTTGCCAGGGGATATGAGGTGGAGAGAACAATAGGAAGAAATTCCAAAAGGCACAAGATTTCTCTTAATAGATATGCTCATTATCTTGACTGTGTTGATAGTTTCACAGATGCATATACATTTGCCAAAATGTATCAAATTATCCATTTTAAATATGTACAACACTAAATTATTGTATGTTAATTATACTCCAGCAATGCTATTTTTAAAATATCAAGGCCATAAGAGACAAGGAAAGATTGAAGAATGGTCATAGTTTGGAGGACAATAAGGAGACATGACAACTAACTGGAATGTGAGATCTTGGACCAAATAAAATCTGTATTTTAGTTTAATAGAGTTGTGCCAGCACTAATTTATTAGTTTATAATTGTATTATATTTTGTACCAGTGCTGATTTCTTAGTTTATAATTGTATTATATTATGTAAGATGTTAACATTAAGAAAAGTTGGTGAAAGTGAGTGGGAACCATTTTCAAAACACTATACACCTTTAATTATTTCAAAATAAAATATATTTTCTAAAAAATCTATAGAAGGGATAACTCCCAATAGGACAAAGTTAAAGAACAATCAAATTAGAAAATATAACTGAGGAATTCTAGCAAATGGAAAAATACATATTTTTTTAATACAGAATTTGAATGACATGGAGAATAGATGCAGAAGTATTAATATTAGTAGTACATTCAAAAGTCTATAGAAACTGTATGAGAAGCAAGAACTTAAGTAACAACAGCAAAAAAAAGAAAATTCCCAGAACTTAAGGTTAGCATGAGTCTTCAAATAGAAAAAGCCATCATATTGCTAAACAGGAAAAAATGCTTTTAAAAGCTATACTTTGAGTCCTGGCACCAAAATTTTAAAACATCAAAAATAAATAGTAAATCTTAAAAGCTACCAGAAAGACAGATGACCTGGAATGGAAGGAGAATCAAATTTATGTTACATATCCCAAAAGTAATATTGGTAACTATACAATGAATGGAGTGATATCTTTAAAGATTTAAATGGAAATAACTTGAAACACAAAGTTGTCTATCCAGACAAGCTATCATTCAACAGTAAGAAAAATATAAAAATATAATCAGATATATAAAAATCCTAATGTATACCAGCTCTAATGTTGCACAACTTCAAGTACATGTACCTGATTTTCCCTGGAGTGGTGCAGTGCACAGCCTGTGTAGTGTGTGCAGTAAACCTAATCCATAGATCCTTCTTGAAAGAATTAAATTCAAGGGCAATCACTAGAAGAATAGGATATATTTCAAACAAATATAATAAAAGTATGGAACAAAGAAAATTTTATTGCTGGAAAAGAAGGGAAGAATAAAACATGTATGAATAAAAAGTATGGTAATAGAAAACAAAAATATCATAAAAAGGTTATGAGAATTACCCTCCCACTGTAAATAACCACAAAACTGAACAAAATATGAAACAACGCTTCTAAGATATTCAACAATAGGCAACATAGTCTTGTGACACTTGAGAAGCAGGAAGCAAACAAGATGAAACCTATAATTTTCCTGGCTTTCTGCCAGGTGGTAGTTTTACACAGCTCAAGAAGGGGATTATACGTTCTCTTTATTTTCTCCTGAGGTGAGAAGAGATTGGAATTCAGGGAGGTCAAAATGACTAGAATTTATGCAGCAGAATTCCAGAGATGGTGAAACTGTAAAACAACAGCTCTACATTCTGCAAAGGAATCTTCTGGAGTGTTTGGAAGAGTATACTAACCTACACATCCATGAAATAAAACTCCTTGAGACTGAGAGCAGGAAATCAGTAGGCTGAACTATTCCCAGAATGAGTCTAGGAATAGTTCACAAATCAGAGTACAGAAACTTCATAATATGAAGAACATTTGGAAGAGACCTCGGAAAGGTTAGATGTCAGTAGTGGGGCTAACCTAGGACTAAAGACTGCTCTAAATCCACCTGAGCAAAATTTGAAAGAACCAAAAGGGCTTCGCAAAACAAACTACAACACTCTTTAAAGGAATCAAATGAAATCAGGTACTCAACAATATAAAATTTACTGTGTGGAATCTAATTTAAAAATGAGCAAGCATGCAAAGAAGCTGTTATGAACTGAAAGTTTATGCCTCCCCCAAATTCACATGTTGAAACCCACTTATGTGATGGTATTAGGAGGTGGGGCCTTTGGGAGGTAATTAGGTTTAGAAGATGTCGTGAGAGTAGAGTCTTCATGATGAGATTAGTGTCCTTGTAAGAAGAGAAACAGACCAGTGCTCACTCACTCTTTCCACCATGTGAAGATACAGCAAGAAGGTAGCCATCTGCAAACCAAAAAGACACCATGCACCTTAATCCTGAACTTTACAGAAATAAATGTTTGTTATTTAAGCCACCCAGTCTATGAGGTATTTTGTTATAGCAACCTGAGCAGACTACAAAACAAACAGAAAAATGTTACATATAAGCAAAAGAAAAATCAATAGATAGAAAAACAAATGATGCAGATGATGAAATTGTCAAAGTGTATTAATATTATACTGAAAATTTTAAAGAAAAATATCAACACAATGAGAATAAGAGATAAAAATAATACAAGTGGAACTTTCAGATATGAAAAAAAAATACACAGGATAGGATTAACGAAGAAAAGATTAGTGAACACAAAGCTATAGCAAGAGAAACTATCCAAAATAATACACAAAAGAGATAATTTTTAAAACAATGAATAAGGCCCTAGTGACCTGTGGGACATTATCAAGCACACTAACATACACATAATCATACTCTCAGTAGGAGGGAATGTAAGGGCATGGAAATACAGAAAAACTATTTGAATAACTACTGAATGAAAACTTTCCAAATTTGATCAAAATTATAAACACGAAAGTCGAAGAAGTTTAACAAACCTCAAGCAAAATAACACAAAGATTATTCCTACCAAAGCACATTATAACAATGCTCAAAAACAGTGATAAAGAAAATCTTAAAGCCATAAAAAGAGACATATTACATACAAAAGTACAATGATAGAGGTTGTATCATTTCTGATAAGGCACTTTTTGTCAGAAACTATACAAACTAGAAAACTGAAAAAAAAAAACAATCTAAAACTCTATACCCAGTAAAATATGTTACAAAATGAAGGCAAAATAAAAACTTTTTAGGCAAGCAATGGCTTAGGAAATATATCACCAGCAGAACTGCACTAGAAGAAAAGACGTTCTTCAAACAGAAAGAAAGTGGTACCTAATAAAAATTTGGAACTACCCAATGGAGTAATCAGCATCAGAAATGGTAAATATGCAGGTAAATATGAAAGAAAATTTTACTGAGTTTTAATTAAAAGATCATTGACTTCGGACAGGCACAGTGGCTCACGCCTGTAATCCCTGCACTTTGGAAAGCCGAGGTGGGCGGATTGCTTGAGGTCAGGAGTTCAAGACCAACCTGACCAATATGGTAAAACCCCATCTCCACTAAAAATACAAAATTTGCCAGGAGTGGTGCTGCATTCCTGTAATCCTAGCTACTTGGGAGGCTGAGGCAGGAGAATCACTTGAACCCAGGAGGCAGATGTTGCAGTGAACTAAGATCACACCATTGCACTCCAGCCTGGGCAACAAGAGTGAAACTTCGTTTCAAAAAAAAAATAAAATAAACCATTGACTTCTTACAGCAAAATAATAACATGAGCTCGACACTATTATCTCCATCTTATAGATGAGAAACTGAAGCACACCTTGGTTAAGTAGCTTTCCCAACGCCACACAAAGTGATAGAGCTTCTATTTGAACCTAGATGGTCTGAACATTTGGCCCCTACATTATAACATTATACAATAAAAAAACATTATTTTTTCTCTATAGACAGGGTCTCTCTGTCACCTAGGCTGGAGTACATAGTATCATCGTAGCTCACTGCAACCTTGAACTCTTGTGCTCAAGCAATCCTCTTGCATCAATCTCCCAAGTAGCAGGGACTAAAGGCGCACACCACCATACCTGGCTAATTTTTTTTTTTAGTTTTTGTAGAGACAGGGTCTTGCTATGTTTCCCAGGCTGGTCTTGAACTCTGAGTGATCGTCCCATCTCAGCCTCCCAAAGTGTTGGGCTTATAGGTGTGAGCCACCATGACTGGCAAAACATCAAATATTTATAAAATAAAATATTATAGACCCAATTAAATAAGTATGAACTTCATGTATTAAAATAGATGGATCTCAAAATATTGTTAGGCAAAATTAGCAAGTTATACAAAGATACATATATGAAACCATTTATGATAAAAACAAAGGCAAACATAAAAATAACATTGTGAATTTCACAAGGGCATATATACCTATGAAAAATATTTTTCAAAATATGAAAATATTCATGCCAAATACAGTAATAATCATTAGTTAGGAGAAGGAAAAGGACCTGAACTTGAGAGTGTTGATCAAAGAAAACTTTAGTTTTATCTGTAATGTCTTAATTTTTAAAAAGTAGAATATATTCATATAATACAGTTATCAAGCTAAAAGTTTGTTATCGAGTCTACTGGACCAGTAATATCAATTATATTAATAATAATCAGTGTCAGTAGTATTAGTGACAGTATCAACAGTATCAATGACAGTGTCAGCAGCATCAATAACAAACTCTTAGCTTGATAGCCCCAAAAGCGGATCATTTAATCTATTTTAAGTACACAAAGTCATGTGCAAATATGAGAGTTTTATGCATGTTTCTTGGAGGAGCATTTTAAAAGAGAGCACTATTTTTATGAATAAACCTAAAACACAGAAGAGGTTATTGTAACTAGCATCTATATATCACTTCAGAGATAACTATCAATTTGTGAATATATTCTATCACTTTTCCAGATTTATTGCGATATAACTGACAAATTTAAATTGTGTCTATTATAAATTGATGTTTTGATATATGTATGCATTGAGAAATGATTACCACAATCAAGCTAATATATTCATCAACTCACAGTTATCATGTGTGGGTGAAGAACATTTAAGATCTACTCTCTTAGCAATTTTCAAGTATATTATACATTATTATTAACTATACTTATCATGCTACACAATAGATCTCCAGAGTTTATTCTATAAAACTAAAACTTTTAACCTTTAACCATATCTCCCTATCCCCCCTCCCACCCAGCCCAATAACCACCATTCTACTCTCTGCTTCCATGAGTTTGACCTTTTTAGATTCCACCTATAAATGAGATAATGTATCATTTGTACCTTCATGCCTGGCTTACTTCACTTAACCTAATGTCCTTCAGGTTCATTTGTGTTGCAGCAAATAACAGAATTTCCTTCTTTTTTGAGACTGAATAGTATTTCATTTTGTATATATACTGCATTTTCTTTATCAATTAATCTGTTGATTCTATATCATGGCTATTGTGAATAATGCTGCAATGAACATGAGACTGTGGTTATCTCTTCAACATACTGATTTTATTTCCTTTGGATACATACCCAGAAGTAAGATTGCTAGATTTTACGATAGCCCTATTTTAAATTTTTTGAGGAACCTCCATACTGTTTTCCATTGTGGCTCCAATAATTTATATTCCTACCCTCAGTGCACACAGATTCCCTTTTCTCTACATTACCACAAACACTTGTTGTCTCTAGCCTTTTTGACAATAGCCATCCTAAGATGTCTGAGGTGATATCTCATTGTGGTTTCAATTTGCATTTCCCTGCTGATGAGCATTTTTTTAATATCTGTTGTCCATTCGTATGTCTTCTTCTGAGAAATGTCTATTCAGGCTCTACACCCATTTTAAATTGGGTTATTTGCTTTCTTGCTATTGCATTCTTTAAGATCCTTACATATTTTGAATATTAACCCTTTTTCAGATGTATGGTTTTTAAATATTTTCTTTCATTTTGTAGATTGTAGCTTCACTCTTGTTTGATGTGTGTGTGTGTGTGCATGTGCATGTGTCTATTTGTCTGTTTTGCTGTGCAAAACTTTTTTAGTATGATGGAATTCCATTCTTCTATTTTTGCTTTTGTGTCCTGTGCTTTTGGGGTCATATTCAGAAAGCTATTGCTCAGATCAGTTTCAAGAAGCTTTTCCCATAAAACTGTTAAAAAGTAACCATAGCTAGAGAGGCCCGTTCCAATATGGCCAAATAGGAACAGCTCCAGTCTGTAGCTCCCAGCATGATCGATGCAGAAGACAGTGATTTCTGCATTTCCAACTGAGGTACCTGGTTCATCTCACTATGACTGGTTGGACAGTGGGTGCAGCCCACGGAGGGCGAGCCAAAGCAGGGCAGGGCATCGCCTCACCCAGAAAGCGCAAGGGGTCAGGGGATTTCCCTTTCCTAGCCAAGGGAAGTTGTGACAGACTGTACCTGGAAAATTGGGACACTCCCACCCAAATACTGCACTTTTCCAATGGTCTTAGCAAATGGCACAGCAGGAGATTATATGCCACACCTGGCTCAGTGGGTCCCATGCCCATGGACCCTTGCTCACTGCTAGTGCAGCAGTCTGAGAATGACCTGCAAGACAGCAGCCTGGCAGGGGGAAAGGCATCCACCATTGCTGAGGCTTGAGTAGGTAAACAAAGCGGCTGGGAAACTTGAATTGGGTGGAGCCCACTGCAGCTCTGCAAGGCCTGCTGCCTCTGTAAACCCCACCTCTGGGGGCAGGGCATAGCTGAACAAAAGGCAGCAGAAACTTCTGCAGACTTAAACATCCCTGTCTGACAGCTCTGAAGAGAGCAGTGGGTCTCCTAACATGGTGTTTGAGCTCTGAGAACGAAAAGACTGCCTCCTTATGTGGGTCACTGACTCCCGTGTAGCCTAACTGGGAGACCCCACCCAGTAGAGGCCGACTGACACCTCATACAGGTGGGTACCCCTCTGGGACGAAGCTTCCATAGGAAGGATCAGGCAGCAATATTTGCTGTTCTGCAATATTTGTTGTTCTGCAGCCTCTGCTGGTGACACCCAGGCAAACAGGGTCTGGAGTGGACCTCTAGCAAACTCCAACAGACCTGCAGCTAAGGGACCTGACTCTTAGAAGGAAAACTAACAAACAGAAAAGGATAGCATCAACATCAACAAAAAGGACATCCACACCAAAACCCCATCTGTAGGTCACCAGTATCAAAGACCAAAGGTAGATAAAACCACAAAGATGGGGAGAAACCAGAGCAGAAAAGCTGAAAATTCTAAAAACCAGAGCGTTTCTTCTCCTCCAAAGGATCACAGCTCTTCGCCAGCAATGGAACAAAGGTGGACGGAAAATGACTTTGACAAGCTGACAGAAGTAGACTTCAGAAGCTCAGTAATAACAAACTTCTCTGAGCTAAAGGAGGGTGTTCGAACCCATTGCAAGGAAGCTAAAAACCTTGAAAAAAGGTTTGGATGAATGGTTAACTAGAATAACCAGTGTAGAGAAGACCTTAAATGACCTGATGGAGCTGAAAACCATGACATGAGAATTTCATGACACATGCACAACCTTCAATAGCTGATTAGATCAAGTGGGAAAAAAGGGTACCAGTGATTGAAGATCAAATTAATGAAATAAAGCAAGAAAACAAGATTAGAGAAAAAAGAGTAAAAAGAAAGAAACAAAGCCTCCAAGAAATATGGGACTATGTGAAAAGGCCAAATCTACGTCTGATTTATGTACCTGAAAGTGATGGGGAGAATGGAACCAAGTTGGAAAACACGCTTCAGGATATTGTCCAGGAGAACTTCCCCAGTCTAGCAAGGTAGGCCAACCTTCAAATTCAGGAGATACAGAGAACACCACAAAGATACTCCTCAAGAAGAGCAACCCCAAGAAACATAATTGTCAGATTCTCCAAGGCTGAAATGAGGAAAAAATGTTAATGGCAGCCAGAGAGAAAGGCTGGGTTACCCACAAAGGGAAGCCCATCAGACTAACAGCAGATCTCTCGGCAGAAACTCTACAAGCCAGAAGAGAGTGGGGGCCAATATTCAACATTCTTAAAGAAAAGAATTTTCAACCCAGAATTTCATATCCAGCAAAACTAAGCTTCATAAGTGAAGGAGAAATAAAATCCTTTACAGACAAGCAAATGCTGAGAGACTTTGTCACCACCAAGCCTGCCTTACAGGAGCTCCTGAAGTAAGCACTAAACATGGAAAGGAACAACCGGTACCAGCCACTGCAAAAACATGCCAAATTGTAAAGACCATCGATGCTAGGAAGAAACTTCATCAACTAATGGGCAAAATAACCAGCTAACATCATAATGACAGGATCAAATTCACACATAACAATATTAACCTTAAATATAAATGGGCTAAATGCTCCAATTAAAAGACACAGACTGGCAAATTGGATAAAGAATCAAGAACCATCAGTGTGCTATGTTCAGGAGACCCATCTCACATGCAGAGACACACATAGGCTCAAAATAAAGGGATGGAGGAAGATCTACCAAGCAGATGGAAAACAAAAAAAAAGCAGGGGTTGCAATTCTAGTCTCAGATAAAGCAGACTTTAAACCAACAAAGATCAAGAGAGACAAAGAAGGCCATTACATAATGGTAAAGGGATCAATTCAACAAGAAGAGCCTCAGAGACCTACAAAGAGACTTAGACTCCCACACAATAATAATGGGAGACTTTAACACCACACTGTAAATATTAGACAGATCTACGAGACAGAAGATTAACTAGGATATCCAGGACTTGAACTCAGCTCTGCACAAAGCAGACCTAATAGACATCTACAGAACTCTCCACCTCAAATCAACAGAATATACATTCTTCTCAGCACCACATGCACTTATTCCAAAATTGACCACATAGTTGGAAGTAAAGCACTCCTCAGCAAATGTAAAAGAACAGAAATCACAACAAACTGTCTCTCAGACCACAGTGCAAACAAACTAGAACTCAGGATTAAGAAACTCACTCAAAACTGCTCAACTACATGGAAACTGAAAAACCTGCTCCTGAATGACTACTGGGTAAATAATGAAATGAAGGCAGAAATAAAGATGTTCTTTGAAACCAATGAGAACAAAGACACAACGTACCAGAATCTCTGGGACACATTTAAAGCAATGTGCAGAGAGAAATTTAGAGCACTAAATGCCCACAAGAGAAAGCAGGAAAGATCTAAAATCAACACCCTAACATCACAATTAAAAGAACTAGAGAAGCAAGAGCAAACAAATTCAAAAGCTACCAAAAGGCAAGAAATAACTAAGATCAGAGCAGAACTGAAGGAGATAGAGACACAAAAAAACCTTCAAAAAAATCAATGAATCCAGGACCTGGTTTTTTGAAAAGATCAACAAAATTGATAGACTGCTAGCAAGACTAATAAAGAAGAAAAGACAGAAGAATCAAATAGACGCAACAAAATGTGATAAAGAGGATGATATCACCACTGATCCCATAGAAATACAAACTACCACCAGAGAATACTATAAACTCCTCTATGCAAATAAACTAGAAAATCTAGAAGAAATGGATAAATTCCTGGACACACGCACCCTCCCAAAACTAAACAAAGAAGAAGTTGAATCTTTGAATAGACCAATAACAGGCTCTGAAATTGAAGCAATAATTAATAGCCTACCGACCAAAAAAAGTCCAGGACCAGACGGATTCACAGCCGAATTCTACCAGAGGTACAAAGAGGAGCTGCTGGTACCATTCCTTCTGAAACTATTCCAATCAATAGAAAAAGAGGGAATCCTCCCTAACTCATTTTATGAGGCAAGAATCATCCTGATACCAAAGCCTGGCAGAGACACAACAAGAAAAGAGAATTTTAGACCAATATCCCTGATGAACATCAATGCAAAAATCCTCAATAAAATACTGGCAAACAAAATCCAGCAGCACATCAAAAAGCTTATCCACCATGATCAAGTGGGCTTCATCCCTGGGATGCAAGGCCAGATCCACATATGCAAATCAATAAACATAACCGATCACATAAACAGAACCAAAGACAAAAACCACATGATTATCTCAATAGATGCAGAAAAGGCCTTTGACAAAATTCAACAGAACTTCATGCTGAAAACTCTCAATAAACTAGGTACTGATGGAAGGTATCTCAAAACAATAAGAGCTGTTTATGACAAACCCACAGCCAATATCATACTGAATGGGCAAAAACTGGAAACATTCCCTTTGACAACTGGCACAAGACAGGATGCATTATCTCACCACTCCTATTCAACATAGTGTTGAAAGCTCTGGCCACGGCAATCAGGCAAGAGAAAGAAATAAAGGGTATTCGATTAGGAAAAGAGGAAGTCAAGTTGTCCCTGTTTGCAGATGACATGACTGTATATTTAGAAAACCCCATTGTCTCAGCCCAAAATTTCCTTAAGCTGATAAGCAACTTCAGCAAAGTCTCAGGATACAAAATCAGTGTGTAAAAATCACAAGCATTCCTATACACCAATAACAGACAAACAGAGAGCCAAATCATGAGTGAACTCCCATTCACAATTGCTACAAAGAGAATAAAATACCTAGGAATCCAACCTACAAGGGATGTGAAGGACCTCTTCAAGGAGAACTACAAACCACTGCTCAACAAAATAAAAGAGGACACAAACAAATGGAAGAACATTCCATGCTCATGAATAGGAAGAATCAATATCGTGAAAATAGCCATACTGCCCAACGTAATTTACAGATTCAATGCCATTCCCATCAAGCTACCAATGCCTGTCTACAAAGAATTGGAAAAAACTACTTTGAAGTTCATATGGAACCAAAAAAAAGAGCCTGCGTTGCCAAGACAATCCTAAGCCAAAAGAACAAAGCTGGAGGCATCACGCTATCTGACTTCAAACTATACTACAAGGCGACAGTAGCCAAAACAGCATGGTACTGATACAAAAACAGATATATAGACCAATGTAACAGAACAGAGGCCTCAGAAATAACACCACACATCTACAGCCATCTGATCTTTGACAAACCTGACAAAAACAAGGAATGGGGAAAGGATTCCCTATTTAATAAATGGTGCTGGGAAAACTGGCTAGCCACATGGAGAAAGCTGAAACTAGATCCCTTCCTTATACCTTATGTAAAAATTAATTCAAAATGGAATAAAGACTTAAATGTTAGACCTAAAACCATAAAATCCCTAGAAGAAAACTTAGGCAATACCATTCAGGACAATAACAAGTCTTTGCATGGGCAAAGACTTTATGAATAAAACACCAAAAACAATGACAAAAAAAGCCAAAAATAGACAAATGGGATCTAATTAAACTGAGGAGCTTCTGCACAGCAAAAGAAACTACCATCAGAGTAGAACAGGCATCCTACAGAATGGGAGAAAATTTTTGCAATCTACCCGTCTGACAAAGGGCTAATATCCAGAATCTACAAAGAACTTAAGCAAATTTACAAGAAAAAAAAACCCCATCAAAACGTGGGCAAATGATATGAACAGACACTTCTCAAAAGAAGACATTTATGCAGCCAACAGACACATGAAAAAATGCTCATCATCACTGGTCATCAGAGAAATGCAAATCAAAACCACAATAAGATACCATCTCACACCAGTTAGAATGGCGATCATTAAAAAAGTCAGGAAACAGATGCTGAAGAGGACATGGAGAAATAGGAACACTTTTACATTGTTGGTGGAAGTGTAAACTAGCTCAACCATTGTGGAAGACAGTGTGGCAATTCCTCAAGGATCTGGAACCAGAAATACCATTTGACCCAACAATCCCATTACTGGGTATATACTCAAAGGATTATAAATCATTCTACTATAAAGACACACGCACAAGTATGTTTCTTGTGGCACTATTCACAATAGCAAAAACTTGGAACCAACCCAAATGTCCATCAATGATAGACTGCAATAAGAAAATGTGGCATTAGGAGATATACCTAATATTAAATGATGAGTTAATGGGTGCAGCACACCAACATGGCACATGTATACATATGTAACTAACCTGCATATTGTGCACATGTATCCTAAAACTTAGAGTATAATAAAAAAAAAAAAAATGTGGCACATATACACCATGGAATACTATGCAGCCATAAGAAAGGATGAGTTCATGTCCTTTGCAGGGATATGGATGAAGCTGGAAACCATCATTCTGAGCAAACTATCATAAGGACAGAAAACAAAACACCACATGTTCTCACTCATAGGTGGGAATTGAACAATGAGAACACTTGGACACAGGGTAGGGAACATCACACATGGGGGCCTCTCGTGGGGTGGGGGATAGGGGGAGGGGCACATTAGGATAAATACCTAATGTAAATGATGAGTTAATGGGTGCAGCAAACCAACATGGCACATGTATACCTAGGTAACAAACCTGCAAGTTGTACATATGTACTCTAGAACTTAAAGTATAATTAAAAAATAAATAAATAACGATAGCTACAATCATTTGTTGAGAGATACAGGTTACAAAAAGATGTAAATTATGACATGAAAAACATTAATATAAGTGGGGGAAGCAAAAATGTAGAGTTTTTGTAAGCAAAGGTAAGTGGTTATCAGCTTAAAATAGTCTGTTATAACTATAAGATGTTTCATGCAAGCCTAGTGATAACCACAAAGCAAAAACCTATAGTAGATACACAAAATATAAAAATAAGTATTCAAAACACATCACCATAGAAGATCATCACCATCAAACCATGAAGAAAAACAGTAAGAAAGGAAAAAATGAACAAAAGATCTTAAAACAACCAGAAAAACAACCAGAAAGATCTATAAAACAACCAGAAAAAGAATAACAAAGTGGCAGTAGTATATAGTATATGCTTACCTATAAATAATTACTTTAAATGTAAATGGATTATATTCTTCAATCAGAAGCTGTAGAGTGGCTGAATACATTTTTTAGAGACCAAGGCCCAACAATATGCTGCCTACAAGAAACTCACTCCACCTTTATGGACACAAATAGACTAAAAGTGAAGAGATGGAAAAGGATATTCTACTAAATGGAAACCAAAAGAGATCAGGAGTAGCTATACTTAGACAAAATATTCTTAAGTCAAAAACTATAAAAAGAAGCAAAGAAGGTTATTATATAATGATAAAGGGGTCAGTTCATCAAAACGACATAAGAATTATAAATATATACACCCAATATCAGAGCACCTACATATATAAGGCAAATATTAAATGATCTGAGGGGAGAGAGAGACTACAATACAATAATAGTAGGGTACCTCAATACTTTACTTTCACTATGGACAGATCATTCAGACAGATAATAAGAAAACTTTGGACTTGAACTACACTTTAAACCAAATGAACCTAACAGACATATATAGAACATTCCATCCAAAAGCAACATAATACTCATTCTTCTCACATGCACATAAAATATTCTTCAGGATAATTTGTTAGGTCATAAAACAAATCTTGACAAATGTAATAAGATTTAAATCATATGAAGTATCTTCTTTATACAATGGTATAAAACTAGAGATCAATAGCATAAACAATCTCAAAAATGTAAAAATATGTAGAAATTTAAAAACATGATCAGGAATAACCAATGGGTCAAATGAGAAATTAAAAGGTAAATTTCAGAATATCCTCACACAAACAAAAATAAAAACACAACATCTCAAAACTTCTGGGATGCAGCCAAAGCAGTTTTAAAAGGTAAGTTTATAGCAAAAGCACTTACATCAAAAAAGAAGAAAGATCTCAAATAAACAACCCACGTTATATGTTATAGAACTAGGAAAAAAAAAAAAACTAAGCACAAAGTCAACAGAAGAAAGGAAATAATAAAAGTCAGAACAGAAATAAATGAAATAAAGTCTAAAAAAGAATCAATAAAACTACAAGATTTTTTAAAAACTTAGTTATACTAAGAAAGAAAGAAGACTCAAATAAATAAAATCAGAAATGAAAGAGGTGACATTACAACTCATACCACAGAAATACAAAGGATCATAAGAAACTATTATGAATAATTCTGTGTCAACAAATCAGCTAACTTAGAAGAAATGGATAAATTCCTAGAAACATACAACCCACCAAGACTGAATCATAAAGATATAGAAAATCTGAATAGACCAATAACAAGTAGAAAGCTTGAATCACTAACAAAAGGTCTCTCGTCAAAGAAAAGCCCAGAACCGGATAGCCTCATGGAAAATTCTTCCAAACATTTAAAGAAAAACTAACACAATTTCTTCTTAAACTCCTTTTAAAACTTGAAAAGGAAGGAAAACTTCCAAACACATTTTATTAGACCAGCTTCGCCCTGATACCAAAGCCAGAAAAGGACATTGCAAGAAAAGAAAATTACAGACCAATATCCCTGATAAACACGGAAGCAAAAATCCTCAAAAGAATACTAACAAACCAAGTTCAATAGCACATTTAAAAAATAATATTTCATGATCAAGTAGGATTTATCCCTATCCTAGCAAGGATTATTCAACATACTCAAGTCAATAAATGTGATACACCACATTAACAGAATAAAATACAAAAATTATATGATCATCTCAGTACATGCAGAAAAAGCATTTGACAAAATTCATAATCCTTTTATGTTAAAAACTGTCACTAAGTTATGTGTAGAAGGAAGGTACCTCAATAAAATAAAAGACATATAGGACAAGCCCACAGCTAACATCACCCTCAATGGTGAAAAGCTGAAAGCTTTTCCAGTAAGATCAGAAAAAGACAAAGTTGCCCACTTTCAGCACTTCTATTCAATATTTGATCATTTAAACTGCTTATGAAGTATGGCTATTAATTCAATGTTCATCAAAACTGTAGTAAGTCCCAACCAAGGTGTCAGGCACTATTATAATAAATAAGAATATATTATTTAATAAGAAATACACACCACTCCAGCCTTTATAAAACATGTAGTTCAAAGTAGAAGAAAGGAATTTTAATTAGTCATTAGGCAAATAGGACAATGAAACAAAAGACATAGCTCAGAAACAAATATATACTGCCCTCACTGACCGCCGACGACCTGCCTCACCAAGCGCACGCCCTGCTGCCGCCCCGCAGAAATGCTTTGTTTACCCACAGTCTTTTGCCAGATAAGACCAGTGTCCAGGGTACTGGCTCCTCATCTCACTTAGGCTTATGCCAAAGATAATTTTGGTGCAGATGCCTGAGCCTTAATGCTTCAAGGTGTAGACCTTTTAGCCCATGCTGTAGCCGTTACAATGGGGCCAAAGGGAAGAACAGTGATTATTGAGCAGACAGAGCTGGGGAAGTCCTAAAGTAACAAAAGATAGTGTGACTGTTGCAAAGTCAATTGACTTAAAGGATAAATATAAAAATACTGGAGCAAAACTTGTTCAAGATGTTGCCAATAACACAAATGAAGAGGCTGTGGATGGCACTACCACTGTTACTGCACTGGCACGCTCTATTGCCAAGGAAGGCTTCGAGAAGATTAGCAAAGGGGCTAATCCGGTGGAAATCAGGAGAGGTGTGATGTTAGCTGTTGATGCTATAATCGCTGAACCAAAAAAGCAGTCTAAACCTGTGACCACCCCTGAAGAAATTGCACGGGTTGCTACAATTTCTGCAAATGGAGACAAAGAAATTGGCAATATCATTTCTGATGCAATGAAAAAGGTTGGAAGCAAGGGTATCATCACAGTAAATAATGGGAAAAGTACCGAATGATGAATTAGAAATTATCGAAGGCATGAAGTTTGATTGAGGCTATATTTCTCCATACTTAATTAATACATCAAAAGGTCAGAAATGTGAATTCCAGGATGCCTATGTTCTGCTGAGTGAAAAGAAAATTTCTAGTGTCCAGTCCATTGCACCTGCTCTTGAAATTGCCAATGCTTACTGTAAGCCTTGGTCATAATTGCTGAAGACGTTAATGGAGAAGCTCTAAGTACACTCGTCTTGAATAGGCTAAAGGTTGGTCTTCAGGTTGTGGCAGTCAAGGATCCAGGGTTTGGTGACAATAGAAACAACCAGCTTAAAGATATGGCTATTGCTACTGGTGGTGCAGTGTTTGCAGAAGAGGGGTTGACCCTAAATCTTGAAGACGTTCAGCCTCATGACTTAGGAAAAGTTGGAGAGGTCATTGTGACCAAAGACGATGCCATGCTTTTAAAAGGAAAAGGTGACAAGGCTCAAATTGAAAAATGTGTTCAAGAAATCATTGAGCAGTTAGATGTCACAACTAGTGAATATGAAAAGGAAAAACTGAATGAACACTGGCAAAACTTTCAGATGGAGTAGCTGTGCTGAAGGTTGGTGGGACAAGTGATGCTGAAGTGAATGAAAAGCAAGACAGAGTTACAGATGCCCTTAATGCTACAAGAGCTGCTGTTGAAGAAGGCATTGTTTTGAGAGGGGGTCGTGCCCTGCTTCGGTGCATTCCAGCCTTGGACTCACTGACTCCAGTTAATGAAGATCACAACATTGGTATAGAAATTATTAAAAAAACACTCAAATTTCCAGCAATGACCATTGCTAAGAATGCAGGTGTTGAAGTATCTTTGATAGTTGAGAAAATTATGCAAAGTTCCTCAGAAGTTGGTTATGATGCTATGGGCAGAGATTTTGTGAATATGGTGGAAAAAGGAATTATCGACACAACAAAGTTTGTGAGAACTGCTTTATTGGATGCTTCTGGTGTGGCCTCTCTCTTAACTACAGCAGAAGTTTTAGTCACAGAAATTCCTAAAGAAGAGAAGGATCCTGGAATGGGTGCAATGGATGGAATGGGAGGTGGTATGGGAGGTGGTATGTTCTAACTCCTAGAAGAGTGCTTTACCTTTATTAATGAACTGTGACAGGAAGCCCAAGGCAGTGTTCCTTACCAATAACTTCAGAGAAGTCAGTTGGAGAAAATGAAGAAAAGGCTGGCTGATGTTAAAGAAATCACTAAAACCATCAGTTACTGGTTTCAGTTGACAAAATATATAATGGTTTACTGCTGTCATTGTCCATGCATACAGATAATTTATTTTGTATTTTTGAATAAAAAGTCATTTGTACATTCCTGATACTGGATAAAAGAGCCATGTACCAATGTACTGCTTTCAACTTAAATCATTGAGGCATTTTCACTACTATTCTGTTGAAATCAGGATTTTAGTTCTTGCCACCACCAGATGAGAAGTTAAACAGCCTTTCTGTGGAGAGTGAGAATAATTGTGTACAAAGTAGAGAAATGTCCAATTATGTGACAATCTTTGTGTAACAAAAATTTGTTTAAAGTTAAAAAAACAAATATATACTTGATTTATGATAAAATTAACACATGCTAAGGATGGTCTTGATGTACTTATTTTATACCTTACACAAAAATCACTTTTACATGAATAGTATAAAACAATTAAGCTTCTAGGGAAAAAAAAACAACAAGAGAATAAAGTCATGATTTGGGGGTAGATAACAATTTCTTAAATAAGACAGAAAATCCACAAAGAAAAATATTGACAAATTATACTTTATTAAAATTAAGGACTTCTGATCTCAGAAGAGTCTGTAAAAGGTAAGCCAAAGACTAGAAGAAGATATTTGCAAGACACACATATTCAACAACAGACAAATATACAAAATATATTACAAAAAGAATATAAAACAAACCTCTAACATATCAATGGAGTGTGGTGGGAGAGGCATCCCAATAACAAAGTGAGCAAAGACTTGAACAGGAATTTCACAAAAGAAGATATATAAATGGCTGATATATAAATGGCCAATAAAAAGATATTCATTCTCATTAGTCACCATTATGGAGATGCAATTTATAAAAACACAATGAAGATACCACTACACACACATCAGAATGACTAAATAAAATATTGGCAATACCAAATGTTGACAAGAATGAAAAGTCACTAAAATTTTCATACATTGATGGTGGGAGTTTATTTTTTATTTATTTTATTTTTTATTTTTAATTTCTGTGGGCACATAGTGGGTATATATATTCATGGGGCTGATGGGAGTTTAAATTACTAGAACCCGTTTAGGAAACTGCTTGACAGTATCTACTAACACTGAACATATGCCTACCCATGACCCTGCAAATTTACTCCTAGAAATACACCTAATAGAAATACATAAATCTTTCAGAAATAAAAAGCAGACACAAGCACAAAAGAATGTTCATTATAGCAGCAGCAGTCATGATAGCCAGAAATTATAAATGACACAAATGACAATGAACAGTAGAATGGATTAAACAAATCGTGGTATATTCATTCAAAGAAACAGGAAAGAAAGACCATTGCCATTCACACCATGAATGTTACAAACATAATATTGAGCCAAAGAAGACCCCAAGAAATACACTGTATAGTTTCATTTATGTGAAGTTCAAGAAAATACAAACTAATCTGTGGCGCTAGAAGTCAACATATTGGTTACCTTGAAGGAGCTTATTACTGGAAGAGGGAACAAAGGGGTTTTTGGAGTGCTGGTAATATTATATTTTTTGATCTGAATGGGTGATAACATGTATTGTGCACATGCTGTGAAAATTCATCTCTCTCTCTCTCTCTCTCTCTCTCTCTCTCTCTCTCTCTCTCTCTATATATATATATATATATATATAATATACACTCATGATTTGTTCACATTTTTGTGTGATGCTATACTTCAATTAAAAGTTTATTTAAATGAAAAGAAAATTAGAAATTTGATGAGCGTTCTGGAAATTAGCAGGATGATATGCAAGTATATCACAGAAGACAGATAAAGTCAGGACAGTCATCCTAAAGGACATACTATTTAAATTGAACTATGGGAATTAGCCAGGAAAAAGTAGGTGTGGTGTCAGCAGCAGGGAACAGATGGAGTGGAGAAGGAGAAGACTCTTTTAGGAAAGAAAGGATTTGAGCAGAAACCTAGACACATGAAAAGGGCATAGCTCATTCAAGATATAGAAGGAAGTCTGATGCAAGCAAAAAGACCTAGGGTAGGAGTGGCAAGAAATGAGGCTGAAGACATAGGCAAGATCTAGGTCAGACAGGGCCTTATATGCCATATCAAGAGTTTCAAATTCTATCTTAAATGCAATGGAAAGTTATAGATAGACTTATAGTACAGGCCTGACATGACCTGGTTTTATTGTTAGAAGACGGCTACAGCATGGAGAATTGATTACAGGGAAGAAAGACTGGAATTGGAGAGACTGTTTAAGAGACTGTCACAGTACCCCAAGTAGATGATGGTGGATTTCATTAGCCTGGACAGAGGGAATAGAGAGAAAGAAATGTAGGATGTACATTGATGATGGGATATAAGGTATAAAGAAAAGGTACAAGTCAGAGAGGTTTCCCAGAGGTCTTTCCAGACAACTGAGTGGATGATAATGCCAGCTATTGTGATAGGGAATCCTGGAGAATGGTTAAATCAAGGCAAAAGGATGTGTTCCATTTTAGACATACTGACCTTGAGATCTCTGCAGGACATCCAAGAGGAGGTCTCAAGTAAGCATTTGGATACATAAGTCGCAAATTCAGGATAGAGGGCTGAATTGAAGGCATAGGTCATTAGTGATTCTACTTCTTGTTGGCAATAGAATGTGTGACAGAATTATTTTTCAATATTAACATATGCTTTGTTTTTGTTCGATAATTCTCTTTTACCCCATAACCTACCCCCATTCAGGCAACACGACTTTACCATATTAATTGTATTAAAAAAAAGGGCCAAATTCTAGACTTGTAAGTCAAAGCTCTGAAGGACTTGAGGCCCAAATTTTACATCATAAACAATAGATTCAAAATAATACATAATCAGTTAGAATTAGTTTTCCTGCCCCAAAAAAGATAAAGGGTTTGAGGGTTGGGATAGAAAAGAGTTGAAGAAGTGACAAAAATCTACACTTAGGTGGTTTCTCTGATTAGGGGCCCTATTTATTACCCTCTACCCAGACCTGCCCTGGGCTGAGTCTTAGGAAAGGGAGAGAAAACAATGGAAACCTCAGATACGTAATCAGCTTAAATATCGAGGAAACTATGTCTCAGTTCTCCTGTGAGTCCCAGGGAGCTGACAGGTTCTTCAGAGCTACCTTAACATAGGGCAGGGTAACTAAGCTATAACAGACCTGTCCTGGACAGCCTGAGTGTTCCATGCTCCAGTGAGGCATAGGAAAAAAATAGAAGTTGCTGAAAGGGAGAAGTGAGCGCTAAAGACCTATTGGTCAATATGAGAAAAACATAACAGCCATTTCAATGGATTGATGACCAAAAAGAAGATGAGAACAAAGATGTATCAAGCAATATAAAAGTCTTATTAAAATACCATTACCTTGCCCCAAATCTACATAATAGATGTTAGCTCTTGCTAGAAAAATGCTGCATAACAAACTATCCCAAACTCAGTGTCTTAAAATAAGAACTATTTAGCAAACATGTCTGCAGGTTTGCTGGGAGTTAGCTCATCTAGGTGGATGTGATGGGGGTAAATTCTGCTGGACATGTCTCTCACCCTTTTTCTAGGACTGGTGGACTAGTTGAGGCTTGTTTTTCTTATGGTGCCAGTGAAGGTACAAAGGTCGGCACATCCAAATCTGCATATGTTTCAAACCTCTGATCACATTACTCCTGCTAATATCCCACTGACATATATGCCTGCTGATATCCCACTAAGTCCCGTGGCTGAATCTGGAGTGAAGAGCTCAGGATAGCCTTGTCCAAAGGTATTCAGTAAAGAGAAAGGTGAAGAATTGGGGCCATTGATTCTGTGTCTACCACATCCACACTTAGATGAAATCCCTGGAAGTGGAGGAAGGAAATATCTATGATTTAACCACAAAAGATACAAATTAGTGACAGAAAAATAAAATCACATTGCTTGCACACCCAGGATTTCGAATTGGGATTTGAAGGAATATTACAATAGGGGCATAAACAAAATGCGAAAGGAACCCAAAGGAAAAATCCCATTCTGACATCAGAATGACATCACAAATAAGGTAACATTTGATGAAAGTCCTATGAAAGATGAGTAGAATTTTGAACAACTGAGGTTAAGCAAAAGCACGGAATCATGAAAATTATTCTTTGAAATGGCAAAGATTTCTGTGGCTGGATCATGGGATTTATTGACTGGAGCGATTTCTCCTCAGAAGACCAGACACATGTGAGCTATGCGAATCCACGGAAGTGTTGTTATCTTTCTATTTTTTCCTCGCTTATATGAAGGACTATAGGTCAGGAACTGTGCAAGAGGAGGAATGTGCATATGTTGGGGTGGGGATAGATAGGGGAGGTCTGGAATGGATAATTCATTTCAAACTCAAAAAAGCAGACTGAGAGAAGACATAGGGAGAACTGACAGAGAAACCATAAAGCTGGAAAAAGATTAGAGAAAACCACAAGAAGATCTGTTTAACCCTAATTTCTGTGTTTTTTCTGATGAAGATGTAGTATTAATTGTTTCAGAGTTCATCAGAGATCCACGTATCTTAAATCTGAGATATAAGCCAGTTGAAAACAAACATTCCACTTGAGCGGCCTTTTAATGACACAAAGGCTAAAGGGAAAAAAAAAAAAGATTTGCATAGCAATAACTATCATTGCTTTAAAGCTGCATAGACTTTTCAGAGCCCTGAACAACCACCAAATCAGGAATTCAAACCGCACCCTGGGAAGGCTGGGCTTCTTTTTGTTAAAAAGAAAAACCAAAGATCTCTGAGGTTAGTTACCAGGCAGTAAAAATCAAAAGTCCAAACTCCCCTCTAACCACTGAATATTTGCCATGTAGACCCACACCCAACTAGGATATTGCCAAAACCCCAAAAAAGTACCATGACTAAGATCCATGTCTTTCTCTGGGTACTATTTCCACAGAAAGCTTCTTATGTCTCTTCCCTGACATTTCACAAAATAGAGAAAAAGGAAAGGAAAAAAATATCCCTGAGGAAAGGCTAAGTGTAAAGAAGAATTTGATTTTGGCATTGCTTTGAGAGGTTCCACTTACTTCCTCAACCCATGGAATGCTTATTGTTGAACCAACACCGTAAGAAAGACACAGCTTCAGCTTCAATAAGACTGCACTGTATGCAAAAACATTGAATAAATGGATAAATAATAATTTTTGAACTCCTATTGTGTGCCAGAAATGGTAGTGAGAATTCTACATGTGACTCAAAGATCCTGACAAAGATTTTATAAAGTATTTTCATTATCCCCATTTTATAGATGAGAAAGCTGAGGCAGAAACAGGTTGTGTATCTTTCCCAAGGTTGACATGATAAGAAAGTAGCCGAGTCAGGATTCAGTCCCAGCACTCTGATTCCAGGGCTCATCTGCTCATGTGCTATGTTCACTGACTCCTAGAGAAGAAATTAGAAATAACACCACCCTTACATTAAACTTTCCAAAGAATATAAAAAGAGAGAACATTTTCCAACTCATTTTACGAGACCTGGATATCCTTCACTAAAAGCTGACATGGATATAATAAAAAAGGAAAATTACAGGCCACTCTGTCTTGGGAAGGTAGAAGCAAAAAAATGGTATACCAAAATACCAACAAATTGGTTTCAGAGAATTCATGCAAACAAATAAGAAAAAGATAACCCAAAAGAAAAATGCGATTTCACAAAAGAAGATATCCAAATGGTTAAAAAAAAAAAAGGAAAAAAACTTTTTTTTCCTTAAAAAACTATTAAGTGCTCAATGTCACTAGTCATCAGGGAAATGCAAATTAATGACACAACATGTCACCCAAATGATTGCAAGTAAAAAGACTGACAAGACAAGGAGCTGGTGAGTATATAAAAGAAGAGGAACTCTTGGTACAGTCACTTTGGAGAAGAGTCTAGAAGTAGCTACCATAGGTGAAGACATAAAATGCCCTATGAACCAGAAATTCAACTCCTAGGTTTTTACTCAGCAGAAATTCACATATGTGCACCAAAAGACATGTACAAAAACGTGTTTGTGACACCTTTATTCATAAGAGCCCAAAACTGGCAACAACCTAAATAACTATTAACAGTGTAATGGAAAAAATGTGATATATTTATACTAGGGAGTACTATACAGCAATAAAAATGATCTACTGCTATACACAATAATTTGAATAAATCTCACAATGTTGAGCAAGAAAAAAGCCAGGCATAAAAGTGGGCATACCCTCTATTTCCATTTACATACTGTTCTAAAATAGGCAAAACGATCTATGATGACAGAAGTCAGAAAAAGACTTATTCTCTGGGAAGTGTTTGTAGCGATTGGTAAGAGAAGAAGGATGCTGGGAATGCTTTATCTGTTGATCAGGGCATTGGTCACATGGTTGTGTCCACTTAATGTTTCAAGTATAGTTCCAGAAGTAACACCTTGGTGAGAGAGAAGGTAACCCAAATTCATGGTATGTGTATCTTAAGTGAAAGTGGTTCAACCAGGTAGAGGAACATTAAGCAGATTAAATTTCAAAATCAGCTAAATATCCATAGCATCATTTATTGAGTATCTAAAATATGCATGAAACAAATGTTAAGTCCTGAAAATAAAAAGATGAAAAGACAAACTTCCTATTAGCAAATTGTTCACAATCAAGCTGAAAAGGAGGTATAAAAATAATCTATTTCAAAACAAAGTCTGCTCTCTTGGAATTAGGCAAGTAGTTTTGAGAGTTTAGAGGAGTGAGGGAAGGCCCTCCAGAAGTGGCAACACTTAAATCTTGTAAGTTTTGCAGGGCAAAGGGCTTCAACAGCCCTTCATCAGCCCATCCGTCAGGTGGGAGAGGGAGGGGGTCTGGGCAAAGGTATTTGAAACAGTTGACTGCATTTGTAAAAGAGGACACTGAGAGAAAGCATTATCAATTATAGGAACATTAGGTAGGTAGGTATAACTAGAGCTGAAAATGCAAGACAGAAATAGAGGTGAGGCTAGGCAAGTAGTGGTCTCTTATTCCATTTTGGATTTTTATCCTGTGGGACATTGGAGCTATTAGAGCTATTGAAGAATTTTTGTTTAATCTAATGTGAAGGGTAGATGGGAGGAAGGTAAGACTGGGAAGATGAGGTAGGAGGTTTTATAAAAATTCAGGAATATATGTCAGGTTTTATTAAACAATTCAAAATCTTAGTGGCTTATAACAGCAAACATTTGTTTCTTACTTACAGGTCTGTGGGTCAGTCATGGTCGGTTTCAGCTTGGCTGGGTTGGACCAGGCTTGGCTTGGCTCTAGACTACATAGGCAGACTCATGTGTGCTCCATGGGTTTTCCTTTTCAAAATTCATGATGAAGGAGCAATGTCTTTTCTGTTCTTCTATTGGTGGATGGCAGGAGTGCAGGGAGGTAGTGGGGTGGGCAGAAACATGCAATATCTCCTAAAGCCTCTACTCAGAGCTAGCACAGCATCTCTTCTATGCACCTGCCACCAGCCAGAGTCTCATGGCCAAGCTCAATGTCTACAGGACGCAGTAGGATACTCTACCCATAGGGTGAGGAAAGAGAGAATGAACACTTGTTGAACATATTAGCTCAATCTACCACACCAGGCAAAAGATTATGAACCACTAAACTAAGGCAGACGAGTAGGAATAAACAAGAGGGGATTAAGAAACCAAGACTAACCAGATTCTGATCCTAGCTATTCTGGCTGGACAGAGATAGACTGTCTTGTGAGGAAACTAGGAAATTAAACCAAAAGTTTTAACTCAAGGAAGTGCCTGATTAGAGTTGGGTAGTCAATCTAAATCAGTTAACTAATTTGACATTAGCCCAAGATGAGAAATTTAAGAGCAAAGCCTCTCAAAGAGAGATAATGAGAGAGTAGAATTTAAATCAGTAGTAGGAGGTGGGGTCAATAACAATCTTGAGCTTATTCCAGTCCTTGAGGTAATGAGCATCCTGGGAGCTCTCAAAAGGCAGCCCCAGAACATAGAAAGAATGACAGAATAGAAGAAGTAGGAATGGGAGAGTTTAGGATGACTCCTAGCTGGGCAGGCTAACAAATTAGGTAAATACTAGGGTCCTGCTGAATTATGGGACATAGAAGAAGAGAGTTTCAGAAAAAAGATGATAAGTTCAATTTGGCTTGATTTTTTAATCTGAGCCACCTAGGTGAGCATGCCTCCTAGTGGGTTGACAATCAGGCCATAGAGCTCCTTCCTTTCATATTGTTTTCATAGTCTAGAATTCCCTTTCTCTCCTCTGTCATCCATCCAAAGTCTAAAATTTTCATGATCATTTAAACTTCCAGTGCTGTCTTCCTTCTCTGAGGTGCTTACATTTGAAATTAGCATACTTCATTTAACATGGGCCATTTGTGTTATATATACACATGCACACACGTATGCACACATAACAATTTTGTACCCAAAAGTAAACTGTAAGTTACATAATGACAAGGCCTTATGTGACTTTTGTATCTTCTTCAGAACTTTAGCACAGTACTAGAAAAATGTTGAAACCTAACTAAAAAATGCGTTTGATAATTAACTATTTCATAGTACTTTTACGACCTAGTTCAAACAATTGAGATAATTCTTATTCTTTAAATGCTTATCCTTGTGTGTATCTCCATGACTATATCTTTGTGCAATAAACAATTGTTGAAATGTTAACCTTGATTCATACTAAGTGGCAGACAAAAGTTAACCTGGTTTAAAAATTAGGTCATAATAATCAATAATCAAGAGTCTCAAGAGTTGACAGTTTGTTTTTTCCAAGATGGTAGATTAGAGGCTTTTAGCACACCTAGGCTACTTGAAAACAGCAAGATAGTACATAAAGATCAACTTTGTGAGCTTTAATTCAAGAAGAAAAACAAGAATCCACCAGAATTATGAAGGACACCCCAGATCCCGGAGAGGAGAACACTGGCAAAGAGCCTCCATGACAGTATCAGGCTGATAAAAATGAGTGAATCCCCAGTATGTAAGAGAGGCAGAGAGCCTCCCTCCGTGACTCACCTTTCCACTGGGGATCTGAGCAACCCAGGCCAAGTGAGAACACTTTGTTTCCCCCAGGCCCTGGAGCTAACTTGGGGAGAGTCTAGGAGACACTGTAAGGGAAAGATACCAGGAAAAGCTGCAGACATTTTCCTAGACTCATAACTGAGAGCAGAATGCCATTTTTAATGGCATTGGTAGGAATGTAAATTAGTTCAGCCACTTTGGAAGGTAATCTGGAGATTTTTCAAAAAAATTTAAAACAGAACGACCATTTGACACAGCAATTCCATTACTGGATATATACCCAAAAGAAAACAAATCTTTCTACCAAAAAGCACATACACTTGCATGTTCATCACAGCACTATTCACAATAGCAAAGACATGGAATCAACCTAGGTGGCCATCAGCAGTGGATTGGATTTTTAAAATCTAGTGCGTATACACAATAGAATACTACACAGCCATAACAAAGAAAAAAATCATGTCCTTTGTAGCAACGTGGATGCAGCTGGAGTCCATTATCCTAAGTGAATTAACACAGGAACAGAAAGTCACACACTGCATGTTCTCACTTACAAGTGGGAGCTAAACATTGGGTACTGATGGACATAAAGATGGCAACAATAAAAACTGGGGACTACTAGAATGGGGAGGGGGAAGGGGGAAAGAGTTGAAAGACTAAGTATTGGGTCCTATGCTCAGTACCTGCATGACAGGATCAATCGTACCCACACCTCAGCATCATGCAATATACTCAGGTAACAAACCTGCTCATGTACCCCCTGAATTTAAAATAAAAAATGGAAAAAAAAAAGAGTTGACAAGACTGAATTGTCAACTGCTTTGTGGCTTCTTTCCAAGCAGATGCCAATCAAAAGAAATAATACATGTTACAAATGTAAAAGCATCCAGAAAATCTAAGTATTTTCTTATAAGTGGTTTTGATTTTTTATATACTTTACATTCAAGTTACTGTCCATTCTATGAGAGAAGGAAGTATAGAGAGTAAATGATAAGCTCAAACTTATACAACTTTTTGTTTGGAGGCAGGAATAGAAGACAGGTCTCTAACTTTCAGAGCAGAGCACTAAGATGAAGTGAGTGTAAACTCATAACCAGCTGCTTGATCCCAGTAGAGCAGGAATAAAAGATACAATTGGGGCAGTAAAATTAAAGGGAATGTTTTTAAATCTTTTAGTTCCTTTTTTAAAGGTAGGCTTTGAAAAACTTCATTTTGTGAGGTGTTCAGTGGAGACCTGGAAAACTGCTCTTAGCATTTTAACATAAATTAAAAATCATTTAAGCAGACCTCTATTCAGCTCTTGCCAACTGCACATTTATTTTTCTGGTAAAGGAGGCTTTGCTATTGCAAATGAAGGTGAAATGAAGGCATTAGAGTTTGGGCATATCAGTGAAAAAAAAAAGAGTGAATGTGGATGTTGGATTAAGTTGCTCTCATGGCTGCAATTCCATTTATCTGGGCAAGGAATTTGCCCCCCAACAAAGTACTCTTTAAAACATTCTCTGAAAACTTAAGTTGCTGTGTAGAATCTGGAGTTGCTGCAGGTGTTTCTTAAAAGCTCATTAGCCCTCCAGAGAACTATGAAAATAAAATCACTCCAGACCTAATGAGAGTCAGAGAGCAAGGTGGTCAGGGAAGAGCTAAGTTAGGAGGGAGCTGTTTCAATTGCACCTGTATTGAGAGGTGGGTGACCTTCAAGAAGCCTGTAAGCTTAGTTCCATTTTGGATAAGCAACTGAAAGAGTGGGGGATGGGAATGGGGAAATGAAGGATAAAACATTACTTGCTAATTCTAAACATATGTAGCCTGCACATTGGTGAGTTGAGGTTGGCAAAGGGTAAAACAAAATCTTGCTGCACTGCTTTCCTCAGTGACAGCTATATTTGTTGATTTTTCCATTGGCGCCGAGCATTTTGAGTCTCCATTTTCTTAATTCTGAAACAACAGAGGGCAGTCATCTCTCACAGCTGAATACAACACTTGACATCTATGTTTTCATATAGAGAAGATCATCCTCTGTGGGCCTGCAAAACATCAGTCTCACTCAGGCCTACAGAGTAGAGAAATTTATATATCCACAGTCTGGTGGGTTCAGAGACCACAGACTACACCTCTTCCTTTCCTTCTTGGCTTCTTCCATTTCCTAAAGCATAACCAGTATCTGAATAGAATATGGCACATAAGGTTCTTCTCCACCCATTTTCTCCTATTAATAGAACATGGCAAAGGAAAAAATCCCATGAATGTCAACAGCTAACTCAATTAAAGATAGCCCACCTGGAGTGAAAATTAATCAGTAGCCTCCTCTTTTAGAAGGTGAAAGAGAAGTCAGGAAGGGATGTCACAAGTTACCATATCATGGAATGTGAGAATAACATGAACCAGGAAGCTGCATGTTCTGCAGGAACTAAGAAGACAAGGTATATTCTATGATAAGTAATGTAGCCAAAAAGCTTCTTTTTCACTGTGCTTAAGCTAGGACTGGCTGGGAAATAAAGCAGCTTTGTGAATATTTTATTAGTTCTTTCTTATGGGTGAAGTACTTCTTGTAGCAAAACTTTTATTAATTAAAAATGAGCTTTAAAAGAATAAGTTTCCTTACTTCTCCCTACACTTCTGCCAAATCTTGTCCCAGTAGGTTGTGAGAGAACCCAACTCACTAACTGTGGTCCCATTTAAAGTGTTATAAATTTTGTCCTCTTTGAAGGTACAAAGCTGAAATATTGTACACTTTGAGCAGTCTGTAAGCTCCTTGAGAGTGAGTACCATCCATATTCATCTCAATATTTAGCACAACACCTACCATTGTCTGTGATTATATTTCAATTGGTATCAACTAATATTTATAGAGAATACACATTGTGCAAAACATGTTGTTAGCATGACACGGGATATAAAGGTAATTAAGAAATTTATCCCTATTCCCAAGGTCTTTCTAAAATAGAAGAAGGTGATTAGAGATGTACAAATATTACAGTAATGCCAGGTGAAATAAGAGAAGTATCTTGAAAGAAGTGCAAATCATGAAAGAATTTTAAAGGAGAGAAAAAGCCTCTCTTTCTGGAGGTATCTGATATGGTTTGGCTCTGTGTTCCCACCCAAATCTCATATTGAATTGTAATCCCCAGTGTTGGAGGATGGGCCTGGTGGGAGGTGATTGAATCATGGGAGTGGTTTCTAATGGTTTAGCACAATCCTCCTAGTGCTGTCTTGTGATAGAGTTCCCAGGAGATCTGATTGTTTGAAAGTGTATAGCACTTTCTGCTTTGTTCTCTCTCCTGCCAGCCATGTGAAGATGTACCTGCTTCCCCTTTGCCTTCTGCCGTAATTGTAAGCTCTGAGGCCTCCCTAGAAGCAGAAGCCTGCACACCCTGCAGAATCTTTAGCTGATTAAACATCTTCTCTTTACAAATTACCCAATCTCAAGTATGTCTTTATAGCACTGTGAGAACAGACTAATACAGTATCCATGAAAGCTAACTAGAGCCAATAATTTTTTGAGATAACCCTGACAGATCAACAGGATTTAAACAGGCATAGCTGAAAAAAGAAAACTGCTTAGTGTGATATGCATACAGAGAAGAATGATTCTGTTTGGCCAAGGAAAAGGACACATAAAGAAAAGTGAATGTTAAGGCTGGAAAGGTGGATTCAGTCTAGCAGAGTTTTCTCAAGTTGCAAGTTATGAATGGATAAATATTGTCCATTCATATTTGGTATTTGGTATCTATTCATGGCCCTTTCTATTCTATATTCTGGTCCCATATGTCGAGCTCTAGAAAGCTAAATATTACATGTGCAAGACTCTTTTGCAGCTTAGGTTTTATATATGATTTAGAATCTGACAATGAGATGTATTCCTATAGAGTTTGGAAGGCAAAAAGGAGATGTGAGCCAGTGGTGTGCAGCAGTGTCAGCTAACAAGATTGAAAATTTGGAAGACATTTCAGAGAGCATTCCAGGAGTCCAGTTTTCTGAGATTATGCTGGGAAATCTCCAAAGTTAAAAGATAAGACACTGTGCCTTGAACACCCTACAACTATGAAAAAGGCAGTATTTGGTAGTCTCTTTCCATTCAGAAGGCAATGTGTATGAATATGGCATCTGAGTGTGCTCCTCTTATCCATCTACCAATTATATCAGTTATCTATCACCTTAATAATGCTATAAAACAAACCACTTCAAAATTTAGTGGCTTCAAATGAAAGTCATTTATTATTTTTATATCAGTCAACTGGGGACTTACTATTTTGGGATAGTCTCAGCTGGGAAAACTCAGCTCTTTTACACATGGTGTCATATCTTCCAGCAACCTAATACTGCACAGGATTTGGAAAAAGAAACAAACACCCAGCACCTTTTGCAGCTTCTCCTTCAGTCAAGTTATGTGTTATCCCATTGACCAATGCAAGTCTCATTGCTAAGCCCAACAACAGATAGAAAGGGACTATAAAGTTACAAGTCAAAGTGTATAGATACATGGCAGCCATTAAGTGGGGCCATTAATGCAATCATCTACCAAACTGAGTACATGTTAAAGCTGCCAGTTTTGAGTAGGGCCCAGAATAAGAGAAGGCTCTGCAGCCAGTCTAGGCTGCAGTTCAAGAAACTCTGGCTTTATGACCCAGTATATCTAATGATTTTAAAATTGTTACAGATGCAGATACTATACATGCACCCCAGCAAATGTTGATAGGAAAATCCCGAAATTATCAGAGCAAGCTATTTCCCTCTTAGGAAATACGTATTTACCAAATACTCTTGTTACATTGCAACCTCTCCACAAACTAATACACATGGCCTTATGAGGAGTTCCCTATAACTAGTTAATTGAAGAAGAAGAAAAAAATGTCAGCCCGGTTTGTAGCTGGCACCAGCCAAAATTGAACTGCTGCATATTAAAGCCCCAATTGTAAGTAGCCCAATACAAGGACAATCAGAAAAAGTAATATGTTCAATGAGCAAAACTTTATGCATTTTTTTCTTTTTTTTTCGTAAGAGCCAGTTTTAGTTGAAAGAACAAGCAGAGGAAGGATTAAAGGTCACTCGAGCTGGTAGAAACAAATATAAACCTCAGGGAATATCCGCACGGAAGCCCACACCTTTGCTGCCACACAAACACAGAGAACCACGGTGCGTGAATAACAGGAAATGTATGTTTAAGAAGTCACGTGGCATGCAAAGTGAAAACAAGGAAGCAGACTTGCCCTCAAGGTGGAAGGTCCAGCAGCGGCTTTCCAATAGGAAAGTATCCAAGTCATGGCACCAAATAAGTTAGTGGTGGAAGAGATCCGACTTACACCAAGTTACTAGTGGCCTATCTACCGGTCTGTAGCAATTTCAATTCTTGCCTCCTCAGAAGACAGAATTCGACTGAGTGGCATAAGGCAGAATTAGAGACTGAGGCAAGCTTCAAAGCAGGAGTGAACGTTTATTAAAAAGCTTTAGAAGAGTAAGGAAAGGAAGGGAAAGAGAGAGAAGGAAAGTACCGCTTGGAAGAGAGCCAAGCAGGCAACTTGAGAAACCAAGTGCACCCAATGAGCAAAGTTAAATACTGCATCTGGCTCTACACTTTGCCTGAAAGGAGAGAAAGAAGGGTTTGAATCTACAGTCCATGGGAAAGAGCTAATGGTTTGGCCAGACAGTCTTGGATGGGAAAGAAAAAAGATTAGAGAATTAGTTATGAGAAAGTCTGGAGAAAAGGCCTATTGCTGGACTCCTCAGAATGGCAGAGTAGGAGAACATTTGTGTTCCACTGAATTCTCACCACAGGGCTGGCTTCTCCGTTGAGGAGAATCCTACCTAGTGAGAAGAAGAAAACCTGTTCTGTGGATTTCATTTAGCCTTTTTCACTGGCTACCCTAGGGCTTGGTCAATAAGCATAGAAACTTACTGGCATGATAGCCGAGATGGAAGTGATGCATGACTCAGCAATATGAACTTTCTCTCACCAAGGAAGATGCAGAAAATGATACTAATGAATATCTGCTACATCAAGGAAACAGCAGAAAACACATAAATGCACACAAACACACACAGAGAGAGGGAGAGAGATGTGAGAATATTGTATCCATAAAATAGAACAGTTATGGTATTGAAAAAGGTAAAATTATTTTAGAAATAATTAGAAGTTTAAAATATAACTCGATTTAAATAATTCAATATATAGATTAAATAGAACGGAAAAACATAAATATCAAATAACTTAGCTTGAAAATTGAGATAAAAAAATTATCCCAAAACACAGTAGTAACACAGTACAAAGATATGTGAGTAGAAAACTGGAGACATAAAATATGGATGTAAGAGTTCTAATATTCAAAAAAGAGCCCAAATAGCCAAAGCAATCCTAAACAAAAAGAACACAGCTGGAGACATCACACCACCTGACTTTAAACTGCACTACAAGGCTATAGTAGCTAAAACAGCATGGTACTTGTACAAAAACAGACACATAGACAAATGGAACAAGTTAGAGAATCCAGAAATAATGGGGGTACACTTACAACTATCTGATCTTTGACAAACCTGACAAAAACAAGCAATGGGGAAAGGACACCCTATTCAGTAAATGCTACTGGGATAACTGGCTAGCCATATGCAGAAGATTGAAACTGGACCTATTCCTTACACCATATATAAAAATCAACTCAAGATGGATTAAAGATTTGAATGTAAAACCCAAAACTATAAAAATCCTAGAAGATAACCTAGGAAATACCATTTTGGACATAGGACATGTCAGAGATTTCATGACAGAAATGCCAAAAGCAATTGCAACAAAAACAAAAATTGACAAATGGTATCTAATTAAACTAAAGAACTGTTGCACAGCAAAAGAAACTATCAACAGTATAAACAGACAACCTATAGAATTGAAGAAAATATTTGCAAACTATGCATCTGACAAAGGTCTAATATCCAGAATCTATAAGGAACTTAAATAAATTAACAAGCAAAAAAACACCACCATTAAAAATTGAGCAAAGGACATAAACAGATGCTTTTCAAAAGAAGACACACATGGAGCCAACAAGCATGTGAAAAAATGCTCAACATTGCTAATTATTACAGAAATGCAAATCAAAACCACGATGAGATACCATCTCCCACCAGTCAGAATGGCTATCACTGAAAAGTCAAAAACAACAGATGTTGGTAAGGTTATGGAGAAAATGGAACCCTTAAACACTGCTGATGGGAATGTGAATTAGTTCAGCCACTGTGGAAAGCAGTTTGGCAATTTCTCAAAGAACTTAAAACAGAGTTACCATTCTGCCAAGCAATCCCATTATTTTGTATATACCAAATGAAATATAAATTATTCTACCTTAAAGATACATGCACATGTATGTTCATCATAGCATTATTCACAATAACAAAGACATTGGATCAACCTAAATGCCCATCAGCGATAAATCGGATAAAGAAAATGTAGCACATACACACCGTGGAATATATGCAGCCGTAAAAAAGAATGAAATCATCTCGTATGCAGCAACATGGATGAAACTGGAGGGTATTATCCTAAGCAAACTAATGTATGAACAGAAAAGCAAATACCACATGTTCTCATTTATAAGTGGGAGCTAAACATTGAGTACACATGGACACAAAGAAGGGAATAACAGACACTGGGGCCTTCTTTAGGGTGGAGGGAGGGAGGAAGGTGAGGATCCAAAAACTACCTATTGGTACTATGCTTTTTACCTAGGTGACAAAATAATCCGTATGCCAAACCCCTATGACACCCAATTTACCAACATAACAAACCTGCACATATACCCCTGAACCTAAAATAAAAGATAAAAATAAATAAATAAATACATAAATAAATAAAATGGAAAAGTGATGTGGGAAAAATGTTTAATCATAAGAACTCAAATACAAGTTTACACCAAACAAATCTGAAAATTAGTTGAAATAGATAATGTAGTAGAAAAAACTGAGTAAGCAAACTTGACTCAAAAAGGACCTGACACTCTGAAAAACCCAATAACTAGAAAAGAAATTTAGAAGAAATCAAAACTCTAGAAAGGGCACAATGCCCAGACAATCTTATGGGCACATTGTATTAAACCTACAAAGAACAGATAATTCCTGTATTATTTACACTGTTACAGAACATAGAAAAAAATGGAATGTTTTCAGCTCATTCTACAAATTTAACATCACACTGAACCATAACCAGATAAAAATAGAAAGAAAGAAACCCACAAAAAAAATCAAAAAATCCAAAGACAAATGGAGGCAAAAATCTCCCCAAAAATATTGGAATTTTTTATATTATACTTTAAGTTTTGGGATACATGTGCAGAAGGTGCAGATTTGTTACTAGGTATACACGTGCCATGGTGGTTTGCTGCACCCATCAACCCATCATCTATGTTAGGTATTTCTCCTAATGCTATCCCTCCCCTAGCCTCCCAACCCCCAACAGGCACTGGTGTGTGATATTCCCCTCCCTGTCTCCATATATTCTCATTGTTCAACTCCCACTTATGAGTGAAAACATGTGGTGTTTGGTTTTCTGTTCCTGTGTTAGTTTGCTGAGAATGATGATTTCCAGCTCCATGCATGTTCCTGCAAAAGACATTAACTCAACCTTTTTTATGGCTGCATAGTATTCCATGGTGTATATGTGCCACATTTTCTTTATCCAGTCTAACATGATGGGCATTTAGGTTGGTTCCAAGTTTTTGCTATTGTGAATAATGCTGCAATAAACATACATGTGCATGTGTCTTTATAGTAGAATGATTTATAATCCTTTGGGTATATACCCAGTAATGGGATTGCTGGGTCAAATGATATTTCTGATTCTAGATCCTTGAGGAATCGCCACACTGTCTTCCACAATGGGTTGAACTAATTTACATTTCCACCAATAGTGTAAAAGCATTCCTGTTTCTCCACATCCTCTCCAGCATCTGTTGTTTCCTGACTTTTTAATGAACACCATTCTAATTAGCATGAGATGATATCTCATTGTGGTTTCGATTTGCATTTCTCTAATGACCAGTGATGATGAGCTTTTTTTCATATATTTGTTGGCTGCATAAATGTCTTCTTTTGAGAAGTGTCTGTTCATATCCTTTGCCCACTTTTTGATGGTGCTGTTTTTCTTTTCTTGTAAATTTGTTTAAGTTCCTTGTAGATTCTGGATATTAGACCTTTGTCAGATGGACAGATTGCAAAAATTTTCTCCCATTCTGTAGGGTACCTGTTCAATCTGAGACAGTTTCTTTTGCTGTGCAGAAGCTCTTCAGTTTAATTAGATCCCATTTGTCAATTTTGGCTTTTATTGCCATTGCTTTTGGTGTTTCAGTCAAGAAGTTTTTGCCCATGCCTATGTCCTGAAGGGTATTGCCTAGGTTTTCTTCTAGGGTTTTTATGGTTTTGGGGTTTTTATGGTTTTAGGTCTTATGTTTAAATCTTTAATCCATCTTGAGTTAATTTTTGTATAATGTTTACATATTGAAGGGGTCCAGTTTCAGTTTTCTGCATATGGCTAGTCAGTTTTCCCAACACCATTTATTAAATAGGGAATCCTTTCCCCATTGCTTGTTTGTGTCAGGTTTGTCAAAGATCAGATGGTTGTAGATGTGTGGCATTATTTCTGAGGCCTCCGTTCTGTTCCATTGGTCTATGTATCTGATTTGGTACCAGTACCAAGCTGTTTTTGTTACTGTAGCCTTGTAGTATAGTTGGAAGTCAGGTAGCATGATGCCTCCAGCTCTGTTCTTTTTGCTTAGGATTGTCTTGACCATACGGGCTCTTTTTTGGTTCCATATGAAATTTAAAGTAGCTTTTTCTAATTCTGAAAAGTGTTGCGGGAAGTCAGGTACCCCAAACGGAGGGACCAGCTGAAGCCATGGCAGAAGAACATAAATTGTGAAGATTTCATGGACATTTATTAGTTCCCCAAATTAATAGTTTTATAATTTCTTACACCTGTCTTTACTGCAGTCTCTGAACATAAATTGTGAAGATTTCATGGACACTTATCACTTCCCCAATCAATACCCTTGTGATTTCCTATGCCTGTCTTTACTTTAATCTCTTAATCCTGCCATCTTCGTAAGCTGAGGATGAATGTCACCTCAGGACCCTGTGATAATTACGTTAACTGCACAAATTGTTTGAACAATATGAAATCTGGGAACCTTGAAAAAAGAACAGGATAACAGCAATGTTCAGGGAACAAGGGAGATAACCTTAAACTCTGGCTGTCTGTAAGCTGGGCAGAACAGAGCCATATTTCTCTTCTTTCAAAAGCAAATAGGAGAAATATCGCTGAATTCTTTTTCTCAGCAAGGAACATCCCTGAGAAAGAGAATGCGTCCCTAAGGGGAGGCCTCTGAAATGGCTGCTTTGGGGACGGCCATCTTTTACGGTCATAGATAAGGGATGAAATAAGCCCCGGTCTCCCGTAGCACTCCCAGGCTTACTAGGACGAGGAAATTCCTGCCTAATAAATTTTGGTCAGACCGGTTATCTGCTCTCAAACCCTGTCTCCTGATAAGATGTCATCAATGACAATGCATGCCCGAAACTTCATTAGCAATTTTAATTTTGCCCCGGTCCTGTGATATCACCCTGCCTCCATTTGCCTTGTGATATTTTATTACCTTGTGAAGCATGTGATCTCTGTGACCCACACCCTATTCGTACACTCCCTCTCCTTTTGAAAATCACTAATAAAAACTTGCTGGTTTTACAGCTCAGGGGACATCACGGAACCTGCCGACATGTGATATCTCCCCCGGACACCCAGCTTTAAAATTTCTCTCTTTTGTACTCTGTCCCTTTATTTCTCAGACTGGTCGACACTTAGGGAAAATTGAAAAGAACTTACATGAAATATTGGGGGTGAATTTCCCCCAGTAGAGAAGAAAGTCAATGGTAGCTTGATGGGGATGGCATTGAATATATAAATTACTTTTGGCAGTATAGCCATTTTCATGATATTGATTCTTCCTATCCATGAGCATGAAATGTTTTTCCATTTGTTTGTGTCCTCTCTTATTTCCTTGAGAAGTGGTTTGTAGCTCTCCTTGAAGAGGTCCTACACATCCCTTGTCAGTTGTATCCCTAGGTATTTTATTCTCTTTCTAGAACATAAACTATCACATAAACAGAACCAATGACAAAAACCACATGATTATCTCAACAGATGCAGAAAAGGCCTTCAATAAAATTCAACACCCCTTCATGCTAAAAACTCTCAATAAACTTGGTATTGATGGAACGTATCTCAAAATAATAAGAGCTATTTATGACAAACCCATAGCCAATATCATACTGAATGGGCAAAAACTGGAAGCATTTCCTTTGAAAATCGGCACAAGACAAGGATGCCCTCTCTCACCACTCCTATTCAACATAGTATTGGACATTCTGGCCAGGGCAATCAGGCAAGCGAAAGAAATAAAGCGTATTCAAATACGAAGAGAGGAAGTCAAATTGTCTCTGTTTGCAGATGACATGATTGTATATTTAGAAAATCCCATCATCTCAGCCCAAAACCTCCTTAAGCTGAAAAGCAACTTCAGCAAAGTCTCAGGATACAAAATCAATGTACAAAACTCACAAGCATTCCAATACACCAATAACAGACAAACAGAGAGCCAAATATTGGACATTTTAATTCAGTAGTGCATTAAGAGAATTATAGCATGAACTGGCAGTCTTTTTCACAGAAATGCTAGGACAGGTTAACATTAGTCTGTCGTTTAGTGTAATTCACTACACCAAGAGCTTAAAAAAGAAAAATGACATTATTATCTAAATACACATGAAAAAGTACTTGCTAAAACTTAATGATCACTCTTGATAAGAAAAGCTTTTATTCAGCAAACTGACAGAAGCTACCACCAGAAACCTATATGATACTTCTGATGAATCACAAAGACTACTCCCATTGAAGTTTAAAACAAGAGGAAGGTTCTGTTACTCCCTCAGTGGGAACAAACTCCAACAAAGCAAGGTAGTAAATCAAGAAACAGAAAGATATGGGATCCAGGAAGCAGGAGATACTACACAGAAGAGAGGCAAAGGAAATCCCCAGGATTACTGTGAAGGAAAATCCAGAGTGATAAATGTGCAGCAGATCTACAAAGTAAGGTACAGGAGGTTGAATGATTACTGGAAGGATAATTCAAAAAAAACTAAACTGATAGGACAGTGTTAAAATTCATTGCGACAATACGTAGACTTCAGGCAGAGAGTTTGCATACAAATTAGTAATACATTGACAAAAACTAAGCAAAGAAAAAATGAATTAATGATTAACCCTTCACAGGGAGACTTAAGAAAAATAAATACAGTATTCGATATGACTCAGTTGAAAATACTATTTATAATCATTGGGCTGGGCACAATGGCTCATGACTGTAATCCCAGCACTTTGGGAGGCCGAGGCAGGTGGATCACTTAAAGTCAGGAGTTCGAGACCAGACTGGCCAGCATGGTGAAACCCCATCTCTACTAAAAATATAAAAATTACCCCCACATGGTGGTGGGTGCCTGTAATCCCAGCTACTCAGGAGGCTGGGGCAGGAGAATCACTTGAACCCGGAAGGCAGAGGTTACAGCTAGCTGAGATCACGCCACTGCACTCCAGTATGGGTGACAAGAGTGAGACTCCATCTAAAATAAAAAATAAAATAAAAAATATAGCCATAATAACATATAATGTGTAAACTGAATACTGATTTAACCAAAATTGTGATAAAAATCATTTGGGAATATGGGGGAGGGCATATATTAGAGAGCTACTTTCTAATCTTCCATAATAGTAAGTCAATGAATAATGCTTAAAATTGAAAAAATTTAAAAGTAGTAGTATAAGCATGATATTTAGAAATATAAGTATAAAAAACAGAAGAAATAGCTATGAGAATTGAAAGTGGTTGCCACTGAGGAATGACAGAGGTGGAGAAGGATGCAGCGAGGACTGCCAGTTTCTATGTCATGTAAAACTAATTTACTAACTTAAAATACCTTCATATATTCCTTTAGTAAAAATTAAAACTAAATTCAGATTTTAAAAAACACTGACAGTATCCAGTAAGGATGCAGAGAAACATGTGTAGTCTTAGACCTGATAGCTAAGAGAATAACTTAGTACAGGCTTTTTGGAGAGCATGTTGGCAGTAATATCAAAATTTCAAATATCCTTATTATCTAATCCAATGATTCCTCCTCTGGCAAGTTATTTTAAGAAAACAACAGGACAGATGTAAAAATTTACCTAAAAGGGTGTTCACAGCATCATACTTTAAAATACTGGAACATTCTGACTATTCATGTACATTAATAAGGACTGATTAAGTACATTATATACTTCCATACAGGGGAATACCTGCAGACTTTTACAATATTGACATAAAGTAGTGGTTTCAAATCATGTTTTTGGAAGTCTATATTCATTTCTCTAGGGCTGCCATAACAAAGTACCAAAATCTAGGTGGCTTAGAAAAACAGAAATCTATTGTCTTACAGTTGTTGGCTAGAACTCTTAGATCAAGGTGTCAGCAGGGTTGGTTCCATCTGAGGGCTGTGGGGGAGAATTTCTTTCATGCTTCTCTCCTCCTTCTTGTGTTTGCTGGCAATCTCTGGGGTTCCTTGGCTTGTGGATGCACCACTCTGATATCTGCCTTTATCTTCACATGGCAGACTTCCTATGCATGTACCTGTGTCTGTGTCCAGATTTCTCTTTTTTGTAGGGACACCAATCATGTTGGATTAGGGTCCACCCTGGTAACCTCATCTTAACTTTATAAATACCCCATAAGCATTTGGTCACTTTCAAAGGAACTGGGGCAGTAGGACTTCAAAATCTTTTTACAGAACCCATAACAGAATTGTGGGGTCTCTGAGGGGTGCCTCAAAAACTATTGCAATTAACTGTTGGTCCTGAGCTGGTGAGCTCTAGATTTCCCTTGTCCACTTTAACTAGAAAAGTTCCAATTTTTATAAATTAACATTCTGAAAGTTCATCTGAAGAAAAGCTTCCACAATTTAAAATGTTTAAAAGCAACCAATATAAAACTATATTTATATATGTGCCAAATATATTGCTAATTAACAAAAGCAGTTTGCAAGCATGTGAATATGTTCCCAGTTCTATATAAGTTTTAAAAAGTCACCATCTATATCTACAGTGCTTATATTTAGATCAACACCATTTTTGGTACAACATATCCCCAAAATATTCACAGTATTAACACAGCTACAATTTTTCAAGTTCCCTTTATATTCATCTTCATGCTTTTCTATATTGTCTAGTTTTTTGCAATGATATATCTTGTAATTAAAAAAGACTATATTATTAAAGAGATAAAAAGGTGGCCAGGTGCAATGGCTCGTACCTGTAATCCTAGGAGGCCAAGGCAGGCAGATGGCTTGAGCCTAGAAGTTCACAATCAGCCCAGGCAACATGGCAAAACCCCATCTCTACAAAACTAAAAATAAAAATAGAAAAGGACATGATATTCAGTAAATACATGTTGGCAAATTGATCAATATAATTTTATTAGTCTGGCTTGGCTTATAAGAATTTCAAACTGAGGGAATTTGCATAATTATTCAAGTTCTACTCTTCAGAACATCAGTCTTTGCCATTCAAATCCTACTGATGCTCTCTGATAAAAGTGAGTCTGCAAACCCAAGTCTATTCACGGGTGAACAAATAAAATGTAGTACAAACACACAATGCAATATTATTCAGCCTTTAAAAAAATTCTGACACATAGTACAACATGGGTGAACCTTGAAGACATTATGTTAAGTGAAATAAGCCAGTCACAAAAGGACAAATGCCATACGATTCCACTTACATGAGGTATTTAGAGTGCTCAAATTCATAGACACCAAAAGTAAAATGGTAGTTACTAGGGACTGGCGGCAGGTGGAAATGAGGACTTATTGAATGAGTATGGAGTTTCAGTTTTGCGAGAAAAAAAAAAGTTCTGGAGATGGGTGGTGGTGATGGTTGCACAACAATGTGAGTGTGCTGAATACCATTGAACTGTACACTTAAAAATGGTTAAAATGGGCTGGCTGAGGTGGCTCACGCCTGGAGGCTGAGGTGAGTGGATCACCTGAGGTCTGGAGTTCGAGACCAGCCTGGCCAACATGGTGAAACCCCGTCTCTACTAATAATAACAAAAAACTTAACTGAACTTGGTGGTGCACACTTGTAATCCCAGCTACTTGGGAGGCTGAGGCGGGAGAATCACTGCAACCCAGGAGGCAGAGGTTGCAGTGAGCCGAGGTTGCAGTGAGCAGAGACCATGCCATTGCACTCCAGCCTGCGTGACAAGAGCGAAACTCCATCTCAAAAAAAAAGTTAAAATGATGACTTTTGTGCATAGTTTACCACAATTAAAAAAATAAAAATAAAAAAGAGACTTTGATCTTAAAACACTTCAAGGTAATGTGTACCTATCTGACGTTCATTTTTAATATCATAAGCTCATTTACTTATTATTTTTCATTAATGAATCATTATAACATAATCACCATTTTCATCATCCCCATCAGCATCAAAGTACTGCAAAAACAGTTGTATGCTTTATTCTAAAGATCACTTTTCATTTTCTTTATACAGGCAGCATAAATACTTTTTGGAGAAAAACACTATGAGGAGCATTGAGAAAGTCCTCATTTGGAATACTTAGCTGGACTTACCTAAACTGAACTTTCCCTTCCTTGACCCAGGGCAACCTCTGCCAAGCCCACCACCCTCCAGCTCCTACGCCATGAAAGATCGAAGAAGATAATCAGAAAAACCACCCAAGAAAAGGAAAAGGGAGAATCAGTTACATATCCAGCAAGCCAGAAAACAAGAAAACCCAAATCTGTTCCAGTTCTCTAGTTTCACCTTAAAGGCAAAGAACTGTAGATGCTTGTGAGGAGCTCTTCAAAGCCTAAATTCATAGCCTCTCTACGCGGGAGGTTACCAGCATCTGAAGAAAAACAACCACTACCAGAAAAGCTCTTCTTTGTTTTCATTCTTCGCAGTCCTTCAGGAAACTCTTGATAATGTGAAATGTTATTACTGCAAATGTTGGCTCAAGCACGTTTACTCTAGAGTCTGACTATCAGTGACTTGTTCGCAAAATAAAATCATTTTTAAAGCCTACAAGGAAAGCCAAGAGCAAACCACAAATCAGAAAACCACCAAGGCGGGCTGGCCTCATTGCCAGAATTTAATGTGATCTAATGCGAGGACAACAAGATGTGAGAATTTGATTTTACGATGTTCCATGTAACATTTGCCAATACGGAGGGGTTGGGCCCAACTTCCCCATCCTTAAGCAAACATTTGAAGTAATGTTTCACTTTCTTATCAGTTTGAATTCTGTCAGCGAGAGGGTAGAGATTCAGCCGGGCCTGCTCATTTTAAAAGTGCCATCTGCTTTGGATGCTCATAGATTTGCTTAATATCCATTTGTATAAGATGAAGATGGGCAGGTGGGGAAGGGGCCAGGAAAATAGGATGAAGCTATTTAGTGGCAGTGTACCAACTGGACTGCCACTCTCTTCTGCACTGGTGATTTATTCCATGGGTGGGAAGGCAGGAATAGGGCTAACTTAAGCAACATTCTTTCACAAGCAAAAACTAACCCCAATGAGAAAGAGTCAGATCTGGGCTGAATCACGTTGTCCAGTCTCACACCAAATGGAACTGGAGCTCAGGTGGAGCTCTATTTCCCATCACTCATTCTTTAGAAAAGAAATAAAATGGTAGCAACAGAGAAACACTTTGCATATGTCAAATTAACAGCGGAGGACCCTATGGAATAAAGAAAGCCAGTCAGGAAATCCCATAGAAGGGCACATGAGCAATGAAAAATACATTAAAGTTACATATTTCATGCAGTTTTTATTTCTGTTGCCAGGACAATGGAACAAGAATCAGATCTCTTTTTTTCCTTCTTACAGAAAAATGCAACCTTACCAATGCCAAACTCCTACTTACACTGTCATTTTATAGCAGTTACAAAGTTGGCCCAGTGAAGAAATGTAAAACGCATAGAATCAAGTTTCTTAAAGCAATAGTTTGCTAAGGGAAGTGTAATAAATACAGGGTCTAGGAAAAAATTACTAGAACTTCTATTTCTATTGACTTTTAAGCTAAACACTAAGAAGGAAAGAAAGCCTCACTAAGAGTTAAAATCTGGATGACACCAGTTGTCCTCATTTGGTGCAGATACAGACAGTCACCTCTCACCCACCACCTGTGGACTGTGAGTCTTCCTGAAAGAAGGTTGAGGGCTCAACAGTGCTGAGGGTATGATAGGGGTAGCATCAGTTCAGGTAGGCTGGGCTGCAGTAACACATAGACCAAGCAGGTAATGGCTCAACACAATAGGAAGTTAGTTCTTGCTTAGGGTGCCATTCTGGTGATGAGATCAGCAGGACAGCTCAAGCCATGCCATCACTTAGATGAGGCTCTGCCAACTTCGGCTTATGGTTAGCATAGCCATCTGCATCGCTTCCTGCAGGAAGAAGGAAGAACCTTGGAGAATCACTTCTAGGAGGCTTTTTATGGGACCAGACTGAAAGTGGTACATATTATCGAAGCTCATCCTCCATTGGCCATGACTTAGTCTCAGAGCCACAACTAACCACAAGGGAAGCCAGGAAATGTAGCCTGATTATGTGCTCAAGAAGAAGAAACAAATTATGGCAAACAGTCAGCAGTTTCTACCATAGGTGTGCTCATCCATTCAGTGGATTGCAATGTATTGCAATCGACATGTTCCCCTTACACGGATTTAACCATTTTAATAAAATTTAACCTCATAAAATGAACAGGTAGCTGAAAAATATTCCTACTACAAAGTTAAAAATTGAAGATAATATTAATAATAGGAACACAAGCCAACCACAAGAAAAGAGCAGAGCTAAAGCCTCATATTTTAAACTCTTTGTCAACAATAATGTGAGGTTTTTTTTAAAAAAAGACTATTAAATTACTTCTGGAAAGAAGTCAAACCAAATATTTTTAAAAATTTTAAGTTTATTTGAAATACAGATTTATATCCACTTTTATAATAATGAACCTTATATACCTGAAACATGGCTAATAAGAATGTGAACATACCAAAATTAGCAAAAAATTTAAGTAGCCATAAAATAAACATGGAGAAAAGCTTCTGTAATTTTATGTGCAGTTTAAAGTCGTGTTATACTTAATCTATTCTGAAAAATTTTACTAAACTTGATGAGAGATGTTTAGAGGTCTCCTTTGAGATTTCTCATTAAATAATAAAGTACAAAAAGCCACATACCATTGGGTACTCATTTTTTCTTCACTCCATAATTTAAAATGGCAAAATAACATATGTAAAACAATCTGGCAATAGGCTGGGCACGGTGGCTCACGCCTGTAATCCCAGCACTTTGGGAGGCCAAGGCGAGCAGATCACTTGATGCCAGGAGTTTGAGACCAGCCTGTGAAACGTAGCAAACCCCGCCTCTACTAAAAATTAGCTGGACATGGTGGCACACACCTATAATCCCAGCTACTCAGGTGGCTGAGGCACAAGAATCACTTGAACCTGGGAGGCAGAGGTTGCAGTGAGCTGAGATTGCACCACTGCACTCCAGCCTGGGCAATGGAGCGAGACTCTGTCACAGAAAAAAAAAAAAAATCTGGCAACAAAATTGTATTCCTTTGTTAATATAAAAAAAAAAGCTGGCCGGGTGCGGTGGCTCACGCCTGTAATCCCAGCACTTTGGGAGGCCGAGGCGGGTGGATCACGAGGTCAGGAGATTGAGACCATCCTGGCTAACACAGTGAAACTCCGTCTCTACTAAAAATACAAAAAATTAGCCAGGCGTGGTGGCAGGCGCCTGTAATCACAGCTACTCAGGAGGCTGAGGCAGGAGAATGGCGTGAACCTGGGAGGCAGAACTTGCAGTGAGCCAAGATGGCGCCACTGTACTCCAGCCTGGGTAACAGAGTGAGACTCCGTCTCAAAAAAAAAAAAAAAAATAGCTGAAGTTTTAAGAAATAATTAAAATATGTTTTGAAGTGTTGGGAGGTTGATTTACAGAAGAATGAAAGTACAGGTTTCTAATGTATCTCAGCTTATGGTATTTTCTAGATCCTGTTTCAATAGTTAAATATATAACTATTTGTGTGCATGTGTGTGTGCACGCATATACCTGTGCATATACCACAAAAAGATATGTACTAAGGAATGTATCTTCTCAAAAATAACTCAACTAATATTTATAGAGCACCTGCTCCTTATCCTGATGCAGTTTTAATTACAGTAGCAATACTCAATCTTGCAAAAACAATATTTTAAGAGAAAATTGTGTAAGTGTATCAATGATGGAGCAACTACTTCGATGAAATGTTTTAAAAGGTTTTTGGAATAAGTTTACTGAGGCAGCATAAATGAAATCTTTTTGCTTCACCATTCATAGGCAAGCTATTGTAACAAAATGCTACAAAATGTCACTCATAAGTTCAATTTTAGAAAAACTAGAACCTTCAAATAAAGGGAAGTCAAATACCTTATACCCATTAGGATGACTATTATCAAAAAACAAAACAGAAAATAGCAAGTATTGGCAAGGATCTGGAGATAGTATGTTCTTGTGCACTATTGGTGGGAATATAAAATGGTATAGTTGTTATGGGAAACAATATGGTAATTCCTCAAAAAATTAAAAATTGAATTACTATATGATGCATAAATTCTACTTCTGGGTATATACCCAAAAGAATTGAAAGCTGTGTCCTGAAGAGATATTTGTACACCCATGTTCATAGCACCATCAGTCACAAAAGCCAAAAGGTGGAAGCAACCCAGTGTCCATCAACAGATGAACAGATAAGCAAAATGTGATACAGATATACATACAATGAAATAGAGTTCAGCCTTTAAAAAGAAGGAAATTTTGACACATGCCATAATATGGATGAGCCTTAAGGACATTATGCTAAATGAAATAAGCCAATAACAAAAAGATAAGTACTGTATAATACCACTTATATGAGTACCTATAATAGTGAAATGCATAGAGACAGAAAATGAAAGGGTAGTTATCAGAGACTAGGGAGAAGGAGGGATGGAGGAGTTGTTTAATAGGTATAGAGTATCAGTTTTGCAAGATCCATATAATTCTGGAGATTGGTTATCCAACAATGTGAATGTACTTAACATTAATGAACTATACATTTAAAAATTGCTAAAATGGTAAATGTGTATTATGAGTATTTTACTATAATTAATTGTTTTAACGTAGAGGACTCTACAGTTTGATATTGAGATATGGAGCAATGTTGAAAATATTTTCTATCACGCAGAGTTTGCTGATATTTAAAAAACAAGGGACACACACACTATCTACTTTCAAGGTAAAGATGATATTTTCACAACGAATTTAAAATAACTGTTCTTTGAAAGAAATTCAAGCTATGCTGATAACATTTTGAAAACATATTTAAAGCATTTCCATCACTGTGTGTGTTGTTGTCGATAATTATACAAATGCAGCCCTATAAATATTTTCATAACTGAACACTTACACTTAGAAATGGAACATTTAAGCTATTTAATAATTTATCAAAGAGTTTTAATGGCTTAGAATTCAATTGGTGAAACAGTAACAAGCAACCCCCAATTAGTTTGTAAGAGCAAGTGGTTAATATCAGGGAAGATAAAAAATTTTATCCAAATTTCAACAGAAGTTTCTGCATAATTGAAGTATAGACTAGAAAAATGATCATCATGATTTAGTAAGCCTTGTCAATGATGGGTTCCTTCCATTCCTTCTTTCCTTCCATTTGTAGATTCCATTCAGATCTACAAATAGTCATAAGTGATCTTTTTAAGATAAGGCAGTCAAAATTCAAAAATTCTCTGATTGTGGATTCATTAAATTCGAGTTTTATGCTAGGATTTTAAAAACATATTAAACCATATTAAATCATACAACTCTCACTAATAAGAGCAAAAAGAGCTAGGTATCGAAAGCAAAAATAAGTAAAATAATTTTTAAAGTATTCTTTCTTTCATCTATTTTAAGCCTATGTTATTTTCTATCTTACATATGTCTTATAAAGTGCATAATATATTGGTACATAGCATATGCATATAACTCACAAATAAATTAATTTTGTTCACACATAAAAATGTTTATTAATATGGATATAAAATATAGAGACTATTGGTCTAAAATGTCTCGGAAACCAGTTAGGGAGGAATCTACAAACTTTGGTTTAAAAAGCAAATGGTCTAAAACTGCAATATGGAAGACCAAGGTTATATATGAGAAAGGCTTTTCTTTATGGTGGCAAGAAGCCACAAGACTAATTCTCATCCATTGAAATTATGTAGGTATAGTTCTTCCTTAGAGTAACGAGATCAATTCATTTTATTCATAGGAATATTATGTAGCTCTATTGTCCTTAATGCCAGCCAGGAGATAATTCTAAGTATATACCTATAGTCAAGAATAATATTTTGATAGTAAAATAACACTGTACACATAGATTTTCCCTTAGAATATTTAAAGTACTTATGCTTTCATCAATAAGTTTTCTTGAATCTGTTTTGGAATGTGATGGGACATATTTAAGTAAACAAACAATCACATACATAAACACTGTATTAAGCTTTTTATCTTCTGATCCCTCCTTTCACGTAAAACCACTGCAGAAGGAAAAAAACTTTTATCACAAAATAGCTATGTCATTCCCATTATTTAGAATGCCTTTCCTTTCTTCTTTCATTTTATCTGAGTTTTCTCTGTAATTTGGGGTTCACTTCCAAAAAATTGTATTCAACAACTAGTATACTACCTGCTTCTATGGTAGATCGATTGCAAAAATGTCCCTGTTTTCTGTATCTACATGCTCTTTGCAATGTGGCTTTGCAGTTCCTCTTATTAGAAAGTGAAGTATATATTCCCATCTCTTGAATATAGACTAACTTTGGCACTTTTATTTTTGGCCAATAAAACATGGCAGAGGTGATAGTGTGTCAGTTCCACTCTAGGCCTACTTCCACCATATGCCTTGGAAAACTCACTAACCCACAGACTAAGACCAGGATGGGTAAGAGACCACATGCTAGAGAGCAGAGGTGTTCTAGATGATCACTAATGAATGTCCCAGGCCTGGCATGGTGGCTCACACCTGTAATCCCAGCACTTTGGGAGGCCGAGGCAGGTGGATCACTTGAGGTCAGGAGTTCAAGACCAGCCTGACCAACATGGAGAAACCCCGTCTCTACTAAAAATACAAAAATTAGCCAGGCATGGTGGTACATGCCTGTAATCCCAGCTACTTGGGAGGCTGAGGCAGGAGAATCGCTTGAACCCAGGAGGCGGAGGTTGCAGTGAGCTGAGATCGCACCATTGCACTCCAGCCTGGGCAACAAGAGTGAAACCCAGTCCCACCCCTACCACCCCCCAAAAAAAATCCTTAACAGAGTTGCCTAATCTGCATGTGGCTAACAGCAGATGCACGTGGCAGTCCAGCCAAGGGTAGAAGAGCCACCCAACTGAGCCCAGGCCAGATTACCAGCTCATAGAATTTTGAGCTAAATGAATGGTTACTATTTTAAGCAGCTAAGTTTTGGGCTGGTTTGTTAAGCAGTATTATTGTGATAATCGTTAACACTCCTTACTAGGCATACTAAAAAGATGGAAACAATGTGGTCCTTTCTGCCCTTGAAGGACTCATCTTCTGTATAAGGTCTTTTAATCTGGGGCCCACAGATGGACTTTAAAGAGATTTTAAATTCTCTTAAATTATATGTGAGATTTAACAAGTCTTCTCAAGTGTTTTTCCTCTGGGGAAGTGGAGTTTATAGTTTTTATCAGATTCTCAAATAAGGTGGTCTCTCACCAAAAGGTTAATACAGCACAGTCGTGAAGATATTGATGCAGTTATAAAAAGTATAATATCATACATCAAATCCAATAATAGAGGTATGTGCCAGGTAGTATGGCAATACAGAGAAGAAAACGTTTAAAATCTCCTGAGGAATTCTAAGGCTTTCTCAAAGAAATTATTCTTCCCAAGTGTCTCCACAGACACAAAGAACCTTTCAGGCAATGGGATAGCAGGTACAACTATCCCATTTACGTGTACAATTTCTTTTCCCTAAATAAACCAGGCATGGAAAAGTAAAACTGCCTGGTTTATTTAGGGAAAAGAAATTGTACATGTAGCAAGATACGTAGTAAAGGTATGGAAGATAAAACTGAAGAAGGCTGAGGTCAAGATGTGAAGGGCTTGTAGTCCATGCCAGGGAATTTGTTTTTTAAAACTGTAAGGATCTGCCACTAAAAGTTTTTAAGCAAAGAAAAAACATTGTGAGCCGGGCGCGGTGGCTCACGCCTGTAATCCCAGCACTTTGGGAGGCCGAGGCGGGCGGATCACGAGGTCAGGAGATGGAGACCATCCTGGCTAACACGGTGAAACCCTGTCTCTACTAAAAATACAAAAAAAAAATTAGCCGGGCGAGGTGGCCGGGGCCCGTAGTCCCAGCTACTCAGGAGGCTGAGGCAGGAGAATGGCGTGAACCCCGGGGGGCGGAGCCTGCAGTGAGCCGAGATCGCGCCACTGCACTCCAGCCAGGGTGACAGTGAGACTCCGTCTCAAAAAAAAAAAAAAAAAAGAGAGAAAAAACATTGTGAAAAATCGCATTTTACAAGTCCTGGTGGCAGAGAATAGAACAGCTTGCTTGGAGAAATGACTAGTGCAAACTGGCAATAGTACAGGCAGGAAATGATGGAAGTCTGAATTCAGGGAGTGGCACAGAGATGTAGAGGACAGAGGTGAGGTTTGAAAGTAGAATCATCAAGAGCTATTGACTGATTAGGTATAAAAATGAGAAAGCAATCTGGGATTAGTATTTCCTGATTGCACGAATGGAGATGGCGATAAAAATCACTGAGGAGAGAATGCCAAAGGAACATCACAGACAGAGAAATTATTTTAAATCCCATTTTGAACATGTTCAATTATAGATTGTGCAGCAGGCCTAGAGCTCAAACAAATAGTAAAGAACGAAGATTTGGAAGTTACTGACTATAAATTCTGAGGAATTTGAGGAGTCAAGGGAAATGCAGCATGAAGGAAAAATTGAGGGTGATACATATGTTCTAAACACGAAAATACACACGCCTTGGTCAAAGGCACTTAAAGAATTGCCAGCCCAGTGCAAAGATGACTCTTCTGTGACTGGCTCTTGAAAAGAAAAAAAGAGACAGAGAACAAAAAGAGAGAGAGAAAATACCAACTTTTCCTCAGTACATGGAGCAGCAGTGTGTCCTCACAGGCCAAGTCCTGTGAGCCGAGGCTGGGGTTGAGGTCAATGCTCTACACCCTGAACTGCAAATGCACACAAGCCTCCAGTCCATGCTGTCATCCTGCACACACTTCTTGCAAATCAGCTCCACACATTTGTCACTTGAACCAACACTTCCTAAGAGGAGGAAGTTATAACAGCACAGAGAGCGAGAGATATTTCCAAAAGCTTTGGATAAATTAGCATCAAATTCAGATTTTATAAAGCTTTTATGTACAAACACTGACTTATCCCAAAACGCTGACTTATCCCAAAACAAAAACAAAGCAAAATAAAAACCTCCAGAAAATGTTTAAGAGGATACCTAGTACAGAGTCCATGGCAGAGTACTGTGAGAATGAAAAGATGAATAGAGCATAAAGTCTGATCTTAAAGGAGATATCAGCTACCACCCATGGTGACTGTGAGATACGTAATTTGCAAGTTATAGGTATAAAGCCCACGAGAATGGACAAAACCAACCAGAAGGTGGGGGAAATGCAGAATTCACAAATGGCAGCCTGTTTTTTCCCAGAGTTTTGTTTGGCCTGTACAGTGTTTTTTAAAACGATGTTATCTGCCAATATTTAAAAATTGGGAGATTTCACCCCAAAAAATCAAATTCAACTTCTCTTGGAAAATTAATTAAAAGAAATTGCAACACTGGGCTCATGTTGCCACTCAGCAATAATTGGAGCTGAAAAGCAGCAGCTACCTTTAGAATAACCACGTGTCCTTCAATTAGCCGCCTTTCTCATTGTCTTCACTAATTGTATTTACCTGCCTGCTGCTTGTAGGCATCTGAATTTGTGACCCTCTGTGTAGAATCAGAAAGGAGGTCTAAGAAAGGAAAACTGAATCATGTACATCCAGCTATGGCTATTTATAAGCCAATATCTCTTCCCCACTAAAAATTAGCTGTTTAAGATCAGACTTGATGCTCCATTCATCTTTTCATTCCATTACTCTTCCATGGGCTCTGCGCATACCAGGTATCCTCCAAGCATTTTCTGGAAGTTTTTGTTTTGTTTTGTTTGTTTTTGGTTTGGGATAAGTCAGCATCTATATATACAAACTTTATAAAATCTGAATTTGATGCTAATTTACCCAAAGGCATGTTCATTATTCATTTCCCCTATTCACTGTCATTACCCTAAACATCTGCTCTGATCAGAATAATAAAACAGTAACAACTTATTATACTTGTAATTCACTTAAGATCAGAGGGTCTTACTGAAGCTTTATGACCTTCTGCGGTCAGTAGCTAGAGTTGCACATCCAGAGTTAAGTAATATAGTTAGTTCTGTGTCATACAAAGAATATAATAAGAATATAATAAAACCTCAAGAAATATGAAAAAAATTCTTTTCAGTTTATTGGGCTACTTTTTAATTTTCCATGCCATTCTTCATTTAGAAAGATCAAAGAGAAGGACTTGAGATCATATACTTTGATGACTGGAACACTGAGAGAAGGAGAAAGGGGAGAAGTTTACATTCTTAAAAAGAAGAAAAAAAATCAACGTGCTAGTTAGAATTGTATAAGAATCCGACAGTTTCACTGGCTTTTGGCAATAAGTTCCCACTGCCAATTTAGGAATATAAAAGAATTAATTGTATTATCAAGATCAAAGAACTATCAGAGCCACTTATCTGACACCCTCAATCCCAGGGTTTTGCTCTATTTTAATTGTCTCACCTTTTTCCTGCTAAGTAAAGAAAGTGAGATATTAGCTCATATTAAAAAAAAGATACAGCAACTATGACATGAAAGTTAGATCAATGATAAAGATTTACAGTCTAAGGTTTATTCTCATTTTCAATAGTTCCCCCAAACCAAAGGTGATAAAAATACATTTTATGTAATCACATTAGCTCATTAATCACCTAAAGGCCTGGCTGTTGACCCTTCACCTTTCCCAATGGGACTGAGGAAGTCAATCAACTGATAAAATAAAGTCTCCATCAGACTTTAAAAAGAAAAAACCTTTTTTAATGATTATGAATAATATATATGTGAGATTCAGGTTAATTTCCCAAAATTTACATCGAGAAAAGAATCAAGAACACTAACTATACCAAAAAAAAAAAAAAAATGGGATTTTTGCAATCTCTTTTTAAAAGTGAAAGAGAAAGAGAGAATAGCTTTTAATGAGCTTCCCTGTTCACCTTGATTAAATCAGAACTTTAGAGAAAATAACCTAGCAGAACTTCAGAAATGTGAAGTTCAAGTTCAACTAACGAAGGAACAAAGACTTTAATTTTAGCTGAATGATCTTCCCATTTCTGTGTCAGTTTCGCACTCTATTAGATCCTCTGGAACAAAAGGCCCAGACCCTCCCACTGGGAATCTTTCTCTGGAGCCCTAGGCTCTATTGTTGATTTTATCTTAAAGGGCTTGGGAACACATTTTATAAACATGAAAACAGAGAGCAAGTAAGTGTGAGAAACATCCAGTGAAAGAAGGTCAATGCTGTCAAAGCCCCACTGAATTTCTTTTAAAATGATGTAGGTAGATGCATTTCTGGTTGGTATGTTTAGTCAGATAGAGGTTTGAAAATGATATTCATTTGTCCCTTTTCTTACATGTGAAAATAATCACAATTTCTCAGGGAAGAATCGCCTGCTGGGTTACCAACTGCTGGGCTCATCCTCTCATACAACCAAATACCTTATTTTCAGCCTGAGACTTGGGGATGCTTTCTTTGGACAAATCAACATTGGCTTCATGTATGGAAATTCTCCTTCCTAGGGTTACCCAATGCAAGTGAAACCATGGAATTCCATGACACCTGTAAACCATTTCTCCTCTTCTGACTGGATTTGGCACAGCTAAGCATGGAATCAGAACCAGAAAGCCAGAGACCTACCTGCCAAATGAATGCTATTTCAAGATGTCTTCGATGTTGTTGTTTTCCTTTTAAATAAAAATGAAATAAAATCACATAATAACACCACAATGAATTCTGCACATGCTAAAATATGAAAGAGAGGACATTATTTTTTGACCTTTCAATATATGTGAAACACATTTTGTACTGGAACAAACAACTTGAAAATGTATTATACGCGCAAATGGCATGTGAATAGAACAGTTGCTTATGAGACTGGGAAAGAAGAGAAACTCTATTCATTGACAGAGGGCTGCCAAAATTAGATATTAAAAACTCCAAACCTTTCTCAGTTTAAGGAATAAAATTAGTCTCTTACAGATCCTACTCCTAAATCAAAAGATGAAAATTACCAAGCTTTAGTACACAACCACATGAATAATTCAGCCTATGAAAGCCACTATTATCCAGCAAGGAATCTCTAATATGCAATAGAAAGTTTTCTCAGAATCTCAGAGGAGTTCCAAGATTGAATTTCTCATGACAAATAGTGGTTCTGACAAATAAAAATTCTACCATGAAATATAAAGTCGACATTAAACTAACAATCTATTTAGTCAGCAAGCATTCAGTAACTATGAACCAGCTGGAAAAGACACACCCAATACAAATCTATATCTGTTCTGTCATCTATTCAGGACAAATTTATTGAGGACCTACCACATGCTCAGCACCATGCTGGGAGCTGGGGTGTCAGCAAGACAGACATAGTGTTTTTCCCATGGATAGAAATAAAGAGTCTCACTTTCTACTACTGGGCATGCCAACCTACAAGTGATAGTCACAACTCAGATTGAAAAGGTGCTGTTATTGGTGGCAGAATGATAAAACTCTTAGATCCAATTCTCTCAAGGCCAAAAAATTGATGGGGTTACATATAGTTAGATATAGATATTTAAATCACTTTTATTAGTTAAAAAATTTACATAAAGTCTATGTGAATTGTTTTTGTTTTGTTTTGTTGTTGTTGTTATTCTTCTGTCTTCTCTCCTTGTAAATCAAATTATGGGTGGATTGAAGTAGGATTAATGTTACCAACACAGAACACTGACTCTCATTTACAGCCTTTGGCATTGAACTGATCCAGAGAAATATCACCAGCATCAACATCATCATCATCATCAAGAGGCTTGCAAGGCCTACTTTATCAATCCTATTTATTATATCCATGGAACATGTGTTATTATCACCAAAATGGCACCAGGGACTTACAGAACATGTCTCAATTCGTAACTCCATTTATTGAATAGCAAATGGATTAAGTATTTTAGAAGTTGCAAATAGGCTGGCAAATGCAGATGGGCTGGGACTACAAGAAAATGTAATAAACTTCTAATAAAACATTTGAGCAAACTCACACATCTGTGGACAGATGGGAGGCATTACGTAATCGAGTCATTGCTACAGCAAGCTCTAACCGTGCCCCCCTCCTCTCCACCCCACCAACCCACCCTTACCCCCCACCCTGCCCCACTGCTGCTGTTGGGCCAAGGTTGAGGGTAAAGGGCCTCTGTGAGTTTTCCTTCTCTGTCAGCATCCAGAGAAAGTATTTTTAATATTTCTAAGATGAACTATTAAAATAGACAGCCTTTGACCCAAACCCACAAAAATACACAAAAATCCCCAAATCCTTGACTCAGGAAGCAAGGTTTCACTGCTTGTATTTGTTTGTTTTTTGAAACCGTAATATTTCCATGAATACACTTTGCTGCTTGCCAGAAGTTTTTGTCTCTGACAATGGCACTAGATGGTAATGTTTGAGGTGGGCTCCTTAATGCAGCTTTGGGGACTAATTTCCAAAGTGATCAATCAGCTGTACAAACCACTAAATGCAGACTAAGTGAATAATGTGAAATTAACACTTACAAGTCCTCCTTTTAAAGAGAATGTAAATATGTGTGGGTGTATATAAATTTTACTGAATTCCAGAGTAACATTAGAATTTTCTGTTTACAACTGACTAACCTTCAACTTGATATTCTGGAATGACTTTCCTCCCTTGATCAAAAGTATGTCTCCTGGAGTATTTAACACTTAAGGTGCAAAAATCTGGGGTGAGGGACAGGGGAAAAGAGAAAAAGGGGAAAACACTTCTACAGCATCTGAGAGAGAAGTTATCACAGAGAACTGAAGCAAGTATGTTTTAGAGATGAAACATTGACACAAGCTTTGGAGTCAGCTAAAACAGGATTCAGCCTTATCACTTTTCTGGCCATTGACCTTATACTACGTTTTTCTAATTGGTAAAATGGAGACAAAAATACTGTTGCAGTAGGTAGCTAGTCAGGCATGAGCAGGACAGGAGTGGGCTCCCCACGCCCCAACCCCAAACACATACCAGAAGTGTCAGGTTACCATCAGGTGATGGTCAGGTGGTTGTTAGCTGTCTCTCTAAAATAATAATTGGTCACAGCCGGCACCAGAGAAGGCCGTCTCCTAATAGATAGAAAACACCTGAAACTGGTGATCAGCAGCTTCCCCATAAGATCTTAGGAGTTGGGCAAGTGGGCTCAAGCATGTGAACTAAGAGGCAAAATGGTGGGGTTCAACTGATATATTACCTTCCTCTGGGAATGCTAGTAGACTGGTAAGGGAAGAACGCCTCAAGCGAGCATGCGTACAATTCCAGTAAACACACTGCGTATGCAGCCCCTCCCAAGCGCTGACCAGCCACTGCGCATAGCCCACCCCGAGGGAAGAATCAAAGAAGTAAAGCAAGACCCTGGAAGCATGCCATCATATAAAACCCCAAGTCAAAAGGTCAAACCATGCACTTGATCTCTCAAGTCACTCGCTTGGCCCTCTTCCAAGTGTACTTTACTTTCTTTCATTCCTGTTCTAAAGCTTTTTAATAAACTTCCACTCTTGCGCTAAAACTTGCCTCAGTCTTCTCCTTCTGCCTTACACCTCCTCCGTCAAATTCTTTCTTCCGAGGAAGCAAGAATTGAGATTGCTGCAGACCCCCTATGTATATGGATTTGCCCCAATGACAATAGTACCTAAAATAGAGATTTAAAACTAGTGTTTAAAATTATTGTAAGGTTTAAATGAATTATGTATATAAGGCACTTAGAAAAATGCCCAGCACATAGTAAGTACTCAATAAATGTTAGTAACAAATATTGTTGTATTTCAGACCAAAGTGCTAAAAAAATCAACTAAAAAAATTATTGTTCAACTATCGGGATCCTGAGTTTTAGCAGTAATGACAGTAGAAATCAAAGACTTCAAACTGTTTAGTAAATGTATGATAAGTCAGTTCTTAAAATTTTCCATTAGAAGCTAGATCATTATCATACACTTATGGTTATAACTCTCTTAGATTCTTCTGGTCCATCAATGCCAACAAGCTGCTAAAATGAAGATCATCACTGAAGAAAAAAAGTGTGTGACTATCTTCCAGCATGGGAGCCTAAGAACAAGAGATGTAAAGTAGAACTTGACTGTGAAATTCATAGGTTTGAGAAACGATATTTCCAAGATCACGATTCATAGGATTTCATAGACAGAAATTAGAATTTCATATGTCAACTCAGAATATTTTATTATAAAAACTTTCAAGTACAGAAATGTGTAGAGAATATCATAATAAACACTGGTATCCCCAGCCTTAAAAATTATAGCATTATGAAGACACTCAGGGCTGCCATGTTGAACAAAGTCACTGTTCTTTGAGTAGAAAGTGAATGATCTCCCTGGAGGATAACACATTGTATTCTACGTAGTTGGAACCCCACCAGCTACCCCAGGATGGAGCTATGTAGCCTTCAACCTAGACACAACCAAAGAGCTCCAGTAAAAACTTCCTGATATCATTCAGAAGCCACAATCCTGAATCTGATGTTTATTATTCCTAGTCCCATTTCTATACTTTTATTACAGATGTATCTATTTGTACGGATTTTCTGTTTTGAACTTATATGAACAGTATTATTCTTTATGAATCCCTCTGCAACTCGCTTTTTACGAACTTGATATTATGCTTCTAAAATATATTCCTCTTGATGTCTATAACTTTAGTTCATTCACTTTAACTGCTGAATAGTATTTCATTATATGAACAAATCGGTTTATTTATCCACTCTCCTTTTGATAAAGAATTGGAAGTTGTTTTTCTCTCCACATTTTTTGGATTAGAGCCTTGTAAGTATTCAATAAATGTTAGCAATAATTTTGTTTTGTTTTGTTTTGAGATGGAGTCTTGCTCTGTCGCCTAGGCTGGAGTGCAGTGGCGCGATCTCGGCTCATTGTAACTCTGCCTCCTGGTTTCAAGCAATTCTCCTGGCTCAGTCTCCCAAGTAGCTGGAATTACAGGCACACACCACCACACCTGACTAATTTTTGTATTTTTAGTAGAGACAGGGTTTCACCATGTTGACCAGGCTGGTCTCAAACTCCTAACCTCGAGATCCACCCACCTCAGCAACCCAAAGTGCTGGATTATGGGCGTGAGCCACCGCACCCAGCCTGTTAGTCATAATATTATGTCTTATTTTGCATTCAGTACCTTGGTGAGTAGTATCTACTCTTCACTCCTTATGTGACTTTTGTAAATTGGTATCTAAAAAGCTAAAAGTTGTATTTATCAAATTCCCTCACAGTAAGAGATCCACATATGATTTTGGTTTGGCCAAAGACAATCATGAAAGGTTTTTCAGCCTGAAAATAAGATAGACACTGCACTCTGGCCATTTCTTCTGCTGCAGTTGATAAGCACGAACACAGAGGTACTGACAGTGATGGCAGTAGTCCTAATGTCCACTCACTCACAGGTTTGAGAGGCAAGGCATAGTGTATCCATTTTGTCACTGTGAATTGTTGCAGACCTGCTGTGGGTCTGGAACTGGCAGCAGCAGCAACAACTTTCCTAATGATGTGATGATTTCCTAATTGTAGCAGCTTCCTGCTCATGGTAGTGGGTAGTTTGGTTCTATGGCTGGCAGCTTCCAGATCATAAAAAAGATGGCCTCAGGCCATGTACTGTGGCTCATGCCTGTAATCCCAGCACTTTGGAAGGCTGAGGAGGGCGGATCACTTTGAGGCCAGATTCAAGACCAGCCTCATCAATATGGTGAAATCCTGTCTCTACTAAAAATACAGAAATTAGTTGGGTGTGGTGGTGCGTACCAGCAGTCCCAGCTACTTGGGAGGCTGAGGCTGGAGAATCGCTTGAACCTGGGAGACAGAGGTTGCAGTGAGCCGAGATGGCACCACTGCACTGCAGCCTGGGTGACAGAGTGAGACTCCGTCTCAAAAAAAAAAAAAAGATGGCTTCAGTAGTCCATTCTGTAGTGCAGCTTTAGAAGTCATACCTGAAAGCTCAACTGAAAGTCTATTTTTCCATCCTCTAATGATTTCATTTAATACCCTATAATTAGAGAGAGATTTACCATGACGTTATTGAAGCTTAAGATTTCAGAGACCCTCATTGCACGGGCCAATGACTGGTTATGTATTTTTATAAAAATTGCAAAAGATATTTTTATTGCTATAAATGAAGGCTATTGTCTCTTTCCACTAGCACTTCCCCTCAATTATACTTTCCAGTGTTGATGGAGTGGCCTCAGGCATTTTCAAGTTGCAGTTAAGGAAAAATTGAGTTGGGCATATAATTAGATTGGATTAGCAGACATATTTTTTGTGTTTGCAATCACTCCTAGTTCTCACTGTGTGGAATCACCCAACTTCATGACATGAGGGGACAAATCGAGAGATCACATTGCATCAGGAGAGTGAGTAGTGAAGAGGCAACAAAGTTTAAAATTGACAGAGCCAGAAGTTAATCTGTGGAAAACTTATCCAAATCTTATGCTTCACATAAAAAAGAAATTTGACATAACTCTTCCAATTTTGGCAATAATTCTAAAAATGTACATGGCATTGTCAATAATGAGTTGTAAAGATGAAAGAAATTTTATAAACTGTTAATAACAAATTTCAGTCACCCACAAAAAAATACTACAAAGTCATTTATCAAATAAAGTCAATCAAAGGATGTATGAAGCAATATATATAAAAAAATACTGTAAAGGTTTATCCATTTGATTAATAAAATTATACATATTATTGTTCTTGATTTGTGATGCTTGTGGTAAATATAAGCTTTTTAAAAGTTGTAATTTGTTGTAATTTAGTTTCTTATTAATAAGTTTAAATTCATACCTAATTTTGTATTTGTAATGTAATATTCCTTTTCCTGAAGAAGGTCCCAAATTTTGTATTAAATTCGTGCCCCCAAACAATTAGGGCCTTCCCTGCCAGTAACAGATTCTTAAGCCAAAGTGGATTCTGCCCTCTGCCAATGGAATTCTAAATTAGTAAATTATGTAATTAGTATCAAGTGTGGTTTCATGCAACAGAGTTTCAAGGAAACTGACCTCTGGAGTTGGTTATCTCTTTCAGGTGGGTTTGAAAATAGTGAGAATCTTATTAGCAACAGATAATAACCTCTGCCTGGCAGGAATGAAGTACCTATGAAATGGAAGGTTTTGGCATACCAGCTGGCTGATCCACAACCCCTTATGGTGAAAATGATAAATAAAAGAATTGTGGGCAGAGTTGGCTAATTCTAAATGTATTGGAAAATTTTTTAAAAGAAAACATGAAGCTCTACATTTTAAATTGTTAGCTCAGTCCACAGGAGACCAGAGAATTTTAGAATTTTCCTAAAATAATGGCTCTCAAACTTCAACATGCGTAAGAATCCCCTGAACAAGGTTTGTTAATGTACAAACTGCTGGGTCCCCAGCCTCTAGAGTTTCAGAATCCAGTAGATCTAAGGTGAACCCTGAAATTTACATTTCCAATTAGTTTCAAGGTGATGCTAATATTGTTGGTCCAGGGACACTTTGAGAGCTACTGCCCTCAATGAATGTCTTATCTTTTGTACCTTCAAGGCAGATATAACTATAATCAGATGAAACAGGTGACTGAAATACAACTTAAATTCACAGCCTCACTTGGTCTCTTATGTGAAAGTTCGCACATTAATTGAGAAAGCATGGGACATTGTGACTTGGAATGGGAACACTTGAGCGGATTTAGATGACTCTGAGTAAATGAACCTCCAAGCGCCACTGAGACCGAAAACAGCAAATGTAGCCCCTCCCACTTCTGTCAGATAAATTTGTCATATTAAAAGATCCAGTGTGATTGCACCTGCAGTAATTACCTTGCAAAAAGATGCCAATTCTCCTTATGCTCCAACCTACCACCTCTCATCCACTCCAAATATAAAATCAGGTCCCAGCAGACCCCAAAGATGTAAGTACATAGTCTGGCTGAGAAAAAGCTTTATACAACGAAATAGTGTTAAGATTTTGCTAAGTTGTATTGGCATGTTTGTGTGCTGAGTAACCATAGAGGTGCAGTGTGGTATACACGGCTGACTGAGATTCACATGTGCAGAGGATAGAAAGCTAAAACAATATCCCTTCTCTTTTACAGACAGGTTCTGGAAGTGATTTAGACTGTGCCAACCAGATAAATTCAACAAGATTTGGGAGATAGAAGTGAGACAGAGATTGCACCTCTGTTCCTTCTGTGCTCTCTACTGGCAAGAATGATCATGGAGTCAGTGCTGGCCGAGTCGCAGTTTCTAGTCACGAGCTTTGTAGGTGTCGAGAGCCAGGGCGGGGTCTGTGTTGTTGGTGTGGGTCATAGCAGGCATGGCACTGATGTGGATCCAGCAGCAGTAGCAACAGTTTTCTGATCCTGGCAGTTTCTGGACTATGACAGTGACCTGGTGTGACAATGTACTACCCTTGGCAATGGCAATGTGGTTCTGGAGCCAGTGGCTTCCTGCTCATACAGGAGGCAGCAGCTCCTTTATTGGCTCAGTTCTGTGGTTGGAGTCATTCCTAAAATCACAACCTACAGTTTTCAGCCCTCCCAATAATGCTAAAGTCGTTGAATAACTTATAATAAATGCCGTCCCACTTAACTGGCTAGAATAAATTCTGTTCCTCACAAATGAACCCCAAATGATACAGAGCACATGTGTGAAAGTGTCTCCAGGGTATTTCCCCAGGAGTGAAATTGTTGAGCATAAGATTGGGCCACATTTTTCACTTGGATATTGCCAAATTGTCCTCCAAACTGTTGTGCCAATTTACATTGAAAAACTGGAGAAAATTCAGCAAAATTTGTGATTATGACATTTTTAATTTTTGCTAAATTGATGGATATGAAAAAAGATCTCATTTTAATTTGCAATTCCCTGATTACTGATTTTTTTGTACATTGATTAGTTATTAAGTTTCCTTTTGCAGTGAATTGCCTGGTCATATAATTTGTTCATTTTATGTGGACTTGCTTATCTCTTTATTGATTTTTATGGGTTCTTTATTCTGGATACAAAATCTTTGCAATTGTAAATATCTTCTATTCTAGCTAATGGTATCCCTTTTCACTTTACTAATATAATTTTTACTATACAAAAATGTTTCACATCAATGTAATTATCAATCATCTCCTTTGTTGTTCATGCTTTTTGTATCTCATCTAAGAAATCTGTCCTTTCTTATATGGCATAAGAGATATTCCCCTATATCTTTTAAAAGTTTTGAACTTTTTTTATTTTTACCTCTGCAATAAATCTAGAATTTATTTTTGTAGATATATGTAATGTAATTTTATTTTTTGCATATGAATAACTAATTGTTTTGGCACTGTTTGTTAAGTAATTTATTTTACCCCACTGATTTTAAAAAATTCATTAATTTATTTTTTATTATACATACTTAAGGTGCACAATATGGTATTTTAATAGGCACAGTGAAATAATTACTAGAGGTAAGCAAATTAACATATCCATCACCTTCCATGGTTACCTCTTTGCGTGTGTGTGGTAAAAGCACCTAAAATCATTATCTTAGCACATTTTAGATATACAATATAATATTGTTAACTATAGTCCTCATACTGAACATTAGATCTTCAGAGTTACTCATCCTGCGTAAGTGCAAGTTTGTACCCTCTGACCTACATATCCCCATTTCTTCCCCCTCCCTGTCCCTGGTAACCAACTCTACTCTCTATGTATTTGACTTTTCTTTTAGATTCCACATATAAATGAGATTATGTTGTACATTTCTTTCTGCATCTTGCTTATTTCACTTAATATAATGTTCTCTAGGTTCATCCATATTCCATTGTGTGTGTGTGTGTGTGTGTGTGTGCAGAGAGAGAGAGAGAGACCATGTGCACAATTTCTTTATTCATTCATTGGTCAGTGGACACTTAGGTTGTTTCCATATCTTGGCTACTTTACCCCACTGATTTAATGCTACCTCTGTCCTATTCCAGGCTTCTATATATCCAATGGTCATTTACTGAGTCATCAAGTCTCTTCCATTGCTTATGTCTATACTTGCAGCATTACCACACTGTCCAAATTTTTATATTGATAATCTGGTAGGGTAAGTTTCACAACAATCATGTTAAAAAATTGTTTTGGCTATTCTAGGCAGGCAAAAGGCTATAGTTATAGACCAGAAGAAATAAGGCTACCCAATACAGACAAATTAGGGGGTACCATTTAACTAGTGAACAAATAAAATGCTGTATTCTAGAGTATCAATATGTTTTCTCTTGACTAAATCTAATACTTCAAGTTTTTTACCTTCAACTTCAATAAACTTCTGTTCATTCTGTTTAACAAGTAGTTAATTACACTAATCTACAAATCATGGAAACTCTTTTTTAAACTCATGTTTTAATGACCATATTATTCAGCCTTAAAGAAGAAATTGTATTAGAAAATGATATGTTTAATCCGTTTGTCTCTATAAGTCTACTAATTTCCTTCAGTACTAAAAAATAAGAGGTAATGGATGTACTTGTGCATATCCAACTCATTTTGCTATTTGCTTTAGCTCCCTAATAAACTATTTTAAGAGTAAGTCTGTTTTTCTCTTAAATTCAAAGCCTTTCATAAGAACTGAGGCATTTAATTCTCACAACAGCCATATGAAGCAGTTACTATTATATCATGCCCATTATACAGAAGAGGAAAATAAGACACAGAGATCCTAAGTAACGGGGACAGTGTCCTTCTCTTGCTAGTAAATGGCAGAACCGAGGCTTGAACCCAGGCAATATGGCTTCATCACTCTCCCATTTAACTTAACCTCTGCAGCTCTACTGCCTCTCATCAAACTGAAAATCACAGAAATTTATAGTTACAACCTAGGACAAATACTTTTTAAGGAGAAGGACAAAGATCTGTAAGAACATGTAACAAGAAAATATGACCTACTACTTACTAAGTGTAGTTCTTCCTATACCTACATTCTCTCACTCTCTCACCTTATCAATTATCAAAGTATTTTTCTAAGACAGTTCTTTTTAAGGAATTTTGGTGAATAATATTTTCTTTACATTAGTACATAAATATTTCAAAATCATCTAGTTATAAGCTACTAATATCAACATTATTATCATTCATTGCTGTAGAATATTGTTTCTTGGTATGTCAAAAAAACATTAACCCTTTATTTAGATTTTCCTTAAAGCAGAATCATCCACTTGTCAGAGCGTCTCTAATCCAAACCAGAGGATGACTGTACTAATTAGCTTTACTGTAGAAACAATGAACCTCAAATGATAATGGCTTCCTAAACAAGGGGATTCTTTTTTAATTGACATTTCACATAGGCTCTAGGTCAGCTGCCCATGTGTTTTTGGCAGTGAGTAGGCTGTAGCTCTTCTTTATATTGTCTTCATATTCTAGAACACAGGCTGAAGATGCAGCCTCCATGTGGGACATGCCATTCTCACAGCAGATGAAAAGGAGAGCCAGACTCAAGCACACAATGGCTTTTCAACCTTCTGCTCAAACATGATACCTATCATGTCCACCCACTACTGGCCAAAGAAGTCCCTACTGGCCAAAGAGGCTCAATGTCAGTGAGACAAAGAAGGAGAGAGACTATACAGATGGATAGTGGCTGGACCTAGGCAATAGAACTCTGAGTCACAACCTCTGCAGCAACCAGCCTAGAAAGCCAAACCACAACCTCTGTGGCAATCAGCCCAGAACGGTCACGACTTCATCAGTGACTCCTGGGTTCCCTCTTTTTTGCCCCTGCTTCCAACTTAGGCTCAATCAGAGAAAGTAAAACATGCTCTCCTAACCAATCACATAACATGCCGCACTTCAAGTTAGCCAGCCTACAGTGTTGCCACACCAAGCCTGTTTTGCCTGTGATGCAGTATGCCAATGACTGAGATGATGAGTTTTGCAGCAGAGAAAGGGTTTATTCATGAGTCAGCCAAAGCAAGAAGATAGGAAAATCTGTCTCAAATACATCCTTTCCCCAACTAAAGATGGGATTTTAGGGGTATTTATGGCATAGAAGGGCAAGGTGGTTCAAGACATAGGGAAAGGTGACTGGGGATAAGGAATAGTGAGGCAATCAGTGATCTTCACAAGCGTAGTCAAGCTTCATAGTTCTTCATAGGATGCATAGTAACAAAATGGCATCAGCAGCATGATCGGAGGGTGGAGTTTTTGGCCCTCTGACATCAAAAGGTCAGCCATTGGACCCTCATGCAGGCCCAGTTGAAGTGTTGGTGGTCTTGGCCAGCTTGAATTAGACAAAAGCTGACTCTGACTCTAAGTTCCTGAAAAATAACTTAGGCAAACGTTACAATGCTGACCTATATATTAGAGATGTTATTTCTAAGGAAGGTGTGGGAATTTAGATATATATAGTTTAGCTATGTGACTTTTAGCTATATGGGTTTTAAAATCAACTAAAAGCAAGTGACTAAAAACAAGTGAGGCAATTTAAGTTTGGTGTGCCTAGTGATTAGCCCTTGGTTCGGCAGCTTGCCCATGCCAACATCCTCCAATCAGAACATGCCTGAAGTCTTCCCTATAGTTTTCACTATAAACTTTCCTATTCTGTCTGCCTGCCTTTGAATCTCTGGTAAGTGCAAGTGATGGTGGCTGGCTCACTTGCTATATAGCGAATTCTGAATAAATAGCTTCTGTTTGTTTCATTTGGGTGGTCTTTTCTTATTTCCACAAAATACACCCCTCCTATGGTAGCAGGATGAGGTGGGAAGGGTTACTGCAAATTACAGTAACCTAGGTGAGAATTCCCTGGGTGAGAATGAGTAATCTTTTGAAGGAAGAGGAGAAGGATATCATTGTTCTTTGAAGGAAAAGGATAATAATACAATTGGCTATTGTTCACCCTTGGTGTCATGAAGTTGCTTTCCACCTCTTCACATGTGAAATTCTATCCAGCTGTGAGAGTATACTTGAAGTCCAGCATTTCTTGATAGTCTCTATTTCAGGTCTGGATATCTCTACTCTTTCTTCAGAAACATCTGGACTAAAACACGAGTTATATACCCAAGATATAATAGTGGCTCAGGAATAAGACAATAGTAACAAACAATTTTTACAAAGGAGAGTCGAAGATGCACAGCAATCACTGATCTAAAATCTTCCTGGGCAAACAGAACAGAGCCCTCAGAAATAACGCCACATATCTACAACTATCTGATCTTTGACAAACCTGAGAAAAACAAGCAATGGGGAAAGGATTCCCTATTTAGTAAATGGTGCTGGGAAAACTGGCTAGCCATATGGAGAAAGCTGAAACTGGATCCCTTCCTTACACCTTATAGAAAAATTAATTCGAGATGGATTAAAGACTTAAACGTTAGACCTAAAACCATAGAAACCCTAGAAGAAAACTTAGGCATTACCATTCAGGACACAGGCATGGGCAAGGACTTCATGTCTAAAACACCAAAAGCAATGGCAACAAAAGACAAAATTGACAAATGGGACCTAATTAAACTAAAGAGCTTCTGCACAGCAAAAGAAACTACCATCAGAGTGAACAGGAAACCTACAAAATGGGAGAAAATTTTCGCAACCTACTCATCTGACAAAGGGCTAATATCCAGAATCTACAATGAACTCAAACAAATTTACAAGAAAAAAACAACCAACCCCATCAAAAAGTGGGCAAAGGATATCAACAGACACGTCTCAAAAGAAGACATTTATGCAGCCAAAAAACACATGAAAAAATGCTCACTATCACTGGCCATCAGAGAAATGCAAATCAAAACCACAACGAGATACCATCTCACACCAGTTAGAATGGCAATCATTGAAAAGTCAGGAAACAACAGGTGCTGGAGAGGATGTGGAGAAATAGGAACACTTTTACAATGTTGGTGGGACTGTAAACTAGTTCAACCATTGTGGAAATCAGTGTGGCGATTCCTCAGGGATCTAGAACTAGAAATACCATTTGACCCAGCCATCCCATTACTGGGTATATACCCAAAGGACTATAAATCATGCTGCTATAAAGACACATGCACACGTATGTTTATTGTGGCACTATTCACAATAGCAAAGACTTGGAACCAATCCAAATGTCCAACAATGATAGACTGGATTAAGAAAATGTGGCACATATACACCATGGAATACTATGCAGCCATAAAAAATGATGAGTTCATGTCCTTTGTAGGGACATGGATGAAATTGGAAATCATCATTCTCAGTAAACTACCGCAAGGACGAAAAACCAAACACTGCATGTTCTCACTCATAGGTGGGAACTGAACATTGAGAACACATGGACACAGGAAGGGGAACATCACACTCTGGGGACTGTTGTGGGGTGGGGGGAGCGGGGAGGGATAGCATTAGGAGATATACCTAATGCTAAATGACAAGTTAATGGGTGCAGCACACCAGCATGGCACATGTATACATATGTAACTAACCTGCACATTGTCCACATGTACCCTAAAACTTAAAGTATAATAATAATAAAATTTAAAAAAAGAAATGTCAAATACTATATAACATTAGAAGAATAGCAGAATAGAATATTGTTGCTGCTGTGAATGAGTTAATTTTTAACTGCTTATTATAAGTACATAGAAAAGCTATTAAGTTTTGAATATTTGTTTTATAAGCAGCCACTTTACTGAGTGCTATAATTTGACCACAGTATTTTTTAGTTGATTTTCTTGGGTTTCAGTAATAGATAAACATATTACCTACAAATAATGATAATTTTGTCTTTTCCTGTCAGTTATATCTCCTTTGTTTTATTGTCTTATTACACAGGCTAGAATTTTCTGAATAATAAAAAAGAAAACAGCAGTGATAAAAAAAATAAATAAGTAAAATATTCCTGGGCAAATGTTACAAAGTCTTCTTCTTCTGTGTGGAGAAAATGCTCCTTGATTGTATTCCAGTTCTTTTTCCTGGAAGTAGTTCTGCAGTCCATTTTTCTCTTGGCTATACCCTCTGGGAGGTCTTTCTTCTTTCATTATCCTCTTTGGCTACATCTAAAGAGGTCACTATGGAATATGCTCTCCTTTGTACCTGAGCATCTTACTTGCCTGCTTCCTGCCTACTGAGAATTGGGGACCCAATAGTTTGCTTTGTATTGAACAGTCAGGCACTCTCTCTCCCTCTCTTTGTCTCTCTCTCTCTTTTATAAGCACACCAGACACACACACACACAAACACATACACACAGACATGCACATGTGCACACACCACTATTGGCTTTATATCTATTTGATTCCAGTTAGATCCATGTATGCTGTGGTTTGAATGTGTTCCCCAGTGTTCAGGTGTTGTAAACTTAATCCCAAATGGAACAGTGATGACAAGTGGGGCCTTTAGGATATGCTTAGATAGTGAGGGCTCCTCCCTCATTAATGGATTAATATGGGTTAGTTATCTTGGGTATAGGTTCCTACCAAAAGTTCAACTGCTTTCCAGTCTCTTTTGTGCTCTTTTGTCCTTCAATCTTTCACCATGGGATGACAGAGCAAGAAGGCCCTCACCAGATGCAGCTCCTTGATGCTGGACTTCCCAGCCTCCAGAACCCAATAAACTTCTATTGTTTATAAATTAGCCAGTTGGGAATTCTGCTGTAGCAACAAAAAATGGACTAAGACAATGTGCCGAAAGCCATGAGTACAATTTTTGTCAAGATCCTCTCTCTAACAAGCTTATCAGTGTTTTATAGAATAGACATGCCCTTATCATCGCCTTTCCCTGAGCCATCTGTCCAGATGAAAGGATTTATTTTGGAGGGAGTGTCATCCTTTTAGAGATTTTAACTAATGATGTAGTAGCCACACCCCTCAATTGATTCTTTTTGAACATTGAGTTTTAGTTGGCCCCTGTTGCTCAGAGGATGTCTAAATTTTATCTTCTACTGTTAGATAAGAAAATTAGTTGCATGTTTTCAACCCTGGAAGTCTCAACATTTCCAAATTTTCCATTTCTTTTCTTTATCCTTGGTCAATTCTTTTCTGAGCTCATCTCTTCTTTATAGTTTCTTGTCAAATGCATCTAACAACAACCATGGTACTCTGGTGACATTCTGTTTTACTACATCTTAACCCAAATCACAAGTATATTAATATATTATCTGCCTTCAAATTTTTGTGGACAGCAGTTATAACAAATGCTCACTACTCCACATCATAGATTGGCATTTTTGTCTGTCTTTAATCAAAGTTTCCTTGTTACACACTGGCCAGGAGCTAATGCTATACCTTTTAGGGGTTTTGCTATGCAGCATTCCACTCCTGGTTCCATGTTTTTCATATTAGGCAACTTTGCTGTAATAACAAATGATCCCCCAGTCTCTTTGGCTTATGAAATAAAGATTCATTTAGTATATGTGTTACATGTAGGCTGCAGGTAGGCTGTGACTCTACTCCACACAGCTTCTCATTCTCAGACCCAGGCTGGAGAAGCAGCCCCTGCTTGGAACACGTCATTCTCATGGTAAATGGAAAACAGTGTCATAGCTAAACATTTAATGGCATTTATTACATCTGCTCAAATATGATTGGTCAAACGAAGTCACATGGCCAAGTCCAATACCAAATGGGACAAGAAAGAATATTTCTCCATAGGAAGGAATTGCAATGGGTTAAAATGTACAATCTTGTCACAATGAAAGGGGAATAAAACAGAGAAATAATCAAGTTGACCGTTATGGTAAAGAATAGAATTACTTGAAGAATATGTGTTTCTCTCTTGATATGGACAAAGCAAGAGAATAAAAAAAAAATGAGTTTAAAATCCTGACTAAAACCTTTTGTTGTTGTTTGTTCATTCATTTATAATCATAGCTCCTAATAATTTTAATTTCTATTAGCAAGATACTAGTTTTGTTATCTCCTGGGAACAGTGACGACCCCCATCTCTAGCTAGGTGCAGTTATTGTTTATACTGCCTTACATTTGTTCCTGCTAAACATTGATAAGAAGAAGGAAAAAAAATACTATATGTGTGATTTGCTTTTGCTCTCGGTTGCTTTGTTTTCACTCTTCCGCTCTAGTCATACCTGAATTTGTAATATCCCATGTAGAATAAAAGAAAAATTGTTCCTCATCAACTCTGCTCATTTCCTGTCCCTAAGAACACCAAGACAAGAAACACTGGGTGGCAATGGAAGGGTAGGACTGCAGATTCCAGCCTTCAGGGATATAAAACTATTGCTCCCTCTGGCAACTTAACTTTCACCAACAGACTAGGCCAATTTTGAGAATAGCATGAAGATAGTAAGGCCACATCTATTCCAATAATAAAAGTACTCAAAGTATAAGAGTAATCTGCCCTACATATCAGTAAGTAAATGGCCAATTGCCCTCTTTGTCAGCCTTTTACTCCAGTCCAGTGTTGGGAGCAGAGACTCAATCTTACATCTTAAACAGGGCTTTTGCTAGCTTGTATGAGCCTTTGTTCCAAATAGAAAAAAGGTGTCCTGGCTGGGTGCCATGGCTCACGCCTGTAATCCCAGCACTTTGGGAGGCCAAGGTCGGCAGATCACTTGAGGCCAGGAGCTCGAGACCAGCCTGGCCAACATGGCGAAACCCCATCTCTACTAAAAATACAAAAAGTTAGCCTGGCGTAGTGGCAGGTTCCTGTAATCCCAGCTACTCGGGAGGCTGAGGCAGGAGAATTGCTAGAACCCGGGAGGCGGAGATTGCAGTGAGCCGAGATCACACTACTGCACTCCAGCCTGGGCGACAGAGCGAGACTCTGTCTCAAAAAAAAAAAAAAAGAAAAGAAAAGAAAAGAAAAATGGTGTTCCTTCTAGGTAGATGAATTAGAAAAAGCACCCTCACCACCATTCATAAATTGTTTTTAATCCACCCCCCCCAACTTTGGTGAATTAGAAGATGCCCCCCATGGCCCCACCAAGCTAGAGCACATGGCTTAGATAAAGAAAGCAGCTTTATAGAAAGAAAAAATGCAACCTCCACTTCCAGCAAATACAGCCCTTAGCCAGGGTTTTGGTTTGGTAAATGCTGTGTGGCTTCGACTGCAGACCCCACTCACTCCTTGGACCAGGTGCCTTTGTTCAGTGCACAAAAGCACAATTATGGGTGACAGCCTTGCATTTGACATTAAGCATGGGATGCAAAAAATTCTCATGTAAAACTTGTCCAAATGTATATTTTCCCCCAATAAATTTCATTCTCAGCTTCTGCGGACCAGTGTTGAGTGGTTTAATTAAACTCCACACTGATGTGAGCCAGTCACTTGCATACATTCTCTATTGAAAAAGGAGCCTTAGGGAACTTAGTGGTCTGAGCACAATAAGACCTTTCTCTTCCATGTAGGCAATATGTCATGTTTAGTGCCCTCCAATGGAGTTATTTATATACTTCCTTAATGCAGAAACAAGCTGCTGGGCTCTGGCTTGGGGGTGTTTTCTTTCTCTCTCTTTCACTATCATTTTGCATTTTATTCTCCTTTCTGGTTCAGTCCTCCACATTCAGATCCTTACCTTTTCCCGCCAATTGCCAGTAACAGTATACTTAAAAATGTTTGCAGGATTTTCTCCAGACACCTGCTGTCAACTACCACATGTAGGAGACTCATATAGTAAATGGCTCTCATTAGAAAGATTTGCCATATGCTATCATAAAGAAGCCATTCTTCAACTCTTGTGCTTCCCACATTATGCCCAGCAGTTGCAAATTTCACAGCATTCACAAGTAGAGTTTTAACAACAACAAAAAAAATGGTAAACAAACTAACATTATTTACTTTTGGGAGATGCCAATGTCAAAGCATTGCAGCAGCCTGAGCTATAATGTGGGTTTCAATTTTTCACATTTGTACAATATCCATTCTGGCAATGTGTGTGTGTGTTCAAAGTGAAAAAAGAGTGGCTGGTTACTTGGGTTTTTTTTAATAGACCTACTCACAGTAGAAGCAGTCATGAATAACGTACAACCACTCATCAGAAGCCATATGAAGTTCATAAAGTAGAAGATGAAAATAAATACACTAGTGTTTTTTTAAAAAAACTTGCTCAGCTCTAATATTTATCAATGTCATTTGAAAGTTGATATTAACTAATAATTTTTTAAAAAAATTTTTGAAAAAGAAATTTATTCACTTAACAGAGGAGAATCAATGTGGTTGGCCATTACAATGTAACCAAACTGAGTTTATAAAGCTTTAATAAGATGGTTTATAGATTTTCATTGCATTATGATCCTCCTGAGGATTCTAACATCAGCTAATCCAGTAATGAATGTACTGTAGATCTTGTCCTTTTCAACCTTAATTGGTAGGAAGATAAAAGAAAGATGTTTTCAACTGCAGCTAACAGAGATCTCAAATCAAACTAATCAGAATGATTTTAAAAAAGAAAGTATTTCACATAAGAGGTCTAGAAGTAGGGAGGGGTATAGGATTGGTTAGATCAGCAGCTAATGATGTTATCAGTTCTATATTTCCCTCCACTATTGTTGGCTTTATTCTCAGGCTGGTTAGAAGATGACTTTGGGAATTCTAGAGCTCAGATCCTACTAAAATATAGATGATGGACTTTCTCTTCTGTGGCTCTCTTTTAGAAGCAAGCAAATGTGTTCTAGAAGCTCTCCCAGAAGCTTCCACATCTCTTTACTAAACCACCAGCAGCAAAAAAAAAAAAAAAAAAAAGGCAGGGGAGTGGATTATCCGTAATAAAGTAGACTCCCTGTTGGAGCTGGGCAGATGCTAGTTACCCTTAGGCAGATGGCTGCATGCTGTTAGAGAGGTATACTTTCACAAAATTGGGTTTCTGATAGATAAAAAGAAAGAGAAAGTGAATGTTGAATGAGGACCAATATGATCCTCTCAGATAGCTAAATCTGCAAGTAGTTTAATAACTGTTAGTAAGTTTCTCTAAAATTAGTACTGAAATCCTGACTATAAAAACAAAAAGTTCTTCCTTCTCAAAGAAATTAACCAGTTTCTTCATTAGGTCTATTATTAAAACAAAACAAAACAAAACAAAAAACCTATGCACTCTTAGGAATGCACTTACTGAGTCCATTCAACCTCAAAACTAAGAAATTTCTCATTAACTATTTTTAAGTAGATTTTTGGCTTCTTTTAATTGCTGATACTACAGAGAAAGATAAGTGGATTCATGGTCAATATGAAGACTTCTTAACAGCGTAAAAAAAATGTGGATTTTCTCAAAAGATAAGAGAAACATTTTCAGCTTACTGTCATGTATTATTTTTTTCTGATGTTATAGCTACTGATTCACATTTTTGGATTCCATGTAAGTATTCTACATGTTTTTTATGTAGTCTAACACCTTATAGTCCTTGGACCAGCAGCATCAGTGTCATCTGGGAGCTTGTTAGAAATACAAAAATCTCAGGCCCACCCCAAACCTACAAAATATGTATTTTAACAAGATTCCCAGGAGATTCATTTGCACATTAAAGTTTGAGCAGCACTACTGTAAGATATATGTAGTCACTACCTTGTCTCCTGGTGCTGGAGGGATATATGCATAATATGAAATCTAGAAATGACCTACAGTGCATAACTCATGTTACTTTAGCTTGGAACTTGAAGAATTAAGTGAATATCATGGACTCAGAGAACAAAATTTCTGCTCATCTTTTATCACTGTTCCATTAATGCAAATATCAAGATTTCACTTAAACTCATTGACTTAGACATAAGGGATACCAGATCAGAATAATGTCTGATTGCTTCTTCTGATCTTGTTAAAGCAGCCTAGATATTTCCATATGGGTTTGCGGGTACACAGTGGGAAAACTAAAGATCAGAATTTGCTTGGAGACATTTAGACAAAAGCTTGTATTATTTCTACCAAGTATGGACTCAGGGTGATATGGAGGCCAAAACATGGCTGTGCTCTGTAAATACCCATGTGAATTTTTTTAAGTGATAATAAAGCTAAAGTTACAGACTGAAATTTGTTCCTAAGTTTGATCATTTGGACAAGTACAGTATGTTCAGAGACTTATCTACCCCACATTTAGCATACTCCCCATCTTGGCATTTCTCTCATTTCCTCGAAAAGCCTTTTCTAGAGAAATTTCAGATCAGCAGCCAAAGAAAATTCAGCTCAATTTGCCCTGCTCCCCATGGAGCTCCCAATGACTGAAGGCTTTCATTCCCTTCTCTCCCACATTAATTCTGATGTGCATTAGTCACCATCTGTGTTTCCTCAGGCTTCATGATGAAAAAGTGGTCAATTTGCTGGGCCAGTCTACACTAAGTTAGTAGGCTGCTGCTTCATCTTCATAGGCAGTTGTTTTGCTTTATTTTGTTTGTTGTTGAAGTTTTTTGTTTTACTGCATACAATTAAAGTGAAATACAAAGATTTATAAAGTTATGGTAAAATCTACAAATGTATGATCTACAAATATGTAGTTCCCAGCACCTTAGCTCCCCATTTGCTATGTAACAGCTCTTTGTCATTTGTCCTCCCACACCCATGGCTTTGCAGCATTTCCTCATTTTTCTCCTACATTCAGCCCTGCCCTCGCTGCTCTTCCTTGAACCAATGACCTTGCCTCTTGCTTTATTGAGAGATACGTGGCTTGCAAGTGAAAAGTCTTTGCTCTGACCTTCCAATTCCAATTTCTACACACCCCTATCTTATCCTCATTTTCCCATTCTTGAGAGGTAATATCCCTTATCCAGTTCTAGACACATCCCTTTACCTTCACTCTTGATCCCATCTGTACTGTGTTGAAGGGCAGTCCCTAAAAAGATGGATTCACATTCTAATCTCTGGAACCTGAGAATGTTACTTTATTTGGAAAAAGGGTCTTTGCAAATATGATTAAGTTAAGGATCTTAAAATAAGATCATCCTGGATTATTCAGCTCGGCCCTAAGTTCAATAACAAGTGTCCTTATAGAGAAAGGCAAAGGAAAATTTGAAACAGAAGAGAACAGGACAAAAACACATAGAGAAAAAGATGATATGAAGATGAAGGCAAAGATTGGGGTGATCATACCACAAATCAAAGGAGTGCCAGCAACCACCAGAAGTTAGAAGAGGCAAGGAAGAGGTCTCACCATCAACCAGGCTCCAGAGAGAACATGGCCCTGCTGACACCTTGATTTCAGACTTCTGGCCTCCAGACTGTGAAAGAATAAATTGTTGTTGTTTTAAGGCACCAAGTTTTTGATAATTTGTTATGACAACCACAGGAAACTAATAAAACTTCCTTAGCAGAGGAAGATCTTGCTCCATCAATTCTTCCTTACAGTTCTTTCTCCTACATTTTCAGTTTCCCTGCTGCTTGTTTTCCCCTAGCAATACATTCTTGCAATTTTCTTCCATCATAAAACCTGTTGCTGTTTTTTAACTCAGTACCACTTTCTCTTTCCTTTCCAGGTAAGCATTTAAAAAAAATATTCTGCATGCTTAGCTCCCTGTCCATTAGCTTCCTCTCACATTCCAAACTGCTGCAATCGAACTTCTCTGCATACCACTCCACTGAAATGCTCTGGCAAATGTCACCTATGTTCTCAAAGTGCTAAAGCCAACGGACTCTTCAACTTTCATCTTATTTGACCTCATGGTTGCATTTGACAATACTGCAAACCCCCTTGAAATATTTCCTTCTCTTCAATTGTAAGATGTAACTCTCTCCTAATTCTCTTACCCCTTTAACCATTCCTTCTTGAACTCCTTCTGTTGCTCCTATTTTCCTAGTCATGAAAATATTCCTAATACTCAAGCTTCTTTCTATTCATGTCTTTTTTCTCTTTCATTTATGTGCTTTCTGAGTAACTTCCTCTTGTCCTATGGCTTTATGCCACATGTAGAGATGAAAATCTAATAGATTTCTTGATAAAAGCACATCTCTGGAGCTGTATGTACATATAGCCAACTGCTGAATGTATCTACCTTAATGCCCCATTAACACCTCAAATTTAATATTTCAAAATTAAACTCTAGTTTCACCATCAAAATTGGCAAACATGGGAGCTATTGTTGGGAGGCAATTCTCTATAGCATTTCTACCTACATATCTCAGATTATCTTTCAAGGATGTTAGTATAGCAAACAACCTTGGAAAATAGAGGTTGCAATGAAGTGAATGTTTGTGTCCCCCTGAAAATTTACATGTTGAAATCCTAACCCCCAATGTGATGATATTAGAAGATGGGGTTTTTGGGAGATAATTAGGTCATGAAAGCGAAACCATCACAAATGGGATTGGCACTTGTACAAAAAAGATCCCAGGAGCTCTCTCTTCCCCTTTCTGACATGTAAAAAACACAATGAGAAGTCAGCAGTCTGCAATTTGGCAAAGGGCCTTCACCAGAGAGAACCTGACCACAATGGCAACTGATCTCAGACTTACAGCCTCCAGAACTCTAAGAAATAACTTTAGATTGTTTATAAGCCACCTAATCTATGGAATTTTGTTATAGCAGCCTGAACAGACTAAGACAGGTAGTGTCTTTTCCTCTGAGTCACGGGGCAAATATGTTTCCTGATTACAATAACGAAGATAATTTCTTCCTTCATGAGCAAAGGTTGGGCAGCTTTGCTAACAGACCCTTTAAAAGACTGGGGGTTCCTTTGTGCATGATTCCTCAGCTCTGAGATCACTGTAGGTCAGCATTCAGCTGGGTCTGCTCCACATTGTCCATGAGACTTGGGGAATAAGAGGAACCAGTACGAACATGAAGCTTGTACTGCCTGCTGTCCCAAGAGTAAGCAACTGTCTAAATCTGTTTTTGCTCACTGTTTCCTTATCAGCTGAATTTATGGAACTGTGACCAGCCAGCCTAGCAGCTGCAGTAGTCACTGCTGCTTAGAGACTGCTGGTCCACTTGACAGCTATATGCCTACACAAGGAAGGAAACGGGAAAATGGCCAAGATAGTGCATAAAAAATTCGACATTGAGTTAGTAGAGGCTGGAGATGGAAATGTTTGGGCCAAGTGGAAGACCGAGGACTTCAGCTGGTGGGTTGTCAAAAGCAGAGGTAGAAAACCCTAGATACCTCTTTAGGTACTTCAATCTAAAGAAGTCACCAGTTGTCTATCTCAAAATGCAGAGCAGAAATCTATCTGCCACATGTGAACTTCAGAGGTCTGACTCACATCCATTGGACACTGGCTTCCTGCTGCCCACAGTGGAGAAACTCATTGGCTAACAAGGCATGCCACTTGTATTGGGCATAAGAAAACACTATGGATTAATCAACAAATAAACAAAAATTATATTCCTTTAGTGTTCTACATCTCAGTTAAATGTACTATTTACCATCCCCCAAGTCAAAAACTTGAGAATTATACTCTTCCCTTCCTTTTATCTTCTCTCCTAATCTACTCCATCATATTGGTGACTAAGTACTGACAATTCCATCTCTGTTACATATCTTCTTTAAGTCTCTTTATCACCACCCCACTTCTACAGCTTTACTTCAGGCTATCATCACTTTGCATCTGGACTCTTCCTATAGCCATCTAACCTATCTCTTTGTCTCAATCTTGCTTTCTTCAAATCTTTATCTGTTCTGCTGCTAAACTGATCACATTTGTCCCCTGCCTAGAACCCTTTTGGGTTTCCAGACTGCCTAAAGGTGAAGTACATACTGAAAAATGGCATATAAAACCTAAAACAATCCGGCAAATGCCCTTTCCTAGCTTCCTGGTAAACATCTTACTCAGTTTTCAGGATAGTTTTCATAGATGTGACCTCGTCTCTTAAGTTTTCTTGATACTCTTTGTCCCCCTATACTGGAATTCTAACTATATTTCATACACAGTTCAATCAAAGCACTGGTATGCTCTATTATATTTGTGAGTTTACATATTTATTCCCTTTGTACTGGATTATTAAATAAGTGAAGAAATGATACCCCTTCTTTATTCCTAGCACCTTGCACAGTACAGAACACAGAGTAAGCACTAAAACAATGCTAGCTAAATACGTTAATGAATGGATAGATGAAGAACATTAATATCGTCTGCTGCCTTAGAGTCATGTTGGTTGTACTGAAGTGGAACAGAAAAAAACATGGCATCAATTTTATATATGGTAATTAATTTAAAACATATTAAATGAAAATGAGCAAGGACTTATGAATCATAGTGTAAATGTTGTATTAATATTTAAGGTAGAGTGTTTAAAGAAAGTTTGAACATGACTTGGACTACTTTGGGCTAAGACCCAGATTGCCACAGGGCAGACAAAATTAGTGTTCGTGTTCTCTACCACTGAGGAGGTATTTTAGTGTAAAAGTTTCCAAAGTAATGTTGGAATATTGCATTTATTGTAAGTCATAATATGCAACTCACAATAGAGATATTATTAGCTAGGAAACAGAGTTTACGTAAGAGAGGTATAGAGCTGCTATGGTGTAATATTGGCGACCCCGCACAAATTCATATATTAAAAATTTAATACCCGATATGATAGTATTAAGAGGTGGGGCCTTTGGAAAGTGATTAAGTCATGAGGGCCCTTATAAAAGAGGGCCAAGTGAGTTCATTTGCCCCCTTCCACAATGTGAGGATGCAAAAAGAAGTGGTGAGTGAGTCCTCACCAGACACCAAATCTTCTGGCACCTTGATCTTGGACTTCCCGTCCTCCAGAGCTGTAAGCAATAAATTTCTATTGTTTATAAATTACCTGGTCTAAGGTATTTTGTTATACTAGCCTGACTAGACTAAGACAATCACTTCAACCAACAATACAGGAAGGTCTGCATTTATACCCAAAATATATTCTTAGGTAATTATTTACATAAAAAAATTCAACATAGAATTCTTTTAAATATCAAATTCTCCTATGGCATTTAAAATACTGTTCAAATTATAAATATATGACCCTCCCTCAACTTTTCAGAAAGAAGAAAATTCTTACATCCTGGATTTCATATCAAGTTTAGTCCATGACAACAATTTACAGGGAAGATGTAAGCTTGCACTGCAGACTCCAGCTTTAGTCTGCACTCTTGCCTGTAATCTATAGATAATGTCATATAAACTAGGGAAGAAGTTGAACTCCAATGCTTCTGCAAATCTTTAGTTGAAATAGAGATTAAGTAATTTTTAGAAATAGTTGACCACATTTTCACAGCATAAAATACTTTTAAGCAAAGGTTTTCAAGGTTCATCTACTGCTGACATTTTTAAAGTTATTTTTGTTAAAGAAAGAAACTGTCAAAACAAGTTTATCTACAATAGGCCAACTATAGATTCTCTTCCAGTCTCTTAGAATTTATTTAGAGAAAAAATTTTGTGTGAGTGTATATATATACATATGTGTGTGTGTCAGTAATTATGTGTATCTAGCAGGTAACTTTGCTGCTTTATGACACTTCTTGAACCACTAGTAAATAACTAAGTGGCTCTAAGTGTTAGAAAATAAAAGCAATCCAGAAACAGAGGGTGGAGGCAGCTGAAACTTTGTAAATTGCTCAAAAGACTATCTTGGGTCAATGCAAGAGGAAAATCTGAGAACATTTTCTTTAAAAGAAAAAAATAATAATAAAACAGAGCATGTAACTTCAGAGTTCAACTTGTGCCTAATCTCTTTGTGTGGGATTTTTTCATTCCAACATGTATCTCCCAGGACAGGCACAACAGCAATCCCTAAATCATGTTCATCCTCTGAGAATAGTATGTAATAAACATAGCCTTCCTTAAGGAGATATGTGGGTCAGGGTAAAACACTTTATCTCCCATCCTACCAATCCAAAATGTTTATACAGATAGTATCTAGTAAAAACAAATACTAATGGCCACTTTGCTGGGGAAAAGAAGGGATGCAGATGTAACAAAAGAACATGTGCCTTAGGAAATATGGAAGGGGCAGGGATTCTCATAATCACTTGAGCATTGTATGAAGTTTATGTATACTTCATTTCTTTTTTTTAACACTGGGTCGTAGGTACCACCTCCTTGGCACACTATAACTACATCACTGAACCAGTTTCTGGTACTCACAGCTTTAAACATGAGCCCAGCAGACAGTCAAGTCCCTGTTAGAATAATGTCAGAAACTATTTTCATGACAAATATGGTATCTGAAGGATACCTCAGATTTCTATTCCTATTCCATTCTACATCTTTGGGTGACAAAATTTATAATCTGGCAGATGAATATGCTTTGGAAAAGCATATTCAAATATCTAGAACATCAATCTTTTGTATATTGCCTTACCCTCCTTTTTACCTTTTTATATGCATTTCAAGGTAACTTCAGAGCCAAGAAGGGAGACATTATTACTATTATGTTACACCTTAAAGAAAAGACAAAAAACAGATAGAAACCTCCCTTCTCAGCCACTCAGTATTTATAGCAGCCATTCTGAAGTCTTTTGGATACACTCTTCATGTGGTATGTATTCTAAACTGTAAGGAGCAAGTGCTGGAGAAAACAGTGAAGTGACCTGTTATTCTGTGAAAAGAAAAGAGGTATTTCTTTGGAACCACCACTACACCTGCTATGCTTTACTGAAATTCAACCCCTACATTGCTCAATTACTGACACCTGGGAGCTGGCTAGCAAAAATATGGCTGGGCTGGGTGCGGGGAAAGTGTTCAAATGCATCCATCTTGGTTCCTGGGTAAATAACTTTTGCAAATGTCTATGGTTTTCTGGTATAACTGAATTTGGGTTTAACTATATGGTGAAAGGATCCAAACACTTGTGTTTTGATACACACACATACACCCAAAAACATTTTTTTAAGATATTTGGCAAGGCATTTTGTTTTTAACATTTGTGAAATGCAGCCTAACAATGTTCTTACTGTAGTCCTGCCCAAAAGTGATCACTTTTCTGTACTTTTCCTATGACAAATTTATTTTCCCTATATGCTTTTGTTGGCTAGCAGCTTTGGCATGACCTGACTGACAATGAGCCAGAAGATCTGAGCCGGGGGAAAATGCATGGCTCTCAAGTCTTGGCACAGTGGTGGATAAGAGCAGAGCAAATGCCACGCATTCAAGCAGGGCCCTGTGTGCTGGCTCATCAGCTCAGCAAAGGACAACACAGAGAGCAGATGAAGATGATATACCCTACAACCTCAGAAATAGAAACTCAATTTTTTAAAATTGGTTTTTCAGTGTTAACTAAACAATTGCCAAAGCCTCGTTTAGCTTAGTAAGCTAAACAGTGGGTCATACGTTACAGGCTTTTGTTCATTGCTGCCCTATCTAGAACTTGAGAAAGACCCCCTCTCATGGCTTACCTTTTCCCTGTGAAGGAGAAAGGGAAACTGTCAGCTCAGAGTGAGGATGGAAGTGGCAGGGTTGAAAGAGGTCGTCCTAAACCATGAATTGTAAAGGTATTTTAACAGCAAATTCTTCAAAGAACATACATGTATCTGCAGTGGCAATCTGATTAGGGTATCAGCATTTGAAATTAATCTTTTTTTTTTTTTTGAGACGGAGTCGCACTTTGTTCCCCAGGTTGGAGTGCAGTGGCGCAATCTCGGCTCACTGCAACCTCCGCTTCCGGGTTCACGCCATTCTCCTGCCTCAGCCTCCCGAAAAGCTGGGACTACAGGTACCAGCCACCACGCCCGGCTGATTTTTTTTTGTATTTTTAGTAGAGACGGGGTTTCACCATGTTAGCCAGGATGGTCTCGATCTCCCGATCTCGTGATCCGCTGGCCTCGGCCTCCCAAAGTGCTGGGATTACAGGCGTGAGCCACCACGCCGGGCCCTGAAATTAATCTTTAATCTACTACTCTAGCACTTAATTTTAAGCAACATACATAAGTCTTAAGTACTATGTACTGGGTGATATCAAGGTAGGTTAGCTTCTATCTAGAAAAGATAATCCAAAGATTTCCAGATTAATTGACAGAAGAACACATTGGCAAGCACACATACACACAGGAAAGAAATTTTTTTTTTTTTTTTTGAGACAGAGTCTCCCTCTCTCGCCCAGGCTGGAGTGCAGTGGCGCGATCTTGGCTCACTGCAAGCTCCACCTCCCGGGTTCACGCCATTCTCCTGCCTCAGACTCCCGAGTAGCTGGGACTGCAGGCGCTCGCCACCACGCCCGGCTAATTTTTTTTTTGTATTTTTAGTAGAGACAGGGTTTCACCGTGTTAGCCAGGATGGTCTCCATCTCCTGACCTTGTGATCCGCCCGCCTCGGCCTCCCAAAGTGCTGGGATTACAGGCGTGAGCCACCGTGCCCAGCCCAGGAAAGAAAATTTTTAACTCTCACTCTAACAAAAACTCATCTTCATCAGAATCTGAGTAGATTCATTCAATAAGTGAATGGGTACGATATCTGGCATGTGATTAAGCCTACCACTAAACAAATAAGGCAATGATTTGTAAAACTTTTCTGTACCACAGAAAAGTTAAAGCTAAAAGCTAAAAGTTATTCCCAGAAAAACATACATACACATCAAATTTTACAAATAATTTCAGAGAGTTCACAGACCTCCATAAAATCTATTGCATCAGTTAGCCTTTGCTGTATAACAAACCACTGCAAATGTTATGGTTTAAAACAACACTATTTATCTCAAAATTTTAGGGATCAACAATTTAGGCTGAACCCAGCTGGGCAGCTCTGTGTTCCCTCATACATCTGTGGTGTGTTCCCTCATACATCCCTCATACATGTCTGTGTTCCCTCACACATCTGTGGTGAGCCATAGGTCAAGTAGTTAGATCTGCTTCTGGGTGTTGGCTCTCAGAGGCTAGAACATTTTGGCTCAGTTCCATGTGGTCTGTGATCTTCTAGCAAGTTGCCCAGATTTATTATCATGGTGGAGGTAGGTGCCTGAAAGAGAACGGAAATACACAAAGCCTCCTGAGGACTAATACCAGAATTGGTACTACTGCCTAGTTCTTTTGACCAAAGCCAAGTCACAAGGCCTGCCCACATTCGAGGAGCTGGGAAATAGACTCTATCTCTTATGTAAGGTGTTATAAAATCATATTGCAAGGGACATTATTACAGGGAGGAATAAAAAATTAGGACCAATTTTTCAACCAATTTACCATACCTACTACGAACCTAGGTTAATTTTCTACAATAAAAATGAAGTAATATGATTTAAAAAATAAAGTTTATTTTTATAAACATGCAGGTACAGAAATTAATCATTGCTTGCATTTCAGAACATGTCCTTGTACTGTCACGTCCAGAACCAATAGAACACTGTGGGGAAATCAATATGCCCCACATAACTTAAAGTTCCCTTTTTGTTAGGACATCATGAATTGCACATACTTTTGGTGGAATGAATGTTAGTGATATTGATGGGTCAGCTGAAGAAAGTGACACAGGATATTATAAATGTCTATGTCAGTTTCTATACCCAACTCCATTGAAGTGATACAGGACTTCAAGACTTTCCATGTGTCTCATTCCTTTGTGATCCTATAGTAAATAACACTAACATTTCCTACTAAACCAGAATCCTAGAAAGCAGCATTTTTACAAAAAATAAGAAAACTTCAGGACAACAGAAGTCTAAACAGGAAATATTCAATGTATAGTGTATCCTGGTGTGTAATGATTTACCCAGTGATTGCAATAGCATTATCAAAAGTCAGCTGTCAATAGATTTGAGTACCATCATGTTTTCCTTTCTGTGGAAAGAACAGAAAAAAAGTAATTGACTGTAGAAATCTCAGTAAATAATTGGCAATCAGTGACTGAATTTAGGCAAAATGTATGTTCTTAATTTGGGTACATTTAGTTCACATCAGTTCTGACTTTGCCATTACCAAAGAGTATACATGTCTAGTTAGATTTTCTTTGATATCCTAATGCTTTAATTCTTCTTACATGCTTTTTGTTTTTAATTACAATAGAATGGGTGCAATGACTGAATCCACAGGGATGAATCCTCCACCTAACCCCAACTCCCTCTCTATAATCCTCTATTAGTTTCCTACTGCTGCTATAACAAATTGTCACAAATTAGGTAGCTTAAAACAACACCGATTTATTATCTTATAGTTCTGGAGGCCAGACATCTGAAATGAATCTCACTAAGCTAAAGTCAGTGTGTCAACAGGCTGCATTCCTTTCTGGAGGCTCTAAGGAGCCTCCATTTTCTTGCCTTTTTCAGCTCCTCCAGGCTGCCTGCATTTCTTAGCTCATGTCCTCCCTCTTCTACTTTTAAGGACTCTTGTGATTACATTGGATCCGCCCAGATAACCTGGAATAACCCAGATAACCTGGAATAATTTCCCATTTTAAAGTCAGATGATTGCAAACCTTAATTCTATCTTCTACCTTTGTCATGCAACAACATATTCACAGGTTCCAGGGATTAGGACAGGGACATCTTTGGGAGCCATAATTGTGCCTGCCACAAACCCAAGCCCATATCACCTCTTTTCTCAGCTTACCTTAAATATTGATGCCTAGTGGTATGAACCAATTCTTCCCAAGAGAGGCTTTGTAGTACATGTTTATATTAAGCAGAGGTTCTTTATGAAGACAAATGGCATCTTCCCAATGCAAACTCTAGAAACGTTAACTGTATTACCATTGAAATGTAAAAGAATGTATCATGGTTTTATCAGCCATAAGAAGGGCCACTTGAAAGAGTAGATTTCAGATATTTTTATATACTATGGATGAACTATACTCAGAGACAATTAAATGCATCATGCTTAATTATTGATAGGTTCCTTGTTTTATTACAGACCTTTTGCAAGTCTACTGCTTATTTTTACCACTTTATTTGCAAAATATTTGATAATAATTGCTTCTTATTTTGAGGTAGGGATCAATGTCATGAGTTAATTTTTTTAAACTAAATAAAGGTAAGCAAGATTAGTCTTTGTTCTCAACTTAAAACAAACTAGTAAAAAAATGATTCTGCCCATTTACAAACAGATATGAGACTTACTTAAATCCTGTTATTTAATTCTTTATACTCCCAGAGAACAAGCATGGTCTAATTCAGTGTATAATGAAATATGACAGGCTGAAGGCGGGAGTTCTAAAGCCAGAGAAAAAGAATAATCAACTAGAAAATACTAAATGAGGAAAGAAAAGAGACCTGGGAAGAAAGGAGAGAGCAGCTATTGCAATACAATGGGAGAGAGCATTAATTTCCTTGGGGATTAAACAGTGGTTAAATAGTAGCTGCCTTCCTTTTTACTTGATATGACTTAATTTAAAATATTGATATAAAATATACAATGTTATATTTGAAAGCATAAGGAAATATGAGAATAAATAAATGCTGACTTGGAAGTTGGATTATTATATGAGGCAGCAGCTCTTTTGCTATGTATTCCATTTATGAAAACTATCTTTGTCACCATTAAGAAATGTTCACTCAAAAAATGATGTGGGATGTGTAGATATTCCCATTACCAGTAGAAATTTGGGAGGAAGAAATAAATAGTCATGAGCTACTTATTAGCTTACTATTTATATAGTTAATGAACACTAACTATATTCAGATAAATCTTGGTGTATTAGTCAGGGTTCCCTAGAGGGACAGAACTAATAGGATATAGATATATAGATATATATGCAAACAGGAGTTTATTAAGTATTAACTTACATGATCACAAGGTCCCACAATAGGCTGTCTGCAAGCTTGAGAAGCAAGAAGAGCCAGTCCAATCCCCAAAACTGAAGACACTGGAGTCTGATATTTGAGGGCAAGAAGCATTCAACACGGGAGAAAGATGTAGGATGGGAGGCTAGGCCAGTCTCGCCCTCTCACGTTTTTCTACCCACTTTATATTTGCTGGAAGCTGATTAGATTGTGCCCACCAGATTAAGTGTAGGTCTGCCTTCCCCAGCCCACTGACTCAAACGTTAATCTCCTTTGACAACACCCTCACAGACACACCCAGGATCAAGACTTTGCATCCTTCAAACCAACCAAGTTGAAACTCAGTATTAACCATCACAAATCCACCCGTTGTCAATTTGAACCCATACACATCTCCTTAGATTATAATTTTCAAATAAAGACAATAATGAGGTCATAATTATGTCTTACATAATACAAGTATCCTTCGTACAACTGGAAATGCACCAATCCCCAACCCAAATACTATTACATAAAGTCAACAATACTTAAATGCTGACATGAAGTCAGTAAATCTTATGTCACATGATAAAGGAAAAGGAAATTAAATGAAGATATTTTCTTAGTACAAGTGTATACACGCACAAACAAGTTTTTAACAAAAGAAGGGGGAAATACTCATAACAGTTACAGTCCTCGTTTCTGCAGCTGGTCACGTAATCGTAGCTGGTATTGATGACTATCTTCTACTACCCATTCTGTACTCCCTTTGCCTTCAGCAAGCACCTCAGCAGGTCGTGGTTTTTCTCCTGGTGGAGTGACCCAAACCTTCATTCCTGAAGGGTCTCGACCATTTGTAGACCTGCCTGGATTGGGCTATTATAGTTTCCCATTGATCTTAATCACAGGGCATGGTAATACTAAGAGATGCCCTAATGGATCTCCTGTGTTCCATGCATACTCTTCCTTACCTGAGTTATGGAGTAGTAGACTGATTTCTGGATCATTCTCAGCAAACTCCATTTTCACAGAACAGCAGAGACTACACATTGCTGTCCTGTGTAATTCAAGAATGGTTCTACTTAATCACTAACAAGCAACCAGTGTGACTGTGAGAAGAAGACATTTTGAGAGACGGAATTAATGTGCTTCTACAAAAGAGATAGGGGTAAGTAGAAAAGTAATCTCTCCTAATTTCAATAAGGTTTTTTCAGTATCTCACAAAACAATGTTAAAGACATTTAGAAAAGCAGGTTTTGGGACAAGCTGATTTGGAAGGATTAACCATAGATCATACCACATTTTAAGTCTTTACCAGTATTCAGAATAAAGCAATTAAAATATGAAGTTTATTATGTATGTATATTAAGTATCTGCTTGTGTTCTGTAAGACATAATGAATTCCAAATGACTTTGACAAAATAGCTACATTTTCTATAAAATGAGATTAAAATGGAGAGCAAAAATATGTACATTTAGAAACCAAAATAAATAATTCAAATGTTTCTCTTGTGAAACAACTGGGAACTAAGTGGCAAGACTACATTTGACCAGAAGCTGAATGATTTTGCAACATAATACCCTAACTTGGTGGTTTTCAATCAAGGGTTATTTTGGCCCACAGGGCATATTTGGCAGTGTCTGGAGACATTTTTGATAGTCACAATTGGGAGGATGCTATCAGCATCTACCGGATAGAAGACAGAGATATTGCTGAATATCCCACACACAGCAAAGGCTACTCACAACAAAGAATTATCTTGTTCAAAGTTTCAACTGTGCTGAGATTGAGAAAAAAATTAACAAATTGTGTGATACAGGAATGTATTAAAATAAATAATATTAGCATCTAAAGTTTCCCTTCAACCACATTCTGTCCCAGATCTTTATTAGAATATTATGTTCCATTTTAGGGTATTACCCTTCAGAATGTATAGATTTAAATGATTGTAAATAGACTATTATGATTGTCCATGTCTTGGTCTTCTGCTTATACAGTAATAATTACTGTATTATTGCTCTGTCTCTCACTTATTTAGAAGACCTGAAAATAATTTATGCCTTTTTTGAAGGTAGGTTCTGTGTCTTGGGTATCTAAGATACCTGGATTTTTTTAGTGCCTCACAAATACACTGTCTGATAAACAGGTGAAAAAAGAAAGCTGATTAAAGATTAAGTTGAATGTTTTAGAGAATTAAGTCAGTTTTCAATTATGTGTTAAAAGAAAATCTCTAAAAGTTAAAACACATAGAAAAATATCCAACGTACCAAAAATACAAATACCACAAAACTCTAAATGAATGAGCCAAAACTCTTACATTACCAACATCAAACTATCCCAAAGGCTGAAAATGTTTTAATAATATGCATCTTATAGCTAGAAATATGGTAAAAAATAAAGAATGAAGAATTTCAAAGCAAAATAAACAAACCTTCACGTCACTTGAAGTAGACAACAGTTAGAAAGGGGAAAAGGTGCTGGAAATGAAGTTAGAAGTAATCATTTTAAAGAGTGGGAATGACAAGCAAGTTTTTGTGGTGAGAAGAGTTTGTTTTCATGAGACCACATTGAACAAAATGACACAGTGGAACCATTTTATGTGGTCCTGTTCATATTTCCATTGGATAGACACTGTACTGATTCTACCATATGCTTTGCAGCCAAATATGACAAAATGTAACCTTAAGCAAAAATATATACAAAATATTGTTTGTTATTTAAATTTTAAAACAAGTATTATATTCAGAACAAGAACCACACAGCAGTTAAGTATTATAAAACATACTCTATGTATGAGCATAGCTTCAGTCTAAACATTTTTTAAATGTTCTTTGATGAGAAGATTTAATTTAAAATATCTTTTAATTTATTAACCTGCTGTATTTCACAAATGCAATAAATTCTACTTTGATAATGTATTATCTGATAACTAAAAGTGCATAATTTGTATTATTTTAAGGTAATGTGACCTGGAAATGGGGAAAATGTGGGAAATCCTCAGAAAAGACTTTTTATCTAATAGCTAGTAGTTTCAACCTCTTTACCAACAAAATCTCTTCCCAATAAAATACCAATACAAAATCAAGGATCTTCTTAGAGTTTCCTTCCCCAGAATGTAAGGAGAAGCAAAACCCAACTGCATCAACTCTTGAATAATTAGGGATTAACCATGGTCAGCATGTTTCCAAATCAATGCCTTTCTCAAATCTGGAAAATTATCTGCCATTGTTTCTTCAAATATGGCAACTGCCATTCCTCTCTAGTCCTCCCTATGCTATCCTGGAACTCCTCATGAAACAAATGTTAGACTTCTTCATTTTACTTTCCATGTTTTTTTAACCCCTCCTTTCTACTTTTATTTTTTTTCCTCTGTGCTACACTCATTTTATCTCCCCAGACCTTCCATTTCATTAATTCTTTCTTTGGCTGTGTCTGACATACAGCTTAACTTATTGTATTAGCCAGGGCTCTCCAGAGAAACAGAACCAACAGGAGATAGATAGATATCGATACAGAGATTTATTCTAGAAATTGGCTCATGCAATGATGGAGGCTCATGATCTGATATCTTCAAGCTGGGACACCAGAAAAGCCAGCAGTGTAAGTCAGGTGAGGTTTACTAGCCTGAGAATTGGTATCGGAGCTGATGGTGTAAGTAACATTCCAAATCCAAAGGCCTAAAAACCAAGAGTGCCAATGCCCTACAGCAGGAGAAGATGGATGTCCCCACTCAAACAAAGATCAAATTTTCCCTTCCTCCACTTTTTTGTTCTATTTGGAGCCTCAATGGTTTAGATGATGCTCACCCAAACTGATAAAGGTTATCTTTACTCAGTCTACTGATTCAAATGCTAATCTCTTCTGGGAACAGCTTCACAGACATACCCAGAAATAATCTTTTACTAGCTATCTGAGTAGCCCTTAACCCAGTCAATATGACACATAAAATTAAACATCACACCTATCCACTGAGCTCTGTATCTCCAATGATTATATGTTGCATTTCTAAAAGTTCTCCAGTTATTTCCCAAATCTAACTTTTCTTTTTTGATAGAAAAGTTGGCTTTATTTTTTATTCCTTCTTTCATGTCCTTATTTATTTTAAAATATTAGTTGATGATTTTTGTTTACCATTTAAATCATGAAAACAAAATTCCAGCTAATTAAGTGGATCATGCTGATATGGGACATTGCCTCCTCACTTCAAACAGATAACTACACAGAATAAAACAGTACAAAGAAAATTAAATTGCTGAGTTATAAATTAAGAGAAATTTGCAGGTGCTACAAATAACGGGGGAACATGAAGAGTGGTGTTATGAGTCAAATTGTATCCCTACGAAACTCACACATTGAAGTCTTAACCCTCAGTGCCTCAGAATGTGGCCTGATTTGGAAATAGGTCTATTACAATGTAATTAGTAGTTAGGATAAGGTCATCATGGAGTAAGGTGAGACCCTACTTCAATAGGACTGGTATCTTTTTAAGAGGGGGAAATTTGGACAAAGGCGCACACATGTAGGAGAATACCATGTGAAGATGAAGGCAGAGATTATGCTTCTACACACCATGGAACACCAGAGATTGCTAATAAAGGACCAGAAGCTACGGGGAAGGCATGGAAAAGATTGTTCCTCATAGCCCACATAATAAACCAGTTTTACCAATAGCTTGATCTCAGGCTTCTAACCTCTAGAATTGTGAGACAATAAATTTTTTGTTTTTTAAGCCACCTAGTCTGTGGCACTTTGTTATGGCAACACTAGCAAACTAATATAAATGGTAAACTAAGAGGCCGAAGCCATTGGGCTCATTGGATAATCAGGACCAGTGATTAGTCTTACAGGCTGGGAGCTAGGGCTTTAAGGCTGGGAAATAAAATAATTCAAAGATAGAACTTGTGCCCCCAGGATGGTAAAAACTGAGCTAGGAGCCTAGAAGTCCTTTTTCGTAAGTAAAAACAGACTAGAGAAATTCTATTTACTGAGCTAAGGAAATTTTTTGAAAGTTTATCTTCTGAGAGGCTTAAGCGAAAAAAAAAAAGTTATCTTGGACAACTAGAATTCCAATTTTTTTTTCTTTGCCACATGAGATTATTTTATTTAAAAACTCAAAGGAGGCAGAGTGTGGAGTGGTATCTGTCCACTCTCAGGCACGAACCTGTGTGCACACATCCTCCAATGTCCTGCATGGCCTCTTACATCAAGAGTTGGCTCAGACTCTGGCTGTGGCTCCATCAGAAAATGCAAGGCACAGGCCATAAGCTAGGAAGGGAGCCTTGCAGCTTGGACCTGAGCACAGAAGGACATGCATGGTGGCTCGTACTCATATTGGAAGGCAGAACCATCACAATGCCTCTTTGGGGGTTTCCAGAGAGCGCAGGGCTCCTGGACTCCCTTGGTAGCTCCAGTTCTTGGAGAAGGCCACTGATTCTTGCTGGGCAACTCTAGCTCCTTGAACTCCAGGATATGTTCCTGGGACCTGGTCACAAGGGCCTGATGTGGACTGGGGACATGGCCAAGGGGCGAGAGGCTGGGGCTATAGCTCTGGAGTGGGGAGTTGGGTGTATGGCTAAGGTGTGGAGCTGGGGTGCAGGGGACCAGGGGCTGAGCAGATGGCTGGTAGGGGCAGAGAGCTGCTCCCCTGCCCCAGTCTTTGCTAATGCATAACAAAGGTGACCATTGCTCCAGTTCCCAGTAATTTTCTCATCTCCATCTGAGACCACCTCAGCCTGGACTTCATTGTCCATATCACTATCAGCATTTTGGTTACTGCAATTTGACAAGTCTCTAGGAAGTTCTTAACTTTCCCTCATCTTCCTGTCTTCTGTGACCTCCAAACTATTCCAGCCTTTGCCTGTTACCCAGTTCCAAAGCTGCTTGCACATTTTCAGGTGTCTTAATAGCAATGTCCCAATTCCTGGTACCAATTTTCTGTACTAGTCTATTCTTACACTGCTATAAAGAACTACCCGAGACTGGGTAATTTATATAGAAAAGAGGTTTAATTGGTTCATAATTCCACAGGCTGTACAGGAAGCATGGCTGGGGAGGTCTCAGGAAACTTGCAGTTATGGTGGAAGAGGAAGAAGGCACACCTTCACATGGCCAGAGCAAGAGGAAGAGAGAGCAGGTGATGGTGCTACACACTTTTAAACAACCAGGTCTCATGAGAACTCACTCACTATCATGAGAACAACAATGGGGAAATCTGCCCCCATGATCCAATCACCTCCCACCGGGCCCCTTCTCCAACACTGGGGATTACAATTCGACATGAGATTTGGGTGGAGACACAATCCAAACCATGTCACCTACACTACCTTTTTATTTTTTTATTCACCATGATTTTTAAAAATTATTTTTCCCCTTCATATATGTGGATGTATACATAATTTCTATTATTTAAGTTGTGGAATGGAAGACTTTTCACCCTAAAGTAATAAGATCATTTAAGAGAGAGTTTGAGATAAGCGTGTATATTTAAAATGTTCAGATGGATAAAGGAAAAAATAGAAACTATAAGAATAGGACAGCATGACAAAGGGATAGATGTTTTATACAGAATAAAATCAAAATTCTAAAAGTTAAAATATAATTGTTATAATTAAAAACTCAACACAGGTTAAATAATAGGAGAGATATGATTGAAGATAGAATTTAAAAACTTGACCTAATGAGAAGAAATTGCCCAACAGAGAAATAAAGATGTATAAAATAGAAAAAAAAGTCAAGAGACAGAGAAAAGGATAAGAGAGCCAATAAATAAATAGTGTCACAGAAGGAGATGATATATGCGAAATAACATCCAGAGGGATAATGACTAAGAATTTTCCAGAGATGGCTAAATATAGGAATATTTAAATGAATTCTGAGAAGATTTTTTAAAATCTATGCGTGTACATATACTAGCAATTAAAGAATATCCAATTCAAAGAGAAAACCTCAGAAGCACTGGAGGATTGGAGGTAAAAAGTCTGATTACCTAAAGAGATACAGCAATTAGACTGACAGTAGACATCTTAAAAGTAATAATGGAACCACAAGATGGGAGAATAATACTTTTGAAATAATGACAAAAAAATTTAACTGCTAGTCTAGAACTGTATATCAAACTAAACTATCATTCAAAGACAAAAGTAAAATAAATATCTTTTTAGATTAATAATGACTAAGGGAGTTTACCAGTGACAGAGCCTTAAAAAAGGAACTTTGGAAGATGTACTTCAGGAAGTAGGAAAATTGTCTCTGAAGGACCGCTTAAAATGAAAGAAGAAATAATGAGCAAAAAAGAAGATTAATTTTTAAAACATTATCTAAAAGAATAATAACATATAAGGCATTTAATATATAGAGTAAAAAAACTAGCAACAATAGTACGTAAGATAAAAGGGAGAATCAGACCAGGAATTCTTTCTTGTGAGGAAGAATTAACTTTAAATTAACAAATTAAATATAAATATATTTTTGAAACTTCAAGGTAACTACTTAAATAACAGAAATTATGTGTACTTCCAAATATGTGAAAGGAAAAGATAATTAAAAATGATGGTGAATAAACAAATAAAAAGGTATTATAAGTAATTCCAAATATATCATAAATTTGCATAAATGCGAATATATTAAATTCATTGATTACAATACAAGAGAATATTATATAAAAACTAAAAATAAAACCAGCTACCTGCTATTCACAACAGATCCCTTTCAAACAAAATTATGCAAAAAAAAATGAAGGGTTGGAAAACTACTAAATACCAGGCAATAGTAATAAATGGGAAATTCATTCTTAAATTATTGATGTTTTATTGATGCTCATGTCCTCTTGTTTAGTCCTCGATGGCCACAGAGAGCATAGAGGTCATATTTGAAAGAGAACAAATTGCAATAATCACTGTTCCATATATTGAGGTCAGATTTTTGACATCTGAAAGGAGTTAACACAAATGTTAAGGTATTAAATTTCTCCCTCCAACCTCCCTAACTCTGCATCTCAAGTTCTCCATCTTCCACATGATTCTTGATAAATTCTCCAGCCTATATTGACTTTATCTTCTCTGATCCCTTATAGCCCTTATTGTCTACATTATTTGTTTTAACAATAAACTATATGTTGTTTTACAATGTTTACTACCAGCTAGAGTTTAAACCCCAAAGTGCTTATCACAGAGGTACAACAGCACATGGCATGTAATTCATAAATACATGCTGAATTGAACTACAGGATGAAAACTTTTCTACCTGAAATTCAGTGGTATTCACAATGAATTCTCAATAAATTCTGAAAAACTTAATAATATAAATACTAAGAAAATTTACCTTCAAAAACATCATAAAGTAACAAAACAGATTTTAAAAATCTTTATACTCTTACTTTTTGTTTCTTAGAAGCCTTATTATGAACAACAATTGCCACTTTGGTGAAATTATTTTTATTTTTATTTTTTATTTTTCTTAATTTTTATGAGTACATAATATGTTTATACATTTATGGGATACATGAGATATCTTGGTACAAGCATACAATGTATAATAATCTCATCAGGATAAATGGGGTATTCATCACTTCAAGCATTTATCATTTCTTTATGTTGCAAGTATTCCAATTATATTTTTTCAGTTATTTTATAATGTACAATAAATAATCATTGACTGTAATCACCCTGTTGTGCTATCAAATACTACATCTTATTCATTCTATCTAATGACATTTTTGTACCCATTACCCATCCCCACCTTTCCCTGACCCCACTACCCCTCCCAGCCTCCAGTAACCATCATTCTACTTTCTATATCCATGGGTTCAATTGTTTTACTTGTTAGCTCCCACAAATGAATGAGAACATGTGAAGTTTGTCTTTCTGTGCCTGGCTTATTTAACTTAACATAATAACCTTCAATTCCATCCAGTTATTGCAAATGACAGGATCTCTTTCTTTTTTGTGGCTAAATAGTACTCCATTGTGTATATATACCGCATGCTTTTTTATCCATTCATCTGTTGATGGACACTGAGGTAGCTTCCAAATCTTGAGAGGTGCAGATACATCTTCGATATACTGATTTCCTTTCTTTTGGCTATATACCTAAGCAGTGTGATTGCTGGATCATATGGTAGTTCTATTTTTGGCTTTTTGAGGAACCACCATACTGTTCTCCATGGTAGCTATACTAATTTACATTCCCACCAACAGTGTTTAAGGGTTCCCTTCTCTCCACATCCTCACCAGCATTCCATATTGCCTGTCTTTAGGATAGAAGCCACTTAAACTGGAGTGAGATGATAGCTCATTGTAATTTTGACTTGCATTTCTCTGATGATCAATTATGTTGAGCACCTTTTCATGTACCTGTCTGCCATATGTACGTCATCTATTAAGAAATACCTATTCAGATCTGTAGCCCATTTTTAACTGGATTATTAGAATGTTTCCTATTGAGTTGCTTGAGCACCTTATATATTCTGGTTATTAATCCCCTGTCAGATAGATAGTTTGTAAATATTTTTCCCATTCTGTAGGTTGTCTCTTCACTTTGTTGATTGCTTCCTTTGCTGTGCAGGAGCTTTTTAACTTGTTGTGGTTCCTTTGGTCCATTTTTGATTTCATCGTCTGTGCTTTTGGGGTATTACTCAAGGAATCTTTGCCCAGATCAATTGCCTGGAGAGTTTTCTAAATGTTTTCTATCAGTAGTTTAAAAGTTTTAGGCCTCAGATTTAAGTCTTTAATTAATTTTCATTTGATTTTTGTATATAGTGAGAGATAGGGGTCTAGTTTCATTCTTCTGCATATAGATATCTAGTTTCTCTAGCACCATTTATTAAAGACACTATCCTTTTCCCAATGTATGTTTTGGCACCTTTGTTAAAAATGAGTTCACTGCAGATGTATGGATTTATTTCTGGGTTCTCTATTCTGTTTCATTGGTCTATGTGTCTGTTTTCATGTCAATTCCATGCTGTTTTGGTTACAATATCTCTGTAGCATAATTTGAAGTCAAGTAATGTGATTCCTCCAGTTTTAGTCTTTTTGTTCAGGATGGCTTTGAATATTCTGGGTCATTTGTGGTTCCATATAAATTTTAGGATTGTTTTTTCTATTTCTATAAAGAATGTCATTGGTACACTGATGGGGATTGCATTTAATCTGTAGAGTGCTTTGGGTCCTATGGACATTTTAACAATCTTGATTCTTCCAATCCATAAATATGGAATATCTTTCCATTTTATGCTCTCTTCAATTAGTTGCATCAATGTTCTCTAGTTTTCATTGCAGAGATCTTTCACTTATTTGTTTAAGTTTATTCCTAAGTATCTTATTTTATTTGCAGCTATTGCAAATGGGATTACTTTCATGATTTCTTTTTCAGATTGTTCACTATTGGCATATAGAAATGCTACTGATTTTTGTATGCTGATTTTGTATCCTGCAACTTTGCTGAATTTGTTTATCAGTTCTAATAGCGTTTTGGTGGAGTCTTTAGGATTTTCTGAATATAAGATCATATCTTCTGCAAACAAGGATAATTTGACTCTTCCTTTCCAATTTGGAAGCCCTTTATTTTTTCCTCTTGTCTGATTGCTCTAGCTAGGACTTCCAGTACTATGTTGAATAACAGTGATGAAAGTTGTCATCCTTGTCATGTTCCACATCTTAGAAAAAAGGCTTTCAGCTTTTTCCTATTCATATGATACTAGCTGTTGGTCTGTCATATATGGTTTTTATGGCGCTGAGGTATGTTCCCTCTATACCCAGTTCTTTAGAGTTTTTATCATGAAGGGATGTTGAATTTTACCAAATGTTTTTCAGCATCAATCGAAATAATCACATGGTTTTTGTCCTTCACTCTGCTGATATGATATAGCACATTGATTAATTAGCATATGTTGAACCATCTTTTTATTACTGAGATAAATTCCATTTGGTTATAAAGAATAATTTTTTAATTGTTGTCAAATTCAGTTTACTATGCTTTTGTTGAAGATTTTTCCACCAATGTTATAAGGGATATTGGCCTATAATTTTGTCTTTTTGATGTGTGATATGGTTTGGCTCTGTGTCCCCAACCAAATATTATCTCAAATTGGAATACTCACATGTCAGGGGCAGGGCCTGGTGAGAGGTGATTGAATCATGAGGCAGACTTCTCCCTTGCTGTTCTTGTGGTAGTGAGTGAGTTCTCAAGAAAGCTGGTTGTTTGAAAGTGTGTGGCATTTCCCCCTTTGTTCTCTCTCTCTCTCTTCTGCCGCCATGGTAAGACATGCTTGCTTCCCCTTTGCCTTCCACTATGATTGTAAGTTTCCTGAGGCCTTCCAGTCATGCTTCCTGTTAAGCCTGCTGAACTGTGAGTCAATGAAACCTCTTTTCTTCATAAATTACCCAGTCTCAGGTAGTTCTTTACAGCAGTGTGAAAACAGACTAATACAATGTCTGGTTATGGCATCAGGGTAATATTGACTTCACAGAATGAGTTTGGAAGGGTTCCCTCCTTCTCTATTTCTTGGAATAGTTTGGTATTAGCTCTTCTTTAAATATTTGGTAAACTTCAGGAATGAAGCCATCAGGTCCCTGGTTTTTCTTTGCTGGGAGAAATTTTATTACAGCTTCAATCTCATTACTTGTTATTGGTCTGTTCAAGTTTTGGATTTCTTCACAGTTCAATCTTGATAAGTTAAACATATATAGGAATTTCTCCATTTATTCTAGGTTTTCCAGCTTATTGGCAGATAATTGCTCACAGTAGTCTCTAATGATCCTTTGAATTTCTGCAGTATCAGCTGTAATGATGTCTTTTTCATCTCTGATTTTACTTATTTGGGTCTTCACGTTTTTTCTTAGTCTGACTAAAATGTTTTTCAATGTTTTTATCTTTTCAAAAAACCAACTTTTTATTTTATTGATTTTTTGTGTTTTTTCTTATTTTAAATTTAACTTTTATTTTAAGTTCAGGGGTACATGTGCAGGTTTTTTATATAGGTAAACTTGTGTCATGGAGGTTTATTGTACAGATTATTTCATCACCCAGGTATTAAGCCTAATACCCATTAGATGACCTTTTTCTTGAACCTATTCCTGCCCCTACCCTCCACCCCATCCTCTGATAGGCCCCAGTGTCTGTTGTTCCCCTCTATGTATCCGTGTGTTCTCATCATTTAGCTCCTACATACAAGCGAGAATATGTGGTATTTGGTTTTCTGTTCCTGTGTTAGTTTGCTAAGGATAATGGCATCCAGCTCCATCCATGTGGCTGCAAGGGAAATGATCTCATTCTCTTTTATGGCTGCGTAGTATGCCATGGTGTATATGTACCACATTTTCTTTATCCAGTCTACTCTTGATGGGCATTTAGGCTGATTCTATGTCTTTGCTATTGTGAATAGTGCTGCAATGAACATACATGTGCATGTGTCTTTATGATAAAACTACTTATATTCCTTTGGGTATACACCCAGTATTGGGATTGCTGGGTCCAATGGTATTTCTGTTTTTAGGTCTTTGAGGAATCATCACATTGCCTTCCACAATGGATGCATTAATATCCACTCCCACCAACAGTGTAAAAGTGTTCCTTTTTCTCCACAAGTTCACCAGCATCTCTTAATTTTTGACTTTTTAGTAATAGCTGTTAGTATTTCTGTTTTTAGGTCTTTGAGGAATTGTCACACTGCCTTTCACAATGGATGAACTAATTTACACTCCCAACAACAGTATAAGAGCATTCCTTTTTCTCCACAAGTTCACCAGCACCTGTTATGTTTTGACTTTTTAATAGCCATTCTGACTGGTGTGAGATGATATGTCATTGTGGTTTTGATTTGCATTTCTCTAATGATCAGTGATATGAAAATAGTTTCATATGATTGTTAGCCATATGTATGCCTTCTTTTGAGATGTGTCTGTTCATGTCCTTTGCCCATTTTTTAATGGGGTTGCTTGTTTTGTTCTTATAAATTTGCTTAAGTTCCTTATAGATATTATATATTAGACCTTTGTCAGATGGATAGCTTACAAAAATTTGCTCCCATTCTCTAGGTTGTCTTTTCACTCTATTGCTAGTTTCTTTTGCTGTGCAAAAGTTATTTAGTTTAATTAGATTCCGTTTGTCAATTTTTTCTTTGGTTGCAATTGCTTTCGGCATCTTCATCATGAAATCTTCACCCATTCCTTTGTCCAGAATAGTATTTTCTAGGTTTTCTTCCAGGGTTGTTACAGTTTTTGGGTTTTACATTTAAGTCTTTAATCCATCTTCAGCTAATTTTTGTATATGGTATAAGGAAGGGGTATAGTTTCAATCTTCTGCATATGGCTAGCCAGCTATCCCAGCACCATTTACTAAATAGGGAGTCCTTTCCCCATTGCTTGTGTTTATCAGGTTTGTCAAAGATCAGATAGCTGTAGGTATGCAGCCTTATTTCCGGGTTCTCTAACCTGTTCCATTGGTCTATATGTCTGGTTTTGTACCGGTAGCATGTTGTTTTGGTTACTATAGGCTTGTAGTATAGTTTGAAGTTGGGTAGTGTGATATTTCCAGCTCTGTTCTATTTGTTTAGAATTGCCTTGGCTATTCAGTCTTTATTTTTATCTTTTTGGTTCCATGAATTTTAAAATAGTTTCTTCTAGTTCTGTAAAGAATATCATTGGTAGTTGAATAGGACTAGATTTGAATCTATAAATTGCTTTGGGCAGTGTGGCCATTTTAACGATATTAATCCTTCCTAGCCAAGTGCATGTAATATTTTTCCATTTGTTTGTGTCCTAATTTCTTTCAGCAGTGTTTTGTAGTTCTCCTTGTAGAGATCTTTCACCCCCCTGGTTAGCTGTATTCCTAGGTATTTTTGTGCTTGTGTGACAATTGTGAATGGAATTGTCTTCCTGATTTGGCTCTCACCTGGACTGTTGTTGGTTTATAGGAGTGCTAGTAATTTTTGCACATTGAGTTTGTATCTTAAGACTTTGCTAAAGTTCTTTATCAGCTTAAGAAGCCTTTGGGTCAAGACAACGGGGTTTTCTAGGTACAGGATCATGTCACCTGCAAACAGGGATAGTTTGACTTCCTCTTTTCCTATTTGGATGCCCTTTGTTTCTCTTGCCTGATTGCCCTAGCCAGGAATTCCAATACTATGTTGAATAAGAGTGGTGAAGAGGGCATCCTTGTCTTCTGCCAGTTTTCAAGGGGAATGTTTCCAGTTTTGCCCATTCAGTGGTGGCTGTGGGTTTGTCATAGATGGCTCTTATTATTTTGGGGTATGTTCCTTCAATGCCTCATTTATTCAGAGTTGTTAACAGGAACTGTGTTGAATTTTATCAAAAGCCTTTTCTGTAACTATTGAGATAATCATGGAGTCTTTGTCTTCAGTTCTGTTTATGTGATGAATCACATTTATCAATTTGTGTATGTTGAAACAACCTTGCAACCCAGGGATAAAGCCTACTTGATTGTGGTGGATTAGCTTTTTGATGTGCTGCTGGATTTGATTTGCAAATATTTTGTTGCCCATTTTGGCATCAATATTTATCAAGGATATTGGCCCGAATTTTTGTTGTTGTTGTTGCTGTGTCTCTGCCAGTTTTTGGTATCAGGATGGTGCTGGTCTCATAGAATGAGTTGGGGAGGAGTCCATCCTCTTCAGTTTTGTGGAATAGTTTCAGTAGGTGTGGTACCAGCTTTTCTTTTTATATCTGGTGGAACTCAGTTGTGACTCTATCTGGTCCTGGGCTTTTTGGTAAACTATTACTGACTCAATTTCAGAGCTTATTATTGGTCTGTTCAGGGATTTAATTTCTTTCTGGTTCAGTCTTGGGAGGATGTAGGTACCCAGGAATTTATCCATTTCTTCTATAGTTTCTAGTTTATGTGAATACAGGTGTTTATCATATTATCTGATGGTTATTTCTATTTCTGTGGGGTCAGTGGTAACAACCCCTTGTAGTTTCTGATTGTGTTTATTTGAATTGTCTCTCATTTCTTCATTATTAGTCTAGCTAGCAGTCTATTTTATTAATTTTTTCAGAAAAACAGATCCTGAATTTGTTGATCTTTTTAACGGTTTTTCATGTCTCAATCTCCTTCAGTTCAGCTCTGATTTTGGTTATTTCTTGCCATCTGCTAGCTTTGGAATTTGTTTGCTCTTGGTTCTCTAGTTATATTAGTTATGATGTTAAGTTGTTAAATTGAGATCTTTCTAAATTTTTGATTCAGGCTTTTAGTGCTAGAAGTTTCCCAGTCAACACTGACATAGCTGTGTCCCAGAGATTCTGGTATGTTGTATCTTTTTCCTCATTAGTTTCAAAGAATTTCTTGATTTCTGTCTTAACTTCATTTTTTACCCAAAAGTCACTCAAGAGCAGATTATTCAATTTCCATGTAATTGTATGGTTTTGAGTGAATTTCTTAGTCTTGATTTCTAATTTGATTGTGCTGTGGTCTGAGAGATTGTTACGACTTCAGTTATTTTTCATTTGCTAAGGAGTGCCTTACTTCCAATTATGTGATTGATTTTGGAGTATGTGCCATGTGACAATGAGAAGAATGTATATTCTGTTGTTTTGGGGTGCAGAGTTCTCTAAATGTCTATATCAGGTCTATTTTACCCAGTACTCAGTTCAGGTCCTGAATATCTTTGTTAATTGCCTGTCTCAATGATTTGTCTAATATTGTCAGTGGGGTGTTAAAAGTCTCCTGCTATTATTGTGTGGAAGTCTAAATCTCTTTGAAGGTCTCTAAGAACTTGCTTTATGAATCTGGTTGCTCCTCCATTGGGTACATATATATTTGGGATAGTTAGATCTTCTTTAATTGAACACTTTACCATTATGTAATGCCCTTCTTTGTGTTTTTTGACCTTTGTTGATTTAAAGTCTGTTTTTTTCTGAAACTAGTATTGCAATCCCTGCTTTTTTCTGTTTTCCATTTGCTTGGTAGATTTTCCTCCATTCGTTTATTTTGAACCTATGTGTGTCATTGCATGTGAGATGGGTCTCTTGAAGACAACATACCAATTGGTCTTGGCTCTTTATCCAGCTTGCCACTTAGTGCCTTTTAACTGGGGCATTTAGTCCATTTACTTTCAACAATAGTATTGATATGTGAGGATTTGATTCTGTCATGATGATGTTAACCAGTTATTTTGCAGACTTGTTTACATGGTTGCTTTATAGTGTCACTGGTTTGTGTATTTCAGCGTGTTTTTGTAGTAGCCAGTAATGGTCTTTCCTTTCCATATTTAGTGTTTCCTTCAGGAGCTCTTGTATAGCAGGTCTGGTGGTAATGAATTCCCTCAGCATTTGCTTGTCCGACAAGGATTTTATTTCTCCTTCACTTATGAAGCTTAGTTTGGCCAAACATGAAATTCTGAGTTGGAATTTATTTTCTTTAAGAATGTTGAATATTGGCCCCCAATCTCTTCTGGCTTATATGGTTTTTGCTGAGAGGTTCACTGTTAGTCTAATGGGCTTCCCTTTTAAGTGACCTGACCTTTCTCTCTAGCTGCTGTCAACATGTTTTCTTGCATTTTGAGTTTGGAGAACCTGATGTCTTGGGGATGATCTTCTTGTGAAGTATCTTACTGGGGTTCTCTACATTTCCTGAATTTGAATGTTGGCCTCTCTGTCTAGGCTGGGGAAGTTCTCACGGATAATATCCTGAAATCTGCTTTCTCAATTGGTTCCATTCTCCCAATCTCTTTCAAGGACATCAATAATTTGTTGATTTAGCCTCTTTACATAATCCCATATGTCTTGGAGATTTTGTTCATTTCTTTTCATTCTTTTTACTCTATTTTTGGCTGTCTTGTTTCAGAAGGCTAGTCTTCAGGCTCTGAGACTCTTTCCTCTGCTTGGTTTATTCTGCCATTAATCGTTGTGATTCCATTATGAAATTCTTGTAATGTGTTTTTCAGCTCTATCAGGTCAGTTACATTCTTTTCTATACTAGTTATTTTGTCTGTCAGCTCCTGCACTGTTTTATCATAATTCTTACCTTCCTTGGATTGGGTTTCAAGGTACTCCTGTAGCGTAATGATCTTTGTTCCTATCTATATTCTGAATTATATTTCTGTCATTTCAACCATCTCAGCTCAGTTCAGAACCCTTGCTGGAGAAGTAATACAATCATTTGAAGGAAAGGAGGCGCTCTGGGTTTTTGAGTTGTCAGGGTTCTTGTGCTCGTTATTTCTCGTCTTTGTAGGCTTATGTTCCTTCAGTCTTTGAGATTACTGACCTTTGGATGGGTTGTTTTCTTCGTATATTCTATTTGATGACCTTGAGGGTTTGATTGTGGTCTAAGGTGGATTCAGATAACTGGCTTCATTTCTGGAAGATTTTAGGGGATTGACACTCAGCTCCCACCTCTTTGACTGCATGCTCTATCTCTGAGGGACTTGTATTGGGCCCCAACTTTGTTCTGTGGTTCCTCAAGGTTAGGAATCCACTGTGCTGGAGAGGCCAAGATGCTCTCAGATTGCTGGTCACTACACTTCTATGGGTGGTCTCAGCTAAAGCATTTTGTAGTGTGGTGACAGCAGTATCTGTCCTCATTTGCAAGTGCCAGCAGCAGCAGTAGTGGTAGCTGCAGCAGGGTGCTAGTGTATGCCAGGGGGCCTGCTTTCCTGTGGACATTCATCACAGAGGCAGAGGTAATGCAGCTGCGGTGTGGGTGGAGAGCCCCTGCTAGTGACTGTGTGCACAGTGTTGCTGTCGTTGGTGTTGACTCAGGTACAGGATGCTGGTGGGCACAAGTCTGTGTGCCTTCTATGTGTCCTGCAAGCAGAAGTGGTCACTCAGGGTAGAGGAGGATCTACTGTTCTCTGTGCCTAGTTTCACTCCCACAGCAGTGTTAGCGCAAGGGCAGGGTGCTGGTGCAGACAAAGCTGGCTGCCTCTGTGCTCACTAAGTCTCCATCTGCAATGGCAGTCTGCAAGAAGATGGGGAACAGGCTGCACTTCTGCTGCTGATGGCAAAATAAGCAAAACCTACTCATGCAGACATGCACCAGCAAAGCAATGTGGGGAGTTGCCGTGGACCCTGCAGAAGCTGCAGTGTTGGGAGGGGCCGTGGGTGCTGCCCCAGTGGTGCACTCTGCCAGTTAGGCATGGTCTCCATAGGTGGAGACTTCCACCTATGGGCAGGTGTGGCCCAGCTGGGGCCCCAAGAGAGACAGCAGAACAAGTGGTGTTTAGGTCAGACTGGCCCATCTGATGGGCTAGACTGCCCTGCAGAGTTCAGGACCAATAGTTCCTCTAGGGCTAAAGTCTCCTGTGGGAGCAAGTAGAGCCTAGGGAGATGGCCATCCCTAGTCATGCTCCACTACAGATGCTTCCACACCAAACCCTCTGGGCTCCACATCAACTAGTTTGCTGCTCCTACCACTTCTCTAAGTAGCTCTCCCCGCCACCTTGAGTATCCAAGGTGGTTGGGCAGTCTCCTGCCAGTATTCCAGAGGCCCATAGCAAGAGAAGGTTACTGCTTGTCAGTTCAACTCATCCGTTTCCCCAGAGCCATTGGGGGCCAGGAATGAGTTCAGGTGTCCAGTAGCCCCAGGTAGGCTTCCCAGCTTTCTTCCCCTTCAGCCCAGCTTCTGTGTCTTCCCTTCATCCACTCTCAGTGCCTTCCCTCTGAAGATCTGTTAGAAGTACTCCAGTCGTCTTGGTGCCTCACTGACAGCTGTTTCACCTGGCTGCATCTAGTCAGCCTTCATTTCCCAGCTTCTGGATGTCCTTACAACACCCCCTCAAGTATCTCTCAGTACCTGGAGGTCACAGGAGGACAAAATCACTGGTCTTTGACAGAGTTGCTTGAGCCTCATGGAGCAGAGGACATGGAACAATAAAGACAAGAACCAAGTTAGGTGCACAGGCGACAGAAGACCAAATAAGTGATTATTTTAATTTAAATTTTATTTATTCCTGCTCTGATCTTTATTATTCCTTTCCTTCTATTAATTATAGGTTTTGTGTGCTCTTGCTTTTCTAGGCTGTTTAAGATGCATAGTTAGGTTGTTAATTTGAAGTTTTTCTACTTTTCTGATGTAGGTGCTTATGGCGATAAACTTTATTCTTAATAATGCTTTTCACTGTATCTGGTAGGTTTTGATATGTTGTGTTTCCTTTTCATCTGTTTTAAGAAATTTTTAAATTTCCTTCTTAATTTCTTCATTGACCCACTGGTCATTCAGAAACATATTGTTTAATTTCCAAGTCTTTGCATAGTTTCCAAAGTTCCTCTTGTTACTGATTTCTAGTTTTATTCCATTGTGATCAGAGAAGACACTTGATATAATTTTTTTTTAAATTTTTTAAAACTTGCTTCGTGGCCTAACATATGATCCATCTTTGAGAATAATCCATGTGCTGAGGCAAAGAATGTATATTCTGCAGCCATTGGATGAAATGTTTTGTAAATATCTATTAGGTCCATTTCATCTATAGTGCAGATTAAGTCCTACGTTTCTTTGTTGATTTTCTATCTGAATGATCTGTCCAATGATGACGGTGGAGTGTTGAAGTCTCCACTTATTATTGTATTGGGGTCTATCTTTGTCTATAGCTTTAATAATATTTCCTTTATATATCTAGTTGCTCCAGTGCTAGGTGCATATATATTTATAATTGTTATATCCTCTTGCTGAATTGACCCCTTTATCATTGCATAATGACCTCCTTTGTCTCCTTTTATACTTTTTTGGTTGATATCTATTTTGTCTAAGTGTAGCTACTTCTGCTCTTTTTGGTTTTCGTTGGCATGAAATATCTTTCTCTATCCCTTTATTTTCAGTGTATATGTCTTTATAAGCAAAGTGTGTTTCTTGTACGCAACAGTTTATTGAGTCTTATATTTTAATCCATTTAGTCTTTTGATTAAAGCATTCAGTCCATTTACTTTCAATGTTAGTATCAATAAGTAAGAATTCACTTACTATTGATATTCTATTTTGCTATTTTGTTACTGGTTTTCTGGTTGTTTTACTGCCCTTCCTTCCTTCCTTCCTTCCTTCCTTCCTTCCTTCCTTCCTTCTTTCCTTCCTTCCTTCCTCCCTCCCTCCCTTCCTTCCTTTCTCCCTTCTCTCTTTCCTTCTTTCTTTCCTTCCTTACTTCCTGTCTTCCTTTTTGAGAAGGTGATTTTCTCTAGTGGTATGTTTTAATTTCTTGCTTTTTACTTTTTGTATATTTGTTGTAGGTTTTTTTATTTGCGGTTACCATGAGGCTTGCAAATAACATCTTATAAACCATTATTTAAACTGATGACCCTTAACAGTGATTAAAAAAAAAAAGCAAAGAGAAAACTAATAAAAACGCTGCATTTTAACTTCATCCCCCCACTTTTAACTTTTTTATTTCTATTTATATCTTATACTCTCTATGTCTTGAAAAGCTGTAATTATTATTCTTGATAGGTTCATCACTATTCATCAATAGTGATCCATAGATCACTATTAGTAGTATTGACATCTAAACAATATTAAATCTTCCAATCCATTAAGGATCCATGTAAGAAAGGGATATCCTTCCATTTATTTATATCTTCTTTCATTTCTTTCAACCATGTTTTATATTTTTCATTGTACAAGTCTTTTACTTTTTGATTAATTTAATTCCTAAATATATTTTTTGATGCTGTTTGTGAATGAAATTGTTTTCTTAATTTCCTTTTCAGATTGTTCCTTGTTAGTATATAGAAATTCAACTCAATCTTGTGGGTTGACTTTGTATCCAACTAGTTAGGGGAATTTATTAGTTCTAATTTTGTCTCTGTGTGTGGAATCTTTAGGGTTTTCTACATATAAGATCACATCATCTGTGAACAGAGATTTTCTAATTCTTCCTTTCCAATTTATATCCATATTATTTCTTTTTTTCTTTTCTTTTCTTTTTTTTTTTTTTTTTTTTTTTTGACAGAGTCTTGCTCTGTCACCCAGGCTGGAATGCAATGATGCAGTCTTGGCTCACTGCAATCCCCGCCTCCTGGACTCAAGAGATTCTCCTGCCTCAGCCTCCCAAGTAGCTGGGATTACATGCACGCACCACCACACCCTGCTAATTTTTGTATTTTTAGTAGAGACAGGGTTTCACCATGTTGCCCAGGCTGGTCTTGAACTCCTGACCTCAGGTGACCCATCTGCTTCGGCTTCCCAAAGTGCTGGGATTACAGGCATGAGCCATTGCGCCCGGCCTATTATTTCATTTTCTTGCCAAATTGCTCTGGCAAGAGCTTCCATTAATATTTTGAATAGAAGTATGGAAAATTAGCATCCTTGCCTTATTTCTTATCTTAAAGGGAAAGTTGTCTTTCATGATTTAGTATGATGTTCACTCTGGGTTTTTCACATATGACTTTTACTATGTTGAGGTTGTTTCCTTCAATTCCCAATTTGAGTGTTTTTATCATAAAAAGGTATTGAGGTTTTCAAATAGTTTTTCTGCATCATTTAAGATTTTTTTCTTAATTCTGTTAAAGTGATATATTGTTGATTGATTTTCATATGTTAAATCATCAGTCTATTGCAGGAATAAATCCCACCTAGTCATGGCATATAATCCTTTTAATATGTTGTTGAATTTAATATTTTGTTGAAGATTTTTATATTGATGTTCATAAGGAATATTGGTCTGTAATTTTCTTTCCTTGTAGTGTTTCTCTCTGGCTTTGGTATCAGGGTAACAGTGGCCTCAGAGAACGAGGCCTTCCACTTCAATTTTTTGGAAAAGTTTAAGGATTAGTGTTAGCTTATTTTAAATACTTAGTAGAATTCACCAACGAAGCCATCATGTCCAAGGCTTTTCTTTGATGAGAGATTTTGAGTATCTTGCTCCCAAAAGGGGAAAAATAAATAAATAAAGGGGAATTAGTAAAAGGAGTTACCAGCCCTTTAATCCCCTGGAAGTGGCTAGGCGCGGTGGTTCACACATGTAATCTCAGCACTTTGGAAGGCCGAGGTGGGCAGATCACTTGAGGTCAGGAGTTTGAGACCAGCCTGGCCAACATGGTGAAACCCCATCTCTACTAAAAAAAAAAAAAATACAAAAATTAGCTGGGCATAATGGTGCTCACCTGTAGTCCCAGCTACTTGGGGAGCTGAGGCAGGAGAATGGCTTGAACCTGGGAGGCAGAGGTTGCAGTGAACCAAGATTGTGCCACTGCACTCAAGCCTGGGTGACAAAGCGAGACTCCATCTCAAAAAAAAAAAAAAAATCCCCTTGAAGTCACTTCAGCTAAAGCGTGTTGCAACAATGGCGGAAGGAGGAGGTGCAAACAATGGCTGCCTTCCTCTATGTCCGCACCTCAGTGATCAGAAGCAACAATCAGCAACCAACACAAATCCTCAAAATTTGGATGACAGGGTCCTTGTTGCCTATCCCAGCTCCCACAAGTGATATGCAAGCTGCTCCAGGAACACAGGTGCCCACTATGGGACCAGGGGTGGGGAGTGGGTAGTTAGCACTGTGCTAAAAGCTAAAATTTACTGAATTTAACTCCAAATTAACAACCAAATCTTCCAAGTCCAGCTATTTTGGACTCCAGAATTCAAAAATAGTTATATCAGACACATCTCTATCAGTGAGGCTGTGGGGGATGGATTTCTGGTGCTTTCTACTCTGCCATATTCTCTGAATCCTCCTCTCTGGTTAAATATTTTTAAGGAATGCAGAGTCTGCAAACACCAACATTGCTGTGAACTGAGGTGTTGCTTTTTTTTTTTTTTTTAAGGAAAAAGGAAAAAAAAGATTAACATAACCACCTGTTTCTACTTGGAAGAAACTCTAGAGCGCAAATGCATTTAAATGGAATACTGCTTCATGACATCACCAAAAAATCATGGTCTGACCTCACATCATTACTATATCATATAAATATTATTTCTAAGGAAGCCAAGATTTTCTGATTCAAGATGTGGAGTAGAAAAGGACAAAAATGAGATCCTTAAGCAAAAGAAAGTTAGCCACTTGTTGAAATCTGGACTCTGGGAGTACTGAAGTTCAAGCTACACCATGGAACACATATGGAATATAACTTATTCATTACTTAATTAATTCACTTATTTGATAAATATTTGTTGTGTGACATTATGTCCCAAGCACTATCCTAGGCAGTGAACAAAAAGACAAAGTCTCTTTCTCATGGAGCTTACATGCAGATAGACAAAAAATAGTAGGCACGACCAATAAACTATACACTGTGTTCAAAGGTGGTAAGTGCTATGGAGAAAATATAAAGCAGGGAAAGGGAATGAGTGACAGGGTGGAGAAAAGTACTGCTATTTCTTATAGAGTGCTTAGGGAAGACCAAACTCGCTATAATAAATAATCTAATATATTTGAATCATAGTTAATTCAGTCCATAGTCAAACCTTCCGTTCAATCTGTTAATATGCAATACCTGCCGGGCGCGGTGGCTCACGCCTGTAATCCCAGCACTTTGGGAGGCCGAGATGGGCGGATCACGAGGTCAGGAGATCGAGAACACCCTAGCTAACATGGTGAAACCCCGTCTCTACTAAAAATACAAAAATTTAGCCGGGCGTGATGGCGGGCGCCTGTAGTCCCAGCTACTCGGGAGGCTGAGGCAGGAGAATGGCGTGAACCTGGGAGGCGGAGCTTGCAGTGAGCCGAGATGGTGCCACTGCACTCCAGCCTGGGCGACAGAGCGAGACTCCGTCTCAAAAAAAAAAAAAAAAAAAAAAAAAATATGCAATACCTAAATTAGCCTAACTTTCTCCACCTGGATATTCTTTTGATCTTTTTTCCTTATTAAATTAAAATGTACCAAAATGCAATGCCTGTTCTTTAGCAGATCAGGCAGTTCAATGTACAAAACCTGAATAAATATCTCCCACCCCCACCCCCAGAGCTGTATGCAATTTGAGTGATTCTTTAAAGGACTTGTTAAAATGCCAAAATAGTGCCACAGAAAACACGTCAAATAAAGATTTAAGTTTTCTTTATGAAAAAAAAGTGTTTAACAAGGGTTTATGGGGTTTTATAAAAACACCTTAACACCTTACAGACCTAAGGGGGAAAAAGCTCTGTTTAAGTATCATACACCAATAGCAGACCACCCAATGCTGATGACTAGAAGCCTCAAACAGACCCATCCTTGGGAGCCTATGTGGAGACCCTTAATTTTATGGTCATTTTAATTGTATTTGGGTTATTACCTCATGCCCCAGCAAACACCTACAGTATTTATTAAAAATGAGTGTAGAACACTGTTCTAGTTAAAGTATGTATTAGCCAAAATCATAAACTAAGTATGCTTCACCATAAATTAACTGGGTGTTTAGTGTTTCTTTGCCTTTAAGTTATATTTATTTTCTTATAACATGGTATGCTTCACTATGTACCAAATCAATGTTAACTGACTTGGCATTTAGACAGGCTCTTCTATCTCTAGGTCATACACCCACAAACACACCTGCCCTCCATATTATAAAGTGATAAGTACAGTTAACTGCTGATATTCAAAAGAATGACTATAAAAGATCATTGGGGCTGAAAAGTAAACAAGTCTTGAAAAGAAAACCTTTCATTTTGCAATCATCTAGAGTCTAGCTGTAGTACTACTACTTACATCAATGTTGGTTCAGAAACAAAAATCAGTAGTCTTCTACAGCAAAACAAAAGGAAAATATTGGAAAGAAATGAAAAATACTCCTTCATTTTGTAGAGTCTAGATTATGGATTTTTAATATTCTGCTTCATCACTCAGCAGAAAAAAATTAATAGGTAAGGACAACATAAAGAATTAAGAGTTCATCCTCTTTACCACCACCACTTTCTGCCTAGATTTTCTAGCATAACTCCCTTAATTACCAAATTTGTAGCTGCTTCTATTTTCTTACCTCATTATTCCATAACCCATTAAATTTAGCATCTGGACAATCCTCTCCCCCACTCACATTACACTGAAAGAGTTCTTGTTTAAATCCCCCCAAATCTCCTAATTGCCAAAATTGTTGGCCTCTTTTCAGTCCTCAATTGATTTGAACTCTAAGTAACTTCTAGCTTGCAGACCAATTCTTCCTCCATGAAACTCTCTCTTCCTTAGGCTTCCACATCCTAACCATCCTCATTCCTATTCTACCGTCTTGGAGCCCCTTCTCAGTCTCTTGCACTATTTCTCTGAGCATCTCTTAATTGTTGATGATCCCATATCATCCTGTATAGTCTTGTCTTTCCATGCTGCAAATACTTTCTGAGTGATTCTATCAATCTTAATCTACCAACTGTATGGTTACAATTCAAATTGAAGGCATGATGCTTCCCTTCTCCGAGAGAAGTCAGTTCCTCCTCCAGGGTTTCCTACCATGGTAAAAAGTGCTATCACCTACCCAAGTGCTGGTGCCAGAAACCTAGATGTCATCAGTGACTCTCTCTTTCCTTTATTCTACACATAGGATTACCAGATTAAAAATACAGGACCCTCAACTAAATTTTAAGTTCAGACAAACAGCATATTCTTTTTTAGTTTAGTATTTCCAAAATATTGAAATTTAACTGAGTACTCCATATTGTATCTAGCAATCCTACTTCTACTTCTACTTCTAATCAAACATCAGTCCCTTAATTATTACTCAACTATCTTCCTGTCCCTTTATTTCCCTTCACCTTTGTCTTAGACCTATTGCCACTGTCCCTTGCTTAGGTCTCCAAATAGCCTCCTCAGCCTCCCAAAGTGCACAGTGGCTCATGCCTGTAATCCCAGCACTTTGGGAGGCCAAGGCGGGCAGATCACCTGAGGTCAGGAGTTCAAGACCACCCTCACCAACATGGTGAGATCCAGTCTCTACTAAAAATACAAAAAAAAATTAGCCAGGCATGGTGGCACGCACCTGTAATCCCAGCTACTCAGGAGGCTGAGGCAGGAGAATTGCTTGAACCCAGGCAGTGGAGGCTGCAATGAGTCAAGATGGCACCACTGCACTCCAGCCTGGGCAACAGAGCAGGACTCCATCTCAATTAAAAGAAAAAAGAAGAAGAAGTAATGTTCTATCGAGAGAGGGCAACTTCAGCTGATAGCTGTCACCCGAATGTGGGCTCAGCATTGCCCAATTTTGCAAGTTTTCACAAGAAGTCATAAATTCAGACTTTACATGAAACCATTTGATGTTTAAATGTTGACGCTGGAAAACAAACTGTACATTTGCCTCCTCAATACCCATTCTCTTCTTCTTTTTTACTAGTAGAACTCCAATTTTATTCTAGCTAATTTTAAATTTCTTGTTATTATTACATAATAACATTTCCTAGCCTTGTTTGTTGATGGGGTGCCCATGAGATATAGGCAGTGGTGTTAGGGGACATCTGGAGAGGGTTGAGTCACTTGGGAGGGATGCTGTTTTTGCCCTTGTCCCCTCTTCTCTTCTTCCAGCCTGGTCTGTGGTGATAATGGCTAGAGCTTTAACAGACATATTGGACCATGACCTGAGGCAGCTTTGAAGATGGAAGCTATGAGTTACGGATAGTAGAATACAAACATGAAGGAAGCCTCAGTCCTTGGTGACTCTGGTGCTTCCATACCACCCTGACTGCCTACTTCCAAACGTTTCTTATAGAAAACTTTAAAAATTAAAATCAACCTTTACCTTATTTCAAATACTGTTTGGGGAGAGGCATTTGTTTTATGCAACTAAATCAATTCTATTATTTTACATTTTCTTTTTAAGTACAAGATGAACCAGTTAAAAAAAGATCTGTGGTCAGTATCTAGCCAGCAAGCCACCTATTTATGATTCTTGCTGGGGGCACAGAAGACATACTAAAAGTTAATAAGTTATAGAAGGTATGTATGTGTGTGTGTGTGTGTGTGTGTGTGTGTATATTCTCTATATATATTCTGTATATACACACACACACACACACACACACACACACACACACATACATATTTCCTAGCTCTGGCCACTGAAAAGCCTGGAAGCAATGACACTCTAGCAGCAGTGAATGCATGTAGAACCCAAATATTGACTTCCATATTCCATTTTTCTCATGGCAATACAAGGAATCGGTTCTATGAGGAGAAATGGTTGATTCCAGAGCTAAGGCAGGGAAAATACAGGCTGAGCTTGGAACTTTCCTGTCAGTAAGTAAGGAAGTGTTTTTTTTGAATGAGGTAGGCATGTTGAAAGGACACAGGAGCCAACTTGCAAGAGTATTCAATGGCCACTTCTGTGACAATTTGAACATGAAAATAAATAATGATAGTAATACATTATAACCAGTAGAATAAAGTAAACATTCGTGAGTCCATGGTGATATAAGTAATTGAATAAAAAAATCAATGTGGAAGAAGAAAAAGCTCTTTTATACAGTAGAATTTCAATTAATAAATGTAAAAGAGATGGTAAAAATAATAAAATCATCATTTTGCAAATACTTGAGTTAATAGTTATTGTGAGCCATAATCATCAGCAGATTGTTGATTTGACAACTGAGGCACTTAAAATTGTGGGCAAAAATACAGTGAGAAACAGGATGCTTGCATGATCCCAACATAACTTCCTATAAAATACTTGTTAAAGGGGAAAAGGAACTTTAAATGCAGCAACCTGGTGAACACCTTCTGAACCAAGTGATCAAAATTAACATCATCAGTAATGAGACAGATTTACATTATGTACCTCCTGATACGATGCACTGAGAAAGATATCACATCACTCTAGCAGTATTCTTGCCAAAAATGCATGATTCAACATGTACGTTTCAATGTGAGGAAACATGAGATAAACCCAAATGGAAAAATATTCTGCAAAAATAAATGGCCAGAACTCTTCAAAAGTTTCAAGGTCAGAGCAACAAAGAAAGTTTCAAGAACTGTCTCAGATTAGAGGAAACTAAAGTGACATACCAATTAAATGCAGTGTAGAATATTGGTTTGGTCTTGGACCATAAAGAAGACTTTAGTGGAACAAATGGAAAAATTTGCATAAAATCTATAGATTAGGTAATAATATTCTATCAATGTTAATTTCCTAGTTTTGATTATTGTACTATGGTTATGATTATTGTACTATGATTATGACATTAATATTTGGGGAAGCTGAGTAAAGGGCATATGGAAATTTTCTACTATTTTTGTATATATTTTGGAAGTCTGAACTTATTTCAAAATAAAAAGCTTAGTGGCATTTTGGGCTGGATGATAAATATATTTTTATAGTAATAATTTAAATAAATTAAAAGTTTTTTTCTTTCTTTCTTTTATTTTTTTGAGATGGAGTCTCACTCTGTCACCAGGCAGGAGTGTGGTGGCACGATCTCGGCTCACTGCAACCTCCGACTCCCTGGTTCAAGCTATTCTCCTGCCTCAGCCTCCCAAGTAGCTGGGATTACAGGCACGTGCCACAATGCCCAGCTAATGTTTTTCTGTATTTTTAGTAGTGATGGAGTTTCACCATGATGGCCAGGATGGTCTCGATCTTCTGACCTCATGATCTGCCCGCCTCAGCCTCCCAAAGTGCTGGGATTACAGGCATGAGCCACCGTGCCCAGCAATAAAAAGTTTTAAAAGTTAATTGGTTAATGGTTATGTTAACATATTGTTCTTTGTGTTAACAGTATGCTATGCATTTCTAATAGAGCTGGCTATCTATCTCAGAATATTTCTAGAAAAATATTTTTCTCAAATAATTTTAAGTAGATCACTGACAATGGGGATCTCTGAATTAGCAGTGCTGTCCCAGGGTGACCACCTCAGATGCATATATAAAATGTCCTGAAATATCACTGAATGTTTTCTGAGGCAGGCAGTGGGATGATACAAGTGGAGTCTAAGGAAGATCTACATGGCAATGATATCACAGAAAGGAAGCACACAGCAAAGTAAGAAGTGGTGATCTAAATGAGTGTGGATGAGGATTGGAACTCTGGTCGGCAGTTAGGATGGAAGGAAAATATTAGAGAAATTCACATTTTAAAGTTAAAGTTCAGGATTTGGTAACTGCATTTAAAAAACAAGGAAGGAGACGCAGATGCTAGCTATCATCAAAGATAGCAGCATCTTGATAGAAATAAGCAAATGGGGAGGGACAGATGATGAACCCAATTTTGGCCACAATGAACTTTAAATAATGATGGAACATTTGGAGATATGAGGCTGGAACTCAGAAAAGAGATTCAAGCTGGAAGTACATTTGTGTCACCAGCAAAATGTCAATTGCTGCAATTATTAGAACGTATGAACTCTTTGATGGAGAAATTACAACAAAGAAAATCACAGGAACAGGGCTGCAGAGGGGAACAAGGCTAGAAATAGGCTCTTCTCATACTTCTATGCCCAATTATTAGCAGAAAACGTGACAAGTTTAGTTTAAAAATTACAGCAGGCAACTTTTGAGTTGGTTCCTGCCTCATGATGATCCTCCATTTCTGGGAATGGCTTATGACGATAGGGTTGGAGTTGCAGTGACCATGTCTGACCCTGCACCTTGGCCATAGCTGAGTAATCAAAAGAATATAAGCTGGACCAAGCAAAGCTAAGAAGTTTCCTTCCCATGAGTAAGTAGAATCTGGAAGTAGTTTATCCAGTGTCCTTCCGGGTGAATTGAAACCTTGTGCCCAGCTTCTGGTTTTCACTCTATTTCCCTGCTGGGATAGAAGCCCAGCCCTGAACCCCAGCCAAAAAGTTATAGCCCTTGCTCTACTGACTTCTTGCCAGTTCAGGACACAAACCCCGTAGTGGTACCATCACCACTACCATCCTAAATTTCCTCAGCTACTAGATATTTGTGCATTAACTCAAAAAGACCTCTCAGCAACACACTCAGATAATGGGATAATCCACAAAACCTGAGATATTAGCCTGCCAAAAGCCTTTTGAAAACGACTTTTTTTTTTTTTTTTTTTGAGACAAGGTTTCACTCCCATCACACAGGCTGGAGTGCAGTGGCAGGATTTCAGCTCACTGTAGCCTTGACTTTCTGAGCTCAGGTGATCCTCCCACCTCAGCCTCCTCAGGAGCTAGGACTACACGCACATGCCACACCTGGATAATTTTTTTATTCTGTTGTAGAGATAGAGTTTCACCATGTTGCCCATGTTAGTCTTGAACTCCTGGGCTCAAACGATCCTCCGGCCTTGGCCTCCCAAAGTGCTGGGATTGTAGGCAGGAGCCACTGAGCTGAGCCTGCAAATGACTTATTTACATTCATAGGTAGACTACAAACACAGCAACACATTTTGCAGTTTAATTCACTGCAATGACACAATAGCAGCCATAGTTTAAGTGAGAGGTAAGAAGTCTTTGCTATTCAATCATGGTGCAATCACACACTTGAATGGATATCTATTCTTACATTATAAATGAACGTCAATCATAAAGCAGATTCCTCACCTGGAAAGTGATTAGACAACTATCAAGTCTCTTCAATTAAAATTCTAGGTAATTTTTTTTTTCTTGAGATGGAGTATCGCTCTGTTGCCCAGGCTGGAGTGCAATGGTGCAATCTCGGCTCACTGCAACCTCTGCCTCCCAGGTTCAAGCAATTCTCCTGCCTCAGCCTCTCAAGTAGCTGGGATTACAGGTGCCCGCCACCACGTTTGGCTAATTTTTTTGTATTTTTTTTTTTTTTAGCAGAGATGGGGTTTCACCATGTTGGCCAGGCTGGTTTCGAACTCCTGATCTCAAGTGATCCGCCTGTCTCGGCCTCCCAAAGTGCTAGGATTACAGGCATGAGCCTCCGCGCCCAGCCTAGGTAATTTTTTTTTTAACCAAGCAATGATTTTCACTTTTTATACCCATCTTGTTTCCCCCCACCCCCCAATAATGCTTATGTAACTAAGGACAGCAGTGATCGCACAGTGTTGTATGGTTAGTTGTCATATGAGTTTTTCTCCTTTGAGTTCCTTCAACATGGGGATTTTGTTTCACTTACTCCTTGTATCTGGGTGTCATATATGGTCATTTGCTCACAGTAAGCTTCAATAAGCACTGATTGAACTGCAACATGAACAACTTGTTACAACACTATATACCAAACACTCCACACTTAAGCAAAACTTGCAAAGTCTGAGTTTTCTTTATAGTTCTTAACTATTCCTTACATCCTGAAAAAAATATTTTTAGATAAAAGTAGGCATATTTAACTTCATCAGGGGAACCTTGAGCTTTTTTGGCTATTCAATAGTAGGAAATGAGGGGAAAAAAGCAATTATTGTATGGATTAATATGATCCACCTTCAGAAAGAACGTAGGGCAATTTACAACATGCCAGAGGATGCGAGAACTGGCAAGCTTCATCTTATTGATGCTCAGATTCCCTGAAGCTACATAAAAATGTAGATGATAAGGATGAGCAGAGGCACAGAGAAAGCACCAGAACCTTAAGGTAAATAACAGACATGGTAGAGTTTGAGCTACAGTGGAATCATTTTCATCCTGAAAAATTTGCCCCAGAGATTTCTTTGGTCCCATGAAAAACATTTTATGAAATATATACATACTAGTTTTCCTTGTTACCCCTAGTGGAGAAACAATGCTTTGAGAGCATAGCAGAAGAGAGAGTTGTTAAAAAATAAGTTTTACAAAAATGTAAAAGCACGACTGTGATACATATATAAAAATGAACACGTGTTAAAACTTTCCCATGTCATATGATATGAAGGAACTGGGCAGATGTTATAACCAGTTCAAAGAGAAAGTCAAAACAGTACAAATTTATAAGGAGTAAAAGATGAGGAGATGAATTGCAAAGAGGGACTAAAATTAGTTTTTCCACATCGAGGAGAAGGTGTATTAAAATCACTACTAGAACAGCCACAAGGTACATATTTATTAGTTACCTAAAATCTACAAAGCACTGAAAAATAGCTCAAAGACAATGTGCAGGGCTAGAATTGGATCATCTGGAAGCCTGTACTGTTGATGATGCAGTTTTCCTTGAAACATACAATATTTTCTACAGTTTACTTGACTCTCAGGCCCAACAGATCTCTTCAATCATGCATGTTTCAGCCATGCTTTGATAAGCAAATTGCTGTGTTTGATACTTACACTCTCTACTGGTATCTGAGATGCCAGTATTCCATTAAAAAGGAGACACTTTTTTCATATTAGGGATCTATGTGTGATGGAGCTGACCTTATGCCTTTAAAATTCCGAGGGACCTGACATTCTCTGTCCCAGTGCAGAAACAGTACACAGAGGTTTTGCTTATAAACAAGGCCAAATTATTTTCCCAATAAGGAATGCTGACTGTTCAAATGCTCAGGTGAGTATTGAGTTGAGACTCTCAGGGTCTGTGCCATGAAGTGGGAAGATAAATTTAGGTCTGAAAAGTTTTGAAGGCTGGTATTATCAGGCTTCATACTTGCAACAGTTTCTTCGGGAGCAGAACCTCCCTGATGAACCAGCGTTTTCCACAGCTTTAGAACCACTCTCCATGGTTCTTACTCTTTTATTTCACTTGCCCAATTCACAGAAGCAAAGTGCTATTCCTGCAAGTTAAGTTCTAAATACTGAGGCAGAAAGCTTGTTAGGTTGCCGAGCCCTTCTTCCCTGCAAGTCACCCTCCTGCCACACACAGTGACCTCACCCCTTGGCCATCCTCTGGCACCACTGTGGTGGTCTGGCCTTATTATCCTATCTCAGCCCAGGCACTGAAGAGTCTTTGTTCCTGTATCTGAACTTGTTGTGTGGGTGTATCCATTCTTTCTGTTTCATCCCCACCGATCCCTCCAGGAGCTCCACTCCACTCTCTCCTGCCCCAGGCCACTCCTTCTTCTCAGGAATGTTTCTCTTATCTATTTTCCTGTTCATGGCAGCTGACAGCTTTATTCAGAGTCTAAAGACTCATATAATCCTGAGCAAGTAGGCTGGGGGAGGGATTAGCATCCCTTCTAAACAGAAGGGGTGGTTCCTAGATGACCAGGCGCTCTAAAAACTACCAATTGGCTGCCTTGACCATAAAAGCAGTTCAGCCTGGCCTCGGTGAATGTCTGGTTTTCTTTTTTTAAGTAGAATTATATCCTGATGGACCCACCCGAGTAAGTTAGAAGCAAAATATACATTCAAATAGCTGAATGAGCTGACCTGTTGTATAGGGTTACTTAGTATTGTTCATTTAAATACTGGAGAATGTCTGTCAAACACAATGGTTTTCGTTGTAGCATGGTTGATGTTAAACTGTTCTGACAGTAAGTAGCCAACAGGTTCAGCAGCTTTAAAAGAAAAATCCTGGTTTGTGTTAATAAAACCATGTCATCGGCATCAAGAAGGGCATACTATTTATTATGCCTTGAAGCATTCTTCCCATTTATTGAAAGCTGTATCAAGTTATATATGTGTGAGCTATGACGCCAAATTAGGACACTGCCCTATTTTATACATTTAGAATTGGAATTTTATCCTATTCATGAGAAACTCAGAATATACACCAGGATTATGGAGCTTAATTCGTGAGTTATTCAAAAGACATTCATTGAGTAACCCATTGTTCTATAAACTGGAGATAGATAAATAAGACATGGTCTCTATCTTAGAGGAATTTAAGATAAAGTGGAGAAGACAGTGCAAATGAATATTACATTTTCACAGTGTTAGGACATCACTGTTGGTCACTGGTATATTCCTGGTGTCTAGGATTCCTGGATTTTTATTAAAACTTGAACAGAAATGGAATTCAGTGGTGGTATTATGACACATGGTTTTAAGGGGAACACTAAAAAGTAATCTGATCAGAAAATTAAAACACTAAGAAAAGTCATATTTTGTTTTCACTCCTCATATTTTTAATAGAAAAATAAAGCAGTGCATGTATATCCTAAAAAATTATCCACAATCCCATCATTTCATTATTCTTAATAATTTCTTCCTAAGGAGTAACAATGCTTATTAGATTACACCTAAAATCTGCTCATTCTTCATCTAAGATATGTAAGACATATTGTTAGAGCTAATTAGGAAAAAGTGTTTGCCTAAGAGCAGTGAACTTAATTTTGTTGTGTTTTTAAGCTTAAAGTGATCATGAGTTACTAGATCCCATTTAGTAAAAGATTTGAATTTACAGAATACAAAGCGATTGTCATATGACCCTACAGCTGAAGCAGATAACTTCTTGCACTACTAGAGATTAGTACTATTATGGTTTATCTTAAAGAAGCCTTCCCTGGAAACATATTTCCTACATTTGTATTTATTACTGGTTCTGTGAATTCAAGCTAAAGTTTTTCATGGAAATCAGTCATAACCACCCCTTCCTTCCAACCACTCCAAAAAGACAAATGAGTTAGAAAATAATCTGGGCTTCTCCGCAGGACTAGTACACTGAAATTCAACACCAGGTTTGCCTCACCTTACCTTGGTCTCTGACTTTGGTCAAGTTATCTCTTTGTACCTGTTTTCTCACCCAAAATTCCATATCACTAAAAGATGATGAAAACCAAATTATGACTAAAGATTTAAAGGATAAATGTGTTTGTTTTTCAGAAAAGAATAAGCTACAGATACCAAACCCCTTTAAGATAACAATGTCAACAAAAATGGCTGTCTTTCACATTTTTTATCTATAATTTGTTCACCTTTAAAATGGAAGATTGACTTAAATGATCTCTTGGCTCCAATGTGGTATGAAAATTTTGTAACTATGTTATTCTATTACCAAGAGAATTATATCCAGAGAGGTAAGAAAAAAAATAGCAGACAACAAACATAGATACTACATCCAAAGTAAACATCTCTAAGACTTTTCCAATTTACCTTCTCCCAATAAGAAAGTAAAATCTCAAAGAGTCTTATCTGATGGCAAAAAGGTGCTCTGAAACTTATAGTCTGACTGAGGCCCACAGTCAAGAAATTGATGTGGTCAAAACCACAGCAAATTAGGCATAGAGGCAGAAGGAATCATTTAGAGTAAACTGGAAAGGAATTTGCTATTTTCTCCATTCTGGTTTTTTTCAAACCAATAGAAAAATTACTTCCAAAGCAATTTTTGAGTTGTGTTCAATGATATATCAAAGTAGAAATATCCTTTGGTATTTCTCTAGGCCACGTGTATCTTCTTGGGTGGCTAAAGACCCTCAGCTTTCAGCGTATTTGAGATGTGTATTAATGGCTTAGTATAATGAAGTATCTTAATGGCATATTTACTGAAGCACTTAATGTATTCCTTGGGGGTGAAGAGATCAAGTGTATCCCTGTTAAATCACAGAGGCTTGCTAGAGACAGTATAATGGCTGCTGCAGGCTGGAGTCCACAGACTCACTCTCTGGCTCATTGATAACCTCAACATGTCAAATTTATAATTTGTCACAAGGCATTTTGAATTAGAACCTCAGACATTTTGTCAATACCTGTCAATCCACACCCAGTAAAGAAAGCAATACAGTATCAAGCCAAAGATTTAATTTAACAAACTGGCTATAAACCTGTCATGGGTTGTTGTTGTTGTTGTTGTTGTTTTTAGTTTCCATTTTTTCATCACTTCCCAAGCCAAATCCAACCAAATATGCAAGGCTCAAAAGAATCACTCTGAGTTGAGAGACATCACCACAGCCTTCCTCACCACCCATTTGTGTGATCTATTAGATACTGGCTGGCCAATAGGGCCTCAGTTTATTTGTCCATCAAATAAAGAGATTAAGCTAAATGGTTTTCGGAACTAATATTCCATAATTCTACTCATTTTTTTCAGGGGGTATGTAGCAGTTTGAAGAACGCTGAATTAAGCTAAATGTCCAATTTTTACCTAAAAGCAATTTTCTTTCTTTTTTCTTTTTTCCTCAAAATAATCTCTATGGTACAAAAAGTTGAAGGTACCTATTTTAGCTTTATTTTTAAGGACGATATTTAAATAATAAAACCAGGAATGGCTTTAAAGAAGCAGTCATCATGAAAAGAAGACAAAAGTTGTAATTTGGAATAGAATTGCTTTTCAATGAAATAATGCCAAATATGAGTGTATTTTCTTTAATCTATCTATATAGGTATGAATAACATGCCAGCAACCCTGTATTGTAAACTTTTTCACCAAGGAAGAGGCCCCTTTAAATAAACTATCTTTATTGTAGTTAATATAAGAAGTGGGGAAAAAAGGGCTAATTCTGAAAGGGACCTGGGAATTCAAAATCACTCCTTTATACCACCTAGAAGAAAATATATAAGAATAAAACTATACAGAGTGATATCAGCAAGATGGCAGAGTAGGAGAAACAAATATTTTTCCCCCTCCAACAAAAAACAACAAACAAACACATATCTATGAATAATAGCCTTAAGAAGACTCAAGCATTTGTTTAAGAACCTGCAGCGACACAGTGTAGCAAAAGAAAAAAGAAACAGAGAATAACCACATAGGATGAATCATTGGGGAGATCAGCACACCTGAGACACCTGGAGATGACTAGAAACAAGATGGGTGAGGGCCGTCAGTATCAGCCATGTAGCAGGTGCCACCATGGTCCCCAGGGGCCTGTCCTGCAGAGAACACAGGCATCTTTCCCCATTGAGATAACCAACAGCCATCCTACCATGAACCCCCAGAGAGGTAGATATTATTGTGACCTCCTGCAAAGAAGGGGCCGTTGGTATGCTGCTCCTGAACCAGAATCACCAACCCTCTTCCCCACATGCACCCGTGACCCCAGAGTCATGGCCACTTTGTGCATGCCCACACTTCAGACCTTGGCTCTGCAGCTACTTCACTCTTGCCTCCATTCCAGACCATGTGCAGCCATGCCTCAATCACCAGAGCCACCACTGATAGAGGCTTGCTCCACCCCAGGTCTCAGAGCCTCAGTTACCCTGTGCATGCTCACACCCACACCCTGGTTCTGCAACCATTCTATGAGTGCCTAAACATCTAACACCTGAGTTACTGTCACGGAGAGCTAGCACATTCCCCATACCCTGGAGTTGTTGCAGCTCCTTGCATGGCTACACTCCAGACCCTGGTCTGCAGCTGCTCCACTTGAGCCTTGCACAACATTACCAATGAACTATCATGAAAACCTATACCCCAGACACCAGTGCCACTACCACTGCAGGCTCTGGAGCCTTGGCCCCTCTATGCATGCCCATGCTTCAGATGCTGGCTCCATGGCCACGCCACAAGTACAACATATCAAACACTTGTGCCTCTGCCACAAGCACACCTAAAAGCTGAATCTAGCACAAAAGGGATCACCTCACCAAAACTTCCCCAGAGAGAGAAAAAAAGGTCAGGAGGACCCCAGAAGCCTTTTCCATCTAAGACCCTAACAGCTTTCACCATTACTGCAGACTCCAACAACCTTGGCTGCTGAGGATCTCAGCAATACTTGTCAATGTCAACCTCAGCAAACAGAGCTGCACAAAGACTAGAATCCTGCTCCCTCTCTGGAGCCAGAACCATCACATCCCACCCAACTGGCAGCCTTGTAACCACTTGTAGGATAAGATCTTTCCCCACTGAAACCATGAAGTCTGGAAGAGGTGAATTTTCCATCAAATATGCAGATATCAATGAGAGGCAATAAAAAATATGAAAAGGCAAGAAAACATAACACCATCCAAAGAACACAATAATTTCTCAGTAAATGACCTCTAAGAAACAGAGATCTATGAATCAGGTGAAAAGGAATTCCAAATAGTTGTTTTAAGGAAGCTCAGTGAGCTGCAAGAGAACACAGAGATATAATTCAACAAAATGAGGAAAATAATACATGACTAAAATAAGAAGTTTAACAGAGATTGAAATCATAAAATAGAATCAAACAGAAATTCTGAGCTTAAGAATACAATGAGTGAAATTAAAAATACAGCAGACAGTGTCAACAGTAGACTTAAGCAAAAGAAAGAATCTGTGGACTCTAACACAGGTTATTTGAAAATATATGGTTAAAGGAGGAAAAAGCAAAAGACAGAGAGAATCTTAAAAGCAGCAAAAGAAAAATAAATCCTCACATACAAAGAAACCTATATAAGACTATCAGCAGATTTCTCCACAGACATTTTACAGGCCAGGAGACAGTGGGATGATATATTCAAAGCACTGAAGGAAAAAAACTGCCAACCAAGAATATCTTACCTAAGAAACCTATCCTTCAAAAATTAAAAAAAAAAAAACATAACATTTTACCAGATCAACAAAAGCTGATGGACTTCATCACCATTATATTTGCCTTACAAGAAATGCTAATGGAAGTTCTTCAAGCTAAAATGAAAGAATGCTAATTAGTAATATAAAAACACAGGGGTGTATAAAACTCACTGGTAAAAAATAAATCCATGGTCAAATTCAGAATGGTCTAATACAGATAGATACAGGAGGCATATAAAAGGGAGGGTCCCTAGAGAGTCTCTGACCGGCCTGTGCACTGGGAGAACAAGGCGGAGCCATAGGAAGTTCACGCTGTGTGCAGGGGGGTAGGAGCATGGCCTCTTCAGTTCCTGTGTGTGTGACCTGGAATCTGTGAGGTGGAGGGCCTATTAGCAGGACCCCCTCTTGCTTTGCTGAGAGTCTTTTTTCTTTATTTCTTTTTCCTTTTCACCCAATAAGTTCCATTCCCCTCACCCTTAAATGTGTCTGTATTCCTAATCCTTCCTGGTCGTGTGACAAGAACCTGGTTTTAGCTGAACTAAGGAGCAAAGTTCTACATCATTTTGGCACCCGAATTTGGGGCATGAGGAAGGGTAACATGCAAACCAAAAAATCTTTCTCCCTTTCATTTCTAAGCATTTTTGTCCTCAGACGTCTTCTGAGGGTAGAGGAAATTATCCCTCCCTCCTCACTGTTGCTCACAGAGGTCGTGAATGTTGGCCTTTTTCTTCTTTTTTCAGGATGGACAGGTGAACAGCAGCTCCCCTGCTTCCCTCCTGGCCAGGGCTGGTGCACACGGCTCAAGGATGTCCCAGAGCAGGCTGGCCAGCATCCACCACCACATATCCATGGAGTCTTCCCCTCACAGGGCCAAGGGATCTGCCTCTGTCAGAGAGCAATCAAGTTTCTCCCCCAGTTGGAGGAACTCATTTGCATAAGAATGAGAGGTTCTTCCTCAGGCATCTTTTTCTATTCTCCACCCTGTCAGCAGCTAACACAGCTGTGCATTTAAGCTGTCTTTTCCTTTTCTCCACTGGGTTAGCAGTGAGGCTTTTTAAAAATATATATAAAGAGATTTTACTAGGCCAGGAATAAGTTTCACTGTTTATATTCTCTTAAGCTGTAGCCAATCTGGTGTGCTTTGCATGTCTTTCTGTCTGGTCAGTAGCAAAATTTGCTGCAGGCCTCCATCTTGTTTTACATCCTTGGAAGTGTGGCCTGTAACCATGTGGCAATGCTTTATTTAGCCTCCGCCATTTTAAAATGGTGGTGCAGGCTCAATTCTGACTTAGGGAATAGGTCCTTTATGGTTTGATATCTGTGTGACCTTTGCCATTTGTTGATTCTCTTGTCTTCCACGGACTGCCTTTGTTTTTCCTTTCTCTAAGCCTTTAGTAAAGCTTGAAAGCCAGAAATATTGGCTGCTTGGCCTGGCTAAAGTAAGATAATAAGGGATTTCAAAGGATTTTCTTAAAGAGCACTCAGCTTAATTAAAAGTGGATATCCCAGTTATAGGTATATTTAAAAGGCCTTTATGTTTTTCTCTTCCTGAATCTCGTTTTGCTGGGAAAGGTTTTTTTCCTCAGTCAACTGAATTATTTTTCTTCATTTTGCCTTGCCACCCTTCATGCATGCATGAGAGGGGGGAAACCTCTATTTTCCTCATGGAACCCCAGGAATTAAAAGCAGATGGATCCCTCTCAAAATCTGTTTTTGCCTCCAAGTTATGCCTGTTCATTAGGCCTTAGAAGCTGCGTGTTTTCCTAGCCCTGTCTCTTAAAGGGCTCCACCCAGAGGCCAATCATCCAGTTAGGAGATTGGCAAACAAAAACATCTTATGGATACTGAGTCTTCTTCTGCCTGTCTATGAAGTTATATATGTGTTGTGTGTGTGATGTCTATAAAAAAGAGCTCTAATAAATTGACTTAAAGAAAGATAAGTGCTTGGATCAAATATTTTTTAAAGGTGAGATAAAAGCTGTGGTACCTTTCAGTTCACATGACTTTAATCTTTGAGAAATAAAAACAGCCTTAAAGATTATTGGTAAAATTCAGATGTTGTCAAAATGTAAATATTTGCCTAGGGTTAAAGGATTGTTTTGAATTATGTAAGATAAAGCTGAAAGTTCAAACAAGCTGTGGAAGGAGTGTAAAAATTAATCTTGCAAAAGAAATTCTGTATGTGAACATATTAACTAAATTCAAAAGGATATTACATTGTTTTCCTATAAATTAACCATTGAAATAAAGGCAAAACAAGGTACTCTTAAGGCACTAATCTGCTCCTCTGCAAAATTTGTAAAGGGTTATAAAAGAGTTATGTTTTTTTTTTTTAAATTTCTGAGTCATCATTTTGGCAAAATAAGTAACTATAGTAATCTGGAATTTTATTTCATGACATCAAGTGTTTTAAATCTCTAACATTTAATAGGCTTCCCAAAATGGCTTTTTGGATGCTACAGAGGGCCCCTGGAACATCCAGAAGAGAGGTAAACATGAATGTTTGACATGTTTAGGTACGTGGGTTTGCCAAAGAGATGTTAAATTTTCTTCAGGTTATATTTTAGTGAATAATATTAGTATATGTTCCAAAATTGTGTGGGATTTCTAAAATTCTAATGTCTGAGTATATGCTATTAATCACAATTAAGGTTGTTATGTTAAGTTATTGTAAACTACGAAGATAACCAAATTTCTTTGTCCATCATGTTTCAGACTGTAACTATCCTGGATATTTTGTTACTCACAGACAATTGTTGTTTTATTTTGATCCTCTTCAAATGATGGTTTATCATCAGCTATAGAACTTTCACAGGTGCTCTCAAATGTAGGTTTCTGATAACTGAATCAATTTTTTTGACTTTTGTTTGGAACTTGCTGATCCTTACTTTGTTTTTTAGAGTCAAGGAAACATATTTTGAGCTATTTATGGCCTTTAAAAATTAAGATATCCTCCTGTGAACAAAATTTGGAGCATACTTGTCTCTCTCCCTCTCTCTCCTGCCTGGCTTCTCCAGAATTTGGAAACTAGTTGTGAATATTCTTAATTTATGGTAATATAGTTGTTTGCAGCAGTGCAATAAGAATCCATATTCTTTTTTATTATTATTATACTTTAAGTTCTGGGGTACATGTGCAGAACATGCAGCTTTGTTACATAGGTATGCACATGCTATGGTGGTTTGCTGCACCCATCAACCCGTCATCTGCATTAGGTATTTATCCTAATGCTATCCCTACCCTAGCTCCCCATCCCCCAGCAGGCCCTGGTATATAATATTCCCCTCCGTGTGTCCATGTGTTCTCATTGTTCAACTCCCAGGTATGAGTGAGAACATACAGTGTCTGGTTTTCTCTTCTTGTGTAACTTTACTGAAAATGATAGTTTCCAGCTTTATCCATGACCCTGCAATGAACATGAACTCATCCTTTTTTATGACTGCATAGTGTTCCATGGTGTATATGTGCCACATTTTCTTTATGCAGGCTAACATTGATGGGTATTAGGGTTGATTCCAAGTCTTTGCTATTGTGAACTGTGCCACAATAAACATACATGTGCCTGTGTCTTTATAGTAGAATGATTTATAATCCTTTGGGTATATACTCAGTAATGGGATTGCTGGGTCAAATGGTATTTCCAGTTCTAGATCTTTGAGGAATCGACACATTGACAATGGTTGAACTAATTTACACTCCCACCAACAGTGTAAAAGCATTCCTATTTCTCCACACCCTCACCAGCATCTGTTGTTTCCTGACTTTTTAAATGATTGCCATTCTAACTGGCATGAGATGGTATCTCAGTGTGGTTTTGATTGGCATTTCTCTAATGACTGGTGATCATGAGCTTTTTTTCATATGTTTGTTGGCCACATAAATGTCTTCTTTTGAGAAGTGTCTGTTCATATCCTTCGCCCACTTTTTGATGGGGTTGTTTGTTATTTTTCTTGTAAATTTGTTTAAAGTCTTTGTAGATTCTGGATATTAGCCCTTTGTCAGATGGATAGATTGCAAACATTTTCTCCCATTCTTAAGGTTGCCTGTCCACTCATGATGGTTTCTTTTGCTGTGCAGAAGCTCTTTAGTTTTATTAGACCCCATTTGTCTATTTTGGCTTTTGCTGCCATTGCTTTTGGTGTTTTAGTCATGAAGTCTTTGTGCATGCCAATGTCCTGAATGGTACTGCCTAGGTTTTCTTCAAGGGTTTTTATGGTTTTAGGGCTTACATTGAAGTCTTTAATCTATCTTGAGTTAATTTTTGTATAAGGTGTAAGAAAGGAATCCAGTTTCAGCTTTCTGCATATGGCTAGCCAGTTTTCCCAACATCATTTATTAAATAGGGAATCCTTTCCCCATTGCATGTTTTTGTCAGGTTTCTCAAAGATCAGATGGTTGTAGATGTGTGGTGTTATTTCTGAGGCCTCTGTTATGTTCCATTGGTCTATACATCTGTTTTGGTATTAGTATTATGCTGTTTTTCTTACAGTAGCCTTGTAGTATAATTTGAAGTCAAGTAGCATGATACCTCCAGCTTTGTTCTTTTTGCTTAGGATTGTCTTGACTATCTGGGCTCTTGTTTGGTTTTATAGGAAATTTAAAGTAGTTTTTTCCAATTCTGTGAAGAAAGTCATTGGTAGGTTGATGGGGATGGCATTGAATCTGTAAATTACTTTGGGCAGTATGGTCATTTTCACGATATTGATTCTTCCTATCCATGAGCATGGAATGTTTTTCCATTTGTTTGTGTCCTTTCTTATTCTGTTGAGCAGTGGTTTGTAGTTCTCCTTGAAGAAGTCCTTCACGTCCCTTGGAAGTTGTATTCCTAGGTATTTTACTCTCTTTGTAGCAATTGTTCACTCATGATTTGGCTCTCTGTTTTTCTGTTATTGGTGTATAAGAATGCTTGTGATTTTTGCACATTGATTTTGTATCCTGAGAGTTTGCTGAAGTTGCTTGTCAGATAAAGGAGATTTTGGGCTGAGACAATGGGGTTTTCTAAATATACAGTCATGTCATCTGCAAACAGAGACAATTTGACTTCCTCTCTTTCTAATTGAATACCTTTATTTCTTTCTCTTGCCTCATTGCCCTGGCCAGAAGTTCCAATACTATGTTGCATAGGAGTGGTGAGAGAGGGCATCTTTGTCTTGTGCCGGTTTTCCAAGGGAATGCTTCCAGTTTCTGCCCATTCAGTATGATACTAGCTGTGGGTTTGTCATAAATAGCTGTTATTATTTTGAGATATGTTCCATCAGTACCTAGTTCATTGAGAGTTTTTAGCATGAGGGCTGTTGAATTTTGTCAAAGGCCTTTTCTACATCTATTGGGATAATCATGTGGTTTTCTCATTGGTTCTGTTTAGGTGATGGATTACATTTATTGATTTGTGTATGTTGAACCACCTGGCATCCCAGGGAGGAAGCCAACTTGATTGTGGTGAATAAGCTTTTTGATGTGCTGCTAGATTTGGTTTGTCAGTATTTTATTGAGGATTTTCACATCAATGTTCAACAGGGATATTGGCCTGAAATTTTCTTTTTTTGTTGTGTCTGAGACAGGTTTTGTTATGAGGATGATGCTAGCCTCATAAAATGAATTAGGGAGGATTCCCTCTTCTTCTATTGTTTGGAATAGTTTCAGAAGGAACGGTACCAGCTCCTCTTTGTACTTCTGGTAGAATTCAGCTGTGAATCCATCTGGTCCTGGACTTTTTTTGGATGGTAAGCTATTAATTACTGCCTTAATTTCAGAAGTTGTTATTGGTCTATTCAGGGATTCAAATTCTTCTTGCTGTAGTCTTGGGAGGGTGTATGTGTCCAGGAATTTATCCATTTCTTTTAGATTTTCTAGTTTATTTGCATAGAGGTGTTTATAGTATTCTCTGATGGTGGTTTGTATTTCTGTGGGATCGGTGGTGATATCCCCTTTGTCATTTTTTATTGCATCTATTCGATTCTTCTCTCTTTTCTTCTTTATTAGTCTGGCTAGTGGTCTATTTTGCTGATGTTTTTTAAAAAAAACAGTTCCTGGATTCATTGATTTTTTGAAGGGTTTTTCATGTCTCTATCTCCTTCAGTTCTGCTCTGATCTTAGTTATTTCATGTCTTCTGCTAGCTTTTCAATTTGTTTGCTTTTGCTTCTCTAGATCTTTTAATTGTAATTTTAGGGTGCCGATTTTAGATTCTTCCTGCTTTCTCTTGTGGGCATTTAGTGCTATAAATTTCCCTCTACACACAGCTTTAACTGTGGCCCAGAGATTTTGGTATGCTGTGTCTTTGTTCGCAATGGTTTCAAAGAACATCTTCATTTCTGCCTTCATTTTGTTATGTACCCAGTAGTCATTCAGGAGCAGTTGTTCAGTTTCCATGTAGTTGTGCAGTTCTGAGTGAGTTTCTTAATCCTGAGTTCTAATTTGATTGCACTGTGGTTTGAGAGACTGTTTGTTATGATTTCTGTTTTTTTGTTTGTTTGTTTTTTGTTTTGCATTTGCTGAGGAGTGTTTTACTTCCAATTATGTGGTCAATTTTAGAATAAGTGAGATGTGGTGTTGAGAAGAATGTATATTCTGTTGATTTCGGGTGGAGAGTTCTGTAGATGTCTATTAAGTCTTCTTGATCCAGAGCTGAGTTCAAGCTCTGGATATCCTTGTTAATTTTCTGTCTCATTGCTCTAATATTGACAGTAGGGTGTTAAAGTCTCCCACTATTATTGTGTGGGTGACTAAATCTCTTTGTAGGTCTCTAAGAACTTGCTTTATGAATCTGGGTGCTCCTGTATTGGGTGCATATATATTTAGGACAGTTAGCTCTTCTTGTTGAATTGATCCCTTTACCATTATGTCATGGCCTTCTTTGTCTCTCTTGATCTTTGTTGGTTTAAAGTCTGTTTTATCAGGGACTAGGATTGGAACCATTGCTTTTTTTTTTTTTCTTTCTATTTGCTTGGAAAATATTCCTCCATCCCTTTATTTTGAGCGTACGTGTGTCTCTGCACATGAGATGGGTCTCCTGAATACAGCAAACCGATGAGTCTTGACTCTATTCAATTTGGCAGTCTGTGTCTTTTAATTGGGGCATTTAGCCCATTTACATTTAAGGTTAATATTGTTATGTGTGAATTTGAACCTGTCATTATGATGCTAGCTGGTTATTTTGCCCATGAGTTGCAGTTTCTTTATAGTGTCGATGATCTTTACAATTTGGCATGTTTTTACAGTGGCTGGTACTGTTCATTCCATTCCATGTTTAGTGCTTCCTTCAGGAGCTCTTGTAAAGCAGGCCTGGTGGTAACAAAATCTCTCAGCATTTGCTTGTCTGTAAAGGATTTTATTTCTCCTTCACTTATGAAGCTTAGTTTGGCTGGATATGCAATTCTGGTTGAACATTCTTTTCTTTAAGAATGTTGAATATTGGCCCCCACTCTCTTCTGGCTTGTAGGGTTTCTGCTGAGAGATCTGCTGTTAGTCTGATGGGCTTCCCTTTGTGGGTAACCCGACCTTTCTCTCTGGCTGCCCTTAATATTTTTTCCTTCTTTTCAACCTTGGTGAATGTGACAATTATGTGTCTTGGGGTTGCTCTTCTCGAGGAGTATCTTTGTGGTGTTCTCTGTATTTCCTGAATTTAGATGTTGGCCTGCCTTGCTAGGTTGGGGAAGTTCTCCTGGATAATATCCTGAAGAGTGTTTTCCTACTTGGTTCCATTCTCCTCATCACTTTCTGGTACACCAATTAGACGTAGATTTGGTCTTTTCACACAGTCCCATATTTCTTGGAGGCTTTGTTCATTTCTTTTCAGCTTCCCATTTCATGAATAAAGGTCATGCTAGTATCCATGGCATAAATGAGGTCTAAGGAATTCATTTTTTATTACTTATTTACTTATTTTGAGACAGAGTCTTGCTCTGTTGCCTGGGCTGGAGTGCAGTGGTGCAATATCAGCTCACTGCAACCTCTGCTGCCCAAGTTCAAGCAATTCTCTTGCCTCAGCCTCCCAAGTAGCTGAGATTACAGGCTTGTGCCACCATGCCCAGCTAATTTTTGTATTTTTGGTAGAGATGGGGTTTCAGCATCTTGTCCAGGCTGGTCTTGAACTCCTGACCTCGTGATCCACCCATCTCGACCTCCCAAAGTGCTGGGATTACAGGAGTGAGCCACCTGGCCTGGCCTTTAGATCTAAGGAATTCAAAGGCTACTGACAGCAGGGGAAAGAGCACATAGATGGGTATGAGTGAATATTCCCATCCCCTGTCCGCACCCCCCCCACCCCACCCCCATTAACATGGGTGAAAGCCACCCATGGGTTGCACTCTTTCGCAGTCTCTGGGACTGGGGGTTATAAAAATGGAAGAAAGAAAGAAGGATGCCTCACTTTCTCTCCCTCATGTACCCCAGGTATTTTCTAGGAAGAGAAGGGAACTTGGGATGCCTCTCTCTCCTCTTTCTAGATAAGTAGACATTCATCTTCAGTCTGCACTCTTTTTGAATGCATCCTGAACCCCTGGCATGCCTTTGAAAAAAATAACTTTTTTCCTTTTTCCTCCTCTGTCCTCCCTTCACTGATAGGTAATTGTGTCTCTGTACTATGGGACACTCCCCTCGGATACATCCTCCAAACCGGGAAAAGTTAATTTCCCAAACCTTAAACTGGTTGCCTTAGGATTGGGCTTAGGGGAAGAGAACCCGGAAGCCCGACATGCCAGCAAAAGGGTAAAAGTTTTTTTTATCAGTTGGGCTTTTGTCCTCCTTTTCCCTGTGCAAACTGGTAAAAGGTCTTGGGATTTTTGAGCCGTCACCTCCACCTTGTTTTGTTTTGATACATGTTTTCTAATAACCCAGTTTGTCTCTTTTCACCTTCAGGCCATCAAACTCCAAACGTCATGCAACCAGAGCCTCGGACAATGGACCCTTTTGCCAGGGACCCTCAGATAGGCCTCTGACAGAGATCTGACTGCCATTTTCCCCAAAACAGTGCCCCCTGTCAGCAGGAAGCAGTTAAGATCAGTCTTCATCCTTATCCTTATCCTTATTTTAATGGCAGTTAAATGTACTTCTTTAGAGGGAGGAATGATAGATGTGGGAGGCAGATAAGGGTGAGGGTTCCTGGAGAATCTCCAACCCACCTGTGCACTGGGAGAATGAAGTGCGCAGGTGGGTTGCCATGAGAAGTTCACACTGTGTCCAGGAGGGAAGAGCCTGGCCTCTTCAGTGCCTGTGTGTGTGGCCTGGAATCAATCTGTGAGGTGGAGAGCCTGTCAGAAGGACTCCCTCTTGCTTTGCTGAGAGTTTTTTTCTTTTTTCATTTTCCTTTTTACCCAATAAATTTCATTCCCCTCACCCTCCAAGGTCTCCCTATTCCTAATCTTTCCTGTTCATATGACAAGAACCTGGTTTTAGCTGAACTAAAGAACAAAGTTCTACATTAATACTGTAATGGTGTGTAAATCAAATATTTCTAGTGTAAAGATAAAAGAGAAAACTATTAAAAAATAACCATAGTTATATTAATTTCTTAAAGGACACACAACACAAAAAATATAAGTTATAAGCCTGGGCAATATAGTGAGAACTCGTCTCTAAAAAAAAAAATAAATAAATAAAAATTAAAATAATAATAAATCAGCCAGGCATGGTGGTGCATGCCTGTAGTCCCAGCTTCTTGGGAGCCTGAGGAGGGAGGAGCCCTTGAGCCTGGGAAGTTGGTCAAGGCTGCAGTAAGCCAAGATTGCACCACTGTACTCCAGCCTGGGTGACAGAGCAAAACACTGTCTTAAAAAGAAACAAGTAAATTATAACATCAAACACATAAAATGAAGGAGGAGTAAAAGTGTAGAGAATGAATAGCAAGAAAACAAATAATCCAATTTTATAAATGGGCAAGGGACCTGAATAGACACTCCTCAAAAGCAGACATACAAATGGTCAACAGGTATGTGGGGAAAAAAAAAATGCTCAACATCACTAATCATTAAGGAAATGCAAATTAAAACCACAATGAGATATCATTTCACACCCATTAGAATGGCTTTCATCAAAAAGACAAAAGATAAGTATTGGTGAGGATGAGAAAATAGAAACCTTGCACACTGTTGGTGGGAATATAAACTAGTATAGCCATTATGAAAAATGGTGTAGAGGTTCCTCAAAAATTTAAAAATAGAACTACCATATCATTCAGCAATCTTACATCTGAGTATATATCCAAAGGACAAAAAATCAGTACGTTGAAGAGAGATCTGCACTCCCACATTCACTGAAGCATTCATAATAGTCACACTATAGAATCAACCTAAGTGTCCACTGATGGATGAATGAATTTTTAAAATGTGTGCATACACACACACACAAGCACATATATATTTACACATACACAATGGAATACTACTCAGCTGTTAAAAAGCAAGAAATCTTGTCATTTGTGATAACGTGGATGAACTTGGAAGACACTATGTAAAGTGAAATAAGCCAGGCACAGAAAGACAAATACTACTGAACTCACATATACATAGAATTTTTATAAGCTGAACTCAGAAGCAGAGCAGACTGGTGGTTACCAGAAGCTGAGGGTGGGTTGGGGAATGAGAAGATGCTGGTCAAAAGATACAAAGTTTTAGTAAGACAGGAGGAATGTGTTCTGGACATTCATTATACAGCATGGTGAGTATAGTTAATAATAATATTGTATACTTGAGAACCGCAAGGAGACTAGATCTTAAATGTTATCACCACAAAAAATAAAATGTATGTGGGCTGATGAATATACTAATTTGCTTGACTTAATTCTTTCACAATGTATACACATCAAAACATCACATTATACAGCATAAGTATATATAATTTTGTTAAACCTTAATAAAGCTACTAAAAGAATAAAACTATATTCAGCTTCATTGTTGGACATATCATTTAAGTACTGAACATGTAATTACCAGCATTTTTAGTGCAACTAACAGAAAGATTAAATTCATTAAACATTGGCATATTAGGCTAAAATGAAAGACAACGTAAAGGTTAGATTTTCTTTCTGGCTTTTCCTATGATCAGTGGTGTAAAGAACAACACATTCAACCAATAATTTCTGGGTCAGGCAAAGGAGAGGTAGTATAAAATAAAATCAGTTTTATAATAATGGTGTCATGAGGATAAAAAGACAGAAGAGCTCAGCTAAGTCATGTAGAAGCAATTGAATACCTTCTTCATAAAGTAGACAGCCCTATTCGTAAATCCAAGAAACTCCTAAGCAAAAAGAACAAAGCTGGAGGCTTCACACTGCCTGACTTCAAACTATACTACAAGGCTACAGTAACAAAAACAGCATAATACTAATACCAAAACAGACATATAGACCAATGGAACAGAACAGAGACCTCAGAAATAATACCACATATATACAACCATCTGATCTTCAACAAACCTGACAAAAACAAGCAATGGGGAAAGGATCCCCTATTTAATAAACAATGATGGAAAAACCGGATAGCCATATGCAGAAAGCTGAAACTGGATCCCTTTCTTACACCTTATACAAAAATTAACTCAAGATGGATTAAAGACTTATGTAAAACCTAAAACCATAAAATCCCTAGAAGAAAGTCTAGGTAATATCATTCAGGACATAGGCATGGGCAAAGACTTCATGACTAAAACACCAAAAGCATTTGCAACAAAAGCCAAAATTGACAAATGGGGTCTAATTAAACTAAAGAGCTTCTGCACAGCAAAAGAAACTATCATCAGAGTGAACAGGCAACCTACAGAATGGGAGAAAATGTTTGCAATCTATCCATCTGACAAAGGTCTAATACCCAGAATCTACAAGGAACTTAAACAAATTTGTAAGAAAAACATCAAAAAGTGGGTGAAGGATATGGACAGACACTTCTCAAAAGAAGACATTTATGCAGCCAACAAACATACGAAATAAAGCTCATCAGCACTGGTCATTAGAGAAATGCAAATCAAAATCACAATGAGATATCATCTCATGCCAGTTAGAATGGTGATCATTAAAAAGTCAGGAAACAACAGATGCTGGCAAGGGTGTGGAGAAATAGGAACGCTTTTACACTGTTGGTGGGAGTGTAAATTAGTTCAACCATTGTGGAAGACAGTGTGGTTATTCCTCAAGGATCTAGAACCGGAAATACCATTTGACCCAGCAATCCCATTACTGGGTATATACCCAAAGGATTATAAATCATTCTACTATAAAGACATGTGAACACATACATTTATTGCAGCACTACTTATAAGAGCAAAGACTTGGAACCAACCCAAATGCCCACCAATGATAGACTGGATAAAGAAAATGTGGCACATATACACCATGGAATACTATGCAGCCATATAAAAGGATGAGTTCATGTCCTTTGCAGGGACATGGATGAAGCTGGAAACTATCATTCTCAGCAAACTAACACAAGAACAGAAAACCAAGCACCACATGTTCTCACTCATAAGTGGGAGTTGAACAATGAGAATACATGGACACAGGGAGGGGAACATCACACTCTGGGGCCTGTTAGGGGGTAGGCAGCAAGGGGAGGGAGAGCATTAGGAAAAATATCGAATGCATGCGGGGCTTAAAACCTAGATGACAGGTTGATAGGTGCAGCAAACCACCACGGCACATGTATACCTATGTAACCAACCTGCATATCTGCACATGTATCCCTGAACTTAAAGTAAAAAAAAAAAAAAAAAATTAAAAAAGCAGACAGCTCTAATGCAGTAGCACAGAATTAAACCAGTAATTTTCTAATTTCTTTAAGTTCCTTTTTCAGTGATTCCTGGAATTTTCAAGCACTTATCCAAATGCAACACATGCCCAGTTTGAAGGCAAATCCACCACTAAAAAAGTCCCCTTTCACATCCTGTTCTATCTAGCCTCAGTCAGTTTATTCAAGATTCTAGCCCTTCAGCCTTCTGAGCCCAAATTCTCATTTCAAATACTCCACCCTTTAGAAATACCTAATGGACTATTAAAGAATTGGCAAAGAGTAAAAGAAATATTTCATAACTGGTATTTTTATATTGGTTAGAAACATTCACAGGCTATTTTAATTCACTGCTATAGTTCTTATCCCATTTTAGAAGAGCAGTTTGAGCTGGAATTTCTTATTTAGCTTTTACTCTAGACTACCTGCAAACCATTAAAAATGTATCCCCAATTGGGCTCATGGTTAATTAACTGTTCTTTGCCAAATCCATCTGTAAAGATTCAGTATAAAACACCTTTTATTTCCCATTTTGCTCATGATCCTAAGTTATTTGGTGTCTCTGCTTAGGCTAATTTTGACCTAATTCTCATAAAAATAAATACAGTGGTGTTAGAGTTTTCAACATTTAGGCATCACAGTTGCCTACTTGGAGCTAACACTGCTCTTGAGGAATGAATGACACAGCATATACAGTGCACTAAAGTCCTAGGAAGAAGTGACTTGTGTGTGCAGCCCCACAAAGCTCCCATTAATGAAGAGGGTGTTTAATTAAATCTTATAACCCTGAAATAAGAATCTACTCCCATACCATGTTGAAATAGTCCTTAAAGCTGCCATTTATTACATGCTTACCATCTGCAGCAGTAACTTAAACATTTTTTTAGTGATAAGAGCTTCACCTCCTCCATTCTCACTTGATTCTTCACTTCTGAGATACAGAACACAGGGCGAGAAGAATCAAAGTTAGTTAACTAAGATAGAATTTATCAACCATTAACAGTTATAGGCCTTATGATTCCATAAAGTTTCCAAAAGGCAGTATCAGATACAAAAACCCAAGCATCCATATAAAAATTGGATCCTTTCATTGCCATTTGGTCAAGGAACAAGATGAAACATGAAAATAACTCTAGTTCAGAAGTCAGAAGACCTGAGTCATTTACTACTTGTGGTTTCAGTTTCGTCTGTCCTGTGGGGGTGACACACCTGCTTTACTTACCTGACAGGGTTGCTTTAAGAATTTGCGAAAAAATGGGCATGGATGTTCTTCGTAAACAATAAAATATTTTACAAAATATTTGAATAATTTACTTTCATTTTATGTGTATAAAAATGAAATATATTTTTAAAAGAAATTTTTATTAAAATCTTTCAAAAGGTCTTCTAAAAGATTCTTAATAAAATTTTCTAGTTCTTATCATAAACATAAGGGGTAGGGGTAGCAAGACAGCAGCTACCCAAGGAATAAGACAACAGAAAGCTCAAAATCTGGCATCAGGGAGAACTCTAAAAATACTTAAATCTTTCTAAGAAAGTCTGTAGAAGAGGGATTCACAATTTTCCACAAGAACCAATTTAAATTTAATAGCTGATTTTTACACTACAAATCAGCAAAATATTCATACAAGCAGAGTTATTTATTGGCCACCCCAGGGCATTTGTCCTTAGATTGGCCCCTTCTTGCATCTTTACAATGTTTTTGGACACCTGTGAAATTCTGAAGGCAAAACAAAACATCTGCTCACACTCATGCCTCTGAGTCTTATGAGTCAATTTTATTATTAAGGGTGTTATCAGAGTAGGACTTAGATTAGACCACATGTAAACAGCAATGGTAAATTGGATAGATGAAATATTATTTTAATTGAGATTATACTAATTCATTTATAATTTTTGCTAATCCAATGAAGGACCCCTAATTGTCTAAGTGCCTCAGAGCCAAAGTTACTTACACAAGGCCAAAATAATTAAACACAAGCCTCAGTATGAAGTAAATTCAATAGTTCAAGATGAAGTTTGGAGATACATGAATTTCTCTAAGAAGGACGGGGGAAAAAGAGACACATCATGCTTTACACGGCTCAGTTTAGATTAAATCACATTAATATTTTCTAAACAAAGTTGTAAAGTCACAAAATGTCTTAATATTCACTAAGAAGTCACAGAAATACAATTTAATACTTTTCTCTGTATTAAATCAATCTCCTCCTCTCCACCTCTCCATCCTTTTATCTCTCCCTCCATCCTTCCTTCCTCTTTTTTCTGAAAAGCAATGAGCTTATCTGCCAAATAAATAGGAAACAATATAGCCTGGCCTTCTTTTCATTTTTTAATTTTTTGTCTCCTTCCTGCATCACCCCTCTTCCCTAACAAGTGAAGTGAAGAGAGAAGATTTTATTTGATTAGGTCAAAGGTGAGGATCCCAGGACAACATTGTCCTTTTGTCTTTGGTATGGCAGAAAACATAAAACCAGAGGCTACATACCTAACTTATCCACACATACCATCAACATCAATAAGTATTCTACCACCTAGCCTCAGGCAGCTGATTTCTTATAGCATTCTGCCCTCCAACCACTCCTCTGTCCTAATCACCCAGCTTTCTTTCGACTGCTCATCCATTCCTTATATTTTTGTCTTAGCTACTGTTTGTAAATAAGAAGCAGCTACATCCTACCTACGTATTGTAACAGTGACATGAATCTTTCTGATGCCCAAGTGATGTCAAATTATTGCTATGAGGTATTCGATACTAGACAATATTATGTAGAAGAGATGATAGAAAGATAGTCTAACACATACACGTACATACATGCATACGTATATAGGGGGAGTTATTTCAGAGTTACTCAAAGATAAATATTCTATTTAGTAGTTCTATTACTTAGTCGAATTCATCTAAGCTGTTTTCTCCAATCTGAAAGAGAGATAATAAGACCTATTTTGTAGGAATGTTGTAGGAATTAAATATTACATAAAGAATATCATGTGACTGGCACAAAGAAAGTGCTCAGTAAATGTTAACTATTTTTAATGTTGTGAGGATGAGAAACAGTTTATGCAAGGAATCAAGCAGGGTGTCAGGCCTAAGTAGACATTCAAAGGGACCTGGGTCCCTCTAAATGGCAATCTTTTCTTCCTTTTTCATATTTTAGTATTAAAAGATGTAAGTGAACAAGATCACCAAATAACAACACTTGTAATTCACATGAACAAAAAAATAAAATCAGCAGATAACTTTATTGCAAAAACACTTAAAAGGACCTTTTTAGCAAAGAATACGATTCAAATTCAACCTATTACTATTCCAGATAATGCTGGAATTACTTCCCAAGTTGGAAATAGCATACTCGCTGGATAGACTGGATCTTGTTGTCAGTCGTGTGATATTTTCAACAGGCATGGGAGAAAAGAGAGTCTAGTATGGGGATAACTAAATCTTAACAGTTGCTGAAAGAACAACTTACTCTCTGACGTCTTTGGGATGAAAAATTATCTATTCACTTGACAAGCACACATGACAAATGCCAAATGCCCTGTATATCTTATGTTATATGAAATTAAAGATGTGGTACTGTTTGCATTATGGTGATAATTTCTTTAACAATTATTTTTATTATCAAATATTTCAAATTTTTAAAAATGGTAGAGCATATAATGAACCCCTGGGTATATACTACCGGCTTAAGAAATGAAACATTACAAATGTAATTGAAACCCCCCTGTGTTCTCATTTCTCAATTCCCCTGTTTCGTAGAACTCAAGGTAATCACACTGAATTTGTTGTTATTTATTCACATGGGGTGCATTCTTCAGGGTTACTTCCTCAGGCTAAGTTAAAACAGCCAGTCTTCTATCAATCTTCAGACTTAATTATTCCCTTTGTGCCTTTGAGTAGAATTTATGAAGTGGCAAGGTTTAATGATATTAGAATTAGGTCCTACTTCTTAAATTAAATCCAAAAGATGGGAAATACCATTTTAAGGCCACAACAACTGTGAAATGTAATGTTCTTTAAAAAAAAAATCAAGTCAAGGATATTTAGAAACATGTGAAAAAAGACTTTACAGATGTGGAAAGAATTCCAGATTTGAGTTTCAGTAATATGGAAAACTATACATAAAAACTCTCCTGCTAGATAAACTGGAAATGCTGGGAAAAAATACATGAACTTATAATGCTTAGCTGAGCTCATATAAAAGAAAAATATACAGATGCCAGGAATAATGAAGCAACTGAAAACCGGACTGGCACATGAGTAGTCTATCCTGTGTTTGCCTCGATGGTGGGTGGTGAGTAGGAGTTGTCATCTAGGAGTTTGATTTTTCAGGGAATGTGAAAAAGAAAAAACATAGGAGATGAGAACTTAACTCTTGCAATGTGGCATACTGAAACTAAGATCTCTGTATAAAACTCGAAGAGCTAAACTCTCTGGCCACCAGCAAAAGAAGACAATAGACAATAGTGAAACTGGTTCTTCTATGCTTGGGCTCTAGGTGGGGAAAAGAAATCTCTTGAGAATCCATAATATGAGCCTGAACTCATACAGGATTGAAATTATCTCAAATGTGGCCTAGAAAGCCACAAGTCAAGAAATTACAAAGAAATAGGTCCCAAGCCAGGGATCTCTAGAGAGTACATGCAGAAGTAAACCCAAAACTATTCTGAAAGACAATTCTTAACCCAGGCTGCACAGGAGTTTTACAGACAAAGCCCTGCTGAAGATAAGCTCACAATGCAAGGTTTAAAACAAAAGAGAAAACAATCCACACTGGGTGGAAAAACCCATAGAAATACCCAAGAAATTCACATAATGAAAGTGTCTTACAGAGATTACTAAATAATTATGACAAAAAGAATTATCACATATTTTCACTGAGTCTAAAATCTAAAAATTTGATAACTACTACAAATTCTGAATTCCTTAATATACATAAAAATAAAAAATGGAGAGCCACTGTTAAGAGAAGGATTAATAACTGCACTTTTGGGGACGATCAAGGCAAAATCAGAAATAGAAAACATTGAATTATTTGCCACTGGCTTGCATTGGCACCGTGTAATAATAAATATAAAGTTGTAAATGCACATTTTAGCTACTGCAGGAAAACACCTCCTCTCAGAAATGTGTAAACTGATGCTCTTTCATCAAAAGGGCCTACAAAAACACAGACGTAGAGCAAGTTACTACCCTATATAGCATCTAGAGGATGTTGCTCTACACACCAAAGCTCACGTGATAGTTTTAAAGTTAGGGGTGGCAGTGGTAAAGAAATAGGATATATTCATCTTTACATGTTTTCTTATATATATTTGTAATGCCTTATAGATTAATGATCAATATATTCACCACTGTTCCATTACTTATTCTTCTGAGGCTCCCATGTAATAGACACCTATATAAATATCTTAGCATGATATTCATATCTGTTAATTAACTTTAACATAAACTTGAAATTTCTGCTCACTTACACATAAGCAGTCAATGAGTTCTGTCTATTGTATTGTATATATCCAGTCATTCCTTGCCACTTCCACTGCCACACCCCTGTTTGGGTTGGCTGGTCATCACATCACACATGGATTTTTCCTTTCGTTATCAAATATTTTATTGCAAGCTTACTATGTATCAGGTACTATTGTCCTAAGTGCTACCTTATTAAAAGAATTTCAGTCCCTACCTTTATTGTCTCTAGTGCTTGCTGCTCCATTTGAATCTTGTTGACTTAACCTTCTTAAAAGACGTATTGTTCACCTGTTTAAAACCCTTTAATGAAAATAATAACAATAAAAAAATAAAAATCCTTCAATGGTTCCCTGGAACTTAGAAGATACAAACAGAAATTTTTACTTTGATACTGAAAGACTCTCCAAAATCTGGCCTCAAACTATCTTTCTAAAGTTTTCTGTCACCTAGATGTTTACTTGTATTGGTTTGGGAGGCAGTGTCTTCCAAATAAGCCATATCAATTTTTGTCTCATCAGAGTCAGACTGAGTAAAAAACAAAACCTAATTATATTTTGTTTACAGAAAACATATAATAAATACAGGAATGCAAAAGGGTAGCAAATAAAAGAATGGAAAAAAACATAGCATTCAAACATTAATCAAAAGAAACTAGTATAGTTTTATTAAATCAGACAAAGTAGATTTTATAGCAGAAAACATGACTACAGATTTAAAAATGTACACTTGAAAATAAGCATACTTCATAAGTATAATTCATAAATACTTCAAAATTTCTGGTTTGATCTGCCAGAAAGATACAATAATTCTAAATATGTATGTACTTACAAATATGGCCTCAAAACATATAAAGAGACAATTGACAGAATTATAAGGAAAAGCAGACATATCCACAATCATATGGAAGAGTTTCATACAACTTTCTTATTAACCGATAGACCAAGCAGACACAAAAATCAGTAGTATTAAAATATTGGATGATACACTAAAAAACCTAATTACTTGACATACATAGAACACTGCACCCCAAAACTCAAGGGTAAATACTATTTTCATGAAACATTAATAAAAATTGAGCATATGCTAGGATATTAAAGCAAGTTTCAACAAATTTCAAAAAATGTTCCCTGACCACAGAGCAATTATTCTGTAAGTCAATGATAAAAGGATACCTTGAAAATCTCTATATATTTAAGGAGAAAATTAAGCAACATGCTTCTAAATAAACTGTGGGTCAAAAAAAGCCATTCTTATAGAAATTAGAAAATATTGTAACTGAATAATTATGAATAATTAAGTGTCAAAACATATAAGATAAACTAGAGCTGCACTTGGAGGAAACTTTACAGCCTTTAAGTATATATTTTAGAAAAGAATGCTAAAAATCATTAATCTAAGTATCCATTTCAAAATGTTAGAAAAATAAGGTAAGTTAAGCCCAAAGAAAATAGAAGAAAATAATGAAGAGCGTGCAGCCATAAAAAATAACCAAACCATGTACTTTTCAGCAACATGGATGCAGCTGGAAGCCATTACCCTAAGCAAATTAAGGCAGACATAGAAAACCAAATACTGCATGTTCTCACTTAGAAGTGGGAGCTAAACACTGGATTCACATGAACACGAAGATAGTAACAATAAACACTGGATTCCAAACGCGGGGAAGGAGGGAGGAATGCAAGGGTTGAAGAACCACCTATTGAGTATTATGTTTATGTCCTGGGTGACGGAATCACTAGGAGCCCCAACCTCAGCATCATGCAATATACCTATGTAACAAACCTACACATGTACCTCTTCAATATAAACTAATAATTATAATAAGCAGAAATTAATACAATAAAATAAATATATGCAACAGAAGGGATCAATAAACCCACAAGTTTGTTCTTAGAAAAGACCAAAAGAATGGATAAGGTTTTGATGAGATTGATAAAGAGGAAAAAAGAGAAGTCACAAATAACCAATATCAGGAACGATGAGGAGTCTAACACTACATATTCTACAGACATTATAAAGATCATAAAATGATAATATAAATAAATTTATGCCAATAATTTTGAAAATGTATAGGAAATGGATAAACTCTCAGAAAAATATAAATTCCAAAACTTACACAAGAAGATGTACAAAAATCTAAATAGTTTTCTATATAGATATATCAATTCAATCTATGTCTTCATCAGTGAATTTTACAAATAATTTAAGAAATTATTCTAATCTCACACAAATTTTTCCAGAAAATAGAAAAAAATTTAAAACGTTTTTTATTTTTTGAGGCCAAACTGATCTCAATACAAAAATGTGACAAGAAAAATACAAAAAAAGGAATATCACAGGTCAATCTCACTCATAATGCAAAAATCCTGTGATACACATAGATAAAAAATTCCTCAGCAAATTATTAGCAAACAAAATTAAGTGATTCCCACAAAAGGATACTGCCCATAACAAAGCTGGATTTATTCCAGGATCGATAGTTGATTTAACATTCAAATATCAACCAATATAATTCAACATAATAATAAAGGGAAACATATGGTAATTTCAGTAGATGCAAGGAAAGTTTTGTATACTCGATATTCATTCATGATTAACAAGCAGACAGACATTTGGTAAACTAGGAAATAGCATTAATTTGATTAAGGATTTCTCCAAAATACCTAAGCAAACATCATACAAAATCATGAAATCCTGAAAATTTTCACATTGTGATCAGAAACAAGAATGGCTGCTTAATACGACATCTCAGATTTCTATTTAATACCTTACTGCGGGGCCTAGCGAGTACAATAAGAAAATAAAATAAATAAAAGACACGAGAAAAGAAAAAGAAGGAACAACATAGCCTTTATTTACAGATGTAAAAATTTAAATTATTCTAATTAAACAATAAGTTAAAGATTGCCAATACAAAGTCAAGACACAAAAATAAATTTTATTTCCACTTACCAAAACAAATTTGTAAAAGCACTATTTATAATAGCATCAAAATTATCAAATTCCTAGGAATAAATCTACAAAAGTCACATAAAATATCTCTCTAGAAAACAATAAAACATTATTGAAAGATTAAAGATTCAAACACATGGAATATTCTATGAATTAAAAGACTCAATATTGTAAAAGTATCATTTTTCCTCAGATTGATCTATAGTATAGGGTCAAATAATCCCAATAAAAATTCTGTCAGGTTGTGTGTGTACATGTGTGGGCAACATGTATGCTGATTTAAAGGCCAAGAATAGTTGAGACACTATTAAGAAAGAACAAGCTGAGAGAACTTGATCTACCAGTCATTAGAATGTATTACGATTCAACACTAATTAAGATAGTGTAGTCTTGATGATTGGAGCTTCCTACTCGGTTCAAACAAATCGATAAAGAGGTTCAAACAAATTGAACCGAGTAGGAAGCTCAAATACATATCACACATACATGGATACTTGATTTCAAATAAATAAGGCATTACAGAACAATGGGAGATGGAACTTCAGCAAATGGTAATGAGTCAATTGACTATCCATAGATGGGGAAAAACATGAAATTTAACCCATATCATCTAAGGTGAATTGCAGATATAACCTGTTCAACAAACCTTCTAGAATATAATACAGGAGAATATCTTCATGATGTTCAGGTTGAAAACAATTTTTTAGCACACAAAAAACACAAAACATTATAAAAAGACCAATAAATTGGTTTACATTAAAAGTAAGAATTTCTGTTCATCTAAAGATCTTTCTTTTTCACTTTATTGAGATATAATGACTAAATAAAAATTGCATATATTCAAGGTAAACAATGTGATGTTTTGACATACATATATGTTGTGAAATGATTACCACAATCAAGTTACTTAATACATCCATCACCTCATATACAGTGTGTTTGTGGTGAGAATACTAAAAGATCTCATCTTTAAAACAATGAAAATTCAACCCACAAGAGTGGAAAAGGATACTGACTACAAACTGACAAAGAGTTTATATTCAGAATATATGAAGCACTTTTATAAATCAATAAAGTAAAGACTTTTAAAATATGAGTGAAAGAAAATGATATTTCACAAAAGAGGCTATCTAAATTGCCAACAAACATATGAAAAGTGGCTTGACTTCATTAGTTATCAGGGAAAAGAAAATTAAAACTACAAAAAGTTAATATTATACTCACAAAAATTGATAAAATTAAAAAGAAAAACAATACTAAAGATTGGTGAAAATGTGGAGAAACAGCAACTTTTATACCCGGCTGTTGAAATGTGAATGGGTACATCCACTTTGGAAAATGAGTTAGCAATATCCACAAAACATGAGCATATCTATCTATCTGTCTATCAATCGATCTAACCATATGTGTATCTAACAGAAATGCACATGCAATATGAGTCAAAAGACAGGTACTAGAATTTTATATCACCATTATTTGTAATAACAACTCCAATTACAAACAAGTAGAAGGGTAAATATATGCAATAGTAAATGAACAAACTATATTTACAGAAAGTAACTTGAATATATATTACAAAAATCATGTTGAATAAAAGAAATCCAACACAAAAAAACATATTTTGTACATATGTACCTAATGTTTATTATGTTAAACACTGGTGAAACTAAACAACAGCATTTAATTCAGGATACGGGTTAATCTTGGAGAGGATAAAGGAAATAGTGGTTGAGAGGGGACACAAAGAGGGCTTCCAGGGTACTGATGTGCTCTAGTCTTTGCCAGGTGCAATGACTAAATTCATTGAGCTGGTGTTTGGTGCTCTGTATATATATTATGCTACATACATACACACACACACACTTAAAAGGAAAATAGACCGACAAAATCAGCCAAGGATTACAGTAGACAGGACTCATATAATTCCTCTGCTACCAAGTTACTTCATTTTAGTTTGCAAGTAATAAAGAGAAAATTATTCATATACAGAATCTTTTCATTAAAATAATATTTCCTCTTATTATAATTGCTAACTCTACAAAGAGCATATGGAAAATGATTAGTATTATTTAAAATGGGAAACTGTGCTTACACTATATTCTTGATTCTTCCATATCACTAGTATATTTCATGCTTCAATAGACACACCATGAAAAAGGATTATAGTATAAATAATATTGTTTCAAACACTTCTTCAGTTTTAAAAGAAAATTTTCTTATTTTGAATCCAAAAAAAAGTAATTTGACTTGAGAGAGTATGAATTGGACCCAAAGGAATCAAATTGTGTTCCTACTAATGACGTTTTTGTTTCAACACACAACATGCCATATTTCAAAAACTCAAATTTTTTTTTTAACTCAAATGTTTTTGTGATGACCACTTGAGAGACTTATTTGGAGCTGTGTACAATTTCTGATGGTCTCGCTTACAAGTGAATTTTTCTAAGAATTTCATTTATTATCTAAATTTCTGGAATGGGGAAAGGAAACCTGGAATAATGGATCAAAACTGGGTGGACATTTCTATGATTCCACAAGTATCATCCTCTAGAGAATGTCCTTTAGAAGAGCATCAATTTTCACCCACCTTTTTATCCCAGGCAAACTTCTGATCGCCTTCTCCATGCTCCAACCACAGATAATTTATATACGACAAATATTAACTAAATAGTTTGATTTACACAACATTATTGCCTCAAAAAATGTAGTTGTTATTCCAGAGTCTCTTTCACAACATATAATAATGGGTGGTGTGTGATAGGCCACCCTTACTGCCCCTTTTCTCCTCCAATGCTTTAGTATAGCATATATAATATATACAAATTTTATAAGGGTCTGGTTATAAAATGACAGCTCCTCTATATATAACAGGGTAAGATAAATTTCACCTCGCTCTACCCTTCTCTTCTTCCCATATCATTAATTCTATTACTCGTGTTAACACCATGCTGCAGTGCAGTCTGAATATAACCTTCACACTCCACACTTGTTTTCCATGCCTAAAATACCCTCTTGTGTTATTTATCTATACTTAAATCTGCACGTTGTTCTGGAACCAGAATGTAAACTTAAGAACACTTCTTCCCCACTCCTGATGATTCCCAACTGGAAGGAAGCTCAATTTCTTTGCCCTGAGCCTCTCTCACCCCTTCACCCCATCCCTGAGGAGTAAAATTATCTAATATGAAAGTATGGAAAGAAAAACAGAGAATACATGGCTCAGCACTACCCTCCTTCTAGGAAGCTTCCTGCCCTAGTCAATGCAACCAGCTATAACGTGATTCTCAGGAATTCATTATTAGAAGCCCATCTTGGCTAAGACTTAAAAATATGTCCAACAATGTGTTGTCTATTAGGAAGGAAGGTAATATTTTGGCCTTCATCTTCACTATTTATTTCATTTCTCAACTTGTACAGAACCTAGGAAGGGGGTCTCTTCATATACCTCTACATACATAAATTTCTATCTTTCCAATAAGAACCTTACTGACTACACTGGGCACTGGTAATATCTGTCCTTATTAAAATAAAATAATACTTATTATCTGTTTCACTCACTGTCACCTTACATTGAGTATGTGTAAATGTCTCTGTGTGTTCCTAGCCATCTCATAAGCTAGACTCTAAGTTCTTTCTGAGTAGAGAATATGTTTTCTACTTATGTATGTTCTACACAGGACTTAAGAAATTCAATAATACACATTGATTGTTTGAAAAAAGCTGCAATGTTTTCCTCCTGGAACTATATGTAATACAATTGATCACAGGGTTGTAAACATTTTGTTTATTTGATAGGGATGAGCAATAATTTTATATTATTTTTAATAATTAAAAATGGACACTTTTGATCATTCCCCTTTTAAGTAAATATTTATAAACTGTATTGCAGCTGGGCATGGTGGCTCATGCCTGTAATCTCAACTACTTAGGAGGCCGAGGTGGGAGAATTGCTTGAGCCCAGGAGTTCAAGACCAGCCTGGGCAACCTAGTGAGACTCCATCTCTAAAGAAAATTTAAAAATTATGTGGTCATGGTGGTTTGCACCTGTAGTCCCAGCCACTTGGGAGGATCCCTTTAGCCCAGTAGTTTGAGCCTGTGGTGAGCTAGGGTCATCCCACTGCTTCCAGCCTAGGTGACAAAGTGAGGCTCTATCTCCAAAAAAAAAATAGACAGGAAAAAAAGAATAAAAAATGGTTCTCGCAGAGTGGCTCAGAACTAAAGTTAGATACAGTAAGAATTGCTAGAGTGTCCTTTTAGCATGCTGCTCAGTGCCTATTTCTGGGAATGAGCATGTGTCTTAAATAATTTACAGGGTTGCTCATAATCTATTCCAGATTGCAACATTAGCAAGTTTTATTGGGTATTCTTTGATCTTACTAAAAAGTAAGATTGAAAACTCAAGAAATAAAGGGTTTTGGGGTTTTCTTTGAATATTAAATTATAAACTTTTTTTCCTTCAACTATTATTTTCAGTTCCAGGGTACCTGTGCAGGATGTGGAGGTTTGTTACATAGGTAAATGTGTGCCATAGTGGTTTACTGCACAGATAATCCCATCACACAAGCATTAAGCCAAGCATCCATTAGCTATTCTTCCTGATGCTCTCCCCCTGCCCCTCTATAGGTGCCCAGTGTGTGTTGTTCCCCCTACCATGTGTCCGTGCTCTCATTGATCAACTCCCACTTGCAAGTGAGAATATGTGGTGTTTGGTTTACTGTTCCTGCATTAGTTTGCTGAGGATAATGGCTTCCAACTCCATCCATGTCCCTGCAAAGGACATGATCTTGTTCCTTTTTATAACTGCATGGTATTCCATGGTGATTATGTACCATATTTTCTTTATCCAGTCTATTATTGATGGGCATTTAAGTTGATTCAATGTCTTTGCTATTGTAAATAGTGCTACAATTAACATATGTGTGCATGTATCTTTATAATAGAATTATTTATATTCCTTTGGATATATACCCAGTATTGAGATTGCTGAGTCAAATGGTATTTATGCCTCTAGGTCTTTGAGGAATCGCCACATTGTTATGGGATATGATAAAGTTTCTTTTCAAATAATCTGATCAATCTTTTATTCTTTAATTCATAGTTACACCCACCCTTTTTCCTTTTTCTCCTTTTATCTTTTTTGCCTTTGTTAGATGCCCAGACATGCCATAGTACCAGGCATTATCAGTACCAGCTCACATTCCTTTCCTTATTTGGAAAGAGGACTAACTTTCTAGCTCATTACAGACACCGCTTCCCCTTCCTCTTCACTTTCTTTTACGTTCCACCTTATCTAAAAAAAATTCAAATGTTTAGCCAACCGAGATTAGTTTAGATTGTACAACCCGACCCTGGCCAATGGGGAAAGGGTACAGGGGCATGACTTGCATCAGGAATAAAGGCTCTCGTGCCCTTTGTTCAGATGTGCTGTCATGGCGACTGGCCAAGGCAGCACCCCTCTGGGCAGAAGTAAAATTGCTTTGCTAAGAATCCTTTGTTCGAGTGTTCAATTTCTTTAGGATTTTGAGCGTTATTCCTAACATTGTCTTCCACAATGGTTGAACTAATTTACACTCCCAACAGTGTAAAAATGTTCCTTTTTCTCCACAACCTCAGCAGCATCTGTTGCTTTTTGACTTTTTAATAATAGCCATTCTGATTGGCATGAAATGGTATCTCATTGTGGTTTTGATTTGCATTTCTCTAATGATCAGTGATGTTGAGATTTTTTCATGTTTTTTGGCTGCATGTATGTCTTCTTTTGAAAACTGTCTGTTCATACTTTTTGCCCACTTTTTAATGGGGTTGTTTGTTTTTTCTTGTAAATTTAAGTTCCTTGTTGATTCTGGATATTAGACCTTTCATAGATAGATAGATAGATCGATAGATAGATAGATAGATAGATAGATAGATAGATAGATAGATAGCAAAAATTTTCTCCCATTCTGTAGGTTGTCTGTTCACTCTGATGATCGTTTCTTTTGCTGTGCAGAAGCTCTTTAGTTTAATTAGATCCCATTTGTCAATTTTTGCTTTTGTTGTGATTGCTTTTGGCATTTTTGTCATGAAATCTTTGCCCATACCTATATCCTGAATGGTATTATCTAGATTTTCTTCTAGGGTTTTAATAGTTTTGGGTTTTACATTTAAGTCTTTAATCCATCTTGAGTTAATTTGTGTATAAGGTGTAAGGACAAAGTCCAGTTTCAATTTTCGGCATATGGCAAGTCAGTTTTCCTAGCACCATTTATTAAATAGGGAACCCTTTCCCCATTGCTTGTTTTCATCAGGTTTATCAAAGATCAGATGGCTGTAGGTGTGCGGTCTTATTTCTGGGTTCTATATTTTGTTCCATTGGTCTATGTGTCTGTTTTTGTAGCACTACCATGCTGTTTTGGTTACTGTAGCCTTGTAGTATAGTTTGAAGTCCAGTAGCATGATGCCTCCAGCTTTGCTCTTTTTGCTTAGGATTGTCTTGGCTATATGAGCTCTTTATTGGTTCCATATGAATTTTTAAATAGTTTCTTCTAATTCTATAAAGAATGTCAATGGTAGTTTAATGAGAATAGCATTGAATCTATAAAATACTTTGGGCAGTATGGCCATTTTCACAATATTACTTATTCTTATTCATGAGTATAGAATGTTTTTCCATTTGTGTCCTCTCTGATTTCCTTGAGCAGTGATTTGTAGTTCTCCTTGAAGAGGTCCTTCACTTCCCTTGTTAGTTGTACTCCTAGGTATTTTATTCTCTTTGTAGCAATTGTGAATGGGAAGTTAATTAATGATTTGGCTGTCTGCTTGCCTGTTGTTGGTGTATAGGAATGCTTGTGACTTTTGCACATTTATTTTGTATCCTGAGACTTTGCTGACATTGCTTATCAGCTTAAGAATCTTTTGGGCTGAGACAATGAGGTTTTCTAGATAAAGAATCATGTTATCTGCAAACAAAGACAATTTGACTTCCTCCCTTCCTATTTGAATACCCTTTATTCTTTCCCTTGCCTGATTGCCCTGGCCAAAACTTCCAATACTATGGTGAATAGAAGTGGTGAGAGAGGGCATCCTTGTTTGTGTTGGTTTTCAAGGGGAGTGTTTTCAGCTTTTACCCATTCAGTATGATATTGGCTGTGGGTTTGTCATAAATGGAATAGCAGTTACTTTATTTTATTTTTTATTTTTTTTATTTTTTTGAGATGGAGTCTTGCTCTGTCACCCACGCTGGAGTGCAGTGGCGCAATCTTGGCTCACCGCAACCTCCGTCTTCCAGGTTCAAGCAATTCTCCTGCCTCTGCCTCCCAAATAGCTGGGATTACAGGTGTGTGCCACCACACACAGCTTTCTTTTTTTTAGTAGAGACTGGGTTTTTTTTGTTTTCAGTAGAGACTGGGTTTCACCATGCTGCCAGGCTGGTCTTGAATTTCTGACCTGGTGATCCATTTGCCTCGGCCTCCCAAAGTGCTGGGATTACAGGCGTGAGCCACCGCACCCGGCCAGCAGCTACTTTTTACTGAATACTTACTATTTGCCAGGCACTGCGCTAAGTGCTTACAGTTGTTATCTCACTCAGTCCTCTGAGGTATATTGCTACTATTTCCAGTTTGCAAATGAGGATGCCAAGGCTTAGAGAGGCTATGCGTGGCAGATATTATTCACTGTCTGCCAAATACCCATGCTGCCTTCTTCCTTGCATAAAAAAATACTGTTTGTCTGTTTGTTTTCAAGTAGGCTATGTGTTTAGCCCCAGAAAACAGTGATTTGCCTAAGTCAACAATGACAATCCTGTTCCCTGATTTTCAGACACATTTGCTTCCTTCTAGATGGAGGTGGTTGTGTGACCCAGTTCTTACCAATGAGACATAAGAAGTATGCTGAATATTTCCAGGTTCCGGAAACGTTTTCCTTCCTGTCAAGAGGACAGATGTGGCCAGTATCACTCTTCTCCTTTCTTTCTCTCTCAAGTGCCAATGTGATAGTTACATCAACTATCTTTGGACCATGACATAATGATCTAAAAATTATCAGAAAGCCTCTAGGAGACTGCTGGACCAATGAAGTAACCACAGACCTCCAGATTTTTTAATATATGAGAAATATAGAAACTTACTTAAGTCAGTGTAGTAGGGGTTTCTGTTATTGATAGCTAAATGCAATCCCAACAGTGATTTTGTGAAAATGAGATATGAGAAAGGATTTGTTAGTGAACGATTTTATTTAAAAATAAGTATTGGGTCAGAGGTAGTGGCTCATGCCTGTAATCCCAGCACTTTGGGAGGCCAAGGAGGGTAGACCACGAGGTCAGGAGTTCGAGACCATCCTGGCTAACACGGTGAAACCCCGTCTCTACTAAAAATACAAAAACTTAGCCAGGCATGGTGGCAAGCAACTGTAGTCCCAGCTACTCGGGAGGCTGAGGCAGGAGAATTGCTTGAACCTGGGAGGTGGAGGCTGCAGTGAGCCAAGATCGTGCCACTACACTCCAGCCTGGGCAACAGAGTGAGAATCCATCCCAAAATAAATAAATAAAATAAAAACAAATAAAAATAATTATTTACTGCATGCCTACTAGATGCTGAGAATTGTAATAAAACAAATATAGAAGATAAATAAGACTAATACCTTGCCTTCAAGAGTTAACAATATACACAGTAAAATATTCATAAATTAACACAGGTTGAGCATCCCAAAGCAGAAAATCTGAAATCCAAAATGCTTCAAAATCTGAAACTTTTTGAGCGCCAACATGATGCTCAAAGGTAATGTTCATTGGAGCATTTCAGATTTTGGATTTTTGGATAAGGTATACTCAACCTGCATAGTACTGGCGGATTACACAAATGCTGAAGAGATATAGAATAAAAAAAATTAAAATATACAGGATTAAAGTCAGGCAAGTAAACGCTCCCAGGGAGTGACTTTTGAGTGACATAAACTGTTAGAAAAGTGACAAAATTACAGGCCATCAGATGCTACACATTAAAAAGTAAAAGAATGAGGGAGTTATGTGGTTAAAATAGACAACTGTATTTGCTTGGCTGCAGCAAAAAGGCTGAGAATAATGAAAAACAGTTTTTGAAAAGTCAGGAAAGGTATATGGGCTTGAAGGGATGCCAGAGGACTTTGTATTTACTTACATAGGTTAATTTATATAGGTAATATGGAATTAGTACTGATATCAATAATTACAGAATGCCATAGGATGGAATATCATTTGAATAACTATTTTAGCATAAACTAAAGGCTAGTGGTCCAGCTAGGAGCTTCCTGCAATTGACCTAGAATGATGTGAAAGGGGTGAAACTAAAAGTGATAATGTGGAGAAAATATCTGCAGGACTCAGAGTTACTGAGTACAGAAGGAGAGGAGTCAAAATTACACCCAGTTACCAATCTAGCAACTAAAAATTTCAAGACAGAAATAAATTTTGTTCTAATCTGCCCAGAGAACTTCGAAGAAAATTTCTGAAGAATAGGTTATTTGCATATTCTATTAGTTGCTGAATGCTACTCTAAAAAAAATAGGCACTATTTTTTGATAAACAGTAAAATCCCTTTCCCTTGTCTTTGGTAAACACCTGAATGTGTTATAACTTAGTAGCTGATGGCTTGTTATCCTCCTTTTGCCAAGGCTACTCTCTATTTGATTTTGTCTCCATATCCATTTAACATGTGATTGTTATAAATTTCAACAGTTGAAAAACAAATAGCTGGCTGAACTCTCTGCTTCAGTCTTTTGGATACTTTGCTTCTTGGTAAGTGATCAGTATTTTGATATTGTTGTAGTAATAACAGGAAATGATCTGTTAAAATCTGGATCTCTAGCCACAGACGAATGCCAGCGTAAAAAGGAGAGCTAGTCTAAGAATAAAATCTATGAAAAACAGTTTGGGCCATTATTTCTGGGACCACAGGGAGAAAACCGTAATTTGCCCTCAACATTGAAAAAGTGAATACATAGTGGAAGAACATCTTATAGTGATCACTGAACTGCATCAGTGGAAAGCTCATGGCTACAAACTCAGTAATCAAAATAATTGAGGTGGCAAACGCTAGTGCTTCAAACATAATAATGTGAAATACCATTTCCTGAAATAAAAATTCACTCAAAATGTTTCACAAGAATACAGAACAATTTTAAATTGGTCCGATTATAATTTTGCTTCTGTTTGCAAAATAGCAAGCTGGTTCTACTCGGCAGAAAAGACAAGAGGGACACTTAATGGTCGTGGAGGTAATCATGGAATATATAATATTAAAAAATAGATTGGTTAATAGTAGTAAAAAATAACCTTAACTTTTCACATAAAATTGCCATGGATTATAGACATTCTCTTAGATTTTATAGTGGGGAGTGTTCTAATTATTAGACTTAAGATTTTTCCTGTTGATAGGATAAATCATGATCATGAACAATTAATAAACTGATCTGTGAGGCTTTCTTTCTCATCATCTCCCTCTCTCCAAGGCTTTCTGGATAAAACTGCACAAAAACAATCCCAACTAAATGGCAGACTATGAAACACAGGCAGCTTCCTTGTAGAAGACTGGTAAACAGCCTTGTATTGCAAAAACTTCCAAATACCATACCCCAGGGAGTCATAGTAGAAGACTGGAAGGCCAAAATAATATGGGCAAAAGAAGATAATCCTGGTTTTAAAAGATCTGCAAAGCAAAAATATTCACATGTAACCATAACTACATTAATTATATTCCCTGTTTTATGTAACATATTTTGCAAATTTTATCTCTTTAAAAAGCTAATTGATGAATTAAAATAACCTAGAATTCACTTAAAAATAAAATATAATAAATATTTTACTAAGAATTTTATAGCAGTAACAATTTTCTAAAACACTAGATAAGTTATCAAGTATTTCATATATTTCACTGATAAAAATTTATATTGTAATATATTAATTTCTACTAAATTACTAGTCATAATGACTAAAGGAGCAGAAGGCATGGTTGCTAAAATTACTTTTCAAGATTTGTCAGTGTTTTAGTCATTGAACACTTTCAAATGAGAATAAATGTACAAAACATCACTTGGTTCTGAATACAAAAATCATCTGTTTCAAATTAATTGTTGTTACTCACATAAAAACAATGATAGTCTGGATTCAAGACTAGGCTTGAGAAGCAAATAACTAGCTGATATTACAAATAGTTTTTCCAACATTCTGGCTTCTCAACAATGTCCTCTTTTTGCCCATTCAGTATGATACTGGCTGTGGGTTTGTCATAGATAGCTCTTATTATTTTGAGATACGTCCCATCAATACCTAATTTATTGAGAGTTTTTTGGATGAAGGTTGTTGAATTTTGTCAAAGGCCTTTTCTGCATCTATTGAGATAATCATATGGTTTTTGTCATTGGTTCTGTTTATATGCTGGATTGTGTTTATTGATTTGCGTATGTTGAACAAGCCTTGCATCCCAGGCATGAAGCCCACTTGATCATGGTGGATAAGCTTTTGGATGTGTGGCTGGATTCGGTTTGCCAGTATTTTATTTAGGATTTTTGCATCGATGTTCATCAGGGATATTGGTCTAAAATTCTCTTTTTTTGTTGTGTCTCTGCCAGGCTTTGGTATCAGGATAATGCTGGCCTCATAAAATAAGTTAGGGAGGATTCCCTCTTTTTCTACTGATTGGAATAGTTTCAGAAGGAATGGTATCAGCTCCTCCTTGTACCTCTGGTAGGATTCGGCTGTGAATCCATCTGGTCCTGGACTTTTTTTGGTTGGTAAGCTATTAATTATTGCCTCAATTTCAGAGTCTGTTATTGGTCTATTCAGAGATTCAACTTCTTCCTGATTTAGTCTTGGGAGGGTGTATGTGTCGAGGAATTTATCCATTTCTTCTAGATTTTCTAGTTTATTTGTGTAGAGGTGTTTTAAAAACACTAGAAAAAAACCTAGGCAATACCATTCAGGACATAGGCGGGCAAGGACTTCATGTCTAAAACACCAAAAGCAATGGCAACAAAAGCCAAAATTGGCAAATGGGATCTAATTAAACTAAAGAGCTTCTGCACAGCAAAAGAAACTACCATCAGAATGAACAGGCAACCTACAGAATGGGAGAAAATTTTTGCAATCTACTCATCTGACAAAGGGCTAATATCCAGAATCTGCAATGAACTCCAACAAATTTACAAGAAAAAAACAACCCCATCAAAAAGTGGGCAAAGGATATGAACAGACACTTCTCAAAAGAAGACATTTATGCAGCCAAAAGACACATGAAAAAAATGCTCACTAGCCATCAGAGAAATGCAAATCAAAACCACAATGAGATACCATCTCACACCAGTTAGAATGGCGATCATTAAAAAGTCAGGAAACCACAGGTGCTGGAGAGGATGTGGAGAAATAGGAACACTTTTACACTGTTGGTGGGACTGTAAACTAGTTCAACCATTGTGGAAGTCAGTGTGGAGATTCCTCAGGGATCTAGAACTAGGAATACCATTTGACCAGCCATCCCATTACTGGGTATATACCCAAAGGATTATAAATCATGCTGCTATAAAGACACATGCACACGTGTGTTTATTGTGGCACTATTCACGATAGCAAAGACTTGGAACCAACCCAAATGTCCAACAATGATAGACTGGATTAAGAAAATGTGGCACATATACACCATGGAATACTATGCAGCCATAAAAAATGATGAGTTCATGTCCTTTGTAGGGACATGGATGAAGCTGGAAACCATTATTCTCAGTAAAGTATCGCAAGGACAAAAAACCAAACACCGCATGTTCTCACTCATAGGTGGGAATTGAACAATGAGAACACATGGACGCAAGAAGGGGAACATCACACACCAGGGCCTGTTGTGGGGTGGGGGGAGGGGGGAGGGATAGCATTAGGAGATATACCTAATGTTAAATGATGAGTTACTGGGTGCAGCACACCAACATGGCACATGTATACATATGTAACTAACCTGCACATTGTGCACATGTACCCTAAAACTTAAAGTATAATAAAAAAAAATGTCTTCTTTAGCTTCACCTCTATCTTCTTCAGCAGGAAGTAAACTTACATCTCCTCTACACTCTCATTCACTGATTAGAGAGCTCACGACTTTCTAATTTCTGGCTTGATTGGTTAGAGACCTATTGTTTCCTCAGTAGACTGTAAGCAACTGGAAGGCAAGGTTTACATTTTCATCTTTGTTTCCTTACTATATTTCTTAACTAAACCCAATAGATATGCACACACACCAAAACACAATTGAATGAATAAGTCCTTTTAGAGTTGTGTATTTATTAGTGTTCTGTGACTGTGTATTTTTAAATTCAACAATTTTTGTTTTTTTTTGTTGTTGTTGTTTTTGAGACAGGGTCTCTGTCACCCAGACTAGAGTGCAGTGGTGTAATCATAGCTCACTGCAGCCTCAACCTCCTGAGCTCAAACAATCTTCCTGCTCTCAGCCTGCTGAGTAGCTGGGACTACAGGTGCACGCCACCATGCCTGGCTAATTATTTTTTTAAATTTTTGTAGTGACAAGGTCTTGCTATGTTGCCCAGGCTGGTCTTAAACTCCTGGGCTCAAGCAATCCTCCCACCTTGGCCTCCCAAAGTGCTATTACAGCTGTGAGCCATTGCACCCAGACCCCACAATTTTTACATAAAGTTTCTAGTAATCAGCTCATAAACTGATTTTGAAAGTGTCTTATACCCAGATTATATGTGAAATTAAAATTTTTCATATAACTGCAGTTTGTCCAATACTCAAAAGCACTGACTGACTGCAAATAAATCAGTGAATTTGCTGTCATTGTTTTCTGAACCGTTAAAATGGCTTTTCCAATCTTGGTTTTTTATTCACAGGTCCTATACAGTTAAGAAATATAGTTACTTCAAATCTAGCATCTTTTAGGTGATTCTTATGTAAAACAAGTACAATAAGTTATTTTTAAAATCAGTTCTGTTGAGGTATAATTCATATACAATAAACTGTGCCTATTTAAAGTGTATAATTTGATGAGATTTGGCATATGTACAGACCCATAAAACCATGACTATGATCAGGATAATGAATATTTCTGTCATCCCCCCAAATAGTTCATCCCTTCTTACTTCTCCCCACTCCCCATCCTATGTAACTGATCTGCTGTCACTTAGTTTATATTTTCTAGAATTTTATAAAAAATGAAACCACATATATGTACTCTTTTTTGTACAGCTTCTCTTAAAATAATTATTTTGGACATTTAGCTGTGCTGTGGCACATATCAATCGTTCATTTTTATTGCTGAGTAGCATTTCATTATATGTATATACCATAATTTGTTTAGACCTTCTCCTGTTGATCAACATTTAGGTTGTACAGTTTTGATGTATTACAAATAGAGCTGCTATGAAGATTCACATACAAGTCTTTGTATGGATATATGTTTTATATTTTGGGGGGTAAATACGTAGAAGTGGAATGACTGGTACACATAGTAGGTGGATGTTTAATTTTTTTAAAATTACCAAACTGTTTTCCAAAGTAGTTATATATTAATTGCAGGCATACCTAATTTTATTGCACTTCACAGATAACTTCATTCTTCACAAATTGAAGGCTTCTGGCAATCCTGCATTAAGCAAGTCTATCAATGCTATTTTTCCAACATCATGTGCTCACTTTTGTGTCTGTGTCATTTTGGTAATTCTCTATCTCAAACTTTTTCATTATTCTTATATCTCTTATGGTGATCTGTGATCAGTGATTTCTGATGTTCCATACCACTACAATTGTTTTGGGGCTCCACAAACTGCATCCACATACATACAGTTGCAAAGTTACTCCATAAATATCATATGTCCCTGACTGCTCCATCGACCAGCTGTTCCTATCTGTCTCCCTCTTCTCAGGCCTCCCTATTCCCTGAGACCCAACAATATTGAAATTAGGCCAATTAATAACCTTACAATGGCCTCTAAGTGTTCAAGTGAAAGGAAGAGTCACCAGTTTCTCACTTTAATACAAAAGCTAGAAAGGATTAAGTTTAATGAGGAAGGCATATTGAAAACTGAGATAGGCCGAAAGCTAGGCCTCTTTCTCCAAACAGTTAGCAAAGTTGTGAATACAAGGGAAAAGTTCTTGGAGGAAATTATAAGTACTACACTAGTGAACCCATGAATGATAAGAAAGCAAAACAGCTTTATTACTGATACGGAGAAAGTTTGAGTGGTCTGAATAGAAGATCAAAGCAGCCATAACATTCCTTTAAGCCAAGCCTAATCCAAAGTAAGGCCCTAACTCTCTTTAATGTTAGAAAGGCTGAGAGAGGTAAGGAAGCTACAGAAGTTTGAAGCTAGCAGAGATTGCTTCAGAAGGTTTAAGGACAGCAGTCATCTCTATAAAAGTGTGAGGTGAAGGGGTTTTAAAATGGCAGTATATCTCTGTCATGCCTACCTTTGAAGAAAACAATTGAAAAATTAAAAAAAAAAAATAGTAGCATAGGAGCAAGCTGGCCTCACTCCCTCAACAGAAAACCAAATACAAATACACAGTGCCAAGATTTTTACCAGTAACAATCCAGAAATCACAAAAGAGGATGAGACAGATCCCAGGACCACAGAGAAGTGAAAAAACTTCAAGCAGATGATAGGAGAATCAGACTTCCACATCCATAATGCCCCTCCTGAAAATTCTGCCCTGCAACAAGCTTGCAAAAAGCCTTCCCCCAGCTCACAATTTCTACACTGGAAAGAAATGAGATTGAGGTAGAAGTTTTAGTCCGTTTTTGCCTCTCTATAAATAAATACTTGAGACTGGGTAATTTATAAATAAAAGAGATTTAATTGGCTCATGGTTCTGCAGACTGTACAGGAAGCTGGTGCCAGCATCTGCTTCTGGTGAGGGCTTCAGAAAGCTTACAATCGTGGTGGAAGGTCAAGGAGAGCCAGCATCACACGGTGAGAACAGGAGCAAGAGAGGGATTTGGTGCCACACTCTTTTAAAACAATCAGATCTCCTGTGAACTCAGAGTGAGAACTCACTTATCACCAACGGGATGGCACCAAGCCATTCCTGAGGAATCCGCCCCCATGATCCAAATACCTCCCACCAGGCTCCACCTCCAACACTGGGGATTATGTTTCAACATGAAATTTGGAGGTAAAAAACATCCAAACCATATCAGTAGTCAATCAGCTTTCCCATCATCTTGGATTCCCTTGCAAGAGACCTGTACCTGCCTTAACACACAGGAAGCATCATGACTGCCTGAAGGTATAAATATCTGTGAGGACAAGCAGAGACAAACTAGGGAGGTAGGACTACCATCCCCAGCCCTGGAAACTCTGCTCTGTAACTCAGCCAAAGGAGATGCCACATCAGAGTGGCTGTTCAGCAGCACCATGCTGTTATGTTCCACAGGTCCCTTGGGCACAAACCACTACCTGCCTTCCCACACTGCCAGAATAATCCTTTTGGGAATTCCCCCATTCAAGACAGGCAGCACTCTAATAATTTAGTAGAGCAGAGGAGAACCTGGGCTTAAGGAACCACAGAGACAAAAAGGAGGCATCAACCTAATGGTAAAGATTTGCTAAGAGCAAGGTGAAGCAGGAAGTGCTGGTGGAGAAGCTGCAGCAAGTTATCCAGAAGATCTAGAACAAGCTTGTCCAATTCGCAGGCCACAGGCTGCATATGGCCCAGGATGGCTTTGAATGCAGCTCAATAAAAATTTGTAAACTTTCTTAAAACACAAAGAGTTTTTTTGCATTTTTTTTTTTTTGAGACGAGTCTCATTCTGTCACCCAGGTTGGAGTGCAGTGTCGCGATCTCGGCTCACTGCAAGCTCCGTCTCCTGCGTTCACACCATTCTCCTGCCTCAGCCTCCCAAGTAGCTGGGACTACAGGCACCCGCCACCACGCCCGGCTAATTTTTTATGTTTTTAGTAGAGATGGGGTTTCACCATGTTAGCAGGATGGTCTCGATCTCCTGACCTTGTGATCCACCCGCCTCGGCATCCCAAAGTGCTGGGATTAGAGGAGTGAGCTACCATGCCCGGCCAGGAATTTTTTTTTTTTTTTTTTTTTTAGCTCATCAGCTATCGTTAGTGTATTCTATGCGAGGTCCAAGACAATTATTGTTCTTCCAATGTGACCCAGGAAAGCCAAAAGATTGAACACCCCAATCTAGAACATAAGGGATGAAGGTGGCTACACTAAACAATAGATTTTTCCATGTAGATGAACAACCTTCTATTGGAAGATGATGCCACCTTGGATTTTCATAGCTAGAGGAAAGTCAATGCCTGGCTTCAAAGTTTCAAGGAAGAGAATAACTCTTGTTAGCAGCTAATGCAGCTGGTGACTTTAAGTTGAAGCCAATGCTTATTTACCATTCTGAAAATCCTAGGGCCCTGAAGAATTATGCTAAACCTACTCTGCCTGTGCTCTGCCTGTGGAACAACAAAGCCTGGATGACAGTACCACTGTTTAGAGCATAATTTACTGCATGATTTAAGCCCTCTGTTGAGATCCACTGCTTGGAAAAAAGATTCTTTCAAAATATTACTTATCATTGCCAATATACCTGGTCACTCAAGAGCTCTGATGGAGAGTTATGTTGTTTTCATGCCTGCTAACACAACATCCATTCTGTAGCCCATGAACCAAGCAGTCATTCTGACTTTCAAGTCTTATTGTTTCAGAAATACATTTCATAAGGCATTAGCAGGTAAGTGATTCTTCTGATGGATCTCAGCAAAACAAACGGAGAACTTTCTGGAAAGGATTTACCACTCTAGATGCCGTAAGAACATTCATGATTTAAGGGAGAAGGTCAAAATAGCAACTTTAACAGGAGTTTGGAAGGAATTGATTTCAACCTTCATGGATGACATTGAGGGGTTTACGACTTCAGTGGAAAAAGTAATGGCACATGTGGTAGAAATAGCAAGAGAACAAGAATTAGAAATGGAGCCTAAAAATGTGTCTGAATGGCTGCAATCTTATAAAACTTGGATGACTGTAGAGCTGCTTCTCGTGGATGAGGAATAAAATTGGTTTTTTGAAATGGAACCTATTCCTGGTGAAGATACTGTGCACATTGTTGAAATGACAACAAAGGACTTAGAAGAGTATATCAACTTAGTTGATAAAGCAATAGCAGGACTTGAGAGGATTGACTCCAATTTTGAAAGAAGTTCTATTGTGAGTAAAATGCTATCAAACTGCATCACATGCTACAGAGAAATCTTTTGTGAAAAGTCTATCAATGAAGCAAAGTTCATTGCTGTCCTATTTTAAGAAATTGCCACAGCCCTGTCAGCATTCAACAACCACCACCCTGATAAGTCAGCAGCCATCAACACCTAGATGAGACTCTCCACCTGCATAGAGGTTACAACTTGGCTAAAGCTTCAGATTATTGTTAGCACTTAGCAATAGTATTTTAAAATAAAGGTATACATACATTGTTTTTTTTTAGACTACAACAGTGTAAACAATTTTATAAGCACTGGGAAACCAAAACGTTTCTGTGACCCACTTTATTGTGATAGTCACTTTACTGTGGTATTCACTTCATTGTGTGGTGGTCTGGAATTGAACCTGCAGCATCTCTGAGATATGCCTGTACCAGCAGTGCGAAGTGCATTTTCTCCACATTGTTGTCAACACGTGGAATAATCATTTTCACTGTAGTCATTCTAGTGGCTGTGTAGTAGTATCTCATTGTGGTTTTAATTTGCTCTTCACTAGTGTCTAATGAAGTTGAGCATCTTTTTGTACAATTACTTGCCAATCATATAACTTCCTTGGTAAAGTGACTGTTCAAATATTTTGCTCATTTTTAAATTGGATTTTTCTCCTTACTGTTGAGTTGTAAGGGATTTTTATATATTCTAAATATAAATCTTGGTCAAATATATAATTTGCACTTTAGAAAGTAAAATGCAACTGTTTTAGATAATTATGCTTTGTTAATATAATGCATTATCTGTATTTTAAATTTTTCTTATTAAGGGGAAGCATTATCTTCATAATCCTCAGCTACCAAGTTTTCCCACACCTAATAAGATAGCCAGCTGGCATATGAAAAATACGTAAGGAGAATAAAAGTAGAAAACATATTGATTTTCTCAACTCCTTCTAATACCTCCTGATTTTAGGAGTCTCTTGGCAAACTATTAATAAATAGTAGGAGATAAGACACTAGATAGTATATGTGATCATTAGTCTTCCTCCTTTTTTCTTTTAAGCAAACTTAATAAATAAGCAGTCAGTAAGAAGTAACATTATTAATAAAACTTCCTGTACTTTTAAAAAAATTAGATTTCTTTTATCTCTAAGACTAAGACCCTGTTGTTTACTTGACTGTTTTCCTTATCAGACTAAAGGAAAACATCAGTGCCTAGTGTATATTTCTATTCTTATTTCCTTCATTCTCTCCATTTCCTTTAGTCCTTATTCTTGGTCTTCTCCTTCAATCCTCTCTTCTACCCTACCCAGCATCTGACAAGTATAATGTGCTTAATTTGGTGATTCCAAATAAGTTTTGGCTACAGACTTTTTGGTGATCCCACAGATTGCCTATCATGCTTTTTACTTCAAAGACAACAAAATGAAAGTAATAATACAATTCTTCCCAGAACTTACAGGAAGAAGAGCAGAGTTTTTAATGAGTGAAAAAGTGAAACCATTTTCTATAGTATCCAAATAAATTAGTACTCTCTGCCAGAATAAAGCAAACACACTATTTTTTAAATAATATTCACTATTTAATACTTTAGTGTACCCAGCAATGCATGAACCACAGAGAGCAATCTTTTCCAAACAAGAGTGAATCTAGGTAAATTCTGTGGCTAAATAACCATCCCCCGAAAAAAAGTAATACATCTAGAGAAAACAGCATACAAAATCAAATCTACTCATTTTAAACCATGGAAAAAACCACATTTCCATGTATTTCTTTAAAATCTTTTAATATATATAAAAAATTTCACATACTTTTACGATTTTATGGGATATATGACTGCCCAGGGAATGCTACAATGTCAGACACAAATTTGAAAATAACTCTTCCATAAGTACTGCTAGAACTCTTCCATAAGTACTGCTAGATTATACAGGCAATCTTTACATAATATCATTAGGATACAGACAACCCTAGGGCTGTAAGTATTCCGTGAAGGTGAATATGAGACAATTAATTATACTCCCCATATTAGATTGGTTCTCATCAGACAACCTAACACTAAGCTTATTTGACACTGTTTTTTAAAAGATCCAGTATTAAAAGAATAACCTTCCTCTGGGTAGAAAAAATAGTAATTTTGACCTATTAAAGATGATATATATTGATAAAACACAGTCTTGTTCTCAAATATGCAATAAACCATTACTCTAATGTATGAACACTAATGAAATAATCACCTAGCTATTATAATTGTGTATATACTGAAATTTTCAGTTCAACTCTTTTCTTTTGATACAAGGAACTCTTTTCTTTTGATACAAGGGAAAATAAAATGATTGGCTTCAAATCCATTTTTAGTAATGTAAAATATGTGAGCTTTATTACATGTTAAAGAAAATAAAGATAATATGACCCCAAATTTATTTGTCAAAGTTACAATAAAATATTTTTAAACATATACAAAATTAGATATAACGGATGCCTTGTTCAATAAAGGTACATGATATATTATTTAAATACAGGATAAAACAAAGATACGTTTAATGATTTTCGTCTCATTTTAAAGTCACCTTATTGAACGATACATCATGAAATCTATAGTTGTACATCTAGGAAATTTACCAATGGAGCTCTCTTCTACTGGTGTGTATATTTTAATTTGTCTCATATGGGTGTCTCTTCCATTCTGGTGATTGGCTAGAACAGCAATCTGTATCATGAATGTACGAGTTGGCTTCTTATGATTGTCAGTTAAGGGAACATGAATCCAGCCACTTGGTTCCACCAACTCAAGTTGCTGCCAAGGGAAAAAAAATCAGATTATGCTTTTATTCAACAAATATAATTTATAACAATGAATGCATTCTATAATAAAATAACTTATAATTAACATTTTGCTCAACGAAAGAATGACAATATGATAATAATCACTACCAGTTATTGGACACTTTTACCATGGTCTACTTATAGTTGCTAAGCACTTTAGATGTACCATCTTAGTAGACAAAATAAAAATAGATGTGCTTCATGTTTACTGAACTCGTACAATTTATACAACTTGTACTCTCTGCCAGAATAAAACAAATACACTAGAAAGTACATGTCTCACAACTTTTAAAAATATGTGAAACACAGATGGCTGACTAGACACAAGTAGTATGTGCCTCCTCCATGAAAAGGAACCAGAATACTAAGTAGATACTCATATTTTGAACAGATAATCTAGGAAAGAAGGCTAGGATTCATCAGGGAAGAGATGGGAAGTACCAGAAGTAATTAACGACAGGGTTCGAGGTAGCTTGCCCAGGCAGGGAACTCACTCACAGCCAGGAGAGGCTCCTGGATGTGGGGAAACAATATGAGAGATATGGAGATATCCCCACGGCTCTACACTCCGAAACAGGCTTATAGGATCTTAGTGATGACAGAAACACTCTACCAACTAGGGCCTTGGGCCTGACATAATAAGCTGTCTACAGACTGTAAAGAGACGTTACTCCAGAAAGGAAACTCAGAATCTCACAGGCATCCCACAGATCCTGGAGCAACCTCAGCTGGGCGCCACTTGGAGAATCTAGATACTGGAGATCTAGAGACACGGCTGCTGCTGCTGTGCTGGTCTAAGGAGGGAGAAGGGAGACTTGGCGCTCCCATGCACCCCTGGGAAGGTCCCAACTGACCAGCTGCAGGCTGTTGTTGAGACAGAAATGAGAAGACCACACTCCCCACAGCTTCTTGTCCATGCTGCTTGCCTGGGAGGAACCCACCCTCTCTAGTTCCATCATCAAAGACCGAAGGTAGATAAAACCACAAAGATGGGGAGAAACCAGAGCAGAAAAGCTGAAAATTCTAAAAATCAGAGCACCTCTTCTCCTCCAAAGAAATGCAGCTCCTCGCCAGCAACGGAACAAAGCTGGACGGAGAATGACTTTGACGAGTTGAGAGAAGAAGGCTTCAGATGATCAGAAATAACAAACTTCTCCGAGCTAAAGGAGGATATTCGAACCCATCGCAAAGAAGCTAAAAACCTTGAAAAAAGATTAGACGAATGGCTAACTAGAATAAACAGCAAAGAGAAGACCTTAAATGACCCCATGAAGCTGAAAACCATGGCACGAGAACTATGTGACGCATGCACAAGCTTCAATAGCTGATTCGATCAAGTGGAAGAAAGGGTAACAGTGATGGAAGATCAAATGAATGAAATGAAGTGAGAAGAGAAGGTTAGAGAAAAAAGAGTAAAAAGAAATGAACAAAGCCTCCAAGAAATATGGTACTATGTGAAAAGACCAAATCTACATCTGATTGGTATACCTGAAAGTGACGGCCAGAATGGAACCAAGGTGGAAATCACTCTTCAGGATATTGCCCAGAAGAACTTCCCCAATCTAGCAAGGCAGGCCAACATTTAAATTCAGGAAATACAGAGAACACCACAAAGATACTCCTCGAGAAGAGCAACACCAAGATACATACTTGTCAGATTCACCAAGGTTGATATGAAGGAAAAATATTAAGGGCAGCCAGACAGAAAGGTCGGGTTGCCCACAAAGGGAAGCCCATCAGACTAATAGCAGATCTCTCACCAGAAACTCTACAAGCCAGAAGAGAGTGGGGGCCAATATTCAACATTCTTAAAGAAAAGAATTTTCAAGCCAGAACTGCATATCCAGCCAAACTAAGCTTCATAAGTGAAGGAGAAATAAAATACTTTACAGACAAGCAAATGCTGAGTTCACCACCAGGCCTGCCTTACAAGAGTTCCTGAAGGAAGCACTAAATATGGAAAGGAACAACCAGTACCAGACACTGCAAAAACAGGCCAAATTGTAAAGACCATCAATGCTAGGAAGAAACTGCATCAACTAAGGAGCAAAATAACCAGCTAACATCACAATGACAGGAACAAATTCACACATCACAATATTAACCTTAAATGTAAATGGGCTAAATGCTCCAATTGAAAGACACAGACTGGCAAATTAGATAAAGAGTCAAGACCCATCAGTGTGCTGCATTCAGGAGACCCATCTCACGTGCAGAGACACACACAGCCTCAAAATAAAGGGATGGAGGAAGATCTACCAAGCAAATGGAAAACAAAAAAAACCAGGGGTTGCAATCCTAGTCTCTGATAAAATAGACTTTAAACCAACAAAGATCAAAAGAGACAAAGAAGGCCATTACATAATGGTAAAGGGATCAATTCAACAAGAAGAGCTAACTATCCTAAATATATATGCACCCAATACAGGAGCACCCAGATTCATAAAGCAAGTCCTTAGAGATCTATAAAGAGACTTAGACTCCCACACAATAATAATGGGAGATTTTAACACCCCACTGTCAACATTAGACAGATCAATGAGACAGAAAGTTAACAAGCATATCCAGGAATTGAACTCAGCTCTGCACCAAGCGGACCTAATAGACATCCACAGAACTTTCCACCCCAAATCAACAGAATATACATACTTATCAGCACCACATTGCACTTATTCCAAAATTGACCATATAGTTGGAAGTAAAGCACTCCTCAGCAAATATAAAAGAACAGAAATTATCACAAACTGTCTCTAAGACCACAGTGCAATCAAATTCACAAACTGTCTCTCAGACCACAGGGCAATAAAATTAAAACTCAGGGTTAAGAAACTCACTCAAAACGGCTCAACTACATGGAAACTGAACAACCTGCTCCTGAATGACTACTGGGTACATAACAAAATGAAGGCAGAAATAAAGATGTTCTTTGAAACTAATGAGAACAAAGACACAACATACCAGAATCTCTGGGACACATGTAAAGCAGTGTGTCGAGGGAAATTTATAGCACTAAATGCCCACAAGAGAAAGCAGGACAGATCTAAAATTGACACAATAACATCACAATTAAAAGAACTAGAGAAGCAAGAGCAAACACATTCAAAAGCCAGCAGAAGGCAAAAAATAACTAAGATCAGAGCAGGACTGAAGGAGATAGAGACACAAAAAACCTTCAAAAAATCAATGAATACAGGAGCTGGTTTTTTGAAAATATCAACAAAATTGATAGACCGCTAGCAACACTAATAAAGAAGAAAAGAGAAAAGAAGCAAATAGACACAATAAAAAATGATAAAGCAATATCACCACTGAACCAACAGAAATACAAACTACCACCAGAGAATACTATAAACACCTCTACGCAAATAAACTAGAAAATCTACAAGAAATGGATAAATTCCTGGACAAATACACCCACCCAAGACTAAGCCAGGAAGAAGTTGAATCCCTGAATAGACCAATAACAGGCTCTGAAATTGAGGCAATAATTAATAGCCTACCAACCAAAACAAGTCTAGGACCAGATGGATTAAGAGACGAATTCTACCAGAGGTACAAAGAGGAGCTGGTACCATTCCTTCAGAAACTATTCCAATCAAGAGAAAAAGAGGGAATCCTCCCTACCTCATTTGATGAGGCCAGCATCATCCTGATACCAAAGCCTGGCAGAGACACAACAAGAAAAGAGAATTTTAGACCAATATGTTTCAGGATGCAGCATCAATGTGCAAAAATCACAAGCATTCCTCTACACCAATAACAGACAAACAGAGAGCCAAATCATGAGTGAACTCCCATTCACAACTGCTACAAAGAAAATAAAATACCTAGGAATACAACTTACAAGGGATGTGAAGGAGAACTACACAACCACTTCTCTTCAAGGAGAACTACAAACCACTGCTCAATGAAATGAAAGAGGACACAAACAAATGGAAGAACATTCCATGCTCATGGATAGGAAGAATCAATATCGTGAAAATGGCCACAGTGCCCAAGGTAATTTATAGATTCAATGCTATCCTCATCAAGCTACCAATGACTTTCTTCATAGAACTGGAAAAAACTACTTTAAAGTTCATATGAAACCAAAAAAGAGCCCGCATTGCCAAGACAATCCTACGCAAAAAGAACAAAGTTGGAGGCATCATGCTACCTCACTTCAAACTATACTACACGGCTACAGTAACCTAAACAGCATGGTACTGATACCAAAACAGAGATATAGACCAATGCAACAGAACAGAGGCCTCAGAAATAACACCACATATCTACAACCATCTCATCTTTGATTAACCTGACAAAAACAAGAAATGGGGAAAGGATTCTCTATTTAATAAATGGTGCTGGGAAAACTGGCTAGCCATATGGAGAAAGCTGAAACTGGATCCCTTCCTTACACCTTATACAAAAATTAATTCAAGATGGATTAAAGACTTAAATGTTAGACCTAAAACCATAAAAACCCTAGAAGAAAACCTAGGTAATACCATTCAGGACATAGGCATGGCCAAGAACTTTATGTCTAAACACCAAAAGCAGTGGCAACAAAAGCCAAAATTGTCAAATGGGATCTAATTAAACTAAAGAGCTTCTGCACGGCAAAAGAAACTACCATTGGAGTGAAAAGGCAAAAAAGGCAACCTAAAGAATGAGAGAAAAGCAATATACCCATCTGACAGAGGGCTAATATCCAGAATCTAAAAAGAACTTAAACAAATTTACAAGAAAAAAAAACCATCAAAAAGTGGGCAAAGGAAATGAACAGACACTTCTCAAAAGAAGACATTTATACAGCCAACACACACTAAAACATGCTCATCATCACTGGTCATCAGAGAAATGCAAATCAAAACCACAATGAGATACCATCTCACATCAGTTAGAATGGCAATCATTAAAAAGTCAGGAAACAACAGGTGCTGGAGAGGATGTGGAGAAATAGGAACACTTTTACACTGTTGGTGGGACTGTAAACTAGTTCAACCATTGTGGAAGACAGTGTGGTGACTGCTCAGAGATCTAGAACTAGAAATACTATTTGACCCAGCATTCCCATTACTGGGTATATACCCAAAGGATTATAAATCATGCTACTATAAAGACACATGCACACGTTTATTGTGGCACTATTCACAATAGCAAAGACTTGGAACCAACCCAACTGTCCATCAGTGATAGACTGGATTAAGAAAATGTGACATATATATACCATGGAATACTATGCAGCCATAAAAAAGGATGAGTTCATGTCCTTTGCAGGGACATGCATGAAGCTGGAAACCATCATTCTAAGCCAACTATCGCAAGGACAGAAAACCAAACACCGCATGTTCTCACTCATAAATGGGAATTGAACAATGAGAACACTTGGACACAGGGCCCACCCCGGGGCCTGTCGTAGGGTGCAGGGCAGGGGGAGGGATAGCATTAGGAGAAATACCTAATGTAAATGACGAGTTAATGGGTGCAGCAAACCAACATGGTACATGTATACCTATGTAACAAACCTGCACATTGTGTACATGTACCCTAGAACTTAAAGTATAATAAATGAATGAAAGAAAGAAAGAAGGAAGGAGGGAGGGAGGGAGGGAAGGAGGGAGTGAGGGAGGGAGGGAGGGAGGGAGGGAAAGAAAGAAGAAAAGAAAAGAAAAGAAATTAATTCTGACATGTGCTACAACATGGATGAACCTTGAGGACATTATTCTAAGTGAAATACACCAGCCACAAAAAGACAAATACTGCATGATTTTGCTTAGATGAGGTACTTAAGAGTAGTCAAAAATCATAGACACAGAAAGTAGAATAGTGGTTGCCAAGGGGAAAGAGAAATTGAAATTTATTGTTTACATGGTAGAGAGTTAAAGTTTTACAAAATGAAGAGTTTTGACGATGTATAGTTCTTAAATACTGTAAGATTAAATACTATTGTACTAACATTAGGAGAAGTTATGTAATGGGTCACAAAATCAGCACTACTGCCAACCCAAAGACTGCCAGGTCACTTCTGAATAGGAACCACCCACCACCTTTCCCATCACTCAATATTCTTTCGTTGATATCAGCTGCTATGGTATGAAACCTACAGTGGTGTAAACAGGATCCATTAGAGTTTCTCTATGAAGACATCGACATCTCTCAGTCTGGCTTCTGGATCTTCTGCTTCCTATTAGCAACCTTTAAGTCACTATCTACTCTGGCTGTGACTTACTTAAGAGCAGATGTAACCCGCTAGGCATGCACTGATTTACAGTATTAACTGCAGCATAAACAAAGCTTACATTAAAAAAAGGAAGTAATTCATCAATAAAAAACATGTCAAATATTAAGTACAAAACTGTTTACATGTCTTCCTACTGCCATGGAAAATAAAAGAAGGAAGGAAAAACTACTTGATAGTTGCTTCAGTAGTTGCTCTTTTCTCCCTACTCTCACTACTTCTCCTTTACTAACCATATCTGTGACTTAATGAAATTCTGTAGAATCTTACTACGAGAACTGTCAACACATGAAGCAGCAGATTCTAGAATTTTAACCATCCTTTCACTTAGAAAGAAACTGAACAAGTTAACATTAATGATGACCTAGTTCTGGAGAAAAAAGGTCTAATATGATCCAAAAGAAACTTCAGAAGTTCCAAATGTGTTAAAAGGAAGCAGCTACCACAAAAGCAGCTTAAGAAGAAAGACAGACTCCAACTCAAAAGGCTCACTATGGAAAGCAAGCTCTTCTGCCCTAGTGAAGAAGGCGACCACCTAAGAAGATGACTTTGAAAGTCAAAATCAGTCCCCCTGCTAAACATGGTCAAATCATTCATTTTAGACTAGAAAATCGGAAAAGTTTCTATACAGAGAAACTGCTCCAGAAGTCGTCCCTGGAGAGTTAAGATTATATAGCTTAACTAGTCTTAAAGTAACTTATTTTTTAAAAAAGACGCATAACAAAAGAACAACTAGATAGAGTGTTCTACTCATCTGCATGACAATTCTGAATAAATGTGAAGCCAATGTCAATTAAAAAGAACAATTTTATCAAAAGCCCAAGATAGTAAACACATTTTAAGAAGAAATTACAGAAAATCTTTGGACTGAAAAAAGTAAAACTATTTCCAGATTAATCATATTTAACTATCATTAAAAAGTTACATACATATGTACATAGTAAAAATTTTTTAAACTTACAAAATTATATACATAATATTATTTTTGTTGTAAAAGGCTAAATATCTTTTTCTAACTTTTATTTTAGGTTCAGAGGCACACGTGCAGTTTATTATAAAGGTAAATTGCATATCATGAGGATTTGGTATAAAGATTATTTAGTCACCCAGGTAGTAGGCATAATACCCGATAGGTAGTTTTCCATTCCCACCCTCCTCCCATCTTCCACCCTCAAGAAAGTCCCAGCCACTATTGTTCCCTTCTTTGTGTCCATGTGTATTCAATGTTTAGCTCCCACTTAAAAGTGAGATCATGCAGTATATGGTTTTCTGTTCCTGTGTCAGTTTGCTTAGGATACTGGCATCCAGCTCCATCCATGTTGCTGTAAAGGGCATGATCTCATTCTCTTTTATGGCTGCACAGTATTCCATTATGTGAAATTTGGAATTCCAAAATGTGATATATGTACATTTAAAAAATCTACTCTACTACTGATGGGCTTTTAGGTTGATTCCATGTCTTTACTATTAGCTGCAATGAACATACATGTGCATATGTCTTTATGGTAGAACGATTTATATTCCCTTGGGTATATACCGAATAATGGAATTTGTGGGTGAAATGGTAATTCCATTTTTAATCTCTTTGAGAAACTGCCAAACTGCTTTCCAAAATGGCTGAACTAATTTACATTCCCAACAGCAGTATTACCGATTTTTGTATACAGTGTAAGGAAGGGATCCAGTTTCAATCTTCTGCCTTTGGTTAGCCAGGTATCCCAACACCATTTATTGAATAGGAAGTCCTTCCCCCATTGCTTGTTTTTGTCGACTTCGTTGAAGATCAGATGGTTGCAGGTGTGCAGCATCATTTCTGGGCTCTCTATTCTGTTCCATTGGTGTATGTGTCTGTTTTTGTATCACTATCATGCTGTCTTGTTAATGTAGCCTTATACTACAGTTTCAAGTCAGGTAATATGATGCTTCTAGCTTTGTTCTTCTTGTGTAAGATCATCTTGGCTATTTAAGCTCTTTTTTGGTTCCGTATGAATTTCAAAACAGGTTTTTCCAATTCTGTGAACAATGTCATTGGTAATTTGATAGGTATAGCACTGAATCTGTAAATAGCTTTGGGCAGTATGGCCTTTTAACAATATTGAGTCTTCCTATCCATGAGCCTGGAAGGTTTTTCTCATGTGTTTGTATCATCTCTGATTTTATTTTATTTTTTTTGAGTAGTATCTTGTAATTCTCATTTCCCCTCCTTGGTTACGTGTATTCCTAGGCAGGTTTTTCTCTCTGTGGCTACTGTGAATAGAACTGCATTCTTGATGTGACTCTCAGCTTGGATGTTGTTGGAGTATAGGTATGCTACTGATTTTTGTACACTGGTTTTGTATCTGAAACTTTGTTGAAGTCATTTATCAGATCAAGGAGCTTTGGGGCAGAGTAACTATGGTGTTTGTGTAGGTCTAGCATCATATCATCTGCAAACAGTGTTAGTTTGAGTTCCGATCTTCCTATTTGGATGTCTTTATTTATTTCTCTTGCCTGATTGCTCTGGCTAGAACTTCCAGGACTATGCTGAATAGGAGTGGTGAGTGAAGGCATCCTTGTTTCGTTCCAGTTTTCAAGAGGAATGCTTCCAGCTTTTGCCCATTCAGTATGATGTTGGCTGTGGGTTTGTCAAAGATGTCTCCTATTATTTTGAAGTATGTTCCTTCAATGCTTGATTTGTTGAGGGTTTTTATCATGAAAGGATGTTGAATTTTATTAAAAGCCTTTTCTGCATCTATTGAAATGATCACATGCTTTTTGTTTTCAGTTGTTTATGTGGTGAATTACATTACATTTATTGATCTGCATGTGTTGAACCAACTTTGTATTCCAGGGATGAAGCCCACTTGATGTTGGTGAATTAGCTTTTTGATGTGTTGCTGGATTCAGTTTGCTAGTATTTTGTTGAAGATTTTTGCATCTATGTTCATGAAGGATATTGGCCTGAAGTTTTCTTTTTTGTTGTTGTTGTGTCTCTGCCAGGTTTTGGTGTCAGGATGCTGTTGGCTTCACAGAATGAATTAGGGGAGTCCCTCTTCCTCAAAATTTCAGTAGGATTAGTAACCAGCTCTTCCTTACACAACCAGTAGAATTTGGCTATGGATATGTGTGGTTCTGGGCTTTTCCTGGTTGGTAGGCTTTTTATTACTGATTCAGTTTCAGAAATCATTATTGATCTGTTTAGGGATTCAATATCTTCCTTGTTCAATCTTCAGAGATTATATTTCCAAGAATGTATCCATTTCTTTTTCCTTTTCTTTTTTTGAAGGCTCACTGCAAACTCTGCCTCTCAGGCTCTAGCCATCCTCCTACCTCAGTCTCCTGTGTAGCTGGGATTACAGGCGTGAACCACCATACCTGGCTAAAAAGAATGTATCTGCTTCTAGGTTTTCTAGCTTATGTGCAAAGAGGGGTTCATAATAGTCTCTCAGGGATTTTGGATTTCTGTGGGGTCAGTGGTTACATCCCTCTTGTCATTTCTGACTGTATTTTGGATCTTTTCTCTTTTTTTCTTTATTAGTCTAGCTAGCAGTCTATCTTATTCTTTCAAATAACCAGCTCCTAGATTCAATGATCCTTTGTATGGTTTTTCATGTCTCAATTTCCTTCAGTTCAGCTCTGATTTTGGTTACTTCTTGTATTCTGCTAGACTTGGGGTTGGTTTGCTCTCGGTTCCCTAGTTCTTTTAGTTATGATCGTAGGTTGTTAAATTGAGATCTTTCTAACTTTTTGATGTGGGCATTTAGTGCTATAAACTTCCATCTTAATATTGCTTTGGCTGTGCCCCAGAGATTCTGGTATATTTTATCTTTGTTTTCATTAGTTTCAAATAATTTCTTGATTTCTGCCTTAATTTCATGTGTACCCAGAAGTCACTCGAAGCAGGCTGTTTCATTTCCATGTAATTGCATGGTTTTCAGTGATTTTCTTAGTATTGATTTCTATCTTTATTGCATTGTAGTCTAAGGACATGGTTTGTATAATTTCAGTTTTGAATGTCTTAGGATTGTTTTATGCCTGATTGTGTGGTTAATTTTATAGTATGTGCCACATGTAGATGAGAAAAATGTATATTCTGCTGTTTTGGAGTGGAGAGTTCTGTAGATATCTATTAGGCCCATTTAGTTAAGTGTTGAGTTCAGATCCTGAATATCTGTGTTAGTTTTCTGCCTCAATGATCTAATACTAACAGTGTGGTGTTAAAGTCTCCCCACTATTATTGTGGGGTTTTCTAAGTCTCTTTGTAGGTCTCTAAGAACTTGCTTTATGAATTTGGGTGCTTCTGTGTTGACTGCATATATATTTAGGGCAGTTAAGTCCTCTTCTTGAATTGAGCTCTTTACCATTATGTAATGCCCTTTTTGTCTTTTGTGATCTTTGTTGTTTTAAAGGTTGTTTTGTCTGAAATTATAGCAACCCAGACTTTTTATCTGAAAAATCTGCCAATCAAGTGGAAAAGATAAAGGGAATTTGTTTGGCAAACATAAAGGGATTTGCTGGGCAGATCCCTTTACCTTCAGACTATGGGTATCATTGCATGAGATATGGGTCTCCTGAATACATGTCTTCAAATAAGGAATAAGAAAGGAACGATAGCAATGAATAAAAGAATGTAGGGCAGTAGAAAGAACATCAGACCAGATGATACAAGAAGACCTAGATTTGAATTTCACTTCTGATCAGGAATTGAAGCAAATTACTTATGCTAGCTAACCTTTATTTCTCCATCTATTAGGATGAATCATATCAAATTGTCATTTTTGTAGGTCAAAAATAAAACGACGATAATTTTATTTCTGTATAATTGTTATACTTTCCTCAGAAATTTAAGATAGTAAGATAACATAAATTTCATTATTGCTAAATCCATGGGATCCTTTTCAGTTTGAACCTTCTTAGCCTTTTTTCTGTCAGTATTTGGTGCAAAATCTCTACTGAAATGTCCTGTTTTGTTGCCTCTGTGATTCCACCTTCTTCAGGTATTCCTCCCACCTCTCTCACTTCTCCCTTGTCTCTGCAGAGACTCCTCTGTATGTTCCTTAAATGTTGCATTCCTCATAGTTCTGTCCTAAAATTAGTCCCACAATACAGGCTTTAATGTATATAACTGTCCAGGTCCATCACTTCTGGTACCTCAAGTGGCTATATGCTGAAGATATAAAAATATACATCTCCTGGGAGGCGCGGGTCCCAAGATGGACGAATAAGAACAGCTCCAGTGCACAGGTCACAGCTAACTATCCTAAATATATATGCACCCAATACGGGAGCACCCAGATTCATAAAGCAAGTCCTTAGAGACATACAAAGAGACTTAGACTCCCACACAATAATAATGGGAGACTTTAACACCCCACTGTCAATATTAGACACATCTACGAGACAGAAGGTTGACAAGGATATTCAGGACTTGAACTCAGCTATGCACCAAGCAGACCTAATAGACATCCATAGAACTCTCCACCCCAGATGAACAGAATATACATTCTTCTCAGCACCCCACACGCTTATTCCAAAATTGACCACATAGTTGGAAGTAAAGCATCCCTCAGCAAATGTAAAAGAACAGAAATCACAACAAACTGTCTCTCAGACCACAATGCAATCAAATCACAACAAACTGTCTCTCAGACCACAATGCAATCAAATTACAACTCAGGATTAAGAAACTCACTCAAAACCGCTCAACTACAGGGAAACTGAACAACCTGCTCCTGAATGACTACTGGGTACATAACGAAATGAAAGCAGAAATAAAGATGTTTTTTGAAACCAATGAGAACAAAGACACAACAAACCAGAATCTCTGGGACACATTTAAAGCAGTGTGTAGAGGGAAATTTATAGCACTAAATGCCCACAAGAGAAAGCAGGAAAGATCAAAATTGACACAATAACATCACAATTAAAAGAACTAGAGAAGCAAGAGCAAACAAATTCAGAAGCTAGCAGAAGGCAAGAAATAACTAAGATCAGAGCAGAATTGAAGGACACAGAGACACAAAAAAAACCCTTCAAAAAAAAAAAAATCAATGAATCCAGGAGCTGGTTTTTTGAAAAGATCAACAAAATTGATAGACCGCTAGCAAGACTAATAAAGAAGAAAAGAGAAAAGAATCAAATAGATGCAATGAAAAATGATAAAGGGGATATCACCACCGATCCCACAGAAGTACAAACTACCATCAGAGAACACTATAAACACCTCTATGCAAATAAACTAGAAGATGAAGAAGAAATGGATAAATTCCTGGACACATACACCCTCCCAAGACTAAACCAGGAAGAAGCTGAATCCCTCAATAGACCAATAACAGGCTCTGAAATTGAGGCAATAATTAATAGCTTACCAACCAAAACAAGTCCAGGACCAGATGGATTCACAGACAAATTCTACCAGAGGTACAAAGAGGAGCTGGTACCATTCCTTCTGAAACTATTCCAATCAATAGAAAAAGAGGGAATCCTCCCTACCTCATTTGATGAGGTCAGCATCATCCTGATACCAAAGTCTGGCACAGACACAACAAGAAAAGAGAATTTTAGACCAATATCCCTGATGAACATCGGTGCAAAAATCATCAATAAAATACTGGCAAACCGAATCCAGCAGCACATCAAAAAGCTTACCCACCACGATCAAGTCAGCTTCAATCTTGGGATGCAAGGCTGGTTCAACATATGCAAATCAATAAACGTAATCCATCATATAAACAGAACCAAAGACAAAAACCACATGATTTTCTCAATAGATGCAGAAAAGGCCTTTGACAAAATTCAACACAGCCCATCATGCTAAAAACTCTCAATAAACTAGGAATTGATGGGACGTATCTCAAAATAATAAGAGCTATTTATGACAAACCCACAGCCAATATCATACTGAATGGGCAAAAACTGGAAGCATTCCCTTTGAAAACTGGCACGAGACAGGGATGCCCTCTCTCACCACTCCTATTCAACATAGTGTTGGAAGTTCTGGCCAGGGCAATCAGGCAGGAAAAAGAAATAAAGGGCATTCAATTACGAAAAGAGGAAGTCATATTGTCCCTGTTTGCAGATGACATGATTATATATTTAGAAAACCCCACTGTCTCAGCCCAAAATCTCCTTAAGCTGATAAGCAACTTCAGCAGAGTCTCAGGATACAAAATCAATGTGTAAAAATCACAAGTATTCCTATACACTAATAACAGACAGAGAGCCAAATCATGAGTGAACTCCCATTCACAACTGCTACAAAGAAAATAAAATACCTAGGAATACAACTTACAAGGGATGTGAAGGACCTCTTCAGGAACCACAAACCACTCCTCAACGAAATAAAAGAGGACACAAACAAATGGAAGAACATTCCATGCTCATGGATAGGAAGAATCAATATCATGAAAATGGCCATATTGCCCAAGGTAATTTATAGATTCAATGTCATCCCCATCAAACTACCAATGACTTTCTTCACAGAACTGGAAAAAACTACTTTAAAGTTCATATGGAACCAAAAAAGAGCCCACATTGCCAAGTCAATCCTAAGCAAAAAGAACAAAGCTGCAGGCATCACGCTACTTCACTTCAAAATATACTAAAACCAAAACAGCATGGTGCTGGTACCAAAACAGAGATGTAGACCAATGGAACAGAACAGAGGCCTCAGAAATAATACCACACATCTACAACCATCTGATGTTTGACAAACCTGACAAAAACAAGAAATGGGGAAAGGATTCCCTATTTAACAAATGGTACTGGGAAAACTGGCTAGCCATATGTAGAAAGCTGAAACTGGATCCCTTCCTTACACCTTACACAAAAATTAATTCAAGATGGATTAAAGACTTAAATGTTAGACCTAAAACCATAAAAACCCTAGAAGAAAACCTAGGTAATACCATTCAGGACATAGGCATGGGCAAGGACTTCATGTCTAAAACACCAAAAGCAATGGCAACAAAAGCCAAAATTGACAAATGGGATCTAACTAAACTAAAGAGCTTCTGCACAGCAAAAGAAACTACCATCAGAGTGAAAAGGCAACCTACAAAATGGGAGAAAATTTTTGCAATCTACCCATCTGACAGAGGGCTAATATCCAGAATCTACAAAGAACTTAAACAAATTTACAAGAAAAAATCAAACAAACCCATCAAAAAGTGGGTGAAGGATATGAACAGACACTTCTCAAAAGAAGACATTTATGCAGTCAACAGACACATGAAAAAATGCTCATCATCACTGGCCATCAGAGAAATGCAAATCAAAACCACAATGAGATACCATCTCACACCAGTTAGAATGGCGATCATTAAAAAGTCAGGAAACCCCAGGTGCTGGAGGGGATGTGGAGAAATAGGAACATTTTTACACTGTTGGTGGGACTATAAACTAGTTCAACCATTGTGGAAGACAGTGTGGCAATTCCTCAGGGATCTAGAACTAGAAATACCATTTGACCCAGCCATCCCATTACTGGGTATATACCCAAAGGATTATAAATCAAGCTGCTATAAAGACACACGCACACTTATGTTTATTGTGGCACTATTCACAATAGCAAAGACTTGGAACCAACCCAAATGACCATCGGTGATAGACTGGATTAAGAAAATGTGGCACATATACACCATGGAATACTATGCAGCCATAAAAAAGGATGAGTTCTTGTCCTTTGTAGGGACATGCATGAAGGTGAAAATCATCATTCTGAGCAAACTATCGCAAAGACAGAACACCGAACACCACATATTCTAACTCATAGATGGGAATTGAACAATGAGAACACTTGGACACAGGGTGGGGAACATCGCACCCTGGGGCCTGTCGTGGGGTGGGGAAAGAGGGGGAGGGATAGCATTAGGAGATATACCTAATGTAAATGACGAGTTAATGGGTACAGCACACCAACATGGCACATGTATACATATGTAACAAACCTGCACGTTGTGCACATGTACCCTAGAACTTAAAATATAATAAAAAATAAATAAATAAATCGCTTGATCTTTAACCAATAAAAGGAGAGGTATATGGGGAAAAAAAAACAAAAATATACATCTCTTTTTTAGAAGGCAACTTTCTGAAGGCACCAGCAAGGGACCAGGTATCCACGGAAGGCACGGCAAGACAGAAAGCTTCCACAATAGAAGTCACATGAAGAAGGTCTGGACTTTTAAAATGTCTCTTTTAAATTCAAGAGGATTGCCTGAACGCAGTGGCTCACGTCTGTAATCCCAGCACTTTTGGAGGCCGAGGCAAGTGGATCACCCGAGGTCAGGAGTTCGAGACCAACCTGGCCAAAACGGTGGAACCCCATCTCTACTAAAAATACAAAAATTAGCTGGGCTTGGTGGTGCATGCCTGTAATCCTAGTTACTCTACTCAGGAGGCTGAGGCAGGAGAATTGCTTGAACCCTGGAGGCGGAGGTTGCAGTAAGCCAAGATTGCGCCACTGTACTCTGGCCTGGATGACAGAATGAGACTGTCTTAAAAAATAAAATAAAATAAAATAAAATAAAATAAAATAAAATAAAATAAAATAAAATTCAAGAGGATGGAGTAGTTTGTGGCAAGCCAATGCCCCTGCTGAGAATGCTTATAGGTAAAACATAAAAATTATCATTTTATAGGTATCAGAGACAAGCAAAAAGCAATGAAGACTAATGGAGACCAGGATTCGAGGGAGGAGAGAGCCTCAGGGAGGTGAATGGTCTTTCTGCACCCATTTTAACAACAGGAGCATTTGTTGATGCTGGTAAAGGGCGAGAGGCTAAAAACTATGGCTTTGCCCAGGTAGAGAGTTGTTTCTTGAAGTCAGAGAAACATGCAGAGCTATTACTAGGGTCTTTCAGAAAAGACAAAATTAGAGACTTCAAGGGCTTCAAATACATGGCCTATTTTTCCCTCACAATATTTGCCACATTCTGAAGTTGCCTAGGATAGGTTGCTGAAAGGTTAAGCAAGAGGCCTCTGAGAAGCACAGCAGAGTTTTTGGCAATTTTTCAGGGCTAAGGAGGGAAGCACTAGAGTTTAGAACTTGCCAAGGGGAAGGAGCATGAAAATACCAGGCTCCTAGTTGAAAGCCTTGAGGGGCTAGGCCCCAGAAGTGTTAAAGAACAGAACTAGAGAGAACCTTGCAAGAACTGCAAAGCAGCTTCCACTGCAAAGCAGCTTCCACTCAGGGACTGAGAGGAGTAAAGCATCTCAGTCTATCTGCTTAGCGGGAGAAAAAGTGAACTTTCCCTAGAAAAAGAAAACATCACCTAGAGCAGCTCTAATAGAAAAACAGTGTGGGCCACAATTACAAGCTATATGTATATGTGTGTGTGTGTATATATATATATATATATACACACACACATATATATACATATATATAAATTTTCTAGTAGCTACATTAAAATTAAAAAGAAATGAGTGATATTAAATTTATACTTAACATATTGAAAATATTGTCACTTGAACATGTTTTGAATACACAAGGTTGTTAAGAAGATATTTTAAAGTGTAAAAAAGATTTTTCCAGTGTCTGACAATCAGAAATGACTATGATTAACATGCTTAAGAAATGAGGCAAAAACAAAAAGAAAAAATAAAGAATTTCATCTGAGAATTAGAATACACTTTTAATAAAAATTCTACAGTTGAAAACTAAAATATCTGTAACTAAGAATTCATCAGATTCATTTAACAGCAGATTATACATACATCATAAGACAAAATGGATAAATTCCTTGAAAAATACAATTTATCAATGCTAACATAAAGAAGTAGAAAAATCTGAATAGAATGACATTTATTAAGGAAACTGACTCATAATTTAAAATCTACAACAAAACTTCAGACCTGGATGGCTTTATCAGTTGGACTGGCTTCTTCTAAATATTTAAAAAATAACCTAAATTTTCCGCCAACACAGAGAATAGAAAAGGGAGAAACACTTTTTAACTATTTTTATAAGGCCTTGATATAGTTTGGGTCTGTGTCCCTGCCCAAATCTCATGTAAAATTGTAATCCCCAATGATGGAGGGGGGCCTGGTGGGAAATGACTGGATCATGGTGATGGATTTCCCCTTTGGTGCTGTTCTCATGATAGTGAGTGAGTTATCACAAGATGTGTTTGTTTAAAAGTGTGTGACACCTCCCTCTTCCCTCTCTTCCTCCAACTCCAGCCATGTAAAATGTGCCTGCTTCCCTTTTGTCTTCTGCTATGATTCAGCATTTCCTGAGGCTTCCCCAGACATGCTTCCTGTACAGCCTGTGGAACTGTGAGCCAATTAAGTGTCTTTTCTTTACAAATTATCCAGCCTCAAGAATTTCTTTACAGCAATCTAAGAACAGAATAACAGAGGCCTGCATAATTTTTGTTCCAAAATTTGATAAGGATAGTATAAGAAAGAACCTTTACAAACTAATCTTTCTCATGAGCACAAATGAAAAAAACCTAGAACAAATACTAGCAAATCAAATCCAGCAATATATAAAAAGGATAATATATCATTCTAGGTATGTATGGCTGGATTATCATTTGAAAATTAACCAATGTAATGACTTTGTTAATAGTAGAAAAGAGAAAACTCATACTGTCATCTCATTATATGAAAAAAACCCATGTGACAAAATTCAATACTCATTTATGATTTTAAAACTCTTAGCAAATTGGAAACAGAATGCAATCATTAATAAAAAACAGCATCTTTTCATATATAATCAGAGACTTCATCATGGTGGATGGGAGGCAGTAGATTGCAGCTCTGACTCGGATGAACAGAGCAGCATGTGGAGGCTCATATCGTGAATTTTAGCTCCAGAGTGATTGCAGGAATAAATCAGGAATCCCAAGAGGACCCACAGACCCTCTGAAAAAAGCGGTCTGCTCCTGCAGGACCCAGGAGACAGCCCAAATACTGAGTACCCAAACTGCAGAAGCAGAAAAGGAAGATCCTCCACCCCCAAGCACACACTCCTACTGGGGAAACTGAAGGTCTCATTTGAGGAAGAAGATTCTGACCTTACCTGGGGCTGAATCAATTTAGGGAGCAGAGTGAAATACAGGGGTAGAGAAAGCAGTGGAAAAGGCCCTGGGAGCTTGCTGGGTCCCCAGGCAGGCCATTCTTGCCTGGCATCACAGGGATCCTTCAGGAGGGCGGCCAGCGGTGCGGAGAAAATGCCACAGGGAGAAGGAAGTCTCCAGCTGAATTTTGTAACAATTTGAACTAGTCAAGAAGGCTCCTGGCCAGAACTCAGGGGAGAGCCCAAATCCAGCATCCAGTGTGCAGCCTCCACAGGTGGAGGAAGAACTAAAATCCTTTTATTTCATAGCTCGGAGGTGGGTACCATGGGGCAAGTTCTCAGGTCTGCTTGCCCACTGCCTGGAAACAGACTCAGTGCTGTTGGTGGGGGGCACAGTGTGAGTGAGACCGGCCCTTTGGATTGTGTGGAAGCTGGGTAAGGCCTGTGATTGCTGGCTTTCCCCCACTTCCCTGACAACCTGCGTGACTCAGCAGAGGCAGCCATAATTCTCCTAAGTACACAACTCCATTGACCTGGGAACCTCACCCCTATCCCCCACAGCAGCTGCACCAAGGCCCACCCAAGGAAAGTCTGAGCTCAGACACACCAAACCCTGCCCCTACCTGATGGTCCTTCCCTATCCACCCTGGTAGTTGAAGACAAAGGGCATACTCTCTTGGGAGTTCTAGGCCCCCCGCCCACCGTCTGATCCTCCCTATACTACCACAGCTGATGCTCTCTGGAAAGCGCCACCTCCTGGCAGGACAACCAGCACAAAAATAAAGCATTAAACCATCAAAGCTAAGAACCCTCACAGAGTCCATTTCACCCACTGCCACCTCCACTGGAATAGGTGCTGGTATCCATGGCTGAGAGACCCACAGACGGTTCACATCACAGGACTCTGTGCAGACAATGCCCAGTACCAGTCCGGAGGCTGGTAGACTTGCTGGATGGCCAGACCCAGAAGAGAGACAACAATCTCTACAGCTCGGCTCTCAGGAAGCCACATCCATAGGAAAACGGGGAGAGTGCTACATCAAGGGAACAGCCCATGGGACAAAAGAATCTGAACAATAGCCTTCAGCCCTAGACCTTCCCTCTGACAGAGGCTATGCAAATGAGAAAGAACCAGAAAACCAACCCTGGTAATATGACAAAACAAGGCTCCTTAACACCCCCCAAAAAATCATATTGGCTCACCAGCAGTGGATCCAAACCAAAAAGAAATCCCTGACTTACCTGAAAAAGAATTTGGGAGGTTAGTTATTAAGCTATTTCGAGAGGCACCAGAGAAAGGCAAAGCCCAATGCAAGGAAATCCAAAAAATGATACAAGAAGTGAAAGGAGAGATATTCAAGGAAATAGATAGCATAAAGAAAAAACAATCAAACTTCAGGACGCATTGGATATACTTATAGAAATGCAAAATGCTCTGGAAAGTCTCAGCAATAGAAATGAACAAGCAGAAGAAAGAAATTCAGAGCTTGAAGACAAGGTCTTTGAATTAACCCAACCAAACAAAGACAAAGAAAAAAGAATAAGAAAATATGAACAAAGTCTCCGAGAAGTCCAGGATTATGTGAAACAACCAAACTTAAGAATAATCGGTGTTCCTGAAGAAGAAGAGAAATCTAAAAGCTGAAAAAACGTATTTGGGGGAATAATCAAGGAAAACTTCCTGGCCTTGCTAGAGACCTACACATCCAAATACAAGAAGCACAAAGAACACCTGGAAAATTCCTCACAAAAAGATCATCACCTAGGCACACTGTCATCAGGTAATGTAAAGTTAAGACAAAGGAAAGAATCTTAAGAGCTGTGAGACAAAAGTACCAGGTAACCTATAAAGGTAAACCTATTAGATTAACAGCAGATTTCTCAGCAGAAACTCTACAAGCTAGAAGAGATTAGGGCCCTATCTTCAGCTTCCTCAAACAAAATTATCAGCCAAGAATTTTGTATCCAGTGAAACTAAGCATCAAATATGAAGGAAAGATACAGTGTTTTCCAGACAAACAAGTGCTGACAAAATTCACCACTGCCAAGCCACCATTACAAGAACTGCTGAAAGGAGCTCGAAACCTTAAAACAAATCCTGGAAACACATCAAAACAGAACCTCTTTAAAGCACAAATCTCACAGCCAATATCATACTGAATGGGCAAAAACTGGAAGCATTCCCTTTGAAAACTGGCACGAGACAGGGATGCCCTCTCTCACCACTCCTATTCAACATAGTGTTGGAAGTTCTGGCCAGGGCAATCAGGCAGGAGAAAGAAATAAAGGGTATTCAATTAGGAAAAGAAGAAGTCAAATTGTCCCTGTTTGCAGATGACATGATTGTATATTTAGAAAACCCCACCGTCTCAGCCCAAAATCTCCTTAAGCTAATAAGCAACTTCAGCAGAGTCTCAGGATACAAAATCAATGTGCAAAAATCACAAGCATTCTTATACACCAATAACAAACAAACAGAGAGCCAAATCATGAGTGAACTCCCATTCACAATTGCCTCAAAGACAATAAAATACCTAGGAATCCAACTTACAAGGGATGTGAAGGACCTCTTCAAGGAGAACTACAAACCACTGCTGAACAAAATAAAAGAGGACACAAACAAATGGAAGAACATTCCATGCTCATGGATAGGAAGAATCAATATTGTGAAAATGGCCATATTGCCCAAGGTAATTTATAGATTCAATGCCATCCACATCAAGCTACCAATGACTTTCTTCACAGAATTGGAAAAAACTACTTTAAAGTTCATATGGAACCAAAAGGGAGTCCACATTGCCAAGTCAATCCTAAGCAAAAAGAACAAAGCTGGAGGCATCATGCTACCTCACTTCAAACTATACTACAAGGCTACAGTAACCAAAACAGCATGGTACTGGTACCAAAACAGATATACAGACCAATGCAACAGAACAGAGCCCTCAGAAATAATACCACACATCTACAACCATCTGATGTTTGACAAACCTGACAAAAACAAGAAATGGGGAAAGGATTCCCTATTTAATAAATGGTGTTGGGAAAACTGGCTAGCCATATGTAGAAAGCTGAAACTGGATCCCTTCCTTACACCTTACACAAAAATTAATTCAAGATGGATTAAAGACTTAAATGTTAGACCTAAACCCATAAAAACCCTAGAAGAAAACCTAGGCATTACCATTCAGGACATAGGCATGGGCAAGGACTTCATGTCTAAAACACCAAAAGCAATCGCAACAAAAGCCAAAATTGACAAATGGGATCTAATTAAACTAAAGAGCTTCTGCACAGCAAAAGAAACTACCATCGGAGTAAACAGGCAACCTACAGAATTGGAGAAAATTTTTGCAATCTACTCATCTGACAAAGGGCTAATATCCAGAATCTACAAAGAACTCAAACAAATTTACAAGAAAAAAAAACAACCCCATCAAAAAGTGGGTGAAGGATATGAACAGACACTTCTCAAAAGAAGACATTTATGCAGTCAACAGACACATGAAAAAATGCTCATCATCACTGGTCATCAGAGAAATGCAAATCAAAACCACAATGAGATACTATCTCACACCAGTTAGAATGGCGATCATTAAAAAGTCAGGAAACAACAGGTGCTGGAGAGGATGTGGAGAAATAGGAACACTTTTCCACTGTTGGTCAGACTGTGAACTAGTTCAACCATTGTGGAAGACAGGGTGGCAATTCCTCAGGGATCTAGAACTAGAAATACCATTTGACCCAGCCATCCCATTACTGGGTATATACCCAAAGGAATATAAATCATGCTGCTATAAAGACACATGCACACGTATGTTTATTGCAGCACTACTCACAATAGCAAAGACTTGGAACCAACCCAAATTGTCCAATGATAGACTGGATTAAGAAAATGTGGCACATACACACCATGGAATACTATGCACCCATAAAAAAGGATGAGTTCATGTCCTTTGTAGGGACATGGATGAAGATGGAAACCATCATTCTCAGCAAACTATCTCAAGGATAAAAAACCAAACACCGTGTGTTCTCACTGATAGCTGGGAACTGAAAAATGAGAATACTTGGACACAGGAAGGGAAACATCACACACCGGGGCCTGTTGTGGGGTGGGGGGAGGGGGGAGGGATAGCATTAGGTGGTATACCTAATGTAAATGACGAGTTAATGGGTGCAGCACACCAACATGGCACATGTATACATATGTAACAAACCTGCACGTTGTGCACATGTACCCTAGAACTTAGAGTATAATAAAAAAAATATATATATATATAAATAAAATAAAGCACAAATCTCACAGGACCTATAAAACAAAAATAGAATTTAAAAAGCAAAAACAAAAACCAAAAAATCAAGGTATACAGGCAACAAATAGCATGATGAATGGAATGGTACCTCACATCTCAATACTAACATTGAATGTAAATGGCCTAAATGCTCCATTTAAAAGATGCAGTACTACAGAATGGATAAGCATTCACCAACTGGCCGGGCACCGCGGCTCACACCTATAATCCCAAGGCTTTGGGAGGCTCAGGCGGGCAGATTACTTGAGGTCAGGAATTTGAAACCAGCCTAACCAACATGGTGAAACCCCATCTCTACTAAAAATACAAAAAAAAATAAGCCAGGCATGGTGGCAGGCACCTATAATCCCAACTACTTAGGAGGCTGAGGCAGGAGAATTGCTTTAACCTGAGAGGCAGAGTTTGCAGTGAGCCGAGATCGTGCCATTGCACTCAGCCTGGGTGACAGAGCGAGACTCCATCTCAAAATCTCGAAATCTAAAAAAAAAAAAAAAATTTCACCAACCAATTGTCTGCCACCTTCAAGAGACTCACATAACACACAAGGAATCATATAAACTTAAAGTAAAGGAGTGGAAAAAGGCATTTCATGTAAATGGACACCAAAAGTGAGCAGGGGTAGCTATTCTTATGTCAGACAAAACAAACGTTAAAGCAATGGCAGTTAAAAAAGACAAAGAGGGACATTAAATAATGGTAAAAGGCCTTGTCCAACAGGAAAATACCACAATCCTAAACATATATGCACATAACACTGGAGTCCCCAAATTTATAAAACAATTACTAATAGACCTAAAAAATGAGATAGACAGCAACACCATAACAGTGGGGGACTTAAATACTCCACTGACAGCACTAGACAGGTCATCAAGACAGAAAGTCAACAAATAAACAATGGATTTAAACTAGACCTTGGAACAAATGGACTTAACAGCTATATACAGAACATTCCATCCAAGAACCACAGAATACACAATCTATTCAATAGCGCATGGGACTTTCTCCAAGATGGACCACATGATAGGCCACAAAATGAGCTGTAATAAATTTAAGAAAACTGAAATTATATCAAGGACTCTCTCAGACCACAGTGGAATAAAACTGGAAATCAATTCCAAAAGGAACCTTCAAAACATGCAAATACATGGAAATTAAATAACCTGCTCCTGAATGATCACTGGACCAAAAATAAAATCATGATGGAAATTATAAAATGTTCAGACTGAATGACAATAGTGACAATCTATAAAAACCTGTGGGATACAGCAAAGGTGGTGCCCAGAGGAAAGTTCATGGTGCTAAATGCCTACATCAAAAAGACTGAAAGAGCACAAACTGACACTCAAAGGTCACACCTCAAGGAACTAGAGAAACACGAACAAACCAAACCCAAACCCAGCAGAAGAAAGGAAATGACCAAGATCAGAGCATAACTAAATGAAACTAAAACAAAATTACAAAAGATAAATGAAACAAAAAGCTGCTTGTTTGAAAAGATAAACTGATAGACCATTAGCAAGATTAACCTAGAAAAGAAGAGAGAAAATCCAAATAACCTCAATAAGAAATGAAACAGGAGACATTACAACTCACACCACAGAAATACAAAAGATCATTCAAGGCTACTATGAATATGTTTATGGGCATAAACTTGAAAACCTAGAAGAGACAGATAAATTCCTGGAGGTGTACACCCCTCCCAGCTTAAATCAGGAAGAATTAGATACCCTAAACAGACCAATAACAAGCAACAAGATTGAAATGGTAATTTAAAAATTATCAACAAAAAAAAAGGCCAGGCCCAGAAATTCACAGCAGAATTCTACCAGACTTTCAAAGAAGAATTGGTACCGATCCTACTGACACTATTCCACAAGACAGAGAAAGAGGGAACCCTCCCTAATTCATTCTATGAAGCCAGCATCACCCTAATACCAAAACCAGGAAAGGACATAACCAGAAAGAAAACCACAGACCCATATCCCTGATGAACATAAATGCTAAAATCCTTAACAAAATACTAGCTAACTGAATCCAACAACATACCAAAAAGATAAACTACCACGAGCAAGTGGGTTTCATGCCAGGGATGCAGGGATGGTTTAACATCCACAAGTCAATAAATGTGATACACCACATAAACAGAATGAAAACAAAAATCACATGATCATCTCACCAGATGCAGAAAAAGCATTTGACAAAATCCAGCATCCCTTTATGATTAAAACTCAGCAAAATCGGCATAAAGGAACATACCTCAATGTAATAAAAGCCATCTATGACAAACCCACAGCAAATATAATACTGAATGGCAAAAAGTTGAAAGCATTCCCTCTGAGAACTGGAACAAAACAAGGATGCCCACTCTCACCACTCGTCTTCAACATAGTACTGGAAGTCCTATCCAGAGCAATCAAACAAGCGAAAGAAATAAAGGACATCCAAATCAGTAAAGAGGAAGTCAAACTGTCACTGTTTACTGACAATATAATCGTTTACCTCAAAAATCCTAAAGACTCCTCCAGAAAGCTCCTAGAACTGACAAAAGAATTCAGTAAAGTTTCCAGATACAAGAATAATGTACACAAATCAGTAGCTCTCCCATACACCAACAGCAACCAACTAGAGAATCGAATCAAGAACTCAATCCTTTTTACAATAGCTGCAAAAAAAAAAATAAAAAAGACAAAGAAAAAAACTTAGGAATATACCTAACCCAGGAGGCAAAAGACCTCTACAAGGAAAACTACAAAACACCACTGAAAGAAATCATAGACAACACAAACAAATGGAAACACATCCCATGTTCATGGAATGGTAGAATCAAAATTGTGAAAATGACCATACCACCAAAAGCAACCTACAAATGGAAACACATCCCATGTTCATGGAATGGTAGAATCAAAATTGTGAAAATGACCATACCACCAAAAGCAACCTACAAATTCACTGCAATCCCCATCAAAATACCATCATCATTCTTCACAGCATTAGAAAAAAAGTACTAAAATTCATAAAGAACCACAAAAAGATTTCACATAGCCAATGCAAGACTAAGCAAAACAACAAATCTGGAGGCATCACACTACCTGATTTCAAACTATATTATAAGGACATAGTCACCAAAACAGCATGGTACTGGTATAAAAATAGGCACATAGGACAATGTAATAGAGTAGAGAACCCATAAATAAACCCAAATACCTACAGCCAAGTGATCTTCAACAACTACACAAAAACATAAAGTGGGGAAAGGACAGCCTATTCAACAAATGGTGCTGGGATAACTGGCTAGACACATATAGGACAATGAAACTGGATCCTCATCTCTCACCTTATATAAAAATCAACTCAAGATGGCTTAAGGACTTAAATCTAACACCTGAAACTATAAAAATTCTAGAAGATTAACGTTGGAAAAACCCTTCTAGACATTGGTTTAGGCAAGGATTTCATGACCAAGAACCCCAAAGCAAATGCAATAAAAACAAAGATAAATTGCTAGGACTTAATTAAACTAAAGAGCTTTTGCATGGCAAAAGGAACAGTCAGCAGAGTAAACAGCCCAGAGTGGGAGAAAATCTTCACAATCTATACATCTGAAAATGGACTAATATCCAGAATCTACAATGAACTCAATCAAATCAGCCAAAAAAAATTAATCCCATCAAAAAGTGGGCTAAGGACATGAATAGACAATTATCAAAAGAAGATATACAAATGGCCAACAAACATACGAAAAAATGCTCAGCATCACTAATGATCAGGCAAATGCGAATTAAAATCACAATGTGACACCACCTTACTTCTGCAGGAATGGCCATAATCAAAAAATCAGTAGATGTTGCTGGGGATGCAGTGATCAGGGAACACTTCTACACTGCTGGAATGTAAACTAGTACAGCCACTATGGAAAACAGTATGGAGATTCCTTAAAGAGCTAAAAGGAGAACTACCATTTGATCCAGCAATCTCAATACTGGGTATCTACCCAGAGTAAATGAAGTCATTATATGAAAAAGATACTTGCACACACGTTTATAGCAGCACAATTCACAATTGCAAAATCATGGAACCAACTCAAATGCCCATCAGTCAACAAGTGGATAAAGAAACTGTGGTATGTATACCACAGTATACATGGTGGGATACTACTCAGCCATAAAAAGGAATGAATTAACGGCATTCGCAGCGACCTGGATGAGATCGGAGACTATTATTCTAAGTGAAGTCACTCAGGAACGGAGAACCAAACATCGTATATTCTCACTGATATGTGGGAGCTAAGCTATGAGGATGCAAAGGCATAAGAATGATACAATGGACTTTGGGGACTTGGGGGAAAGTGGGGGGTGAGGAATACAATACTACAAACAGGGTGGTGCAATGTATACTGCTTGGGTGATGGGTGCACCCAAATCACCACTAAAGAACTTACACATGTAACTAAACATCACCTGTACTCCAATAACCTATGGAAAATTTTTTTTTAATTAAAAAGCATATATAGGCATTCATATATAGAACTTTCTGTGAGCATGTATTTTCATTTCTCTTGGATAAATACCTAACACTGGAATTGTTGGGTCATAGGCAAGTTTAACTTTATAAAAAACTGCCAAACCAAAAAAAAAAAAAAAATTAAAAACAGCATCTTTTTTTTATATTTTAGGATGATTAATATATGAGTCATTCTTTTATGTATTTTTGTATTATTATACTTAAAGTTTTAGGGTACCTGTGCACAACATGCAGGTTTGTTACATATGTTTACATGTGCCATGTTGGTGTGCTGCACCCATTAACTCGTCATTTACATTAGGTATATCTCCTAATGCTAGTTATAACAGCCAGATTATCAAAATACACACCAATAGTCAAGTGGATAAATTGGAGTACATTTACAACATGGAATACTATATAGCAGTGAGGATGAACCATTTGTTAACTACCCAATTGTACCAATGACTGTCACAAACATAAGGCTGAATAAAAGAAGCCAGACACAAAAGAGTATGCACAATATGATTCCATCTATGCAAAGTGAAAAAAAACCAACAAATAACAACAGGCAAACAAAACTTTAGTGAAAGTAATCTATCCTAGAGTCAGAATAACCGTTAGCCTTCAGGAAGTATAAGGATTTTTGTTATAAAATAACACATCCTTAAAATGGTTGACACGGTCCTGCATGATTTTGGTCTCTGCTTACCTCCTCAGCTTTATCTTGAACAGTCCTTTGCCTCACTAACTATATTTTACCTATATAATCTGTAGTAATGCAGAAATAAATTTACACGATGAAGATTTCATTTGTTGTGACAGTTTCAAACTGAACCCTCAAATTCTCTCGGGGAAGGCCCCTGTAGACTTTCAACCAGTTTGCAATAAAGCAAGTCACACAAATTTTTTGGTTTACCAGTGCAAATAAAAGCTGTGTTACACTATACTAGAGTCTATTAAGTATGCAATAGCATTACATCTAAGAAAACAATTTAAGAATGTTTTACTGCTAAAAAGTGCTAACAATCATCTGGGCCTTTAGTGAGTCATAACCTTTTTGCTGGTGTAAGGTCTTGCCTTAATGTTGATGGCTACTGACTGATCAGGGTGGTGTCGCTGAAGGTTTGGGTGGCTGTAGAAATTTCTTAAAATAAGACAACAATGATGGTTGCCACAATGATTGACTCTTCCTTTCATGGAAAATTCATCTGTAGCATGCAATGCTGTTTAGTAGTATTTTACTTAAGGCAAAACTTTCAAAATTGGAGTTGGTCCTTTCAGACCCTGCCATTACTTTTTCAACTAAGTTGATGTAATATTCTAAATCCTTTGTTGTCATTTTGACAATGTGTTCACAGCATCTTTACCAGGAGTAGATTCAACCTCAAGAAACTACTTTCTTTGCTCATCAATAAGATGCAACTCCTCATCAGTTTAAGTTTTATCCATGAGACTGCAGCAATTCAGTCACATCTTTTAGGCTCCAATTCTAATTCTAGTTCTCTTGCTATTTCCAATGCATCTGCAGTTACTTTCTCAACTGAAGTCTTGAACCTCTCAAAGTCATCAATGCAGACTGGAATCAACTTCTTCCAAACTCTTGTTAATGTTCGTATTTTGACCTTCTCACATGAATCATAAATGTTCTTAATGACATCTGGGATGAATCTTTTCCAGAAGATTTTCAATTTACTTTGCCCAGTTCCATCAGAGGAATCACTATGGCAGCTAATGCCTTATGAAATGTATATCTTAAATAATAAGAATTGAAAGTTAAAATAACTCCTTCATCTATAAGCTGCAGAACAGATGTTGTATCAGCAAACATGAAAACATTAATTTCCTTGTACATCTCCATCAAAGCTCTTGGGTGACTAGGTACATTGTCAATGAGCAGTAATATTTTGAAATAAATCTTTTCCTCTGAGCAGTAGGTCTCAACAGTGGGATTAAAATATTCAGGGAACCATGCTTTCAACAGATGTACTCTCATCCAGGCTTTGTTCTTCCATTTATAGCACATGAGTAGAACAGATTTAGCATAATTCTTAAGGGCCCTAGGATTTTTAGAATAGTGAGTGCTGCCTTCAACTTAAAGTCACCAGCTGCATCAGCCCCTAACAAAATCAGCTTGTCTGGTGAAGTTTTCAAGCCAGGCATTGACTTCTCCTCTCTAGCTATGGAAGTCGTAGTTGGCATCTTCTTCCAGCAGAAGGCTGTTTTGTCTACACTGAAAATGTATTGCTTACTGTATCTACCCTCATCAACTATTTTTGCCAGATCTGGGTAACTTGCTACAGCTCCTCCATCAGCACTTGCTGCTTCACTGGGCTCTTTTATGTTATGAAGATGGATTTTTTCCTTAAATCTCATGAACCAACCTCTGCTAGCTTCAAACTCTCTTCTGCAGCTTCCTCACCTCTTAGCCTTTATAGAATTCAAGAGTTAGGGTCTTACTGTGGATTAGGCTTTGACTTAAGGGAATGTTGTGGCTGGTTTGATTTTCTATCCAGAACATTCTTTCTCCATATTAGCAATAAGGCTGTTTTGCTTTCTTATCATTCATGTGTTCACTAGAGTAGCACTTTTAATTTCCTTCAGGAACTTTTCCATTAGAACAAGAGGTTAGCTTTTGGCCTATTTTGGCTTTCAACACGCCCCCCCCCCCTTTTAAGCTCAGTCCTTTCTAGCTTTTGAGTTAAAGTGAGAGATGTGAGACACTTCCTTTCACTTGGACACTTAGAGACCATTGTCAAGTTACTAAATGGCCTAATTTCAATATTGTTGTGTCTCAACCAATAAGGAGGCCCAAGGAGAGGGAGGGAGATGGGAAACGGCTGGTTAGGTGCTGGAGTAGTCAGAACACACACAGTTATCGATTGGGTTTGCCATCTTACATGGGCTTAAGTTCGTGGGGACCCATAACAATGACAATAGTAGCATCAAAGATTATTGATCACAGATGACCGTAACAGGTATAATATTGGTGAAAAAGTTTGAAGTTTGAAATACTACAAGAATTACCAAAATATGACAGTGACATAAAATGAGCACATGCTGCTGGAAAAATGGCACTGATAGACTTGCTCAATGCAGAGTTGCCACAAATCTTCGATTTGTAAAAACACAGTATTTATCAAAGAGAAGTGCAATAAAATGAGGTATGTCTGTAGTGTAAGGAATAGTTAAAGCCCTAGATTCTTACCTGCCCCCAGTGTGAGCAGGCAGTTGATGGTTTCCTTTCCCACTCTTATAGAAAACTAAGGTCTTACCAGTTAGACAGATTAAAGAGGGTCTAGATTCAGGTAAAACAAGACTAGATGGCAGCACCTGAATATAAAGCGAACTGTACAACTGGACATTTAACAGTAAAATCTCACCTCCCTTCCTCTTGCTCAGCTACGAGAACACTGACTCCTAGGCAGATCACTTTGTAGTTTCCTACAAATCTCACCTCCCATCCCTTGCCACGTGCCCCAGGCCAGAGAATGCATTATTATTTTATGGGCAAAATGAAAATCCGTAAGAAAAGACCTATACATAATGATGTGTGAATGTCCTCAATTTAACATTTATTGATTGACTGAATGACTATTTTGTGCAGGGCACTATTCTCATTGGTTGGAATATATCAGTGAAACCAAGAACAACAACAAAATCCCTGTTCTCTTGTAAGTGATGTTCTAGTAATAAACGTAATCGATAAGTGATTACATAGCATATAAGTATAAAAAGTGCATGGGAAAAAAACAGAGCAGGAAAAGACAGAGCTGAAGTATTAGGGGCAGATGTGTACAGCTTTAAATAAGGTGGTCAGAATAGGCCTCAATGAGAAAGTGATGTGTGCAAAGACTGGAAGGAGGTGAGGCTTCCAGACTGGCTACACTATAGGAGGCCCACCAAGAACAAATTCTATGAACACAAATGGTTCCAAACTTATTATCTGTGCCTCACTCTTAAATAAGAGAAAATAGTCAAGGATCTCCTGGTATGTAAGAAACAAGACAAAATAAGACAGAAATTGAAAGCAGCAAGCAAACAAAGACAAAAAAAGGAACTCCAAAGAGAGGCAGTGAAGAAGTACAAGAATTTAAAAAACAAAAACAAAGCATCATTAATATCCTCAGTGATATAACATATTGCATCCATGAAACAAGAACAGAATGTTAATTTTTAAAATGGTCAAAGAACAAGAAGAAGTCTTAGAAATTTATATATACAAATGAAGTTTTTGCCTATACATACATATATATATATATATATATATATATGTGTGTGTGTGTATATATATATATATATATATATATATATATTTTTTTTTTTTTTTTTTTTTTTTTTTTTTTTTTGAGACAGAGTCTTACTCTGTCTCCCAGGCTGGAGTGCAGTGGCATGATCTTGGCTCACTGCAACCTCTGCCACCTGGGTTCAAGCAATTCTCATGCCTCAGCCTCCCGAGTAGCTGAGACTACAGGCGAGTGCCACCACACTCGGCTAATTTTTGTATTTTTAGTAGAGATGGGATTTTGCCATGTTGGCCAGGCTAGTCTTGAACTCTTCACCTCAGGTGATCTGCCCGCCTCAGCCTCTTAGAGTGCTGAGATTACAGGCGTGAGCCACCACACCTGGCCAAAAACTTCTTAATTTAATAGAAGTTAAATGAATTGGAAGACAGGAAAACAAAAGAAGTAGAAAATGAGAAAATTAGGGGTCTAATGCAGGAGGTTATCATAGCTAATAAATGTGAATTCAGATAGAGAGCACAGAGAAAACTATTAAAAACTATCAAAGAACACAAGAGTGTCTCCAGGACTCAGGGACAGGTATCTTCAAATTGATAGAAACCATTGAGCACCCTGCACAATAAAGGAAACACATATGCAATAAGGCACAGCATCATGAATTTTCAGAATATCAAGGATAAGGAGATTATAAAAGCTACTTGAGAGAAAAATAGATCACATGCAAAGCATCAGAAATTAAAAGTGGCATTGTATTTCTCAACATTTACGCCAAAACTATGAGGCAATGGAGAATGTGTTTAAAATTCTGAGAGCAAATTATTTCCAAACTAGAATTCCATACCTAGCCAAATCATCCCTTGAGGGTGAGATTAAAATAAAGTTTTCAGTCATGCAAGGTTTCAACAATTTACCTCCCATGTGGAGGATGTAGTCCACCAATAAAGGAAGTAAACCAAGAATGATGAAGACCTGGGATCCAGAAATAAGAGGTCTCCCAAAAGAAAAAGTGAAGGAAATTCCCAGGATGATCTTAAAGGGATGTCTTAAGAATACAGCTGTGTCTGAGAAGCAGACACCAAGACAGGGTTAGAAATACAAGAAATTTAGTAGGGGAAATATCTGTAAGAGAAAATGGGGAGGGAGCCAGGGGAAGCTGAAAGAGCTGTTAGATGGTGTGATGGTTAATACCGAGTGTCAACTTAATTGGATTGGGGGATACAAAGTATTAATCCTGGGTGTGCCTGTGTGTGTGTTGCCAAAAGAGATTAACATTTGAGTTAGTGGTCTGAGGAAGGCAGATCCAGCCTTAATCTGGTGGGCACAATCTAATCAGCTTCCAGCGAATATAAAGCAGGCAGAAAAATGTGAAAAGGAGAGACGAGCCTAGCCTCCCAGCCTGCATCTTTCTCCCATGATGGATGCTTCCTGCCTTCGAACATAGGACTCCCAAGTTGCTCAGTTTTGAGACTTGGGCTGGTTCTCCTTGCTCTTCAGCTTGCAGACAGCCTATTGTGGTACCTTGTGTGTAACTTAATGCTTAAGAAACTCATATCATATATATACATATCTCCCATTAGCTCTTTCCCTCAAAAAGAACCATGACTAATACAGCTTTTGGTACCAGGAGTGGTTCTAGAGGAACAGAATATTAAGGATGGGGTTGTTTCATTGGTTTTGAGGTTTCTGGAGTTGGCTGCTTAATATGATTAGACCCAAAACTGCTAAGGACTCTACTTCAAATAGTATGGAAAATACTGATAGTCCTTGGTGTAAACTGTTTAGAGAGTTATGCAAAATAAATGTGTTTGACACTTGATTCACCACTCTTGAGCGGCAAGGAGTTTAATGACACTACACATAATACCTTTGACCATATGTGGAGAACCAAGGAACATAATGAAGCTGGTTGGTTGCTCCTAAGTTCAGTGGACAAAGTGATGAAAGAAAATGATGAACTCAGGGATTCTAACTCCTGGCTTCAGAAGCAGGTATTAACCCCTCAAATCTGCTAAGACTGCCCTAAGTGGGAGTCTTAACTCCTGTAGAGAAAAAGCTGAAATTGTGGAAAAACAGACACAATCTCTTACCATGTGAGTGGCTGACCTGCAACGAAAGATGCATGTACAGCCTCGCCAGGTGTCTACTGTTAAAGTGAGGGCATTGATTGGAAAAGAATGGGACCCTGAAACTTGGAATTAGGAAGAGTGGGAGGACTCTGATGAAGCTGGGGACACTGAGTTCGTAAACTCTGATGAGGTTTTTTGCCAGAAGAAAGAGCTTCACCATCCCCAGTAGTGGCAACATCCCCTCCCCGACCCACACTGCCATCAGTCTTTCCACCTTTGTCTGAGAAGATAAACCCTGTGCTGCCTGAAGCAACAGTTATGATCTGAGGTAGCTGCCAGGCAAGAAAATGTTGATTCTCCTCAGGAGCCACCCCCGACACCCTTGTTTGCTTCTAGACCTATAATTAGACTAAAGTCCTGGCAGGACCCTGGAGGTGAAGTTGAGAGTGTGATCCATGAGGAGGTGCACTACAACTGAAAAGAACTGTTTGAGTTCTCTAATTAATATAAACAGAAATCTAGAGAACAAGCATGGGAATGGATATTAAAGGTATGGATAATGGTGGAAGGAACATAAGAGTTGTATCAGGCTGAATTTATTGATTTGGGCCCAGTAAGTAGGGACTCTGCTTTTAATGTTGCAGCTCAAGGAGTTAAAAAAGGTTCTAATAGGTTATTTCCTTGGTTAGCTGAAATATGGATTAAAAAATGGCCCACTGTGAGAGAGGTGGAAATACCTGATCTCCCTTTGTTTAATGTAGAGGAAGGGATCCAAAAGCTTAGGGAGATTGGGATGGGGTAGTGGATTAGTCACTTTAGACCTACTCATCCCAGCTGGGAGGGTCCAGAAGATATACCCTTGACCAATGCCTTGCAAAACAGATTTGTGAGGGCAGCACCCCCATTTTTGAAGAGCCCTATAATTGCTCTTCTCTGTATGTCAGATCTAACGATGAGAACCACGGTCACTCAACTACAAAATTTAAATAAAATGGGAATAATTGAATCCCAAGGTGGCAGGCGCTAAGTGGCAGCACTCAATCATCAAAGGCAAGGTAGGCATAGCTACTGTAATGGACAGCAGAGGCAAAGCAGCAATCAGAATAGTCTGACTTGTGTAGAGCTTTGGCATTGGCTAATTAATCATGGTGTTCCTAGAAGTGAAATTGATAGGAAGCCTACTGCATTCCTACTTAACTTATACAAACAGAAAACTTCTAGGTCGAATGGACAAAGGACTAATCTGAATTATAAAAACAGAGAATCACAGCCTCTCAATTTCCAGACTTGAGCCAGTTTACAGACCAGAACCCCTTGAATGAAGGAGAGGCCAGGTCCCCTTGGGGAAGGACCCCACTACATTACCAACAATTTATACAGTGAATCTTTCTCCCATCCTTCCCCAAGAAGACCTCTGGCCTTGTACCAAGGTAACTGCACTGGGGAAAGGGAAATAATCAGGCATTTTGGGGACTACTGGACACTGGCTCTGAGCTGACATTGATTCCAGGGGACCCAAAGAGTCATTTCGGTCCTCCAGTTAAAGCAGTTAAAGTAGGGGCTTACAGAGGTCAGGTAATTAATGGAGTTTTAGCTTAGGTCTGACTTACACTGGGTCCAGTGGGTCCCCAGACTCATCCTGTGGTCATTTCCCCAGTGCCAGAATGCATAATTGGCATAGACATACTTAGCAGCTGGCAGAACCCCCACATTGGCTCCCTGACTGGTAGGGTGAGAACTATCATGGTGGGAAAGGCCAAATGGAAGCCAATAGAGCTACCTTTACTTAGAAAAATAGTAAATCAAAAACAGTATCACATCCCTGGAGGGGTTGCAAAGATTAGTGCCACCATCAAGGACTTGAAGGACGTGGGGGTGGTAATTCCCACCACATCCCCGTTCAACTCTCCCATCTGGCCTGTGCAGAAGACAGATGGATCCTGGAGAAAGTGGATTATCGTAAGCTTAACCAAGTGGTGACTCCAATTGCAGCTGCTGTACCAGATGTGGTTTCATTGCTTGAGCATATTAATATATCCCCTGGTATCTGGTATCCAACCATTGACTTGGCAAATGCCTTTTTCTCCATTCCTGTCCATAAGGCCCACCAGAAGCAATTTGCCTTCAGCTAGCAAGGCCAGCAATTTACCTTACTGTCCTACCTCACGGGTATATCAACTCTCTGGCTTTGTGTCATAATCTTATTCGAAGAGACCTTGATCACTTTTCCCTTCCACAAGATATCACACTGGTCCATTACATTGATGACATTGTGCTGACTGGATCCAGTGAGCAAGAAGTAGCAAATACACTGGACTTATTGGTGAGACATTTGCATGCCAGAGGATGGGAAATAAATCCAACTAAAATTCCGGGACCGTCGACCTCAGTAAAATTTCTAGGGGTCCAGTTGTGTGGGTCTTGTTAAGATATTCCTTCTAAGGTGAAGGATAAGTTGCTGCATTTGGCCCCTCCTACAACCAAGAAAGAGGCACGACACCTAGTGGGTCTAATTGGATTCTGAAGGCAACACATTTCTCATTTGAATGTGTTACTCCAGCCCACTTATCGAGTGACCTGAAAGGCTGACAGTTTTGAGTGGGGTCCAGAACAGGAGAAGGCTCTGCAACAGGTCCAGGCTGCTGTGCAAGCTGCTCTGCCACTTGGGCCATATAACTCAGCAGATCCAATAGTGCTTGAGGTATCAGTGGCAGATAGGGATGCTGTTTGGAGCCTTTGGCAGGCCCCCATAGTGAATCACAGTGGAGGCCTCTTGGATTTCACAGCAAGGGCCTGCCATCTTTTGCAAATAACTACTCTCCTTTTGAGAGACATCTCTTGACTGGGCTTTGGTGGAAACTGAATGTTTGACTATGGGTCATCAAGTCACCATGCAACCTGAACTGACTATCATGAACTGGGCGCTTTCTGACCCATCTAACTATAAAGTGGGTTGTGCACAGCAGCATTCCATTATCAAATGGAAGTGGTATATACGTGATCAGGCTCGAGCAGGTCCGGAAGGCACAAGTTACATGAGGAAGTGGCTCGAATGCCCATGTTCTCCACTCCTGCCACCCTGACATCTCTCCCCCAGCCTGCACCGATGGCCTCATGGGAGTTTCCTATGATCAACTGGCAGAGGAAGAGAAGACCAGGACCTGGTTCACAGATGGTTCTGCATGATATGCAGGCACCACCTGCAAGTGGACAGCTGCAGCACTACAGCCCCTTTCTAGGACATCCCTGAAGGACAGCGGTGAAAGGAAATCTTCCCAGTGGGCAGAACTTCGAGCAGTGCACCTGATCATGCACTTTGCATGGAAGGAGAAATGGCCGGATGTACAATTATACACTGATTCATGGGCTGTAGCCAATGGATCGGCTGGATGGTCAGGGACTTGGAAGAATCATGATTGGAAAATTGGTGACCAAGAAATTTAGGGAAGAGGTATGTGGATGGGCCTCTCTTGAGTGGTCAAAAGCTGAATATATTTGTATCCCATATGAGTGCTCGCCAACAAGTGACCTCAGCAAAGAAGGAGTTTAATAATCACATGGATAGGATGACCCGTTCTGTGGACACCACACAACCTCTTTCCCCAGCCACCACTGTCATCGCCCAATGGGCCCATGAACAAAGCAGCCATGGTAGCAGGAATGGAGGTTACACATGGGCTCAGCAACATGGACTTCCACTCACCAAGGCTGACGTGGCTACGGCCACTGATGAATGCCCAATTTGCCAGCAGCAGAGACCAACACTGAGCCCTTGATGTGGCACCATTCCTCAGAGTGATCAGCCAGCTACCTGGTGGCAGGTTGATTATATTGGACTTCTTCCATCATGGAAACGGCAGAGGTTTGTCTTCACTGGAATAGACACTTACCAGATATGGTTTTGCCTATCCTGCATGCAATGCTTCTGCCAAGACTACCAACCGTGGACTCACAGAATGCCTTATCCATTGTCATGGTATTCCACACAGCATTGCCTCTGACTTTACAGCTAAAGAAGTATGGCAGTGGGCACATGCTCATGGAATTCACTGGTCTTACCATGTTCCCCATCATCCTGAAGCAGCTGGATAGACAGAATGGTGGAATAGCCTTTTGAAGTCACAATCACAATGCCAACTAGATGACAATACTTTGCAGGACTGGGGCAAAGTTCTCCAGAAGGCTGTGTATGCTCTGAATCAGGGTCCAATATATGGTACAGTTTCTCCCATAGCCAGGATTCACAGTTCCAGGAATCAAGGGGTGGAAGTGAAAATGGTACCACCATCACCCCTGGTGATCCACTGGCAACATTTTTGCTTCCTGTTCCCACGACATTACGTTCTGCTGGCCTAGACGTCTTAGTTTCAGAGGGAGGAACGCTGCCACCTGGAGACACAACAACGATTCCATTAAACTGGAAGTTAAGATTGCCACCTGTACACTTTGGGCTCCTCTTACCTTTAAGTCAATAGGCTAAAAAGGGAGTTACAGTGTTGGCTGGGATGACTGACCTGGACTATCAAGATGAAATCAGTCTACTACTCCACAATGGAAGTAAGGAAGAATATGCATGGAATACAGGAGATCCATTAGGACATCTCTTAATATTACTATGCCCTGTGATTAAGGTCAATGGGAAACTACAACAGCCCAATCCAGGCAGGACTACAAATGACCCAGACCCTTCAGGAACAAAGCTTTGGGTCACTCCACCAGGAAAAAAAATCCATGACCTGATGAGGTGCTTGCTGAAGGCAAAGGGAATACAGAACGGGTAGTAGAAGAAGGCAGTCATCAATACCAGCTACAATCTTGTGACCAGCTGCAGAAATGAGGACTGTAACTGTCATGAGTTCCTTCTGCTTTTGTTAAAAACATGTTTATGCATGTATAGACTTGTACTAAGAAAATATCTTCATTTTATTTCCTTTTCCTTTATCAAGTGACGTAAGATTTACAGACTTCACATCAGCATTTAAGTATTGTTAACTTCATGTATGTACTAGTATTTGGGTTGGGGATTGATGCATTTCTGGTTGTACGAAGGATAGTTGTATTATGTTAGGCATAATTATGACCCAATATTGTCTTTATATGAAGATTATGTAGGATCTCAGCAGATACATATAGGTTCAAGTTGACAAGGGGTAGACTTGCGATGGTTAATACTGAAAGTCAACTTGATTGGATTGAGGGATACAAAGTATTAATCCTGGGTATGCCTGTGTCGGTGTTACCAAAAGAGATTAACATCTGAGTCACTGGGCTGAGAAAGGCAGATCCACCCTTAATCTAGTGGGCACAATCTAATCAGCTTCCAGTGAATATAAAGCAGGCAGAAAAAATATGAAAAGGAGAGATGGGCCTAGGCTCCCAGCCTGCATCTTTCTCCTGAGCTGGATGCCTCCTGCCCTTGAACATCAGACTGCAAGTTCTTTAGTTTTGGGACTCTGACTGGCTCTCCTTGCTCCTCAGCTTGCAGACAGCCTATTGTGGGACCTTGTGATTCTGTAAGTTAACACTTAACAAACTCTCCTTTATATATATATATATATATATGTGTGTGTGTGTGTGTGTGTGTGTGTGTGTGTATATATCCCACATACATATCCTATATATATTATAACAAGGATATGTATTATATATAATATCCTATATACAGGATAAAAATTATATGTATATAATCCTATTAGTTCTGTCCCTCTAAGAGAAACCTGACTAATACAGATGGTGATGCAGGTTCGACCCAGGGGACAGGGAAGGAAGGCAGGCTGGGTGGATGTGTGTTAGGCTGCAGTGCCGGTCTAAGGAAAATCTGATGAAACTGTCTGTCAGATGACTCAACGTCTCCCAGGAATGAGCCTGCTTTAGTGTCCCTGTTGTGCTCAGCCACTGACTGGGTCAGAATGTGGGAAGCATGGCCTTGGAACAAACATGGTGATGGATTTCAGAGAGCAGCAGCTGGAGCCATCAGTCAGTTACTGTTTGTGGGCAGAGATCTGAGAGGAACATTCTCATGGACACCTGTGGCGACTTTGTAATGTGTCAACTCAAGCTAGTCTAAAGTACATTTCTCAAGACTCCCTTACCCACAATTCTGGTTAGGTGAGACACAAGAGTTCTTTTCATGCAAGATTTGGAAAGCAGGATGTGAGGGCAATCCGGCTGCGACATCTGTCACCCCACTAATCACCAGAGTTGATTTCAGCTGATCTAGCTGGCTAGATTGGTATTAACTTCCTCCCTCACTGCTCTGTGTGCATCTCTCCCAAAGCTGTGTGCTTGGTCAAAGAGGACGACCCTCCCTAATAGAGGAGGACCACTCTTTGGTCAAGAATATACGAGTAGCTGTGCTTCCCTCACAGAATCCCCAAACAAGCTCTCAAGATTTTGGAGAGCAAAAGAGAGGCAGCAGCCATTTTATTTTTACATTCAAGACAAGCAGGCGCTTTTATAGATCATATACATTGTCATTATCTACTGCTTCACACCATTGTCATGGGGCAGGAGCCAGGCCTACAACTGACCCTCATTCCCTTAGATCTTCCTGCAGGCTCTCCAACTCCTAGGTCAGGTGAGTGTTTAGCTCTAAGAAAAAAGAAATCAACTTCTTCTGCAGGACACTTGTCACAAGATTGGAGGCAGTGAACATGAATGATTCCAGTTCATCTTCATGGGTTCCAGCCTGTGCTCATAGGTTCCAGATTGTTTTTGTTCCCCACCACTTTACATAAATCTTCACTTTCAACTTCCTGCCCTATGGACTTCACGCTCATCTGTTTACATCAGATGTGAAAACAACAGTCTTACAGAATTTATTTAACCAACTTCTACTTGGGAAAGGTAAAATCCCTGTAGTAAATCCCTTACTATACACCCCTGGTCTTCCTCAGCACTCTCTGCTTTTCTGATGGACCTTCCACTGGTAGCAGATGAGCTGGAAGTCCAGGAGGGATGTTACCCAGAAAAAATGTGGAACTGAGAGTTACGTATTGCTGTTTCAAGAAAGAGTTTATAATCTGTCAGAGAATTTAGACATATGTTGGTAACCAACATTTTAAAAATTAAGAAACAAGGTAAAGTATTAATTCCAGGAAAACAAAATAATGCCTAAAAAAAATTTAAGCATTAGGACATGGTATGATTCAGGCATAAAAATACTTATGCGATCATAATAATGAAAACATGCATAATGATTTCAGCAAATACCACAAAAACCTACACTAGTAAGATGAAGATAAGGGAAGTAGATGAGAGAAGGAATGGGATTATAGAGCTAAATCCTGATGTGTTATAGCAGATATGATTAGATCACAGCTTTAAATATAGATACGTACACGTTATTTAGAATTGTACACATCTAATACAGGTATCTACGTACATGCATTTAGAAATATGAAAGTAAATATTTCTACAATTTTTTAACAAAAATTGGCTAACATAGCTAACAGGATTGCTCCCAAAGAGTGAGGCAAGAGTGTGGGACAGGGTGAGAAGTATGATTGTTGCAAGTGCTACTGCAAATATTTCACACTATTTTTTTTAAGAGATTGGGGTCTTACTATGTTGTCCAAGCTGGCCTTGAACTCCTGGGCTCAAGCAATCCTTCTGCTTCACCTCCCAAGTAGCTGGTACTATAAGCATATGCCATCATACCCAGCTCTTTCACGCTTTTAACCTACATACATGTTTTACTGTAGTAAAAAGAAACATTAAATTACAAAAACTCAAAGTTAGTATAACTGAAAATAAAAAACTATGACTTAGTAAGTTAGCAAAACAAAAAAAGAAAGGCAGAAACTTAACAATACCAAGTCTAAACTACTTCGAGTTCAAAAACAAGCACTCAATTAATGCTGAGGTACATATTCACAGTGGTAAAACTATAAAGACAATTAAGAAAGTTAACATAAAAAGGAAGGATCATAGTTTTCCCTAAAGGGTAGGGGAAGGTTTGTGACAGGAACTGAGATACTCATAATGTTCTATTTCTTATACCAAATAGATAACGTGTGTGTGTGTGTGTGTGTGTGTGTGTGTGTGTGTGTGTGTGTATGTGTGTGCATGCATGAATGTGTGTTTTATGGACTCTGGAGAGCAGGGAAACACTAAGGACCCAACAGAAACTCCAGAACACAGTTGCGGAGCTCCTCATGCTATCCATGAGGTTTAGTTTTTTCCAAGTCCTTCATACTCCAGGTAACATCACGATTTGCTGCTACATGATATTGAAACGTATCTTTTATCTTAGAACAAAAATGAAACAGAATTGTATGTATGGCAGGTATGAGAAAATCTTATGCAAACATATAGAAATTTAGACTGTTCACATGTATGAGTAATTTTTAAATTAAAAAGTACACTATCATTCTATTACCATAATTTTTTAAATGTTTTATTATGCTGGCATGAGTCACTACACCCAGCCCTATCACCATAAATTTTAACAGTAAATAAATATTGAAAAGAAAGAAAGGTTAAAACTAGCCTTTAAGTAAACGTGTCAGAAATATATCTAAGAAAACAGGCTATTTGATATCATGCCACTGGATTACAACCCACTGAGAAACAGGTGGGGGCATCATAAATTCAAAATGCCAAAAAGTCACTATAAAACACTTTTTATATAAATCATTTAACTATTAAGTAAACAATTGCTTATTTAAAAATCCAGATGAAGGCGAGGCACAATGGCTCACACCTATAATCCCATGTCTTTCGGAGGCCAAGGCAGGCAGATCCCTGGAGCCCAGGAGTTTCAGAGCAGCCTGGCCAATATGGCAAAACCCTGTCTCTACAAAAAACACAAAAATTAGCAGAGCATGGTAGCATATGCCAGTAGTCTCAGCTACTCAGGAGGCTGAGGCAGGAGGATCGATTGAACCTAGAAGGTCTAGGCCCCAGTGAACCATGATTGCGCTACTGCACTCAAGCATGGGTGACAGAGCAAAACCCTGTCTCAAAAAAAAAAAAAAAAAAAAAATCCAGTTGAAGCAGAAAGATACATGGACACCAACCTACCTTTTAAACAACTGATAACAATGAAGCCTTTAAAAGGCCATTTTATGACTGGGCCTGGTGGTTCACGCCTGTAATCTCAACATTTTAGGAGGCGTAAAGGGGAGGATAGCTTGAGGCCAGAAGTTCCAGACAAGCCTGGCAACATAGTGAGACCCTATCTCTACAAAATAAAAATAAATAATAGATAAAAGGTCATTCAAAAGGACGGTTAAAAAGCTAACTAGGGCCGGGCATGGTGGTTCATGTCTATAATCCTCGCACTTTGGGAGGCCAAGGTAGGTGGATTGCCTGAAGTCAGGAGTTCAAGACCAGCCTGGCCAACATGGCAAAACCCCGTCTCTATTAAAAATACAAAAATTAGCCAGGCATGGTGGTGCACGCCTGTAATCCCAGCTACTGGGGAGACTGAGGCAGGAGAACTGCTTGAACCCAGGAGGCAGAAGTTGCAGAGTGCCGAGATGGTGCCACTACACTCCACCCTGGATGACAGAGTGAGACTCCGTCTCAAAGAAAAAAAAGAAGAAAAAAGCTAAGGCAGCCAGGCGCAATGGCTCATGCCTGTAATCCCAGCATTTTGGGAGGCCAAGGCAGGAGGATCATTTGAGGTCAGGAGTTCGAGACCAGCCTAACATGATGCAACCCTGTCTCTATTAAAAATAGTAAAAATTAGCTGGGTGTGGTGGTGAATGCCTGTAATCTCAGCTACTCAAGAGGCTGAGGCAGGAGAATCGCTTTAACCTGGGAGGCCAAGGTTGCAGTGAGCCAAGATCGCACCACTGCACTCCAGCCTGGGAGACAGAGTGAGACTCTGTCTCAAAAAAAAAAAAAAAAAAAAAAAAAAAAGGCTAACTAAGGCAAAACCTATAAGAAGCAGGCAACAAATTCAACAGATACTTCTGATGACGAGACATCACTTTCTACAGAGAAAAATAGGTCACATGCAAAGCATCAGAAATCAAAAGTGGCATTGTATTTCTCAACATTTACAATAAAAACAATGTCTCAAAAAAAAAAAAAAAAAAAAAAAAAAAAAAGGCTAACTAAGGCAAAACCTATAAGAAGCAGGCAACAAATTCAACAGATACTTCTGATGACGAGACATCACTTTCTACAGAGAAAAATAGGTCACATGCAAAGCATCAGAAATCAAAAGTGGCATTGTATTTCTCAACATTTACAATAAAAACAATGAGGAAGTGGAAAATGTGTTTAAAATTCTAAGGAAAATTATTTTCAAACTAGAATTCCACAGCTAAGCGATTCTTACTGCAAGGTTATCGCAATCCTATGTAGGTAATGAATAAGATGCACAATTCTGACTTCAATATAATCTAAATATGCTTTGTGGAAATGTGGAATTCTGAAAGAGATTGGGAAGAAAAGTAGTGTGAATTATATAGGAGTGGATGAAAGAGACATGATTAAGGCTGACTCCATTCAAGTTTTCTTGCTTTAGATTTTTCCTTTTCTATGAGATAATAATAAATAACAATAAACATTTTGGAAGCACTTTTTCTTTGGCAAGCACAGTTGTAAGAACTATAGATGTATTGATTTTTTTCCAGCCTTGCAATAGCCCTATGAGGTATACTCTTTTTTTTTTGTTTGAAACACAGTCTCGCTCTGTCGCCTGGCTGGAGTGCAGTGGCTAGATCTTGGAGCACTGCAACCTCCACCTCCCGGATTCAAGCAATTCTCCTGCCTTAGCCTCCTGAGTAGCTAGGACTACAGGCACGCACCACCACACCCACCTAATTTTTGTATTTTTCAGTAGAGACGTGGTTTCACCATGTTGGCCAGGATGGTCTCGATCTCTTGACCTTGTGATCTGCCTGCCATGACTTCCCAAAGTGCTGGAATTACAGGCGTAAGTCACTGTACTCAGCCAAGGTACATTCTTTTAATCTTCACTTTAGATACTAGAAATCTGAGGCTAACATTCCAAGGTTCATGGTTAAATGGCAGAGCAAGAATTCAAACTCCAGCAGATGACTCCAAAGCCCATGCTCTTGGATCTTTAACAACCCAAAGAAATAAACAGTTAGATGTAATGAAAACTCTTAATTTCATGAGATTATATAGAAAAGCAAACTATTGTATGCTTTTGTTTTAGTGTGTGTGTATGTGTGTGTGTGTGTGTGTGTGTGTGTGTGTGTGTTTTGAGACGGAGTTTTGCTCTTGATGCCCGGGCTGGAGTACAATGGCACGATCTGGGCTCACCGCACCTCTGCCTCCCAGGTTCAAACGATTCTCCTGCCTCAGCCTCCTGAGTAGCTAGGATACAGGCATGTGCCACCACACCCAGCTAATTTTGTATTGTTAATAGAGACGGGGTTTCTCCATGTTGGTCAGGCTGGTCTCGAACTCCTGACCTCAGGTGATCCACCCGCCTTGGCCTCCCAAAGTGCTGGGATTACAGGCGTGGGCCACCATGCCCAGCCTATTGTATGCTTTTAAGACCTATAAAAACATAACAAATTTTAATGGCTTTGCTCCTTTCAGCTACCATTCACTGAGCTGCTAGTATGTTCCAGGCACTTAAAACATTTGTTGCAATCATCCCAACATCATATCTCCAATTTATAGTTAATTTATAGGTAACTGAAGTTCATAGAAAGGTTATACAATCTGCCCAAGGGTCACCTAGCTAGTGACCTAGCTAGCCAGGATTTGAAAGTAATTACCCAACCAAAATCCTGAACATCACCGAAGTAATAACCTTAAAGTATGTATGTATGCCTAGAATAAAAATAAAAGAACATATTCTAAGATAAGTACAAGTGAATAAATACCGACAACTCAAAAAGCCATAATTCTACATATGCTATAAAGAGATGTGGAACTTTGAAGGGGACTGAGAAGGAAGAAACTAATTCAACTGGGTGAAAGTCTCATAATACTTATTGTTTTATATTATTAGTTAATATGCACAGAAATAATGCATGACAATGGGAACAAAGTTCTTACTACAGATCTACGCAGAGGTAAAAATCCAATATACACCTCCAGTTATATTAAAAAAAACAACTGAAGTAGCTCCCCAACCCAATGACCCACAAACACTTTGCTTGTAGGATCTATGACTTCTAGTGGTCCCATAATTCATATATAACAGATTTTACTTATAGAAGTATAAAAATTAGCCAAAAACCCACCTCATAATTTACTTTCAAAAGTGTTTAGCTAAATCTAGAACATCTGTCTAACAATAGTTAAGGTGAAATTTTACAAAATGAATATTTTGGAGTGAGAAGTAACAAATTTTATTTTACATGAATTTTTAAAATACTGAACTAACTCTATTACTTACAGCTTAGATAGCATGAAGTTTGACTTCATCTTGACATGAATAATCATCATTTTGAGAAAAATGTTTTAACTTGTTTCCAAAAATGATAATCATTGATAACTGAGGAGAAAAAGCAAAGACCGTTTTTGTTCTATTCACAAGTACCAACGAACAGCCCAGTGTGGAAATGGCTGTATGCCAGGTTGCCCTGTGAAGAATTAGGCTTCTTGGCAATCAAGAAACTCAGACATCGTAGGCCCTTAGAAAACTGACACATTAAGGACTTGGTGCTTTCACTTCCCCTTCTAGAAGGCATATGCAAGATATGTCTTGCTTAGATGACAATCTCTTCCATATTCTGGATTCAGTGAGAGAATAAGACAACTAATAAGAAGCAAATTGAGGAGCAAGAATCATTCATTGACTATTGGATCTATTGACTAAAATTTAATAACTGGTTCCAGATATACAGCAATATTATCCTAAATAACCACAAGAAACAATAATTAAAAGATTCATACAACAATTATGAAATGTAAACGTGCATCTGAATTTTGATCAAGAAACTCAGAGTGAAATTCAGAGACAAACAAACCTGAAATTATATCTTTATAAAAAATAGTCAAAATGGTAAAAACCCAGTTTCAGATATGTATATTTATTCCTTTATTAACTTCTATATAGAAAGTTAAAAACAAAAAATGTTGAATAATTCCAATAAACCTTTGGGGAGACTGTGGATCACAACATCCATTTTACCAAATTTTAACCTTAAGTTCCCTATTATCTGGTAAATAATTTTTTGTTTTGATGCTGTATGAATCTGAATGAAGGTTGAGACTGCCAACACACTAGACTACATTTCACAAGTTTGCTGCCTGTATCTAACGTGATACTCAGTAGCATAAGAGTAAAAATAAATGATATGAAACATAATCAAAAATTAAAAATTATTCTAAGCACCCATAAATATACTTCCTGAACGTTCCTTGATTATGTAGGGTCAGTTGAAAAATTTGACTAACTCATAACAATACTATCAAGAAGCCAACATACTTAAGAATCTGAATTCCAAGTGAAATACAAGACATTTATGATATTTTCAGATGTATAATCCAGCCAAGATATACTTTATAAATAAAATAGATTTTAAAGGGCAAACATCAATATTTAAATCAATCCTTCTTCACATATATCTTCAACAAAATTTCTCACCTTCAATACTTTCTAATTTCATTTTTTCATTATTTTATAGTATATAAATACACAAGCCTTTTCTCTACTTTTTTGATGTGCCAATAACATTAGTGCAACATATAGCCATGACAACTTATCCTATAAACAGAATCCCTCACAAATTGAAAAATATAAGAACCAACAAATGTTTCACTACACTCAGAAAACACAGAGTCTTTATTCCAAGAGGAACTTTCAGTAAAAAAAAAATGATGTGTGAACAGCAGACACTGATGTTCACACAAGCATACTGCAGACAACCCAGCAGGCGGTTTTCTGTTTTTTTTGGATTATGCTCTGGAGGTGCTGGCACAATGGAATTTCAATACCCTAACTGCTTATTTCTCTGTACATCTTTAAAATAACAGGTAAAGAAAAAATTGTCTAAAAAAAAAACAAAATAAAGTGTTTTTAATTCTTCTTTTCAAACGATGTAATTTATAACCATTACACAAATAGCGAAGAAGCACAAAAGAGGGGAAAAAAGAAATAAAGTAATGTTCCAAAGGTTCAGTTTACAAGGACCTCACACAAAGTTTTTTTTTTTCTCTGCAACTCTTACTAGAAACAGTATTATTTGCTAAAAATGCACTAGCTGCCAAGAGCTATGGTCCATCTAAAGCAAAATGCTTAAGATGGAAACAGTGTTAATACAAAAAAAAGAGGCAGGATTCAGTATACAAATTTCTGTAAAATCTATTAAAAAATAAGATGAAGTTTTGATTTTGATACATTATTTTGACTAAAAAACAATTCTAATTATAGATAAAATACTAAAATACATAGTACTGTATTAAAACAATAAGTAATCAAATTTCAAACTTTCTAATTAATCCTTTTTTTGTAAGTTATTGGGAATTCTACACTAGTCTTGGTTCACATGATAGAACAATGGGAAAATTTTCCGAATGGTTGAACACTAACCCTGACAAGTGTGGAGAGCCAACTACAATACATTATATGGTAGCATAACCTGCCACCCACGTTGCTGAGAGAACAGCTTTCAAACACATGCACTGAGCTGTAAAACCGCAAAATCCCTTATTACACATTGTCTTTCTTACTTTAGGTGAAATATACCATCAATTCTTTCCATTATAAATCTTTTTTTATTACTATTTTTGAAGACCATTTACAACTTGACTGTTGTTTTCTGACAAAGTAAAAGATGTCTTTTACAAAAAGAAAATGCAACAGGAAAGTTATCACCCTCCTACAGTATTACAAATGAAGGCTGATATCTGCTGCATAATTTCCCATAGATTAACTGGAGGATCCATATTACCTAAAATGTTTCCAGATAAAATTCTTTTTTTTCCCTTTGAAAACCAAACCCTTATACTAGAGTTCACCAAGTTTCTTAAAGCATTTGAAAATACTTGCTTTCTTTAATAAAAGCTGATATATTGCTTTGGGAAGTTCTTTAATATATAATTTTGATCATTACCAAAAAAAGAGAAAAACAAATTGTCAAAATTTGTTAGAAAGTAAATGTTCTTTCTCTCTTTCTATGTTTCTTCCCAACACTTTCCCCCTTCCTCCTGCACCAGCACAAATACAAACCTATACTAAAAAACAAAACAAAAAATAGATTCAAGGAGATAATGCTGCCCTTGACAGTATTTGCATTATATTGATGATACATGTAAATGAAGAAAGACTGAAGAATGGCAGCCACACATCATACTCATTATAGCAATGTGTTTGACAAAAATACGTTCTTACCTTTCAGAAAAGAGCTCAATGCAACAATGACTATCAAATCTAACAAAAGGGCTTAAGATACAGAACAAGGGTAAAAAAATGAAAAATTTAAAGACAGTACTTTTTAGAGATTCAAGAAGGTTAAAATCATTTCAAAAAATGTGTGTTTCTCTCTAACGTTTTGTCTGATTAATTTCCCTCCAAAATTCTCCTTTCTATCCTTTGCATTTCCTTCCCCCCAACTCCCACCCACCATGACCCACCTCCACCCACAGTCTGCTAACTGAATCATAGCATTCCAGGACAGTTACAGGACATAACAGTTTCTTCTGGGGTTTTCATTCGCAATGTTGTTTGCAAAGAGAATTTTATTTGTAAGTGTTTCTATTATACTGACAGGGTCAATTAGTCTTGTGAACTATTGGTCTTTCTGCCTGATAGCTTGGTGGATCATTCAAGTGGTACCGTTCATAACCTATAACTGAATGCAGCCAATTAACCTCAGAAACATGACAATACTGGCTAACTAATGGGCTTTTTAGTTTATCTTAGTGACACACTATAGTTAATAACACACTATAATTATATTACACTATAGTAATATAATTTCCCCCAAATTGGTGGTATATTATTTGATATAAATTATATTTTCCCCAAATTGAACTGATTTGTAAATTATGCCACATAAGTTGCACAGAGTAATTTTCATTTTATAGAAGTTCACTATAAACATTCGGAAGTTTTTTTTTAAAACAATAATCAGCTATTATGCCTACTTTTGCTTATATGTTTATACAACTAAATAAAAGAATAAGATTTCTCCCAAGATGCAGAAAGCACTAATACTCTCCAAAAGCTAATGTAAAAATAAATTTGCATTTTACTTCAAATATTCAAAAAAGGCTTAAGTTGTAAAATATTATTTATTTTTTTAAAAACACACCCAAAAAGAGAATTTGCATTAACTGACTGTTTACTATGTGACCAGGTAATGTGAATAAGTACTTTGCAAACTTTATCCTACTTAATTCTTTCTGGAATCCAATAAGACAGACATTGTTCACCTATTCTATATATGAGGAAACTGAGGTTTCAAAAGAGCCAAATATATCTCCAAGATTCACACAGCTAGTAAGTAGCAAAACTAAGATCTGAAACCAGATCTGTCTACTTTGCCAAACTGTGGTCTATCAACATCACTCGGCCTAAAAAAAATATGAGTAAATTCCCTGGTCATCTCCCCATGTCATCTTGTAAAACTGGATTACAGAATACTGCCAAGTTCCAAAGCCATTCTACAAAAGAATATCCAATTATTAATGATCAACAACTTGAAGGAGATTAATGAAGTAAAAGTTTACTAAGATACAATACTCCACTTTTTTTCATATCACTTCTAACCCAAATGCACTCTCACATATATGAATGTATACGTGATCTTCTACACACATGCTTGCATCCACATGTACCTGTTCACATACACACATACTCATCTAAAATGTCACACGTCAATACTCCTGATTTCCAAGGCTAAAGTACTGTCTGTCCATTATGCCAGCCCACAAAGAAGTAAAAAGCTGTCTTAATGCCATGGGTATCAAGGTATCAATTTCTTTGCAAAGAAGAATTTTTAAAATAAGTTGAATAACTTTTTCATACTGTAATTTTAAAAAACGATCTGATCTAATAAGCCAACTTAACATATGTTCTAGCAAAAATTATATTATGATTATCTATGCTTTTGCTTTATAAATTTTCAAACATAACTAATTTGTTCAATTGTTGGGCCAAACTGCCCTAAAAGCAAATGCCCTGTTACAGGAGCGCACCCTAAGCATTTCTAAAAATCCATTACTACTCTCAAATCCTCTGCCTTCACATTGGCTACAGTGACTTTCAGGGCTTCATTCACTGCTTAATGGAAAAGTCTGCAAAAATATTTGTGCAATTAGGATAGACAGCGCTTTCTTGAAAATACTGGCTTGGCTAAAAGTCATGGCAGTTAAGATGTATATAAATAACTTTTAAAATGCCCATTTATACTCCCTACTCTATAAATTTGTTCCTGTAAATATTGTATTTCTTTTTAAAAATACATCCTGCATAGAAAGTATAAGGGCTAAGAAGTAAAATTCAAAGTCATCCATATTATAAAGTCAGCTTTACTTTTTTAAATATAACAAAATAAATTCCATAAGCACAAACAATTTCAAGAACAGAGAACAAAATCAAAGGAAGTATCCACGTTAGTAAAACTATTACCTTAGAAAATATCTAATATTTTGACACAACGGATAAAGATGTGCTCCAGTATGTGAAGTTATTAGCTAAATACTAGGAAGCTTAAAATTGCTAAATTCTTGCTTTACATATGCCACAAAAAATAATGCCACTGATGCTGTAGTTTCAAAGAATTAAATCTGTATATCTACTCGAATGCCAGGGGAAATTTCATTAAAATAATTTTTTTAAAAATCCAAATAACCTACATAGGTTGTTCTCTCTGTCCAGTTGCAACAGAGAAAACACTGATATCGAAATGCCAAATATCAACCTTAAAAAAAACACTTCATGCTTAGATCTGATAGTAAGGAATTGAATCCAAGACAACCTATCCATTTTCCATAACTTGAGCATGTCTTAATATACATAAGACACATTTATCTAGCACTTTCCAACCTTGTACAGTCATGTACGAGTAAGGATAAAGCAAGCAGCCATTACAAAGCTAACAGAGAAAAGTAGTATGGATGGGCGTAAAGTTATATTGACTAAGAATCTATACATATTAGGTTCATGGTAGATGTTTTTACACTGCTTATCTAATTTTCACAACCACCCAAACAAGACAGGCATTGTAATTTTCATTTTTTAAAGTAAATAAACAGAGGCTCAGAAAAAACAGAGAAATTGTACTCTCTCTCAAGGAAGTGATAATACCAAGATTCCAACTCTGATCTGACAGGCTCCAAACCCCATGATTAAAGCAGCATGTGGCAAAGACAATCTAGAAACATGTTCCTTTATTTGGCTTAGGTCTCACCCTTCTGTCCTACTCTGAAAACAATATTTAAAACCCAGATTGCAGGTTATGAAACAGACTGGGTTTTTCCGTCTGTAAGCCAAGGTTAGAGAACTCTGCGTTCAATGGCGAGTACAATATGACTCTGGGGGAATATCAGCAAGTTTCAAATGACTATAACTTCAGGTTAAATGGAGTTCAGTGAGTCATGATAATTCCATGCTACCGATAATCCTGAACCTGGTCAACAGAAAAGTTTCAAATTTGAATTCCATATCTGCCTTAGACAATTCCCTCTCAACACAAGGCAAATCTTCATTCAAAATAAGTTTCTCAAAGTCAGGAACACTTCTCAATGCCTTTCATTAAATTTCCTCAGAGACAATTCCCTCTCAACACAAGGCAACTCTTCATTCACAATAAGTTTCTTAAAGTCAGGAACACTTCTCAATGCCTTTCATTAAATTTCCTCAGAGAAATGATAAAATTTTTAAATTGATGAGATTATTGTTCAACTAGATTTTACAAACTGGCTGACAGTAACTTTGACTCAACTTTTACCCTTTTATTATCTTAAATGTGAAGTGGCTACCTAAATACTAAGGTAGAACAGTGAAGGCAGAAAGAGATTTCTTCTCATTCCTCAGTCTCTCTTTATTCCCTAAAGTACCTTGCTTATCATATTTAGCCAGAGCTCATAACCTCTGGGCTATGATAAGAGGCAAATTAGGATTGCCCTATATTCCCCAAAGCTATATTACATTCCCTTTAGTCATTATTATCTTCTCTAAGATCACATGCTTATATCAGAAAGTAGGCTGCTAGAGTCGAATCAATTTTAGAACTAATCTGCCTTGGATTCTTTTCCTCAGTAAAGCTAAAACGGACGCCCCTCCACTATCTTTAAAATAAATATCAAAGGCCACTGCAGAAATAAATTGCACAAATATTAACTGAGCACCTATGTGGTAGGTACTCAGCTACATGAGTGATCAAGATGATCAAGACAGGTAATGTCCTTGTGCTAACCAAAGCCATCAAAGATTTGTGGGCCCTGAAAAGAAATATGCCATAATATGACAAAATAAATAACTGAGGGCCAAGATTAGTGTATAGAAATAAATATATACAATTGTTACCACATGGGTCACAAATTTGGTTCTAAGCTTCCTGACAGTCAACACGAAGTGGGTATCATTACTGGTTCTGACACAGTATAGAGATTCTTCTACTTACAGATTCATTTCCAAAGGGTCATCATTAAGTCTACTTAATCACATGTGTCGATTTTTAACTATAGAAGCAACTACTAATACCATCTACTGGTAGTTGACAGCGCTGACATATTTCTCCCCCAACCACCTCCCTCAATATAGGTCCATGGATACTAAGAAGAAATTCTATGAAAACAATTTTCTAAAACAATGCTGCCAAAGAATAATATTCAAAATTGCTAAAGAACATGTATGTTTTTCAAGCAGCCCCAATTTAAAAAAAAAAAGGAAATTCAACCATTGGAGGAATAGTCCAAAGATACAGGAATAACTGAAACTATCAGTATCTCAGTTATTTCTTATGCAAGTTTTGTGTGTAATACCTCTTTGCTCTAATTTATAAATAGGAAAATACAACTTTGAGATAAAGTTTTAAAGTTTTAGCAATTATATCTAAAATAAGTACAGGCATATCCCAGATACATTGTGGGTCTGGTTCCAGACCACAGCAATAAAGTGAGTATCACAATAAAGTGAGTCAGTCATACAATGTTTTGGTTTCTCAGTGCATATATTATGCTCACACTCTACTGTAGTCTATTAAGTGTGTAATAGCATTATGTCTAAAGAACAATGTACATATCCTCACAAAAAAATATTTTACTGCTAAAAATTGCTAACAATCCCCTGATCCTTCAACAAGTTGTAATTTTTTTTGGAGGCAGAGTATCTCACCTTAATGATGACGGCTACTGACAGATTAAGGTGGTAGTTACTAAAGGCTGAGGTGGCTGAAGCAATTTCTTAAAATAACACTGAAGTTTACCTCATTTATTCAATATTCCTTTCATGAAAAATATTCTCTGTAGCATGCAATGCCACTTAATAGCATTTTGCTGACAGTAGAAGTTCTTTTAAAATTGGAGTCAGTCTTCTTTTATCAACTAAGATGATGCAATATTCTAAATTCTTTGTTGTCATTTCAAGAATGTTCACAGCACCTTCACACACTAAAAACTACTTTCTTAGCTCATTTATGAGAAGCAACTCTTCACCTGTTCAAGTTTTATAATGAGATTGCTGCAATTTGGTCGCATCTTCAGGCTCCATTTCTTTTTGTTTTTTTGAGATAGGGTCTCTCTCTGTAGCCCATGCTGAAGTGCAATGGCATGATCATGGCTCACTGGAACCGCCGCCACCTAGGCTTAAGCAATCCTCCCACCTCAGCCTCCCAAGTAGATGGGACTACAGATGTGCATCACCACACTCAGTTAATTTTTTTGAATTTCTTTTGTAGAGATGGGGGTCTTGTTATGTTGCCCAGGCTGGTCTTGAGCTCCTGGGATCAAGAGATTCTTCCACCTCAGGCTCCCAAAATGCACCTGACCTTCAGGCTCCATTTCTAATGGTAGTTATCTTGCTGTTTCCACTACATCTGCAGTTACTCCCTCCAATGAAGCCTTCAGACCCTCAAAGTTATTCATGAGGCTTGGAATCAACTTCTTCCAAACTAATGTTAATGTTCATATTTTGACCTTTTCATGTGAATCACAAATATTCTCAGTAACATCTAGAATGGTAAGTTATTTCCAGAAGATTTTCAATTTGCTTTGCCTAGATCCATCAGATCATTTGCCACTATTTATGGCAGCTAATGCCTAAAGAAATGTATAAGACTTGGAAGTCAAAATTATTCCTTGATCCATGGGCTGCAGAATACATGTTGTGTTACCTCCTTGTACATCTCCATCAAAGCTCTTGGGTGACTATGTCCATTGTCAACAAGCATAGTGTTTTGAAATAAATCTTTTTCTCTGAGCAGTAGGTCTTTACAGTGGGATTAAAATATTCAGGAACCCATGCTCTAAACAGATGTGCTGTCATCCAGGCTTTGTTCTTCCATTTATAGCACATGGGCAGAATAAATTTAGCATAATTCTTAAGGACCCTAGGATTATTAGAATAGTGAGGGCTGCCTTCAACTTGAAGTCACTAGCTGCATCAGCCCCTAACAAAAGAGCCAGCCTGTCCTGTGAAGCTTTCAAGCCAGGCATTGACTTCTCCTCTCTAATCTTAGCTGGCATCTTCCAGTAGAAGGCTTTTTGTCTACATTGAAAATGTGTTGCTTGGTGTATCTACCCTCATCAACTATTTTAGCCAGATCTTCTGGGTAACTTCCTACAGCTCCTCCATCAGCACTTGCTGCTTCACCTGGCTCTTTTATGTTATGCAGATGGCTTCTTCACTGAAACCTCATGAACCAACCTCGGCTAGTTTCAAGCTTTTCTTCTGTAGCTTCCTCACCTCTCTCAGCCTTCCTAATATTGAAGAGAATTAGGACCATACTGTGGATTAGGCTTTGGCTTAAGGGAATGTTGTAGCTGGTTTAATCTTCCATCTAGGCTACTCAAACTTTCTCCATATCAGTAATAAGGCTGTATTGCTTTCTTATTATTCATGTGTTCACTAGAGTAGCACGTTTAATTTCCGTCAGGAACTTTTCCCTTATATTCACAACTTCGCTGTTTGGAGCAAGAGGCCTAGTTTTCAGCATATCTTGGCTTTCAACATGCCTTCTTCATTAAGCTTAATTCTTTCTGGCTGTTGAGTTAAAGTGAGAGATGTGAAACTCTTCCTTTCACTTAAATAGTTAGAGACCATCATCATTAGTTAGAGGCCTAATTGAATCAAGCCAATTAATTAGGTTATTAACTGGCCTAATTTCAATATTGTTGTGTCTCAGGGAACAGGAAAACACAATTAGAGAGAAAGAGATAAAAAAGCAGCCAGTTGGTGGAGTAGTCAGAACACAATATTTACCAATTAAGTTTGCTATATTATATGAGCATGGTTCATGGCGTCCCAAAACAATTACAATAGTATCATTAAGAATCACCGATCACAGATCACCATAAAAGATATAATAATAATGAAAAGGTTTGAAATATTGTGAGAATTACCAAAATGTGATAGAAACAGGAATTGAGCACAAGCTGTTAAAAAAAATGGTGCCAATAGACTTCCTTGACACAGTTGCCACAAAGCTTCAATTTGTAATAAAATGCAGTTATCTATAAAGTGCAATAAGGTGAAAAGCATAAAATGAGGTAGGCCTGTATAGTACTTAGTATACAATGAAAATGGATGCAGTAATTTTTAAAGAACTATTCTTTTTTTTCATGAATCTCAAAGAATTCATGAAAAATTCATGCAGTTAGAGGAATAAGCCAACAGCCACATAGTTATTATTGCATACAGTTATTGTAAAGAGACATTCTATATAAACTATATATATGGATTGGCCAGATTCACCATAATTAAGTGAAATGAGAGAAGGAGCCAACAGGACTTTGAAGAATATTATAATTTTCCTGAAAAATTTAATTTAGTCTAAGGACACTATCTATTAAATAATCGCAGAGTACCTTTTAGTCAACCTCAGAGGATTTCACATAGTCTGATTACTTAGGTTAACTCCTACAAAATTGAAAAACTGTATGTTAAAGAAAATATGATTTTAAGTAACATTTTAAAAAATTGGAGTGAAAAAAGAACTGCATCTTCTCATTTATACACGGAATCTAAAGTTGAACTCACAGAAGCAGGGAGTAGGATGATGGTTACCTGGGGCTGGGAGTAAGGGGGACAGTTGGGAGATGTTGGTCGAAGGACATAAAATTTCGGTGAGGCATAAGAAATAAGTTCAAGTCATCTACTGTGCATCACTATGAGTACAATTAATAATAATATATTGTATACTTGAAAATTGCTAAGACAGATTTAAGCGTTCACACCACAAAGAATGACATATATGTGAGGTATTACCTATGTTAATTAGCTTGATTTAGTCAGTCTACAATGTATAAAAATATCAAAACATCATTATAAGCACCATAAATATACACAATTTTCTGTCAATTTAAAAAACTAAATTTAAAAATTAGTAAAATAACACTAGCCTAACCAGTTTACAGAGGTGGAATCCGCGTATTTTCTAATTTTAGTTGTTCTCACAGATAAAATAGATATACTAATACAATAAAATAGTATTTTTGTTGTTACTGGTTATAAGTTTCAATTATAAATAACTATATTGATTTCTATTGTAAAATTAGGGAGGTTTTCCTATTTAAAAAAAATATCGGGGGCTGGGTGCGGTGGCTCATGCCTATAATCCCAGCATTTTGCGAGGCTCAGGCGGGCACAGATCACATGGTCCGGAGATTGAGACCATCCTGGGTAACACAGTGAAAACCCGTCTCAAAAATTAGCCAGGTGTGGTGGTGCACACCTGTAATCCCAGCTACTCGGGAGGCTGAGACAGGAGAAGCGCTTGAACCTGGGAGGCGAAGGTTGCAGTGAGCCGAGATTGCACCACTGCACTCCTGCCTGGGCAACAGAGCGAGACTCTGTCTCAAAAAAAAAAAAAAAAGGGATACTCATTTATTATAAAAATCACATTTCTTTAGCAGCATATATACAGTCTCAGGGAAGAAGTAGGAAAAACAGCAGTTGCCAGTGTACTATAAATACTATTATTATTTTAGCTAAGTGTGCCAGGCAAACCCTAAGAAACCTTATCCTGACTGATGAGGAAGAAGATTCAGAGAAGATTATATATTTTCAATATGAGGGACTTGCCCTTATGTTTTGTTTATGTAGTGGCAAAGAATGGGAACTTAGGAGATATATAAGAACCAGAACAAGAATTTAATCTTTTCATTATCAAAAATAAGTAACAGAAAATTCACATAGCTACTCAGGAAACATGTTAATTTGGAACAAGATTAAATCTAAAGACTTTAGGCTCAATAAAGATTAAAATAGATAGCTAACATATTATCTGAACAATTTCCCTACTATTGCCTCATACTTATGGTACCACTTAGTCTAAATCTAGATCTTTTCTCATGGTAAGTGCTTAGAAAGCTTCCTCTACGTACTGCCTCTGTCCTACTTAATTAAGTATAAGAAATCAAGACTAGCTGTAGGCCATCCAATTAGCTAATTATCATTATTAATTAGCTATCTAATTACAAAGTAGGCAACAGATTCTAAAAAAGTGGTGAGATGGCTAAGCTACGGTTTCTGTTTTGTACCATCAACTATAATTTCAAATACAAGAGGAAAGATTCCCAAATATCTACAAATCCTTGTAGGAAGAATTCTCTTAATTCCTTTATGAAGGAGAAATGGACACAGAAAAGTATGCATTGTCTTTTATTTGCAGTTTCTGCTTCAATATTCTCATTCCTTTATCCTGAGACTTGAAGATTCATTGATTCTTCATTCACATGTAAAACATGAGGCTGAAAAAAAAAAAAGGTTCCTGACTAGGCTCACCTCTATTAAGATATACTTTTAAATTATGATAAAATGCTTCAGCAGGTAGTTTCAGCAAGATTTACTGCAGCACTTTCAGCTGATTACTACTGTGTGTGTGTGTGTTTTTTTTTTAGATGAAGTCTCTCTCTGTCACCAGGCTGGACTGCAGTGGTGCAATCTCAGCTCGCTGCAACCTCTGCCTCCCAGGTTCAAGCGATTCTCCTGCCTCAGCCTCCTGAGTAGCTGAGATTACAGGCACTCGCCACCATTCCCAGCTAATTTTTCTAATTTTAGTAGAGATGGGGTTTCACCATGTTGGCCAGGATGGTCTCCATCTCTTGACTTTGTGATCTGCCCGCTGCGGCCTCCCAAAGTGCTGGTATTACAGGCCTGAGCCACCGTGCCCAGCCTGATTACTACTGTTTTAATCAGCAACATGTTAGTCGCCAGAAATATTTACGCAAAATTTACCACACCAGGCGCGGTAGCTCACACCTGTAATTCCAGCACTTTGGGAGGCCGAGGAGGGCAGATCATGAGGTCAGGAGATCGAGACCATCCTGGCCAACATGGTGAAACCCCGTCTCTACTAAAAAAAAAATATACAAAAAATTAGCCGGGCATGGTGGCAGGCGCCTGTAGTCCCAGCTACTTGGGAGGCTGAGGCAGGAGAATGGAGTGAACCCAGGAGGCAGAGCTTGCAGTGAGCGAGATCGCGCCACTGCACTCCAGCCTGGGCAATGGAGAGAGACTCTATCTCAAAAAAAAAAAAAAAAACTTACCACAGGATGAGGGGACATACTGAATAGTGTGTGTGTGTGTGTGTGTGTGTGTGTGTGTGTGTGCGCGCGCGCGCGCGTGCGTGCAGCGCATGTGTGTGTGTGTGCCTGTGTGTGTGCCTGTGTGTGTGTGCATGTGTGTGTGTGCATGTGTCCATGGAACTCAGGAAAAAGTGGTCAAGTATGAAAGAGGTCAGTAAATGAAGACTATAAGAGACCCCAGCCACTTGCTCAAGTTTATTGTTCTTTCTCCTTGTTATGTATCTACCCTCGCATCTATTTTATTCATTCTACACCATTCTGTGTCTTCCCGTATCTTATAGTTGTACTCTTCTACTTTATAACTTCAGTTTGCACATGGCCCTTCACCTTACCCACCCTTTTCCATATCACTATCTCTCAGTATCAGATCTTGCCGATGCTAACTTTGCTTCTGTTTCTTCTGAGTTAAATTTCTAAGGCAAAAAAAATTAAAAATAGAACTAACTTGTAATCCAGAAATCCAACATCTGCATATATACCCAAAAGAGCTGAATAAAGGATCTTAAGATAAGTGTACATCCACTGTTCACAGCACTACTATTCACATTAGGCAAGAGGTGGGAACAACCCAAGTGACCACTGAGAGATGAATAGATAAGCAAAATGAAATACATACCTTTTGCACCTGCTGAATATTCTTTGGTCTTTAAAAAAAAGGAGGCCAGTGAGGTAGCTCAGGCCTGTAATCCCAGCACTTTGAGAGGCCGAGGCGGCCAGATCACCTGAGGTCAGGAGTTCGAGACTAGCCTGCCCAAAATGGTGAAACCCTGTCTACACTAAAAATACAAAAGTTAGCCGGGCATGGTGGTGTGTGCCTGTAGTCCCAGCTACTCAGGAGGCTGAGGCATGAGAATCACTTGAACCCAGGATGCAGAGGTTGTAGTGAGCCAATATCACGTCACTGCACTCCAGCCTGGGTGACAGAGCTAGACACTGTCTCAATAAATAAAAAAAAAATTAAATAAAAAAAAAAGGAAATCCTGTCACATGATACAACATGAACCTTGAGTACATTATGCTAAGTGAAGTAAGCTAGTCAAAAAAGGACAAATATTGTATGATTTCACTTATATGAGGTATCTAAAGCAGTCAAATTCATAGAAACAAAAACTAGAACAGTGCTCACCAGGGCCTGGAGAAGGGGGAAACTGGGAGTTGTTATTTAATGACTATGATTTTTGGTTTTGAAAGACAAAAAAGTTCTGGAAATGTGTATTCATAACCACGTGAATACCATATATGTAGCACTACTGAACTAACTACATAAAAAATGGTTCAGGTGGTAAATTTTGTGGTATATGTTTTTTGCAATTAAAAAAGTTTTTAAAATGTCTGAGACAGGGAATCTGATTTGCCCAGATAATCTCTTTGAAGCAAACTACACAAGCATGGGTCAATGGCAAGCCTATGAACTTCTGGTATTGTCAGAGGCGTGTGAAACCAGAGCAACTCCATCTTGAATACGAGCTGGGTAAAATGAAGCTGAGATTTACTGGGCTGCATTCCCAGACGGTTAAGGCATGCTAAGTCACCAGATGAGATACAAGGTCAGCATAAGATACAGGTCATAAAGACCTTGCTAATAAAACAGGCTGCAGTAAAGAAGCTGGCCCAAACCCACCAAAACCAAGATGGCCACGAGAGTGACCTCTGGTAGTCCTCACTGCTACACTCCCACCAGCACCATGACAGTTTACAAATGCCATGGCAAAGTCAGGAAGTTACCCTATATGGTCTAAAAAGGGGAGGCACGAATAATCCACCCCTTGTTTAGCATATCATCAAGAAATAACCATAAAGATGGGCAACCAGCAGCCCTCAGGGCTGCTCTATGTAGTAGCCATTCTTTCATTCCTCTACTTCCTTAAAAAACTCGCTTTCACTTTATGGATTTGCCCTGAATTCCCTCTTGCGCAAGATATAAGAACCCCCTCTTGGGGTCTGGATTGGGACCCCTTTCCTTGTAACATCTTTCTGGCGACCACTGAAGGGACTATAGTGTGGAAATCCCCGACCCAAAGGTTAACAAGTTTGGGTAAGTGGTGGGGTCCTGTAACAGTGTGGTTATTTAACAACTTTTTAATTAAATGCCTACTGTTTCAGACACTATGCTAGGCTCTCAGCCAAATGCTCACCCCTGCTCTGACCAGCAGGCTATATTCCCAGTATGTTTTCCTTATAAGAGGGATTGATAATCTGCATTTCTAAAACCATGTCATTTTCATTTTCATAAGTAAAATGCATATTTCTATTGAATCATATCCTGTCATATGGTTAAATAAAGGGTTTTTAGATTTTGTGGGTTTTTTGTCTTCTTTGCCCTAGGCTGTTACCATTGCCACTTTGCCTAAAAGAAACAGTGCAGGTCTTCTATAACTGCTGCAAAAGATCACTTGAAAAAAGTGACCTTACAGGACAATGCTCTTGAAAGAAAATTCATCAACTTCTAAGTTTAAGTACGCATTAGCAGTACAGAACCTTCCAAATCAACACATTATGAAACCAAACAAGAATCCTCCTCAGAATCATCTTATTTGGCACAAATATTATAATAAGAAAAGATAGAATTCCTGCTATTAAATCATTTCATTAGTCCCCAATCTATAAATTTAGAAACAATTACTCCAAAGAGTGCTTAAACAAGTTTTAAGAACTACCTTAGTTCAGAATTGCATTAAGTAAATTACATTAAGTAAACTGCCTATTAAAACATGAAATACAGGAAGTGTTTCAGTCCCTATCTGCCTAGATAATCCTGACTTTATATGACTTCATATGAGAATATGACAACATATTCTCTTAATTTTCTTCTCATCTTTCTGAGAGTTCCTCTCAGCTTTCTTCACTGGATAACCTTTTCCTATCCAACTCTCGAATATTGGCATCTTCATGGTTCCAGCCCTAGCACTCTTCTTTCATATCTAAGCTTCTATTTACACACTGATGATTCCAAAATCTGTATCTCTAACCCAGACTTCTTTCCTTAGGTTCAGATCCATATACCATACCCTACTATCCATGGACTACCTACTGAAAATCCCTCCATTTGAAGAGATACCAGATATCAGTGACCAAAATTAATCTCATTATCTAAGTCCCTTTCTCTCTGCCCCTCCCCCTCAGAATGTTCCTTCTCTGTATGCCATTACTAGTAAATGCCAACTTTCAACCAGTTGCCTAAGCTGAGAATTCCAGATGCCCCTTTCTGCTTATTCAAATCCTACCCAATATTCTGAATATACCCCAGGTAGCAATCAGTCACAAGTCCTTTTAATTTATTTCAAATATAGGGAACCCAACTGCCATAGCCTTAATTAAATCCTCGTAATTTTTACCTGGCTAATATTATATCTACCTGGTCTCTAGGTGCTCCAGCTCCCCCATTCCCATGATTAAGCTGTGTTGATGTTTCCTCATTTAATGTCTGCCATTACGTACAATCTGACTATACATTTTCACTGAAACAATTATATACTATATTTATTTCCCTACAAGAATGTAAACTTATGTATGGGAACCATGTTACATCACAATATATGTGTTGAATGAATAAATACTTCTCCAGTCTTTCTTACCACTCCCTCAGACCTATCCAGCTTCCATGGCAGACTGAATTACTTGCACTTCTGTCACTATACCATGCTACTGTGCTTCCATACCTTTATGTACATCATGACCCTGCTAGAATGCCTCCACTTGATTTTGCACCTGAATAGGCTTTGTATTTATCCTAAACAGTCAGTTGAACCATCAACCTCTTCAGCTTTTTAAACCACTGGGCTTTAAAAACCACAAAACAATATTGTGTTCCCATAGCCACCTCCAGGTACTTACTATACTAAATGGCAACTGAGAATTTTTTGCATATCTCTTCCATGAGACTATGAAGTGCTCAAAGGCAGAAACTGTGACTTTATTGTATCCCCAGTATCTAACACAGTACCTGGCACTTAGCAGGCCCTACAGCATTATTCACAGAATAAAGCATGAATCTGTTTTGTATGAAATGCCAGACTACATCTCTTAAATAATCTACAGTATAAGTTTGTGGTCAAACAAAAACAAGATACAATTAAGTTTCTAAAAAATATAGATGATACTTCTTCTTAAAAATACAGATGTTACTTTTCTGTATAACATATTTTAGTTCCAAAAGGAAATATGCCCCAAATGCATAGTTACCTCAACTCCATTTTGGAAATAAGTGATGCATACAATAATAAATAAAAGTTTTCAAAAATTCTATATATTGCTTTTAGAGAAGGTTAGAAGGTAACATTTTTTGGCCTAAAAATTATGTGTATCACACCAAAACATTCTACAATGACTTCAAAGATGAACTAAAGTTAGTTATGAAACTACTTTTTTAAAAAAATCTTTTAAACTAGCTAAATTCAACAAAAACTATTTTTCCAAAGACTTGATAAATTACACTTTCTGTCTTATCAAACCAATTTATGTTTATAGATACTGCCTAAGCCATTCCACTTTATATCAAATTGTTTAAAATAGGCCCCTCATAAGAAAGCAAATATAAGTAGATTTTGGGATCAACAAATAGAGCCAGAACTTTTGTCTGCATCTTCTTACTCTATCACATACATTAGGGGAACTCAAATTTTAATAGGAAATATTATTTTATCAGAAGAACTGACATACTAACCACTTCTGTCAAAGTACCATATATGGACTCACATGGTTGTGCTACTGAAATAAGACACAAGTAGAGAGCGAAAGGCCACATGAAACCATGGGAAAACATTACAGCTCTCTCTAACACTGAAGACTTATTTCAAGCCTCCTTTTAAAAAAAATCACTTGGTAACAGCTTTATTATCTGAAGACAAAAACAGAGCTTAAAATTCACTTAAGCACTCGATCTTGTGCTCTTGTGCTCTATCAATATTTTATCCTTTCATGGCCACAAATTTTAGAAGCAATAAACCAAAGGACAACTTTCACATATGCTGAAAGTGTCTACTTAACCTTAACAAGTTGTTTCTCATATAACAATATAGAAATAATTTGAGAACTGTCACAGTGTGTCTAAAAAACACTTTAGTTTCATATTTAAGTACAAAATATTCTACAATAATTTTTAAAAACAACAATAACTAGTTAGCAAACTGAAAAGGACTTTAAGTATCCTTGAATTTCAGCTAGAGATATTTTCTAAAATGCTATAATGATCACATCTAAAATATAATGTTCTTTGGTCCATTGCTCTAAATGATAAAAAAAAAATCTCACACATTATTTTTCCTTCTGAGAGCAAAAGAAAAGAACAACATTAAATCAAAACATAATGCTAAAACGCAAGGGATTTAAGAATTTAAAAACTACCATCTTGATTTGAAAATTTCTCTTGAATAACATGAATTCATGCACAAAAGTAACCCAACTGAGATGAAGCATTCTGCAAAGAAAGACAGTGTAGACTCAGAAATGCTAAATTATCACTTCTATATAGAAATAGTCTCTTGTGTAGAAGCAATAAATTGCAAACATCTTATAAAGTGTTCTTAAATTGTTGGTTTTCAATTTATGTGGAATAGGATATTTTGAATACAAGAAAGTAGAACGAGAAGCATAAATAATTTCAATTTTGTCATTAAAAATATTCTGTTTGGCCAAATCCAGTTTTAGTATCTTGTGACTATTCAGCAGAAAGTTCAATTTAAGTCCTCAGGTATAGTGGTTAAAATACACATTCTAGGGTATTAAAGGAAGGGTCTGATGCCTTTGTAGAGAGTTATCAATAGAAGTAACAAAGATCTAGATACAATACATGCTTCATAACTAAAATGAAGGAAAATAAATAGGATAGAAAAAGAATAATTTATTGCTAAATAAGGCAGCTATATGCTTTTCTCAACTTAGACTATTTTTTAAGTTACTACTTCAAATCAACAATTACAAAAAATAAGCATCTCAAGTAAACAAATTCATAATTTCTAGTGAAAAAAAAAGGAAAATCTATTAAAACATTTCAATACACACTACACTACACCCTCCAGTGGGCAAACATCCACGGAAAAATAAAAAAGATTTAGGTGGATTTTCCACTCAGTTAAATCAGTACTATAACTAATGAAATGATGACTCTGAAAACCTCATAAAAATTCACACTATTTTAATAACTTGTTTTAGTATATGAGTCAGAAGCAGCAAAGTTTTTTTTATATATTTAGATATTGTGGTAGAATAACAGAAAAAATAAAATCATGATCTGCTTCATCTTTCCTTAAAAAGCAAAGTGCTATCAGGCTCCTATTTAACTTAGAAAGAAAAAAAGGTAAACAGTATAAATCTCATACAAAGATGTATAATTAAAAGATAAAAGTATTCATATCACGAGCTGCAAAAGCTAGGCACTAACAATTTAAAGCAACATCCAAAAATTGTAGTTCCTGAGTGAGAACTATGGCAGAAAAGTAGTATGTTCATTAAGTTTTCCAGGAAAACAACTCACATTATCACCTGATAATATTTTGTATTACTGGTCTCATGAGGCTATGTGGTCACTAAATAGAAATATAAACACACTTAGAAAAAATTAAGAGACTACCTATAAGAGCTCTTTTTCTATATGGCTAATGTTTCAGCACTTAGATGACATAATAGAAGCAAAGACTAGATTAAAAGTATTTTACAAGGTCCAAATATCGCTTAAAGTTTCTCCTGTTAACTTCTCAAAATCCTTATTTAATGTCAGTAAAATTTACAATAGAATACAAAACATCTTTAATACAGATACCTAGAAATTTCATATGAATATGTACACTTCCCAAAAATGCATCAAAGAGTTCTTGAATATATATTCTCCAGGAAAAACAAGTACAACTAAGATTACATGAGGTCTTGAACTTAGTACAAATAGGCTACGAAACTAGAAAATAAAGGACAACAGTGACATCTAGAGGAGGTTTCAAATATATACCACGTATATCAAATCAAAACATTTTATTGCTAGTGTTTCACTTATCACAACTGCCTGAGGAGCTATATGATAAATCTTTAGTTATAAATCAAAACAAGCCAACTCTACTTATAAAAGGCTTACCAATATGAGTGATCCAATCATTTGGTAATGTGAAATTTTTAATAAAATACAATTTAATACGTCAAGTCATCAGAGAACTAAACACTGATTAAATGTATCAGATATGTGACTAAAAGAAGGGCTGTCAATTGGTCCAAAAATAAGAGGCCAGGCGCGGTGGCTCAAACCTGTAATCTCAGCACTTTGGGAGGCCGAGGTGGATAGATCACTTGAGGTCAGGAGTTTGAGATCAGCCTGGCCAACATGGCAAAACCCCATCTCTACTAAAAATACAAAGGAGGCTGAGGCAGGAGAATCACTTGAACCTGGGAGGCAGAGGCTGCAGTGAGCTGAGATCAGGCCATTGCACTCCAGCCTGGGTGACAGAGCAAGACTCTGTCAAAAAAAGAAAAAAAAAAAAGATTATGATAAAAAAATTTAAAATATTCTGAATTTAAGAAGCACTGGGTGAATAGAAAAACTTAAGAAGACTAAGAGCTGATTTATTTATTAATCTATTCAAGCACAGGAAGTACACATCAACCAGCATGGCCTGTCAGACAAAAGAAGAAATGTTTTTAAATTAAAAGAAAACTAATTTACAACAATTTTTCAATTTTTCAGAAGCTGAAATTAGTTTTCAAGAAGGGTTTCTTAAAAGTAAGGGCTGGGCATGGTGGCTCACGCCTGTAATCCTAGCACTTTGGGAGGCCGAGAGAGGCAGATCACTTGAGGCCGGAGTTCGAGACCAACCTGGCCAAAACAGCGAAACTCCATCTCTACTAAAAATAGAAAAAATTAGCTGGGCATGGTGGCGCATTCCTGTAATCCCAGCTACTCAAGAGGCTGAGGTTTAAGAATTGTTTGAACCTGGGAGGTGGAGGTTGCAGTGAGCCAAGATCATACCACTGCACTCCAGTGTGGGTGACAGAGTAAGACTCCGTCTCCAAAGAAAAGAAAAAAAAAAAGTAAATTAAGATAATTGTCTATAACAAGACCAAGAAGTTATCTCAAAGTAACAAACAACCTGAGTTCAGATGTCAGCAAGATGGCACTCCCATGTTCACTGCAGCATTATTCACAATAGCTAAGATATAGAATCAACCTAAGTATTCATCAATGAATGGGTAAATAAACTGTGGGGTATATATACCCAATGGAATATTATACAGCCCTAAAGAGAAGGAAATCCTGTCATTTGCAGCAGCGTGGATGGAACTGGAGAACACTATTGTTAAATGAAACAAGCCAGGCACAGAAAGACAAATACCACATGATCTTATTTACATATGGAATATTAAAAAGTTGAACTCAGAAGCAGAAGGAGAATGATAGTTTCTAGGGGCTATAATGGAAGGAGGGATTGGGGAGATGTTGGTCAAAGGGTACAAAATTTCAGTTAGATAGGAAGAATAAAATCAAGAGATCCAGTATATAACAGTGACTACATTAATAAACAATGTGTTATATTCTTGAAGATTGCTAAGAGAGTGGATTTTGAGAGTTCTCACCACAAAAAAGTGGTATGTGAAGTAATGCATATGTTAACTAGCTTTATTCAGTCATTCTACAAAGTATATATATTTCAAAACATCATACTGTACATGATACATACAATATTTAATAATTTTTTTAAAAACAATGAATATCTCAAAAGACAAAACAACAACAAAAATACCTTGGACAATATCCTCACCTGTTCTTATTTGTCAATACATATGCAAGTTTTACGAGAACAACACTTACTTAATAAGAAAACAATGAAAGTACATGTGATTTCTATTAAGTATTTTATTACTAACTCAGATTAAACATAAATTTAGAGACACGGTCTTAATATAAACACTAAGTCAAATAAGAGCCAAGACCACAAATTAACTGGAGGCCTTTCAAAGATCACAAGTGCTTCCCAAATCTCTCAGAACCACCAGATTTTAATGATTATTTGGGCTTAATGATTTTCTGACCAAAAAATGTCAACAGCCACAGCTTCACAATTATGTAGTTCAAAGTCATTGAAAATACCTCTGAAATACTTCAGGACTAAAGCACTGTCCTAATAACTTCATGCAGGATAAATATATTGTGGTATATTCAAACAGTGAAATACAACTCAGAAGTAAAAAAGAATGAAGCAGTGACACATTCAACTACGTGGACAAATCTCAAAAACCCTAGGCTGAGTGAAAGAAGCCATACATAAAAGTTATATCCTGTATGACTCTGTTCATATGACATTGTAAAACAGGCAATATGGATCTATGATAAAAAATCAATCAATCAATAAAATCAGTATAATAGTTATTTCTGAGGGTAGGATAGAGATGAAGACTGAACTGCGAACAGATATGATGGAATTCTCTGGAGTGGTGGAAATGTTCTATATTTTAACAGGAGTTGGGATTACATAAATGTATGTGTTTGTCAAAACTCACCAAGTAATATACTTAAGATTATGCAAAATTGTGCATAAATTTTATCTTAAAAAATGAAAATTAAGCAAATGTTGATAACTCTACCAATATATCACACTGGTATTTGGGGTGAAATGGACAAATATGCACAAGTTATTTTTAAATGCACAAAAAAATTAGATGGACAGATTGTAATAAAGCAAATATAGCAAAATATTAACAACTGAAGAATCTAGGAAGTGAGTATACTGGCATTCACTGTACAATTCTTTGAGTTTTTCTGTATGTCTGAAAATTTCAATAATAAAATATTGTGGAAAAAATAAAGAGAACAATCAGAATTCAGAAGAAAAAAATTTTACACTCAAACATGTTTTCTCCAATATTTTTCTCTTATATATTAACATTTTAACCTGTCTAATGTAATGTCAACTGTGACTATCTTCTAATGAGTAAAAGTTAAAGGATGACATATTTTTAAAAATTTGAAAGACATACCCGAATTTCTTGAAGGTTGTGAAAATTATTTCCTACTCTGACTGAGATCTTGCTTGGAGTATAGCTTTCATCAGATTTGTAGTCTGCATAAATACATAATGTCTTCACTGTTGTTTTTCTTCTAAAAGCAATAAAGTAAAAATAACATGCACTTCATCATATGAAAAGATTTCCAATGCATCTTATCTTCTGATTTTAAAAATCATAGTTTGCTAAAAGGAGTATTTGAATCAACATTTTCATATCTTTTAATTTCAACAAAAATGAAAAATGTAAAAATATAGGTCCAGATAGTATGTTAAATATAGGCCCAGATAATATGTTAATTATACAGACACCTATGTAGAACATGGTCAAGAGCCAGATGCAAGCAAAGAAGGATCAGTTAAGCCAAATTAGGTACTTTATCATGCAAACAAGCATTAAGGATTTCCATCCTCTTCATTTGTATTTTAGACAAAGAAATTATTCTCATAAGTTTGGTTTCCTTTACTAAGTACTTACTTCATTTCCTATATTAAATACTTGAAAATAACTAGCTAAGTGAGGAACTGGGTCCAGCAAAGAGAAAACTACCTTTCCTAAAAAATACAACAACCTAGTTTTAATGCAAGAAATAGAATTCTGCTGCTGATTCTTTCTTTCTTTCTTTCTTTTGCTATTGATTTTAAAATATACATATCCTAGGGAAAGAAGAAACACATAATAGAAAACGAACCTCAGAAAAAATGCAAGTGGCCAACAAAACATGAAAATGTGTTCAACGTCTAATAATCAAAGAAAGAGAAATTAAAACACACAGAGATATTAGTTTTATCATCATATTGGAAAATATTTAAACAACTGATAGTACTCAAATTTGATTAGAAAAAGGTGCTTTCATCACCAGTTAGTAGAAACACAACCTTTGACCTACTAATTCAAACTTCTGAGAATGCATTAAAATACAGTAACACAATCACTCAAAAATTGATGTCTAATGAAGGCTGGCCTTGGAGAAAAAAATGGATGCAGAAAAATCTTGTCCTGTGATTAAATCACTAGAAAATTAAAAACAGCCTAAATATCCATGACAATAGAGAATTGGTTAAATAAATTACAATATAGCCATTCAACGAACTGCTATAGAACTATTTAAAATAATCATGTACATATATAGTTACAGTAGAAAAAAGATTATAAAACAATATATACAGAAGAATCACATTTGGGGGAAAACAACAATTTTTTAAAGGCATGTAAATCTATATTTGTATATAGAAAAAGACCTAGGTGGAATTACCCAAAAATAGTAAAATTAACTGTTTTCGTGGGATGGGACCATAGGAGATCTTTATTTTCTTCTTTATGATTTTTAAAGTTTCTGAACAATTTTTCAGAATGAGCATGTGCTATTTGGCCACCAGGAAAAAAAAAATCTAGGTGATTTTAAAAACCCAAAAACCCATTAAGAAATCTATTTACATGTGCTTTAAAAGTTAAGTTCTAGTATAAACTGGCACTAACTTTGTAACAATGAGCTCCTTGAACAGAAGTACTCTGTGTCAAAAGTCAGCCTATAAAAACAGCAGGGGCTCTGTAGCTCTTAGTAAGGAGACCAAACTTCTGTAGCCTAAGCTATTCATTAGAAAGGAATAGGGAAAGTTAAGCACTTTTCCTCGGATCAAGAGGTAAAACACTAAATACCCAGGAACTGCTGACAGGATAAAGACCATTATTAGGTTTTTAAAAGAGGCCAAAGGTATCAAACTGACATCTTTCTCTCTGCTGAGCCAGAAAGGAGACAGGAGAGGAAGCAAAGAAGGACAGGAAATTTTTGAAGACCTTTTTCCTTGATGAGCCATAAGCAGGAAGTAAATGGTCTTTCTTCTTATGGAGAGATCAAAGATCACGAAGATGGCTCTTAAGAACTTTTTTTTTTTAAGGAAGAAAAGAAAGGCAGATCTAAAGGATCAAGTGTTTTGCTCAGAATAATTACGTTTCTAAATTGTGAAATTCAGGTACACTTATTCACTGCCTTCAAGATGATCAGGGCAAGTTTAGAAAAGCAAAGAATACTAAAAACACTAATGATAATAAACACAGTAACAGCAAAGAGCAAGTGAATATTTTGTGTCTGGCCCAGAAGTAATGCTCTATACATATTGTCTCATTTATTTCTCAGTGTTGTCAAATAGGAACTTTTATTTCTTCATTTTTCTGATTTAAAAAAAAAACATAACACTTAGGTTAATAACTGGCTTAAGGTCAAAAAGCTAGTAGGAGGGAACAGTTGAAATTAAAAAATGTGTCTGTCGACCTCACATGATTTTAACCAAAACTTCCTTTTAATTAATTGTGCTTAGCTCATTCAATAGTCATTGATACGAGTTTACAGTAATAGGTAGGTGTCTGTAGTTTTTTAAATTTTTTCTAAGCCATGAGTTATTATCGTAAGGTTCACGTACCCACAGAAATCGTACGTATAATTTGCTATATACATAGTTTCATTAAATTTGCATAGGAAACTGTGACCTCACCAAAAGTTTAAAATAATTAAAAGGTAGAGTAAAAAATTTTAAAATCATTTATCAATTTTATCTCATGATGAATTTTAAAAATAATATTTCATGGAAAAGCATGCTATGTTTCAAATAGCAATGCATGTCATAAGATTAAACATACAGACTATTACACATAGAGGCAGTAGCTCAAACTGCTCAAAACCATCATTATAATAATAATCACTCCATAGTGAATGCTCACTATACGCCAGGCATCGTGCTATATTCGTAGCATAAGATATTACAAGAGTGGGGAAGGAAGAGGGCAATACTTTCCTATTTCTGATGACATAAGTAACACTCCTGGACACTCTCTATCCCCTCACTCACTACACGCTTTCTCCTGAGAAAGAGCTTCTGGCAGGAACCAAACATTTGCTTTGTTCCTTCAGGCCACTAATTTAATAGAGGCACATGCTACCTGGTCTAGTGGTATAACTGGATGGGTAAGACTGTTTAATTCTAAGGTTCAATATTAGGAAACACACTTGACTAAGATATAATGCAGTTATATTTCTCAAATATCAGTTCTGTCTGTTTTATAAAGTTGATATTTTGGCCGCCTCCTGCTACCACAGATACGAGCATCTGCTGAATAATTTCTCATTGGGTTTGGAACCCATGAAATTCTGATTGAAGACATTAGTGACATATTCCTAGTTGCCTAACCTAAAATCCCTTTATCCCCTCTTTCTTCATAACATCTGGCTAAAAGATCCAACTTCCCTTAAAGTTAGGTAGAGCCATATGACTAAGTTATGGCCAGTAAGATTTAAACAAAATGATGGTGTGTACTAAAGAAAGTTTCTTTAAAAGAAAAACATGCCCCTTTTACCTTTCTCATCTACTCCTTCCTGCTGCCTGGGATATGGACATGATAGGTGGAATTCCAGTAGGCATCTTGGACCATAAGACAACCTTGAGGATAAAATCTACAAGCTAAGAATGAAGGAATGTAAAGAGAAGGAAACTGGGTCCACAAACACACTGTGAGGCTGCCATACCACTCCTGGACTGCCAGGCTCCTCTTACACGAAGAGGTAGAAGAAATAAATTTCCACCTTGTAGAAAACACCATTATCAAAAGCTCTGCTACTATATGTTCTGATTTCTAATTAATACAGCATTACTGTGTCTGTATTACAGATGCAGAAACTGAGGTTCACATCAGGTTAAGCAAGTGGTCCTTGTTTACACATCTAGTAAAGCACAGAGCCAGAATTTAATCCAGGTCTATGTGACTACATTATATAAGAGTAACTAATAAACCCTAAGGTACAAAACTTAAAACTAAATATATGTGATAGACGATAGCTTTACATTTAAAGCTAAATGTAAAAAACAAAATAGTTATAAAACATGTTTTTAAAATCGTTCTTCTTAACGTGCTAGATATATTACCAGGAGGTTGAGACAAAATAAACACAGTCCACATAGTTGTTTAAATCAGAAGCAAATATTTATAAATAACTATATTCTTCCATATATGTTCCTGGTATAAAAGTGAAAAATGGGGGCCGGGTGCAGTGGCACACGCCTGTAATCCCAGCACTTTGGGAGGCTGAGGCAGGCAGATCACAAGGCCAAGAGATCGAGACCATCCTGGCCAACATGGTGAAATCCCGTCTCCACTAAAAATACAAAATGTAGCTGGGTATGGTGGCATGTGCCTGTAGTACCAGCTACTTGGGAGGCTGAGGCAGGAGAATCGCTTGAACCCAGGAGGTGGAGGTTGCTGTGAGCCAAGATTGCGCTACTGTACTCCAGCCTGGTGACAGAGCGAAACTCCATCTCAAAATAAGAAGTGAAAAATGTCCTCTGTATCAATGTTAACTAGATGCTAAGATGAAAGTTTTCGCGGAAGACTACAACAACAAAGACCATGTTTTGAAAGGATATATGAGACCTTAATGCATAATTTTCAGCAGATACGGTCTTAAAATAAAATAAAACAAGAAAGTCCGAGACATCTGCTCATGAAGGTTAACTGCTACATGACTTGCCTTCCCACTACAGACAACTAGAATACTGGAGAACATATCTGAAGCATCCAGAGATGCTGAGCAACAGGCAGCACAGGCCTCTAGGTCCTGAGAGAAAGAAAATAAATGAGGTGAGCCCTACAAACAACTGAGTTTTCTGGCTGCAGGCAATTTTGGGACTGCAATGTGAAGAGGGAGATGCCAAAGAGAATCTAGTAGTCTACTGAATTGATAAGGAATAAGCTACACAAAGAAAAAACTCCAGAAATATGCGTGGGGTCCCCTTCATTCTATGCCTGAACACAATATGAACATGCATACAGCAAAACTTCACAAGGATAGGCAAAGAACAAGCACTGGGGAAAGAACAATTACTGGAAAGCAGTAAGCCAAACAATTTCCAGTGGGCACAGAGGACTGGGAATCATTAAAGCTCCCAATAACCGAAGTGGTAAGTCCTCTTCAAATACCTAAGACATTCGTTTGAGATCCCAGATGAGTCAAGCCTTAGTAATGAGGCTAATCTTGCCCAAGAGAAATGATCTTAAAGAGTGGTCTGGGGACCTACAGAGGACCTCAAGACTCTTTCAGAGGATCAGCAAGGTCAGAACTATTTTCTTAATATTACTAAGATGTAATTTGCCTTTTTCAGAATCATTCTCTTATGAGTATGTAGTAGAGTTTTCCACAGGCTGACATGGGATATTGTAAAAGATTTAATGAACAAGCAGAAATGAGACTCCAGCTATTTTTTGTGAACCAAAAAGGTTCACAAAAAATGTAAACAATGACACTCTTCTCACTATTTTTGTTGTTGTTCATTTGGGAAGAGACAGTTATTTTTCATAAAATTGTTATTTATGTTGTTAACACATAATAGGTTAATTATTGTTTATTTTTAGTGAATAACTAAATAATTTAAAGTCCCTAATCTATAATTTCTAAAATAGTAAATAATGAGATACATATATAAAGATTTCTGAAGTCCTCAATAAAAGTTTAAAGCAGTACTGAGACTAAAAAGTTTAAGAACTTCTGCTCTAAAGCAGGGCTTGGTAAGCTACAGCTTGCAGGCTAAATGTGGACCGCCACCTATTTTTGTAAATAAAATTTTATTGAAACTAAGTGACACTCCGTCATATACACATTGTCTATGGGAGCTTTAATACTACAATGGCAAAGTTGAGCAATTGCAGCAGGACATATAAAGAAGTCTTACAGCTTAACAACAAAAAGACAACCCAATGTAAAAAGAGGGAAGGGACTTAAGCAGTCATTTCTCTGAAGAAGATATACAAATAACCAGGAAGCACATGAAAAAAATGCTTGATAGCACAAAACATTAGGGAAATGAAAATCAAAACTATAATGAGACAGACTCATTAGGATGACTATTATCAAATGTTGGCATGGATGTGGAGAAACTGGAACTTCTGGGCATTACCAGTGGGAAGGTAAAATGGTACAGCTACTGTGAAAAACAGTATGGAGGTGACTCAAAAACTTAAACATAGAATTACCATATGATCCAGCAATTCCACCTGTGGATATATATCCAAAAGAAGTGAAATCAGGTACTTGAACAGATATTTGCACACCAATGTTCATAACAGTATTATTTACAACAGCCGAAAGGTAGAAACAACCCAATGTCCTCTGACGAATGGATAAACAAAATGTGGCACAGTCATACAATGGAATATTATTCATCCTTAAAAAGGAATGAAATTCTGACACATGCTACAACATGAATGAACCTTGAAAACATTAGGCTAAGTGAGAAAAGTTAGACACCAAAGGACAAATATTATATAATTCCACTTATATCAGGTCCCCAGAACAGTGAAATACACAGAGGCAAAAAATAAAACAGCGATTATCATGGGCTGGAGAGAAAAGGAAATTGGGTGGTTATTATTTAATGGGTTCCACACAGGATGATGAAAAGTTCTGAAGATGGAGGTGGTAGTGGTTGCACAACACTGTAAATGTACTTAAGGATACTTAACTGTACATTTAAAAATGGCTGGCCAGGAACAGTGGCTCATGCCTGCAATCCCAACACTTTGGGAGGCTGAGGAGGGCAGAGCACCTGAAGTTGGGATTTCGAGAATAGCCCGACCAACATGGAGAAACCCCATCTCTATTAAAAATACAAAATTAGCCAGGCGTGGTGATGCATGCCTGTAATCCCAGCTACTTGGGAGGCTGAGGCAGGAGAATTGCTTGAATCTGGGAGGCAGAGGTTGCAGTGAGCCAAGATCGTGCCATTGCACTCCAGCCTGGGCAACGAGAGTGAAACTCCGTCTCAAAATAAATAAATAAATAAAAAGGCTATAACAGTAAACTTATATTTATATTTCACTACAAATAAAAAAAATCTTTACTGTTTATTACTCACCATCTCAACAGAATATTAAATAAATAATATTGAATTTTATTATTCACCATCTCAACAGAATAAAGAAAAACCATATGATCCGTATGAACAGATACAGAAAAGGCATTTGAGAAAATCCAAAAATGTCTCAAGAAACTGGGAAAAGGGAACTTTATAACCTGATAACCTGAAGGGTTATCTTAGTTTCTTTCTAGAAAGGATGAATAATCCTCATCAGGAAGCTGGAGGTACTACCATGTAAAAAAGAAGATGATTAATATACCCTCAACAAGAGAACTGCAGATAAATCATCCATAGCATTAAGTGAATGTGGGTGGCTGATTCTCTCAACCCACAAAAGCATCCATAAGATAATAGTCAGCTTTAAACATACAGCCAAGTACAGAGAACATCAATGCTATATCACCAAGATACAAATGGCAATTACAGACTTTCCTTCTTTTCTTACCTCTTCTTCGTTCCCATACTAGCAGATCTAACAAATTCAGAAATGTGAAAGGACAAAAAAAACACAAAAAAAACAAAAAAAAACTAGGTAGGGTAAGAGAAGCAAACTACACCCAACTTGCAACAAGCCCAAGTTTAGGGAGAGGAATAAAACTTAAAGAAACTTTAAAGCAAGATTGAGGCTTTCACTACTCACTAGAACTGAACACTTCTATTTCTAAAATATATTTTGCCATTTGAAATAAACATAAAACTGGGTAGGTTACCAAAAAGTGTGCTATATGCTCCCCACCAAGTTCTCATCCAGAGCAGAGAAAGAGCTTGTTCTAATTTTAAAACACAATGAGATATAAAATAATGTTGCTTTATATATGTTACAATATATGTTCACCTTAACAGATCAGTAATACATACAAATTATTTCTCAACTAGCTGAGAAACTGCTACATAAATCGAGAGTTGCTTATTTTCTATGTGAAGAAAAAACATCTAAGGAACCAAATAGTTTAACAAAATATAAACTCCAAATTGAACCTCTTTCAAACTTGTTTGTAATATAATTTTTTGAATACAGGAATTTCTTCCATTAGTACATAATGTTTTCATGAAAACATGGATGAAGATCAAATGGAAGAAAGCTGAACCCTGAACTTATATAATAGAGGTAGGAAAGTTAGTTCTCAAGTGCTAAAAAAATCTACCCAATAGAGGTAGGAAAGTTAGCTCTCAAGTGCTAAAAAAATCTACCCAATCCTAAATCACAATCCTAAATTATACCAGATGGTTCAGTCACAATCTTTGACAATAAATATTTAACATTTCCTTTTGGTGTTCATAATTCAATATGTAGGTGACTAGTAAAGTCCAATGAATATCTAGTTGAGTCTAATGATTTCTAATGTATTCACAAGTATTAATACACTGTGATTAAGCCTAGTATCTATTACGTATCTGTTTTTTTTTTTTTTTAGGAGACAGGGTCTCGCTCTGTCACCCAGGCTGGAGTGCAGTGGCATGACAATAGTTCACTGCAGCTTCAAACTCCTGGCCCAAGCGATCCATGTCAGCTTCCTGAATAGCTGAGACTACAGGTGTGTACCACCACACCCAGGTAATTTTTTAAGTTTTTTATAGAGACAGAATCTTGCTTTATCTCTCAGGCCAGTTTTGAACTTCTGGCTTTAAACAATCCTCCTACCTCAGCCTCCCAAAGTGTTGGGATTATAGGCGTGAGCCACTGCACCCAATCTACTATTTTTTAAATGACATCAGCACTTTAATTTTTCCATTTGCTCTACTTTTAAAAATAAGGGGAAAATGCAATAAAGTATTCTATAATTGCACAAATGCTTTTTTACAAAGATACCTAAGCTGCTGAAACTGTAGTGCTACCAGGCAATAGGTCCTGTTGTTCACCTGTTACCTGATATTTTTTAAAAACCTAAAATTAATCCAAAGAGATGATTAAGCAAAAGTATAAATGTCACAAAATTATAAAGTTTAAAATTTATGAACAGTGTAATTTGGGGAGGAGGGTAAATAAACTAATTTGTATGATTTGGCTTAAGCAATTTACATCCATACATATATTGGTATTAAAGTATATATAGGATTTTATTAAATTTATAAAGTACTTTCTGTTCAAAGTGCTTTACATGACAATGGAGTTTATTACTATCAATGTTTTCATTCAACCCAGGCTTTAGTAAATACAGGTTTTTTAAAATTTATAATTTATCTTTCATTATTAAACTATCAAAATTTCTCTTTAAAATGAAGCAAACCAGCACAACTTTTCAATATTTTTCTCAGCATTCTTGTGTCCTTTTCTATTTCAATAAATTTCTTTGCGACACAGAAATCATTTTAATATAATTAAAAATGTTGTATAATGTTATTACCATGATAAAAATAGCAAGATTACATTTAATAAAATTTGTAGAAATTTTGATGAAGGCAGATCAAACAAAAGCACAAATTTTGCTTTGTTCCTACTCAGTTTAATATTTCAGTATTTATCCTTTTAAATCAGCAAACAAGTACATTAGTCCCTATAATCCATATTAAACTAAATTACTCCCCAATTTTCCTTAAAATATTATTCCCAATATTCCTTAAAAAATTATTAACGAATTTTGAAATTCTTCCCAAGAGAATTAGCCCTTTACAAACAGAAAATAATTCACTTTATAAAATATATAAAACATATATTATATAAAATAGAGAAGCAAAAAGCTTCTCTATTTTCCATTTAAGTACAAAATTACACATTCAAAGAACATTTCATTTTCTTATTATATTTTTTCCTTCCCCCTCTCTACGTTAGGACTTATTTCTCCTAACTGCCAAGAAAAATTACCTCTCTTTTTGAGGAGGGCAGAGGGCTTTTTCCCTTCATTTAATTATGTAATAGGTAAGTTTTTAATATATTCTATTCAAATTTTTATGAAGATCATTTCTTTGTAAGTTTTCTGCATGGCTGATAGAACAGCACCTTCCTCCAAAGAAAAACCAAGAAATATGAAAATTTTCCAAATTAGATTTTCAATGTATGAGCCCTATGTGATACTTAATTGCTAGTGTGTCTATTCTTGAATTTGGAAATATTTCATACTTTAAATTATGTTCACATTCTAACATTTAAAGCTATTTCACAAAAAAAGCATGCTAAACATTCAGCAAGTGAAGCATAATGTATTTTAATTAGACCTAATCAGAACCATTAGGACTAAACATGAGCTTAGAGGATCATGTAATCTAACCACCATCTATACAAATAAATAACCAGGTTCAAAATTTTTCTGACAGGTAGCAACTATTACTATCAAGCAGTTAAATTATCTTTGATCAGTTCCAATTTTTAAAAGTTTTCTTTATACTAAGCCATAACTGGTCTTTGTGTAGCTCTTACCTTTTGGGCTAAGTTTTTTCTTATGAGATGACACATACAAAACATCTAATTCCTCCACAAAGTATAAATCCTTCAAATTACGGAAAGAAAGCTACCATGTCCCCCAAAGTTTTCGGCAGACCATAGGTTCCAAATTTTTTTTTTTTATTATTGTTTGGCTTCAATCCCCTATTCTGCCTACTCCCTTCTGAGCACATCCTAGACCTTCTTTATCAGTGTTAGCAGGGGAAGCCGACATGGAATACAACACACCAGGAGGTCTTCATAGATTCTGTGCTTACCTTATTGCATCCCAAAATCATACTAGCTTTTTTAGCAACCACATCACACTGTTAATTGAAACTAAACTCACTGTCAACTAAAACTGCTTAAATATCTTTCACACTTCTGGCTTTGTCCTCCTTTCCCATCTTGAGTTTACACTCTTCAAAAGGAAGGAAGAGAAGTGGATTAAATGTAGAACTATAACTTTATATTACATTTATTATTTACTAATAAAGAGACTAGTACCTTTTATTTTAATTTTAGCAACCATCTTAAATAAAACTTTTATTTAAAAAGAATCTCAGGGTTGATCAGAGCCAAGATGGCCAACTAGATGTGGCCAGGAAGAGCTTCATTCACCGAGAAACCAGACCATCAAGAAGACAAGCATACTTTAAGCAGACTGTCAGAAGGAAGGCATTGAGAGTGGACAGAGGGAGGACCAAGCAGACCCTGGGCTGAAAGGGGAGTAAGCTAGGAACCGTGAATGGGGTTGCTGAGCACCAGGACTCATTTCTGGCCCTGAGCAGCTCCTGGGGAAGAATTAACTAAATAGGTGTGGAGTAGTCCACTCTCACCATGTATCTCCAGAATTCTAGTGGCAGGAGGCCCCACAACCCCCCCAGGCATCTGAACCAGCAGGGAGTGCTGCTTGGAGAGTTAGCAGGCATAGGACCCCAGCCTGTGTGGAGCCCAGAGGGTTTGGCATGGAAATGGCTACAGTGGAGCACAGCCAGGGATGCCTGTCCCTTAAGGCTTGTCATGTACCTCTAGGTGGCTTTGGCCTTTGTTGACTGTTGGACCTGCACAATATAGGGCTGTCTTACCCATGGGATGGGGGCCAGTCTGATCTGAGCAACACTTTGTCTGCCAGTCTCTCCCAGGGTCCCTGCTTGGCCATGTCTGATTGCAGCACAGCCTCAGATGACCTACTGGGTGCTTCCCAGCAGCCACTGCCATAGCTTTTTCACCAACAGACCCCACCTAACCAACAGAAAGCTTTAGCAGATGGGCTGCTGCCAGCATACATTTGCCCACAGACTTCCCCTGACTGCTTTGACTGCACCCCTCATTGGAGTGTTGTTGCCAGCACACTGGAAACACTGTGGCCCCTCCAGTACAGCAGTTGCTTATCTTGAAGGGCCAGAGAACAAGGTTTTGGGTCTGTTCAAAGGCCCTCTGGATTACAGCATGCAACCCACAAGCACTGAGCTGAGCCTTGGTACCCTGAAATCATCCAGAAATGAAACTAGTCAACTAAACCCAACTTGTACCACAGTAAAACCCTCGATGACATCAAAGAAGATAAAAGCAAAAAAGTCCCATCTAAAGGACAGCAACTTCAAAGATTAAAGGAACATTTTCCCACACAGATAAGAAAGAACCAGAGCAAGAATTCTGGCAAGTCTAAAACACAGAGTGTCTTCTTACATCCAAATGAGCACACTAGTTGCCCAGCAATGGTTCTTAACCGGATTGAAATGACAGAAATGACAGACATTTGGAATTCAGAATTCAGAATCTGGATGGCAGTGAAGAACATTAAGATGCAGATGGAAGTTGAAACCCAATCCAAGGAATCTAAGGAATCCAGTAAAATGAATCAAGAGCTGAAAGACGAAATAGCTATTTTAAGAAAGAACCAAACTGACCTGGTAGAGCTGAAAAACTCACTACAAGGATTTCATAATACATTCAGCAGTGTTAACAGCAGTACACACCAAGTTGAGGAAAGAATCTCAGAGAACAAAGACTGGTTCTTCAAATCAATTCAGCTAGACAAAAATAAAAAAGAATTTGCCAGGCGTGGTGGCTCACACCTGTAATCCCAGCACTTTGGGAGGCCAACGCGGGTGGATCACGAGGTCAGGAGATCGAGACCATTCTGGCTGAAACGGTGAAACCCTGTCTCCACTAAAAATACAAAAAATTAGGTGGGCGTGGTGGCAGGCACCTGTAGTCCCAGCTACTCAGGAGGCTGAGGCAGGAGAATGGCGTGAAACCGGGAGGCGGAGCTTGCAGTGAGCCGAGATCGTGCCACTGCACTCCAGCCTGGGCGACAGAGCAAGACTCTGTCTCAAAAAAAATAAATAAATAGAATAAAATAAAATGAAAAAGAATTTTTGAAAAAATGAGCAAAACCTCTGAGAAATATGAGATTATGTAAAGAGACCAAAACTACAACTCATTGGGGTCCCTGACAGAGAGGGAGAAACAACAAGCAAACTGGAAAATATATTTGAGGATACTGTCCATGAAAATTTCCCCGATCTCGCTAAGGAGGTCAACATTCAAATTCAGGAAATTCAGAGAACCCCAGAGTATATGAAAGAGCTGGTATCAACCCTACTGAAACGATTGCAAAAAACTGAGAGGAAGAATTCCTCCCTAACTCATTCTATAAGGCCAGCATCACTCTGATACCAAAACCTGCCAGAGATCCAGTAAAAGAAGAAACCTCAGGCCAATATTCTTGATGAACATCGACACAAAAATCCTCAATAACATACTAGCAAACTGAAACCAGCAGCACATCAAAAAAAGGCTAATCCACCACAATCAAGCAGGCTTTATTCCTCGGATGTAAGATAGGCTCCACATATGCAAATCAATAAATGTCATTCATCACATAAACAGAACTAAAAACAAAAACCACATCATCATCTCAAGAGATGCAGAAAAGGCTTTCAATAAAATTCAACAATCATCATGTTAAAAATCCTCAACAAACTAGGCATTGAAGGATCATAATTCAAAATAATAAGGGCCATCTATGACAAACCCACAGACAACATCATACCGAGCAAAAACTGGAAGGAAGCATTCCACTTAAGAACCAGAACAAGACAAAGATGCCCACTCTCACCACTTCTATTCAACATAGTTCTAGAGGTCCTAGCCACAGCAATCAGGCAAGAGAAAAAATAAAAGGCATTCAAATAGGAAGAGAGGAAGTCAAACTATCTTTGTTTGCAGACAATATAATTCTACACCTAGAAAACCCCATAGTCTCTGCCCAAAGACTCCTAGATCTGATGAACAACTTCAGCAAAGTTTCAGGATACAAAATCAATATACAAAAATCAATAGCATTTCTATATACCAATAACATACAAGCTAAGTGCCAAATCAAGAACACAATTCCACTCAAAACAGCCACAAAAAAAAAAATAAAACACCTGGGAATACAGCTAACCAAGGAGGCAAAAGATCTCTACAAGAATTACAAAACACTGCTGAAGAAAATCAGACATGACACAAACAAATGGAAAAACATCCCATGCTCATGGATAGGAAGAATCAATATTGTTTAAAAAAAAATGGTCATAACTGCCCAAAGCAATTTATAGATTCAATGCTATTCCAATCAAACTACTGACAGTTTTCACAGAATTAGAGAACTATTCTAATATTCATATGGAACCAAAAAAGAGCCTCAATAGCCAAAGCAATACTAAGCAAAAAGAACAAAGCTGGAGGCATCACATTACCCCCAACTTCAAACTAAACTTCAAAACAACAGTAGCCAAAAGAGCATGGTACTGGTACAAAAACAGACACAGAGACCAATGGAACAGGTTAGAGAACCCAGAAATAAAGCTGCACATCTACAACCATCTGATCTTCAACAAAGTTGGCAATAACAAGCAAAGGGGAAGGAACTCCCTATTCAATAAATTGTACAGGGATAACTGGCTAGCCATACGCAGAAGATTGAAATCAGACCCCTCCCTTTCACCATATACAAAAATCAACTCAAGATTTATAAAAGACCTAAATGTAAAACCTACAACTATAAAAACCCAGGTAGAAAACCTAGGAAATACCTAGAAATACCTAGAACATAGGACCTAATAAAGACTTCATGACAAAAACTCCAAAAGCAATTAAAACAAAAATGTAAATTGACAAGTGGGACCTAATTAAACCAAAGAGCTTCAGCACAGCAAAAGAAACTATTAACGGAGTAAACAGACAACCTACAGGATGGGAAAAAATATTTGCAAACTATGCATCTGACAAAGGTCTAATATCCAGAAACTATAAGGAACTTAAATTTACAAGAAAAAAGCAACTCTATTAAAAAATGGGCAAAGGACATGAACGGACATTCCTCAAAAGTAGACATACAGCCAACAAGCATATGAAAAGATGGTCAACCTCACTAATCACTGGAGAAATACAAATCAAAACCACAATGAGATACCATTTCACACACAAGTTGGAATGTTTATTACTAAAAAGTCAAAAAAAAATAACAGATGCTGGTGAAGTTGTGAAAAAAAGGGAATACTTATACACTGCTGGTGGTAATGTAAATTAGTTCAGCCACTGTGGAAAGCAGTTTGGAGATTTCTCAAAGAATTTAAAACATAACTACTATTTGACCAAGCAATCCCATTACTGGGTATATATCCAAAGGGATTTAAATCATTTCACCATAAGACAAATGCACACATATGTTGATTGCAGCACTACGCACAATAGCAAAGACAAGGAATCAACCTAGATGCCCATCAACAGTGGACTGGATAAAGAAAATATTGTAAACATACACCATGGAACACCACACAATCATAAAAAAGAATGAAATCATGTCCTTTGCAGCAGCATGGATGCAGCTGGAGGCCGGCATCCTAAGAGAACACAGAAACAGAAAACCAAATATTGCATGTTCTCACTTATAAGTGGGAACTAAACACTGAATACATGGCTAGGTGTAGTGGCTCACACGTATAATCCCAGCACTTTGGGAGGCCGAGGCGGCTAGATCACCTGAGGTCAGGAGTTTGAGACCAGCCTGGCCAACATGGTGAAACCTTGTCTCTACTAAAAATATAAAAATTAGCTGGGCGTGGTGGCAGGCACCTGTAATCCCAGCTACTCGGGATCCTGAGGCAGGAGAATCACTTGAACCTGGGAGGTAGAGGTTGCAGTGAACAGAGATCACGCCACTGCGCTCCAGCCTGGGCAACAGAGAGAGACTCTGTCTCAAAAAAAAAAAAAAAAAAAAAAAAACACACATTGAATACACACAGATACAAAATAGGGAACAATAGACATGGGTGCCTACTTGAGGTGAAGGAAAGGAAGAAGGTGAGGACCCAAAAACTACCTATTAGGTACTATACTTACTACCTGGATGACGAAATTTGTACACCAAAACCCAGCGAAAGGCAACTTACCCATATAACAAACCTGCACATGTACTCCCTTAAACTAAAATAAAAGTCAGAAGGAAAATAAATAAATCCTGCCTAACATCTGCTTTTGTAAGATAAAATTTAATTAGAACAGCTAAATTCTGTCATTTATGCACTGTGTAGGGCCACCTTTGTGCCATAACAGTGGAACTGAGCACTGTAGCTGCAAAACAGATGAGATGGCCCACAAAGTCTAAAATATTCACTATCTGGCTTGTTGGAAATTTGCTGATTTGTACTCTAGGACAATAAAAGCAAACAACTAAAAATACAATGCTATAGAATGTTAAAATAGATGGTATAGGCCAGGTACAGTGGCTCACGCCTGTAATCCCAGCACTTTGGGAGGCCGAGGCGGGTTGAATCACAAGGTCAGGAGTTCCAGACCAGCCTGACCAACATGGAGAAACCCCATCTCTACTAAAAATACAAAATTAGCCGGGCGTGGTGGCGCATGCCTGTAATCCCAGTTACTCGGAAGGCTGAGGCAGGAGAATCGCTTGAACCTGGGAGGCGGAGGTTGCAGTAACCCGAGATCACGCCACTGCACTCCAGCCCGGGCAACAAGAGCAAAACTCCATCTCAAAAAAAAAAAAAAAAAAAAAGATGGTATAAATGGAACAAGATAGCTGAGTTAACTGGTTTCCAACTATGTCAATAAATTCAGCCAGGCCCAGTGGTTCATGCCTGGAACCCCAGCATTTTGGGAGGCTGAGGTGGGAGGAATGCTTGAGGCCAGGAGTTCGAGACCAGCTTGGCCAACATAGCGGCCAACTGTCTCTTATTTAAAATTTTAAAAATCTGATAATAAATACATTCAAAGCATTGAAAAACATGTGGCTGTTTTTCCTTTCCCCTCAAAAAGCATTATCAAAAAGGAAAATGTCCTTAAAGGTTCTAAGTAAAAAAAAAAAAAAAAATTTTCCAAATAAAAGTAAAAATTTGAGAAGTTATATGAATATTCCACAGCTAAAAAACTTACGATCACTCCAGGTTTACTTAATATGATACATTAAGGTATTGTATTGGGCCATAAGCAAAATATATCTTTCTGAAAGTACCCGCAAAAAATAAATTATATTGAAAAGTATATTTGAGAAACATCTACATAAAAGGAACTATGCAACATACCATAAGAAAATTCATAAAAAATAAGACAGAGTAACTTTAAAATGCTAATAATCTAACTGAACTGAAAAATAATCTATAAGACTTCAGAGTTTAAAAAGTTAAGTGTATTTCATTGTAATTTCTATCTTTAATTTTTATGTTAATAAAATAGATTTATTTGTCTATAACCTACAGTAGATGAAAAATTTGAAAATGTATTAATTACCTGAATTGGATGTTCACTAAATGAGGCTGGGAACCATCTGATTGCCAATAAGTTTCTAGATTGTCATCTCGTAACTGATCCACTCCAAATCCTAAAAACACCAAAAGTGTCAATAAATCCCTGTGAAAAAGAAACAACTATACATGCAAAACATAAAATTAACATATGTATTTGTCCAGAAATTTTGATAAACAGAAAGGTCAGAAATATTAATTTTTTTTTATTTATTTTTTGTAGACAGGGTCTTGCTGTGTTGCCCAGGCTGGCCTCGAACTCCCAGCCTCAAGTGATCCTCCTGCCTTGGCCTCCCAAAGTGCAGTGATTACAGGCATAAGCCATAGCACCCAGCTGTGAAACTTAAATTAACCAGAATTCTTCTACCCTTTTATTCAGAGCTCAACTCTTATTAGAGAAATATCACTTGCACATACAAACCCTATATTAGGATCAAGTTATTTTGTTGTCACCTTTTTAAAAAACATCTTCTAGGAGATATTATATTTTTTTGAGACAGAGTTTCACTCTCGTGGCCCAAGCTGGAGTGCAATGGCACAATCTCGGCTCATTGCAACCTCCGCCTCCCGGATTCAAGCGATTCTCCTGCCTCAGCCTCCCAAGTAGCTGGGATTACAGGCACACGCCACCACGCCAGACTAATTTCATATTTTTAGTAGAGAAGGCGTTTCTCCATGTGGGTCAGGCCGGTCTCGAACTCCCAACTTCAAGTGATCCAGCCGCCTCAGCTTCCCAAAGTGCTGGGATTACAGGCGTGAGCCACCACGCCCAGCCGGATACATTTTAAAGAACGTATGTATTTAAACTCAGTTTCTTGTGCTTTTTGCAAGCTGATAGTAAAAATGACTAAGCACAAAATCCTCAAAAATAAACACATTCTAATAAGTTCAATATGCCATGCTTACTGAGACAAGAAAAAAGATGACTTAAAATATTTTCAAAAGGCATATATATTCTGAAGCCAAATGCTTCTGATTAAAATTCTGATTAATCAAAATTAAATTTACCCAGAATCCCATGTTCTCCATCCATTCTACATAAATGAAGTTGTACAATCCTGTGTTTTTTCCTGATTAAAACCACAATAATTCATACTAATTTTAGAAATGAATCTGATTTAATGGTAAAATGCAGACTTTTTAATAAGAGAAATAAGTTTAACTTACATTTCAGTTTTACACTAAGTAATATATTCATTATGGAACAAATCCAAAAGGAACAAGACACAGTGAAAAGTCACTATCTACCATCTCATTCTTCTCTCCAAATATAGTTAATGTTTTCAGTTTATTGCATGCCCTTTCACAGATACTATATGCATATACAAGCAGTCATATATGTATTCTTTCTATTCCCTTTTCTTTAAACAAATGATAGCATACAGTAAATAGCTCTGCATGTTGGTGTTTTTTAATTTTACTTAACATATCTGGAGTTTTTTACCATACGAATATTTATTCCATATCAATAAATTAACAACAATAATAACAATAACAAACACTGATATCACATTAACTATGTGCCAGGCGCATTCTAAACATTTTATATATGTTAAATAATCTAATATTTATTAGCTCATATAACAACATAAACAGCTTCCATATTTTTTAAGGTTGTATATTCTACCACTGTCTGGAAATATCATAATTATCTCACCACACCTCTGCAGAACATTTAGGTTGTTTCCAATGTTTTGCTATTACAAACAATACTGCAATAAACACCTAGCTGTCTACAATCTTTAAATATATGTTATTTCTAGAGAATAGATTTCTAGGAATAGAATCCTGGGTCATTTGAATCTTTAATTTGATAAATATTGCCAAATTGTCCTCTAAAACATTTCCTCACCAAAAATGTAAAAGAATACCTATTCCCTCTCAATGGCTAGTAAAAGTTGGTATGTTCTGAAATTAATATACCAGATTTTGATGACTTTGTATGACAAAAACTTTAAATATATATCTAATGTTTTTATATTGATTATATGTTGAAGGGATATTTTGAACATACTGAGAAAAATAGAATAATTGCACTTTTATAAAATTTTTTTAACGTTGTTGCTAGATAATTTTAAATTACAAATGTGGTTTGTGTTACATTTCTGTTGGATAGCACTGCTCTGCACCCAGGCAAAAATGCAGTTAATCTTTTAAATATTTACTCACCTGATAGATTAAAAAAATTGTATTTCACATTTATTAATATTTATATTTTCATGCTTATTCATATCCTCCTATATTTTCAATAAACTTAGGTCTTTTGATTATTCATAACACTTTTACTATTACAGATCTTTTTTTTTTTTCTTTTTGAGACAGGGTCTTGCTCTGACACACAGGCTGGAATGCAGTAGCACCATCAAAGCTCACTGCAGCCATGACCTGCTGGGTTTATGCAATCCTCCCACCTCAGTCATCTAGGTAGCTGGAACCACAGGCATGTGCCACCACATTCAGTCACTATTATGGATATTAACACTATGTCTGTTCCACGTAATCCAAACATGAATGGATTTGTATCTTAAATTTGCATCTGCTGCCTTTATTGTGCATACTAGTGGATAAAAGAAGTTTATCCAGAGAAAATGAGTTTTGCATTGAATTTCAAATTACTAGTTAGCTAGATAAAGAGGTAGAATGGTAAGATTCAGGGGCATTCAGCAAAGAGATAAGCATATAATGTCATGAATCAAGAAAAATGGCATACATGGAAAACAACAGTGGGTCCTTTGAGAGCTAAGGCAATACATTGGTGTGAAGCAGGAAATAAGCCAGACATATCAAAGGAGCCAGATCACACAGACCAGGGGTGTCTAATCTTTTGGCTTCCCTGGGCCACACTGGAAGAAGAACTGTCTTGGGCCACACATAAAATACACTAACATTAACAATAGTTGATGAGCTAAAAAAAAAAAAATTCATAATGTTTCAAAAAAGTTTACTAATTTGGTCTGCATTCAAAGCTGTCCTGGGCCATATATGTCGATAAAATGTAAAAATTGGGCTATTACTTCTTCCGTAACTCTTAAATCTGCACTGTCCAATACGGTAGCCACTAGCCACATGTGGCTACTTGAAATATAGCAAGTCCAAATTGAGATGTGCTGTAAGTGTTAAAATACACACTGGTTTGAAGATTAGGACAAAATGTAAAATATGTCATTAGTAATAGTAGTCCAGTTATACTAGATTTAAAAATATTATTACAATTAATTTCACCTATTTTTAGCCCTTTTAAACGTAGCTACTATAAAATTCCCCATGAAACTTGTATATATATTTCACGTCACATATTCTATTGGACAGTCATGCTTCAAATCATGCTTCGTTCTTTACACAATATTGCTAAAGCTAATCCAGAATATTAGGTAATGCAAGTTACAAGATAAAAAGCTGTTTTACCAGCCTGTGCAACATAGTGAGACACTGTCTATACAAAAAATAAAAAAACTTAGCCAGGCGTGATGGCACTCATGTGGCTGAGGCAGGGGGATCACTTGAGTCCTGGAGTTCGAGGCTGTAGTAAGCCATGACTGTACCACTGCACTCTAGCCTGGGCAACAGTGCGAGAAACGGACAAAAAAATAAAAATAAAAATAAAAATAACTGTTTTACCTCCAATATAAAGAGTTATAGGTCTTAACTCTCTTTTTCTTTTTAGTACTAGTTTTTGAGTTCCCTAGTAAAGGATAACTAAATCACGATTCTTCCGTAAAAGCTCCACAGTTTAATGTTCTATTGATTAAAAGGTTTTTTTTTTCAGTTATTTTATTTTGGCTACCTCAGCTAGGTTTTTTTTCTCCTCCATTTCACAACTTTATTATGTATGTGCTCAAAGAGGTTCAAAGAACAAAATAGTATTTGTTCTTAAAATGCAAAAAAAAAATTAAACACAAATCTGAATAATTTATTCAGAATAAGAAATGTCCTATAATTCAAAACTGATCATTTAAAATTTGTCTCTAATTTATTGCTTAGAAAGTATCATAGTACAACTAAGCAGGTCTAATATCTTCAAGTACTGATTAGTCTAAATCTTTATGTCTGAAATACTAAGTATGATTACCAACTTTTGCTTCTTCAATATGCCTTACAAACGGAACCTCTTACAAACATCTCCTTATGTGCCAATCCCGTCTCAACCTCTTTTCCAAAGCTTCCCACTCAGTATTGTATTTGAATTTTTTTTCTTTTTTTTTTTTTTTAAGATGGAGTCTCACTTTGCCGCCCAGGCTGCAGTGCAGTGGCGCGATTTCAGCTCACTGCAACCTCCACCTCCTGGGTTCAAGCAATTCCCAGAAGTGACTGTTGCAGGTGGCTGAAGCTCACCTTTGCAGGGGGCAGAGCTTCAAAAAATAAAAGTCTAAAATATGAAGGACGTAAGAGTGAAGACTTGCCTCAGCCTCCCCCAGAGTAGCTGGGATTACAGGCGCCTGCCAACACGCCCAGCTAATTTTTGTATTTTTAGTGGAGATAGGGTTTCACCATGTCGGCCAGATTGGTCTCAAACTCCTGACCTCAAGTGATCCACTGGCCTCAGTCTCCCAAAGTGCTTAGATTACTGGCATGAGCCACCGTGTCCGGCCCTGAATTGTTTTAATTTAAACAAAAGAACTAAAACAAAGACGTATCTATGATAACTGCTTTAACAGGTATCCAGAAAATCCACACAAATAACAATATTACACAGAAAAAAACTTTTATAAGAGGTACTGGTTCTCCAATGCAGTTATTATATGATGTACTGGTTCTCTAATGCAGTGGTTCGTACAGTGTCGTTCCTGAACCAGCAGCATCATTACCACCTGGGAACTTGTTAGGAATTCTAGACATGTATCAGAAACTTTGAGAGCTCAGCCCTTTTGAGAGTTTATGTTGTGATAAATCCTCTAGGTGATTCTGATGCATGCTAAAATGTTAGAATTACTCCTCTAAGGCAAGGTTTCTCAATCATGGCAGTACTGATATTTTGGACTGAATAATTCTTTGTTCAGTACAGGGGATGTCCAGTGCATTGAAAGGTATTTAGCTGTATCCCTGGGCTCTACCCACTAGATGCCAATAGAAACACTCCCCCAACTCCCCAACTCCCCCCACCCTCATGTCCCCAGTAATCACAACAATCAAAAATATCTCCAGACTTTGTACCCTGGAGGGTAAAAGCATCCCCTGGTGAGAGCAACTGCCCTAAAGAAAAGAAAATCAGTATTCATCTATGGTTATTGTTATTGTTTGGTAAATATTCATGCTTCTCTCCCCACTCTCCATGGGAGGGATACGATTCTGCACTCCAGTCAATAACGGGGCTAAATCATGACTTACTTCAGTCAATACACTGTGACACAAGCAGAGGCGGTAAATGTGCTTGCAAAGTCTGGCTTGGTCTTCTGAATGCTCTGCACTCCACTAAGAGAATATGCCTGGACAAATGGAGCAGACTTGAACCTGACTCACAGCCTAAAGCCGAGCCATCACCAAAGCACAAAGTAAATTTGGCTGATCATGCCACTGAGAGACTAGGGTTGTTCGTTAAGCAGCATTAGTGGAGCAAGAGCACTAACACAACACCACTAGAGACATATTTGAGCAGCCCAGCTTAGACTGCCTTTATGAATAAAACAGTCATTTTCCTTTCAAGCATATCTATTAACACAACTACTTTCACATTTGCTAAGGGGCTGTTTTTTTCTTTTTTTTTGAGACAGGGTCTCATTCTGTTGCCCTGGCTGGAGTACAGTGGTACGATCACAGCTCACTGCAGCCTCAACCTCCTTAGGCTCTGCTAGGGGGCTATTTTAACTGAGGCAAATGTCTTAACTATGAAGACCTAAAGATAGATACAAATGGTCTCTGTAGAGAAGTTCATCCATATCATGCACTAGACCTACACTGTGGCTATATACATTTAAACGAAGTAAAATTAAAAATTTAGTTCCTCAGTAACAGTAGTAACATTTCAAATGTTCAATAGTTTCATGTAGCTAGTAGTTACCTCACTGCATGGTGCACTAAGTTCTAATGGACAGCACTGATAGATTTAAGCAAATAGATTATAATATGAAGTATTAGTACAACAATAAAGAGATGAGGCCAGGCGCAATGACTCATGCCTATAATCCCAGCATTTTGGGAGGCTGAGGTGGGCGGATCACTTGAGGTCAAGAGTTTGAGATCAGCCTGGCCAACATGGTGAAACCCTGTCTAAACTAAAAATAAAAAAAATTAGCTGAGTGTGGTGGTGCGCACCTATAATCTTAGCTACCTGGGAGGCTAAGGCAGGAGAATCACTTGAACCCGGGAGGTGGAGGTTGCAGTGAGCTGAGATCGCACCACTGCACTCCAGCTTGGGCAACAGAGCGAGACTCCACCTCAAAGAATAAAAATAAAAGAGAAATGAAGAATTAACTAACTTCCTGAAACACTTGTTTCCTCTTGACTTCTATCCATGATTTCTCACTCTCTTGGTTTTCCTCCTAGTTCACTAGCCACTTCTTAGTATCCTTTGTTGACACCTCTTCCACTATTCTGCCAGATCTCTTCATCTTCAAGTGTCCCAAAGCTTTATTCTTTTCTCTAAATTCTCTCCCTAGATGAGTTAGTCCAGTTCCCTTAGAATATCATTGGCACACTGATGACCTTCAAATTTGTATCTCCAACCCAGAACTTCAAGCAGAGCTCCCAGCCTCTACAGTCAATTGCTTACTAAACATTTCAACTAGAAAAATAGGCATTGCAAAATTAACATATATAAATTAAATTATTTATTTTTTGACCCAAAATCTATTTACTCCCTCCACTCCCTCCTTCTTTCTCAACTCAGGAAACAGTATGAGTTGTTCTGCCAGAAAGGTCACTCTGAAGGTTTCCTCCTGTGAATCGTAATTATTCCACCTCTAAAAATATATCCCAAAGCCATCATTCCTTTCCATATCAACAGTTCTTAATCCTAGTCCAAATCAACATCATCTCTAACATAAATTACTATAACATCATTTCCTCCATTGGTGTTCACCATTATGCCACTATCAACCATTATCCACAGTGGACACAGTCATCTTTTAAAAATTCTGTATCAGATCATCTTCCTCTCCTGCTTAACACCTCCAGTGGTTTCCCTTTGTACTTAAAATCAATACTCTTTTTCAGGGCCTACAAGAGTTCATATAATCTGTCCCACCATGTCTAATTACATTTCCAATCCACTCTACCATTTCTCCTCCTTACTCACTGCTCTCCAGCCCCTATAGCCTTCTTTCTGAACCTCTAAAATGCCAAATCAACTAACTTAGAGCCTTTGAACTAACTTCCTGGTGTCAAGAAAGTTCTTCTCTGAAATCTTTGCACAATGAATTCTTCTTAACATTCATGTCTCTGTGCAAATTTCACTTATAAAAGAGGCCTTCCATAATCCCACAAACTAATGTAGCCTCCCACTTAAAGTTACTTTCTATTATATTGCTGTCTTATTTTCTGCAAAGCAAATATCACTATTCAACTCAGAAATCCTTTAACTCAAAGGCCATAATTGTCAGTTATAGCATGAACTTCAATAAAAATTTAGTGATTTTTATTTTAAGAAAAACAGAATTTACAACATCCCATTAACCTTCTAAGAATTAACTCAATGTCTTCAAAAAAAAACAGGGAACAAATAGCATATAAGCCCTGTAAGATGTTCACAAAATACAGCCATACTGAATCCCTTCTTTGTATCAAATATAGAGTTAAGCACAGCAGATGTACTTATTTTTCCCCTAAATTTGTTTTTCAACATTGGATTAATTTGGTGCTTATGAAATGATTAAATTATTTTAAAAGACCCTATTATACGGTAGCAGTCATAACACAAATTTGTTCTTTTGTTTTTCCAGTCTCTTAGGTAGAGACTAACAATTGTGCTGAATTGTAAGATTGTTTTGTGGTGTGTGTTCAACTAAGCTGAATCTACTAAACACATTCCAACTTTAATCTGAATGAAATATTGAACCATTATTTCAAAGATACAAAAAGATTTTTGCAAAGCCATGTGCCACCTACCATCCTGTAGCAGGCAAGTAAATCTGTATCTCCCAAAGACTGACATTAACATTTTGAAAATTTCTTAAAATTCTCCTTTATATCACTTCCTATCTGATTTATCGCGTCTCCTGATTTCCTTTTTATTTCTAATCTTGCCTCACTTCAATCCATCCTCCACACTTCTCAAATATGAACAAACACTGATTGTTTTACTCTGTTACTTACCTTTTCAACTGCTCATATTATCTATACAGTAAAGTATGAATTGTTTAATAAAGTCTTCTATAATCAGGCTTCTACCTAACTATACAGCTTCACATACGCCATTTCCCTATTTCTAGTCTCATTTACTACATGAAATTAATTGACTAAGCCATGTTTTGTTTAAGTTGTATACCTCTGCACATATTATCATTTCTTGGCATCCAACGAGGATTGGTACCAGGACCTCTGTGGTTAACGAAATCCACTGATGCACAAGTCCCTTATTTAAAATGGCTCCTCTTGTATACTTCAAATCATCTCTAGATTACTTATAATACCTAATATAATGTAAATATGTAAAAAGTTGTACAGTGTTGTTTTTCTATTTGTGTTATTTTTGTTGTTGTATTGTTATTTTTTGTGGGTTTTTTCCAACTATTTTCAACCCTCAGTTAGTTGAATCCATGAAATTAGAACCTACAGATATGGAAGGCTAACTGTCCCATTTCCCTTGCTTTTATGTCCTTAGTGAAATCTTATTCTTGCTTCATCATACAGAATAAGCATCATCTCCATGAAGACTTCCATGATCGTTTCAAGCAAAGTAAATCACTTTCTTCTTTGGGCTAGTTCTACACTGAGCCCATATTTAGTGGAAAGCACTATTGTGTAATGGAGTCTGTCTTGAATTCCAGAATTTCCTGCTTATCATGTGATCTTTGTCAAATTACTTAATCTTTCTGTACTAGTTTCCTCATTTGGAAAATGGTAAAAGAAATAGTACAACTTCATATATAACTTTTGAAAACCTTACTGAGATAACTGGTTATTTTATGCATGTAAAGTTCTTAGAACAGCATCTATCACTTAGTAAGCACTAAATAAAAGTTATTAATTATTACATTATGTAGTAATAGTTTAAAGCTATACTTCCTCCACTAAATTGTGAAGTCCTTGACAGTAAAGATTGTGTCTTTTTTGTCTTTCAATCTCTAACAAGTTTGAGTTACAAATCTCAGCAACTATCTGCTGACTTAAACTGAAAAATATCTGACCCTAGAGAAGCAAAGATCGAGCAATCACTTTCTCATGCAGTTTCCTGTTTATAAAGAGTAGTCATTCTTAATATGTAAAATGCTAATCATATAATGATATTTCACTGATAGACTCAAAGCTCAAAATCACATGAAGTAAGACATATGACATTGCACTACTGAACTTCATGAATTTCATACTCAACACATTTTTAAGTGATCCTGCCACTCCTCTAGTAGCAGTAACTATTGATCTCTTCTGCACCTCCAAGATGTCAGAGCAGTGGGGCATTTTCAGGAAACTGGTGACATGTGTTGCTCTCTTCAAACCAGTGACTGGTGCAATATTGTGATAGTAATGAGGTACGATTCAGTGCTAGTTTACCAAGGAAGGTAAACTTTACCAAAGGAGTTCAACTAGCACTGATTTGTATCTCATTACTGACACAATATGGCACCAGTCTAGTCATACTAATAGATCAAACAGTGAAAGATGTTCAATTTAATCATATTTACAGGAATATTTGATACAATAATGGATATTAAGGAATTCCAAAGAACCCAAAAGAAAGCTGAAAAAGCTTTTAAAAAACGGGGGGAGGGGGAAATCACCGCTACAGTATTCCATAGTGTATATGTACATTTTCTTTATTCAATCTATCACTGATGGGCGTTTGGGTTGATTCCACATCTTTGCTATTATGAATAGTGCTGCAATGAACATACATGTGCATGTATCTTTGTAAAATAATAATTTATATTCTTTTGGGTATATACCCAGTGATGGGATTGCTGAGTCAAATGGTATTTCTGGTTCTACATCTTTGAGGACTCGCCACACTGTCTTCCACAATGGTTGAACTAATTTACATTTCCACCAACACTGTAAACACGTGGAGTACTATCCAGCCATAAAAAGGAATGAGATAATGTCCTTTGCAGGGACTTGGACAAAAGACCACAAAAGACCAGCCACAGATACAAGGCTATCTTGAATAGGAGGGGCCAAAATGCTGAGGCCAGGCACATGCAGCCTACCTAAGACTGCTGCTGCACTAGGAAAACAGAGAACTACCCTGCCTCTCCCTTTCAGGAGCTGGAAGCCATCATCCTCAGCAAACTAACACAGGAACAGAAAACCAAACACCACATGTTCTCGCTTATAAATAGGAGCTAAACAATGACAACAAATGGACACAGGGAGGGGAACATCACACACTAGGGCCTGTCAGGATGGGGTAGGGGGAGGGAGAGCATTAGGAAAAATAGCTAATGCATGCTGGGCTTAATACTTATGTGATAAGTTGATAGGTGCAGCAAATCACCATGGGACACATTTACCTATGTCACAAACCTGCACATCCTACACATGTACCCCAGAACTTAAACTTAAAATTTAAATTAAAAAAAATCACCTCCATCCAAACAACAGAAAAAGCTGGATAAACTACAAACTCCTACCAGACAGCCTGAAATCCAGGAATGGGGCAGCCCCCATTCCCAGGAGAAAAAAAGATTACAGATTGTCCCAACTGTAGTAGAGCATAGGAGGAAGGAACAAGACCAAATAAATACATAAGAAGAAACCAAGTATAACTTTAATAATTTGACAAAGACCAAATGCAGGCTAGCATAATAGTACAGCAACACTGAGAGCCCAAAACACAAGGTGAATTCACACTGACTCTCAGACTCTTTTGCAAGGGCCCTCACTTTACACATAAAGACTGGGAGAGGGGAAGAGACTAAACAGCCTAAGTCAGTGCTACAGATACAGAGGAGGGGACTGACCACCAGTGAAGGAAAGCAAAACGTTCTACCCTCCTTCCAAACCCTTCTCTCCCATAGAGGAAAGGACTTAAGCTACTGTAGGAGGAGAATCAACCCTGTTGACCCCAGGACACAAATACAATCCATCCTTGCTGAAAGATGAGTAAAAGAAAAAACTCTCTATACCTGAGAGAGGGGCAAACAACAGTCCTTTCTCAGAGTGAGGCAGAAAACTCTTTACCACAAAAGACCAGCCACAGATACAAGGCTGTCATGAACAGCAGGGGCCAAAATGCTGAGGCCAGGCACATACAGCCTACCTAAGAGTGTAGCTGCACTAGGAAAACAGAGAACTAACCTGCCTCTCATACCCTGAACTGAGTAATGAAACACAGTATTCTACAGCTGGAGGTAGGGCAAGAGCATGGCAAGAGGCACCCTCTGTAGCACAAGTGTGCGCCAAAGCACAGGAAAACTGGAGTGGAACTATTATATAGAAAAATAAGAAAATGTCTCTGGCACAATGTTCTCACAGTAAGCACAGGGCATCTTTAGAGGAATTTGAAGCCTGTGAGACACTGAAGGTAACCATAGCAATAACAAAACTCAAACTCAGCTCAATTCCTAACTAATGCAAATCCCACAATAAAGGACAAATGATAGAAAAAAGGCACCCATTTCAAGGTGTAAAAACTATTTATCTCAGTATCTACTAATCTGCACATATTTGGCACTCAATAAAAAAAAAAGACAAACAAAAAGAAAAACAGAATTATCATAAACAGAAACAGACCCAGAGATGACCCAGTTGTTGGAACTACCAGACAGGAATCTTAAATAACTATAACTATGAGTAAGATGTTAAAAAAAAAAAACAAAAACCTAGAAAGGTAGATGAAATGTGTTAACAGACAGGAATTTCAATAGAGATGAAAATTCTACGAGTCAAATGGAAGAGCTACAAATAAAAAATATAATATCACAGATGAAAAATTTCTTAGGCAGAATTATCAGTATATTCAATAAAGCCAAAGATGAATGCAGCAGATTTGAAGACAGGCCAATGAAAAATACCAGAATTGAAACACAACTCCAAAAAAAGTGAAAAAAAATAGAGTACCCAAAAGCTGTGGGATAATAACAAATGGTCTAGCATATGTATAATTGGATTCCCAGATTCTTAGAAAGATAATAGAGAAGCAATAGGGCAAAAGAAATAATTGAAGAAATAATGGACACAATGTCTTTTACAACCTAGTCTCAAAAGTCATATACCATCAGTTTTGCCTTATTCTACTGGTCCCAGAAACCAATCCTGACACAATTTGGAAGCGGTCCACAGAAGGGCATGAATACCAGAAGGCAAGGATAACTGGGGACCATTTTGAAAGCTAGCTACTACTAATCTGGTGAATGGATAAACAAACTGGTACACCCATATTGTGGAACAGTAATCAACAATAAAAAGGAATAAACTACAGATATGTGCCCCAGCAAAACCCACAAGTGAATTATGCTAAATGAAAGACACTAGACCCAATAAGCTACATACAGTATTTATATCGGCATTCTGGGAAAGGCGAAACCAAAGGGACCCAAAACTGAGCTGTCAGGGGCTTGGAAAGGCCCAGAAGACTGACCATAAAGAGACATGAGGGAACTTTGTGGGATGATGGCAATGTTATATATTCGATTATAATGCTGCTTATATGACTGTACATGTCTGTAAAATTCACAGAACTGTACACCTAAAAAGGGTAAGTTTTATAGTATGTAAATTATACCTCAAGAAAGTGCTCATAGAAAGACAGAGAAGGGAATCTTGAGGGGAAACAGAAGAGGCTTGGTTGAGAGGATGGATACAGGAGTCATAATGTGCAAATAATAAAAGTTTCTGAAAGAAAGATGACTACTAAACTAATAACATTATAAAGTCCCTCAAGCTAAAGAAATTTCTCCAAGCTTGAGTCTGCAGGTGAAAACTGCCTATAAAATTATGGGTTACAAGGGTGAGAAAAGATATCTGGCAAATGCCATGAACTCAAGAATAAAGAGAAAAACCTTAGATGCTTCCAGAAAAAAACAAGTTACTTAGGAAAAAAAAAAAAGAGAGGTAGGCATAGGCCTTTATATCCACAACATGGCAAAAGAAGATAGTGAAAGAGCATTCATAAATTTTTGAGAGAAAAGGACTGCCACCCAAGAATTCTATCCCAACAAAGAGTAAAAGGAAAGTATTTTGGCGTATGTTATCACTCATTTATCCAATTGAGAGAAACGGCCAAAAAAAATAAATGAATAACAACTGAATCATAGTAGAGATAGAGGAGGAAAAGAGAAGACCTTATGACATATGTAATTAAATCTAACTAGGGAATAGTAAAGAAATTGGACAGAGATATATGATAAAAAAAAATTCAGTGCATTAGAATTAAAATAAAGCATCTAAACAAAAGGAATATTAAAATCAGACCAGTGTACAGTAGTATCTTTATCTGCAGTTTCATCTCCGCAGTTTCAGTTACCCTTGGTCAATCATGGTTCAAAATATTAAAAGGGAAATTCCAGAAACAAACAATTGGTAAGTTTTAAACTGTGTACTGTCTGAGTAGTGTGAAGAAATTTCTCACCATCCTGCTCCATCCCACCCAAGACATAAATCATCACTTTGTCCAGCACATCCACCACTTTGTCCAGCACATCCACCACTTTGTCCAGCATATCCACACTGTGTATACTACCTGACCGTTAGCCATCAACATCATCTGCTCCTGATATCCAATCATCAACATCATCGTGGCTTGATGATCCAGAATCACCAGAAGCAGATGCTCCTCCTTCTGAAGTATTGTCAGAAGGTTAATAGTAGCCTAACACTACATCACAACACCTACATTCTTCACCTCACTCGCTCTCATCACATAGACATTTTATCTCTCACATCATCGCAGGAGGAAGGGTACAATATAATATTTTGAGAGCGAGAGAGACCACTTTCACAAAACTTTTATTACTTTATTACTTCTATTGTTATAATTGTTCTATTTTATTATTAATTATTGTTAATCTCTTACTGTGCCTAATTTATAAATTACACTTTATCACAGGTATTTATGTATAGGAAAAAACATAGTATTAATATAGAAAGGGTTCAGTACTATCCATGGTTTTAGGCATCCACTGGGAGTCCTGGAATGTATCCCCTGGGATAAGGGGAGATGCCTGTACAAGGAAACTGCAAGTGACTATTTCCAACAGCTTTTTTGTTTGTTAGTTTTTACCTGGTTTGCAAGATGAGAGTGACCAAACAGCTTGTGACCCAATTTCCCGTACTGTTCCAGTCCTTTCCAACTGCTTGGGGTCAGCACCAGGAGGTGTCTTGTTTGGTGTAGTCATTTTTAAAATATTCTATGTAGAAAACAAGAATGCACACATTGTATCAGGAACTGGGCATCTTTCTACAAAAGTTTTTTACCAAGAAAAATTTAATGGAACTCATATACCCTGACATTAATCATTTATTCTGAAGAATGCAGTTAATATAATTAAATCACTGTAATTTAAATCTTAGGGGCTGGGCATGGTGGCTCACACCTGTAATCCCAACACTTTGGGAGGCTGAGACAGGAGGATCATGTGAGCCCAGGAGTTCAAGACCAGCCTGGACAACATGGCAAGACCCCATCTCTATTTTTAAATAAATAAAAATCTTAGGAATTCAGGTTTTGTTTCATATGACCAGATATGCAAAGCAGTGAGCTATAGTAGTCAAAAGAGCACAGAATCAAAGTTTTGGCTTCAGTATCTCCTTTAATCAGCCTAGACTTTGAGTAGGTCTGGGCTTTATTTCCTCTCCTGTTAAAGAGGTTCACTTGATGATTTTTACTTCTACAATGCTATGCAGTTCTATAATTCTGTGCCTGAAAATTCAAATGACTTTTAGCCCTAGAAAAGTCAGACTGAAATACTTTTATTCTAGGAATATATAAATATTGATCCTCATTTTATTTACTTAATTCCTTTTTTTTTAGAGACAGGATCTAGCTATGTTACCCAGGCTGGTCTTGAACACCTTGCTTCAAGCGATCCTCCCACCTCAGCCTCCCAAGTAGCTGGGATTACAGGTGTGATCCCATCACCCCACTAAGATCCTCATTTTAAATATTCATTGAGTGATGCAGAGAACAGTCATACCTGCCCTCTAGCTGTCAAAAGTTTTATTTAAGACCCAGCCCGGTGGCTCACACCTGTAATCCCAGCAGTTTGGGAGGCCAAGGCAGGTGGATTGCTTGAGCCCAGGAGTTCGAGACCAGCCTGGAATATGGTGAAACCCTGTCTCTAAAAAAATTCCAAAAAATCAGCCTGGTGTGGCGGCACACACCTGTAGTCCCAGGGGGGCTGAGACAGGAGGATCACCTGAACTGGGAGGCGGAGGTTGCAGTGAGCCGAGATCGTGCTACTGCACTCCAGCCTGCGTAACAGAGCAAGACACTGTCCCAAAAAGCACAAAAATAAGAAAAAAATGTTAAAAGTTCACTTACATATGCTCTTACCATAGAAGATAAGGTCAGGAAAATGGCTTCAAGATTTTGAAGTGAATAACTGGCCCATTCTAAAAAGGTTGACCTCATCTTTCACATCTTTTGTTAATTTTACTAAGTCTATTCATATGTGAAAAAACACTTCAATACTGGATCGTGAACAATATGTAAAACTGCTTTGGTAGCGCAGTTACTGCTACTGAACATTGTTATATATGCTATTCAAAATAGGTGCAATAGTTCTGCATACCGTTTCCTTGACACCTCCCATTGTATCCGAAGTTGTTCTTTAATCGGCACACAAGCACTTGATACTTACTAAATAACGGCAGACACAACGGACTGTAAACTTTGGCAAGGCCTGAGGCTTAAACGCTCAATAAGTAATTTACTGAATGAATAAACAGATGAATAGGTTCAGTTATGAACTAGTTGTCACTTGCCTGCAAGTTAGGTGAGATCTAGGGCGAGACTATTCAACCTGCAACCATCATTACTAACTGAATGTCCTGTTACCTAAAAAAAGATAGAAATAAAGCCCATCTTTAGGGCAGAATTCAACTGCCGGACTTGGGACTGGACGCCACCAAGTGGATAAAATATGGAGCTCGGAAAAGATTGGATTCCCGGCCCTGAACTGACCACACAGTTGAGAGGAAGTTGAGGCCTAGAAGAGCGCGCAACAGTAAGCCGTGTCGGCACCAGACTCTGTTGGTCCTACTGACACCTCCAGCGTTAGAATGACTAAGGCTCCACTCCTGACCCACCGGCCTTGAGGAAAGCGCAAACGTAAAAAAAGATTGAAACCGGAGAGGCGAATGCATCTGTTTACGCTAGGACCACGCTCGACGTCGGAGAAAAGCCCACACACTCACAGTTTCCAGACCTGGCTGCTTGCCGAAACTCAGATTCTCGGCACCTCCAGCAGCTGGCTTCGCCAACGGCGTTGAACAAGGGTCGCAGCTCAATGACGTCATATCTCCCTACCTACCTCCAGGGTTCCGCCTCACGCTCTATGTCGCGCGCGCGCACTACGTCCTATGGCTTGCGCGTGCGGCGGCTGGGCACCGCCATTTTGGCCGGTGGCCGTGAGAACACGCTGTGTGGCTGAAAAGTGAAGGCAAGAGCTGATTTGGCCTCTGTGCTCCCCTCCGCAAGGGGATCGTTTTCTCCAGGTACGTGAATAGCCCGGAGAGGTTTGGCCGTTAGCTGCCATCTGCCAGGTTGGAAAGAATGTAGGGACGTTCTCCGAGAGCCTTTGGTTAGGCCTTAGGTGGCGGAGACAGCAGCAGCGCGTGGCAGCGGTTCCTGCGGGACAGCTGGAACTGATGGAGCGCGGGCGACGCCGAGAGCTTGGGGGCGCCTCGGTCTTCCCCTCCAGCCGACCCGGCTGTCGCCGCTGTTGCCTGCCACACCCGCGAGGGACTTCGAGAATGGACCTAGATGCCGTAGTCTCCACTCCCCCTTTACCCCACTCCCGCCCTGAAGCTAAACCTGCTGGAGAGGAAGGCACCTTTAGAACTTACAGCACTCTCTAGTACCCCCACACTCCTCCAGCACCCAAAATGGATATATTGTCACATGTGCATATTTGGTTGTGGGAAGTCGTGGCTTCCACGTTTTGTTGAGTGGAATGAGTCATGGCATCTTGCCGCCATGAAGTCGAATACTCGCTGTCCACTCCCAGGCTTTATAGAAATGATGCCCACATGTCACTCTGCTTTTCTCAGAACAGCGTGTACGCAGCTATGACTGGGGTTGTCCCAAGTAGTTTCCCAGTAGAAATCCTATAGTTTTTTTGGTACGCTTTTGTAGCACTAGGCACTTTCTCCCCTTACCCGTTTTTCCTTTTATTGTATCTAATACTCATTGAGATCAAGGTTGATGTCTTTACTCAGAATACCTTTATTATCTCTTCAGGGCTTCGTACATTGTAGGCATTTAATACGTATTGTGAATGAATGACAGCCAAAGCCGAATTCCCACCTCCCATTAACTACATAAGCTTATTTTCTCTTTTTTGATGGTAAAAATCTATAAGAGGAAGAACTGTCCAAATAACATGTTTTATTTTTTTACTCTTTCCCAACAGGACTGCTAACTAGTCATTTATGATAGTGGCATTTATGTTGCAGTAGTTTGTCCCATATTCTGAGAATATTCATTGTATACCAGCCACCTGACACTAATACTTTGTTAGTGTAACCAAAGGCTCAGAACCTGTATTTGAACCAAAAGCTGTTTGGGGTTTGTGAGCTTTTTGAGAACTTAGTTCTCCCCTATTTTAAAAAAGGGAGTTTTTTTGTTTGTTTGTTTGTTGGAAGAGCATCTAACAATTGGGAGAGAGGGGGAGAAAACAATATTAAGTTAGAGTTCTTCTAAATGTCTTAAACTTAAAACTCTTTGAAATCAGAGCCGTGTACCACTCCTAACTTCTACGTGTTTTGTAAGACTAATAAACTACAATAAGCATGGGTTAGACTATTTCATGTGATACTAAACATCATTAGTTAACAGCAGTCTTTGAAATGCTTTTACACAGCGTTACAATTATTTTGGCTTTAGACTGTAAATGCTTCTAAGTATTCCTCACTTCCTTTTTTCCTCTCAGCTGTAAGAATGACACTGAGGGTCATTGTTCTAGTGTCAATTTTGAACACTTTTGTCTTCGAATCTGAAATATCCGCAAATCCTTCTTTGTTTGCAGGAGCCTGTTAACTATAATCTTCCTCTCCAAGCTTTACTGTGCCTAGGTTTTCTATTGAAAAACAAGTAGGGAATCCCCTTGCCCCAATTATTGAAACTGATACAGAAATTGAATTAAAAGTGTTCACACAGTTAATTAACAGTTCTACAAAGAATCCATGTTCATTTTTCTTAAATGCATTACAATTTATCACTATTTTTATATAAATCAGTTTATTAACCACTTCTGGTATGTTTTTATTCTACTGTAAAAATCAAGCCAGGGTAGTGACATGCACCTATAGTCCCAGCTATTCGGGAGGCTAAAGCAAGAGGATCCCTTGAGCCCAGGAGTCCCAGTCTGTAGTGTCCTGTGATCACTGCCCTCAGCCAGGACACCATAGCAAGATCCCTGTGTCTTTTTAAAAAATTGTCTTTTACAGTCTTTTGGTTTTTAAAATAGTTTGAAAAATTAAATATTTTAGTAGTTTAACAGAAATAAAGTTTAAGCAATTTCGTGGTGATTTATCCCCTGGAGGGGAATTCATTATGCTCTTTCACTGAGTAATTGTAGAAAGGCATTCAGTATTTAAATTAGAATGCATGGTGTCCAGTTTTAATAGCTTGCTGAAGAATCTTCATTTCCTAGGAAGTTGTCATTTCCCGAATAATAGCTTTTTTGTGACAATTCAAGCCATCTAATTTCTTCCTCTTCTAATCTTTACAAGACCTGGACCAGTTTTTAGAGGAATAGAGTCAACCTGTTTATTGGAATAACCCTGTACTTATTACATGAACATTTAGTCTCCTTTTGAATGATTTTTTTTTTCAGTATGTAGTTTAGTGGACAACTGTCACTATAAAATATTGGTAACTTGCAAGATTTCTAAAGTTGTTATAACCTACAGGAAAATTATTTACTATATTTAAATTCATATTCTCATTCATTTAGCAGAAATGCTTGATCTCCTGTGTGCTAGGCACAGGTTCAGCCACTGGAATGAACAAAAATTCCTACCCTCATGATGGATGGAGTACATTCTACTTGGGGAGGGGAAAAATGTGTATGTGTTTGTAGAGAGACAATATACATACACACACCCACGATAGATGTGTGCATATACACCAGATATATATAAAAAAAATATATATATGGAATATATAGTATGTCATATAGTTGAGCTAGGGAGAAAAATAAAGCAAGAAAGAAGGATGAAGAGGCAGTTGGGTGTATTTTTCGGTAGTGTATATTGTGGTAGTGTAGTTACAAAAGGCTCACTGAGAAATAGTAAAGATTGAAAGGAGTAAGCCATGTAACTCTCTAGGGGGAATAGCATTACAGGCAGAAAGTGCCAAGATCTTGAAGCAAGAACATGCCTGGCATGTGCTAGGAACAACAAAGAGCCAATGTAGCTGGAGCCATACAAGAGCTAGAGTAGTTGGAGATGAGATCAGAAAGTTAACAGAGGCTGATCAATGCCTCATTGATTATTTTCAGGACTTTGGCATTTACTCAGATTGAGAATGAAGCCATTGCAGGATTTTAAATAGAGGAGTGACATGATCTAGCTTACTCTTTAAAAGGCTTCCTATGGTTCCTGTGTTGAGAATGAACTGTTGAGGGTTAGAGTAGAAAGAGGTGAGGGTAAAAGCAAAGAGATCTGTTAGGAAGCTATTTGAGTGATGCTGGTAAGAGATGATAGTGATAGCTTACACCAAACTCATGAGATCAGATTCTGGATGTTTTATAGCTTCAGTGGGATTTGCTGTTATTAGGTGGAAAAGAAAATGACTTCAAGGATTTGGGCCTGAGCAAATGGAAGACTGGAGTTGCCATCTAACAAAATGGGCAAGACTGCTGAAATTTTGGTGAGGATATCAGGAGCTTAGTTGGGAGATTCCTCTTAAGCCTTCCAGAGATGTTAGGTGGGCAGGAAGGGTTCAAGAGAGGTATGCTGACTAAAGATAGAAATTTGGAAATTTGCAGTATATAAATGGAATTTAAACCTGTGAGACCAGAATAGAACAACTTGGGGAATGAGTATATGTGGAAAAAAATGACCAAGTCTTAGAGCACTCTGCATTTAGAAGCCTGGGAGATGAAGATGAGTGACCAGGAAAACAGTAGAAAAACCAGATTAGTGTTGTATCCTAAAACCAAGTTAAGAAAGGGTTTTTATCTAGTAGGAAAAGTGTTTATTTGTGTCAGATGCAATTGATTGGTCAGGTGAATTAAGGTCTGATAACCATTTGTTTTAGCCATGTGAAGAACAATGATGGCTCGAAAAGTTTTGATTAAATGATGGGCTCTAGAGCCTAGAATGGATTCCAGAGAGCATGTAGCAAGAAATTTGAGACATTGAGTATAAGCAACTCTTTGAAGTAGTCTTGAAGAAGGAAAAATAAAACAATGGGAGACGATGGGGTCAGATAATAGAATGCCTGAATGCTGATAAGAATGAGCCAGTGGAGAGAATAATTGATGAAGTTAAAGACAGAAGGGAGAATTGTTGGGACATTCTTATGGAATGTCTTCTAGTGTACAAATGGTCTTAGCCAGGGAAATACATACAGTGTCATTGCTGGTTGGCATAAGGGTCCATTTGAGATGATGAATTTAAAGGGAGACTAGTCAGCAGGTTTTGTGTTTTTTTTTCACCTACCATTTTCAGCTCTATGTGTGCAGGTGAAGAGTCGAATTTAACCAAGATTGTGATTTAGGGTATTTTAGCTGGGTGAGAAGGAAAATAAAAACACCAAGAGCTGAGGGACAGTGGAAATATGATAGAATCAAGAGATAATGAAAGGTTTGAAGAATGGAGGAATCAGAGTTGTTGGATTGTTGTGTAGTAGGGGGTGAACTAAAAAGATAAGAATGGTGGTTGGAGAATGGAGTATTTGAAGTTGAGGTTATAGAAGGATTGCAATTACTGGTAATGATAAGGTCTAGGATGTAACCAGAAAAAATGAATGGCTGTGGTAAGGTAGAAGACAAGCTGTTTGAGGAGAGGGGTTAAATGAGAGGACAGGAGGGTCATCTGTGAGCATATTGAAATCGAGAACTATGTCAGGAGTTGTAAAAGAGTGTGTGAAAGTTAACAGGGGCTGAAATCTTCAAAGAATGAAAGGGAGTGATCTGGTGGTCACTACTAACTAAAGCAGTTAGATAGTTGAGATGCAAAACTTTTTAGGGAGGAGGGAGAGATAATAGTCTAGGACAGCGTCGAGGAGCAAGATCTCTTATCCCCATCCAAGCCTAATGATATTGATGGGTGTGAAAAAGACTTGAGATGTCTACAAAGGGAAGCAGTCTATTAAAAAAAATAAAATAAAATCAAGATTGATTATCACAGTAAGAAAAAGACAACATGATCTCTTTCTAAATGGATAATCTTGGTTTCAGATTCATTCATTACATATTGGAATAAACTTGAGTATTAAGGCACCTTTTGGAATTTTTTACTTTAATCACCATTCTAAGGAAATTAATTTCTGAACCACTAAGCCCAATATTGTGAAAGATTTTTAAGTTAACTTTGATCTTAATGCTGTGTAGTTGATTAAATTGGAATATCAAGACTTATAAAAGCTTTAAAAGTGAGCATAGTATATACATATAGTTATTTGGTCTCCTTTTAATTTCATTGCTATTATGATTATTTGCCATTTCTGTCAGTGTCATTATAGTCAGATGTACACGACGTGAAGTAATGCTTAGTTTGGGGGAAGAGCTTGTGGGATTTCCCCCATCCTGCTTCCCCTTTTTCAGTTTTCCTGGCTATTAATAATTCTTTTTCCATTAGAGCTTTAGATTTGCTTTGTCTGGGTTGGTTGGGGTTTTTTTTTTTTTTTGAGACTGGGTCTGACTCTCATCCAGGCTGGAGTGCAGTAGTGTGATCTCAGCTCACTGTAACCTCCACCTCCTAGGCTCAGGTAATCCTCCCACCTCAGCCTCCGGAATAGCTGGGACCGCAGGCGCACACCACCACATGTCTGGGGTTCTTTTGTTTGTTTTTTCTCATGAGATTGAATTAAATATATAAATTCAGGAAGGGTTTAAATCTGTGATATTAACTATTCTTTATTATAAAAACTGAGATAGCATGTCATTTGTTCAGGTCATTTATATCATTTGGTGTTGTTTTAAAGTTTTCTTGTGTATATATCTTGTTGAGTATATTCCTAGATATTTTCTTTTTGTCGCTATTGTAAATGACATTTTTTTCTTTCCTTATATAAATCTTCTGATTAAAGTATATATGTAAAATTTGATTTTCCCAACCTTACTAGATTATAGATTATTTTACAATTTTTACATTTGTCAAAATTTATATTTTTTTTTTGCAGATAATCATTTCATCTCCATATAATGATCATTTATGTTTTCCTGTCTTTCATGTATGCAAATTAGTTCCCTTAACTAATGGCATTAAATTTGTTGATTTTTCTTTCATAGAAGAGCTGGATATTCTTTCGCCCAGTTATGGCAGACAAGTTAACGAGAATTGCTATTGTCAACCATGACAAATGTAAACCTAAGAAATGTCGACAGGAATGCAAAAAGAGTTGTCCTGTAGTTCGAATGGGTAAGCTGTTCTGTGGATCATTTAAGTATAAAAGAAAACCATGAAAGAAATCAACTGGTTTGATAATTCTTTACGGACATTAACATAAACTTTGTGTTCACCATTAGTTTCATAAAACTGTGAAGACAAGAAAAGTAGTTTGTTCTAAATTTCTTTTATTGCTTTGTGACTGAAGGATCATATTTTTTAAAGAAAGACCAAATTTTAGAATAATACATCAATATTTAAAAGTGTATTGGATGTGAACTCAAAGCAGAGTTCAGCTTACTGATCTTGAAATCTACAAAATCTTATAATTACTTTAATATTATATATATAGTAATTAATTACTATAATCAATGGGGGAAGGGTTACAGTAAACTTTGACAGTATTTTCATATTTAAAAAATGAACAAAGAGCTTAATAAGAATGACTATTCATAAGGTTTAACTATATTTTGAAGATTAGATAAATTTCCAACAATTCAGTTGAAAAATTATTGGTAGTCGTTAAGGGCTATGTTAAGTAATTGTGAATATACGAATGAGGCATAGAATTACTGACTCTTAGAATTACTGAAACTTAGAAACTTTAGTTGTCATCTGTTATTGTCTCCTTTGCTATTCAGAAATTCCATTATCCCTACTACCATGTTTAATTTTAGCTGTATGTTAGATGACTGCATACCTTTTTGGAGTTTTACTGATCTAGCTACAATAGTTCATTCGTTTAATGCTCTGCCTTACCATTTTCAAGGCATATTTTGTTTTATGAATTTAAAATTTAGGTTAATCAGCTTAAAAATATTTCAGGATATGTCATACTTTTACTAGCATATTTTCTTCCCCAGTAGTAAATTAAGTAAAATAAATATATATTAATTAATCATCTCCCTGCTGCCAAACAAGGATATTCATATAAGTGATTAGAAATCTGTCCCCACAAAGCACTGATTTAAGACATTATCTCAAATGTATTTCTTTGTGTGGCCTTTGTTTTTGAAAATCTGCTTCTGTATGGAAATTTAGAACCAGCATTGCCTAAATAACAGTGTTCGGAAAATTAGAAGATCAAAGGAAATGGCTTAATTATATCTTTTCCTTTACCAGGAAAATTATGCATAGAGGTTACACCCCAGAGCAAAATAGCATGGATTTCCGAAACTCTTTGTATTGGTTGTGGTATCTGTATTAAGGTAAGTAATATTTTATTTACTGGATCAAACGTGTAACCTAAAACTGAAATCTGAAAATTCTGGATACTATGCTATAACTACTTTAAGTGAGGCAAAGTATAAAGCAAATGAATAGAGAATGTAAATTTAGGAAAGTGGTATTCTAATATCAGTGACATTGTTGCTTTTTTAAATAAATTAAACCACCCTTTTTAAAAGTTACTCTTGCTGTACTCAACTTTATAAAGCCATTTCCAACCAAAATTTCTCTTTTTTCACCTTTTTATAAGGACATTACCATCACATTACATGTTTCTTTCAAGTCTGTATTGAATTTTAAATTCACACCTTTTAAATAGAAATGCACACAGCCAAAAATTTTAAAATTTAACATAATTCTTCTACTGTATTACACATGCTTCTATTGAATTTTTCCCAATAGTATAATACTTAAAATAGCTCAATTATTAATAGTTTTTGTTGCCTTGAATAGTTTGATTAGGCTTTTGACTCATGAATGGTGAATTTCCAACTTTAGTTCATAAAAGAAATTTAGGAGCTAATGTGTAACATACTTAATTTAGATCTTTCTGTTTGTAGATATTATAAAAAGGCGCTTCACCAGAATTCAGATACCACACTATTGTTCAAATAAATCGTGTGTATATTTCACATTGGTTTCTGAATCCTTGTTTAAGTATCCGGAAAGATTTCATGGATACCTGAAACATTTTCACTTGCTTTGAAAATATAAACAGGAAGCATTCCTTCCAGCAAATATTTACTAATCTCTTACTAGATACCTGCCTTTATCCTGGGTGCTGGGAATCTGGTTTTGAGCAATATAGTATCTATTCTGTTTTCTCTCTTTGTGCTGTAAGAAAATTATATTAATTTAAATTTTAAATTTTGGATATACACTTGAGTGGCTAAAAACATACTAATGAGGTGGTCCTCTTTGAGGGTGGAGAAGTAATGTATAATTCCTGAACACTAAGATATTATAATGTACCTCATATATGAACAGTGGATATTTTTTTCCTTGTAGAATTGAGTTTAAATCACTTGCAGCATATAAGCATTGTATGTACATTTAAGAGAAGAGGATAATGGAGGTAACTCCACTATCCTCCACTGTAATATAGAAAAATATAATTTGTAAAAACTTAATAGTTTTGGTTAGAGGGTGGAAATTACTTTATTAGAAAACAAGAGTAATTATCTGTTTTTATAATGTATAAAATGGAAATTCCCTGGAATCTCTAAACACGGAAACTTAGAATTGGTCCCCTAAGCTCATTGAACATGTCTGCTGAACAGATCTCTAATAACATGAGGTTATAATTTTTGCATGTACCTCTGTAGTTGTCTGTACTTACGAAAAATTTTTCTAGCCATATTACCATTCTTAAATGACCTTCCTGTTTTTGCTGTTCTTGTTCCTTGGACAGTCATCTTATAGTTGAATGTTATTTGAATAAGCCTATGTGTTTTATTTTGTTTTTTAATGTGAATTGACTCCGAGAATTCAAGTATCTTATTCATATAAGATAGATAAAAGTCATAATGGAAAGACATTAATCCCCAGTCTGTGCAAATATGCTAGCTATTGGTGGGATGGAAATAGCCCAAAAAAGGATAAGATCCATGACCTCAAACGACTTTACAAGGTAGAACAGGAAGTATACAAGGGCAGGAATAATTGAAGGAAACAGAGGGAGAACATCTGTTTTGGAAAGAATATAAAGCCATATATTCAGTGACTTTTTTGTTGACTTGCCTCTTAGCCTCCCCTCATCTAATATGTTTTAACAAAACCAAACAAAAAACCTCAAGTTCTACAAGGTTTTTCAATAAGTATTAAGCACTCTTTAAATGTATAGGATTATACCCAACACTAAAGGGAATATCAAGTTACAGTTGACCCATGAAATCACAGGTTCAAACTGTGCAGATCTACATACACGTGTATTTTTTCCCCCAACCAAATGCCAATTGGAAATAGAGTATTTGCAGGATGCAAAACCATTTTAGAAAGGGCTGACTTTTTCTTTTACTCAGGTGCTCCAGGGCTGACTGCAGGACTTGAGTATGTGCCAATTTTTTGGTGTACTCGGCAGTCCTGGAACAATTTTCCCCACATATACTGAGAGACAATTGATATAATTCTAATGTTCAAGGAACCTTTTATTTTAAGTAAATAGTAGAAGGAAATGAAACAACATTTCACATCTTTATGAAATCATGTTTAGAAGATTGCTTATAAAAATATTTTTAATCCATTTTAGTTATGTGTATATGTCTACAAATTAATACAAAAATTAATTCTTTACTTTAAATAACAGAAATGCCCCTTTGGCGCCTTATCAATTGTCAATCTACCAAGCAACTTGGAAAAAGAAACCACACATCGATATTGTGCCAATGCCTTCAAACTTCACAGGTATATTTTCACATCAGGATTCCTCTTCTGTCAAGTTAAGAGTAAAATACATTTGGGATTTTAAGAGAAGTGCAGAAATTGGGGGGAAATGCTATTAACCAGTCACTAAAGGAAAATACAATATTATAACATCATGCAGAATCATACTGCATATGTCTGTGGTTCATTCTGGCTAACATTACAGTTACCTATGGGACTTTTTAAAGCTACTAATGCCCAGGTTTCAGCCCAGTTTAATTACATCATAGGGTCTGGACCTTAGTATATTGAAAAAGTCCCAGGTGACTCTAATATACAACTGGGACTGAGAGTCACTGTTGTTCCTAGTACCCTTATCCCCAAAATAACTTTTAAGGGAACTTGCCTTTGATTTTGTTTATCCATTAATCTTATGATCTACAGAGAATATCACTTTGAATTTGGACATGTATTATTAAGGCACAAATAAATCCTTAGTTTGGGATTTTTATCTGCTGAACACTAACACTTTGAATCTAGGAGTCTAGATTTTTACTAATAAAAAAGTATTTCTCAACCTGCCAGCTTTAAGGGGCCTACTGCAGCAGGGAGAAGGAAGTGGAATATTTCTGGTTGATGTGGCACTTCTCTCCTTGTAAGTAAATGGCAGGCCAGAAAAGAAAGACATTGTGAGGTTGCACCTGCTGTGTAATTTTGTACCAAAGCATTTTGTTATACATTAAAACTGGGCCTTATATGTAAAGAAGAAATTTACTTTAGGATGGACTTTGAAAACTGAATAAATAAAACTTGTAGTAATGTTGTTTAAGGATGCATTTCTAACAATTAACAGTGTAAGTTAATCTTGGCTGTTCTTTTTTCTAATAGCCATTAATCTTGGCTGTTTTTTTCCTAATAGCCAGTAATATCTGGCATATGTTTCTTAGCTTATTAATGGATGGTTGTGAAGTGCAGGTGCATTAAAATATATCATTCTGATGTTATGTGGCTTTTTCTGTGTAAATCTGAGTTGTTTTATTATTTTTGTATACTTGTAACAGGTTGCCTATCCCTCGTCCAGGTGAAGTTTTGGGATTAGTTGGAACTAATGGTATTGGAAAGTCAACTGCTTTAAAAATTTTAGCAGGAAAACAAAAGCCAAACCTTGGAAAGTACGATGTATGTATTATCACCTTGTAAAAATTAATATCATGAGTCAGTTTTATGAGATTTTGGGGGGATGATATGTATATTTTTAAAATATTCTTATTTTCAAAATTATTTATGGAATTAATGCTGAGAAATTTATAAACAAAGCTCTTTTGTACTTTTGAACTAAAAATCTGTTAATGTTACTTAACTGAAAATTCTGAGTTGTTAAGCCTTGATCTGAAGCAGAATTCTGCTTGATTCTGCTGTATTACACACGTTTCTATTTAATTTGTCCCAATAATGTAAAAATAGCTCAATTAGTTTTTGTTGCAGTCAATAGTTTGATTAGGCTTTTGACTCATGAATGGTAAATTTCCAACTTTAGTACATAAAGAAATTTAGGAGCCACTGTGTAATGTTCTTAAGTTAGATATTTTTATTTGTAGATATTATAAAATGGAGCTTCACCAGAGTGTGAATGCCGCCCTATTAATTGTTCAAATAAATCATAAGTGTATTTTGCTTTTCATTTCTGAATCCTTGATTAAGTATCCAGAAAGATATCTTGGATACCTGAAAACATTTTCACTTGTTTTGAAAATATGAGCAGGAAACATTCCTTCCAGCTTAACCTCTTATTAGATGCCCTTCTATGTCCTAGGTGCTAGGAATCTGCTTTTGAATAACATAATATCTGTTCTGTTTTCTTTCTTTGCTGCTATAGGGAAATGAGACTTTTATTAATTATGTTCGCCTCCAACCTTAAGTTAAAAGCCACAAGTGTTCTATTTGCATATATAATCTATTTCCTGTAGCATTCATCCTCTTTGTCATTGTATTATTAAATTCACATGATTCTGTATTTTTTTTTTTTTTTTAGGATCCTCCTGACTGGCAGGAGATTTTGACTTATTTCCGTGGATCTGAATTACAAAATTACTTTACAAAGATTCTAGAAGATGACCTAAAAGCCATCATCAAACCTCAATATGTAGACCAGATTCCTAAGGCTGCAAAGGTCGGTTTTTGATAGAGGGAACTTAACGGATATTAGTAGAAGTATAAAAGATATATCAAAATAAACTTGTTTTACTTTGTGATTCTTTTTAATATTGAAAGAAAATAGTAACTGTTTTTGGTATATTGTGGCAGGGGACAGTGGGATCTATTTTGGACCGAAAAGATGAAACAAAGACACAGGCAATTGTATGTCAGCAGCTTGGTAAGTGTTTATTTTTTGTTTGTGTGAATATATATTTATTTATTTTTTGAGACGGAGTTTCGCTCTTGTTGCCCAGGCTGGGGTGCAATGATGCAACCTCTGCTTACCACAACCTCTGCCTCCCGGGTTCAAGCGATACTCCTGCCTCAGCCTCCCAAGTAGCTGGGATTACAGGCATGTGCCACCACGCCCAGCTAATTTTTTGTATTTTTAGTAGAGACCGGGTTTCTCCATGTCAGTCAGGCTGGTCTCGAACTCCCACCTGCCTCAGCCTCCCAAAGTGCTAGGATTACAGGCGTGAGCCACTGCGCCCGGCCATTTTGTGTATATATTTCAATAGGCCCTGAACTTAAGTGATGAAAGTACACATCTTTATGTGGATTACTGAAAATCTCCAGTAATTGTTATATTTAAACAATTTTCAACTGAAATAGCATTCAAACTTCAAATGATGACATGCAGTATACTTTTTACCTGGAAGAGGTGAAATACATTGAGCACAATGCCTCTATGTTCTTTGTAGATTTAACCCACCTAAAAGAACGAAATGTTGAAGATCTTTCAGGAGGAGAGTTGCAGAGATTTGCTTGTGCTGTCGTTTGCATACAGAAAGCTGATATGTAGGTTACTTTACAATTTTTGTTTATCTTCATCCGTATTGTAGAGTTTTCAGTTGTGATGCTGCTAATAGAGGAATGGTTTTGAGAGAAATTAATAGAAATAGTATCTAAGTTCCTAATTTCGAGGTAAGATGTTGAAGCAGTTGTGTATCCACTACTCATTTTCCCTGTTATATTCACAGGGGAAAATATTTATTTATTTAGATAGTTTATAACTGATAGGTGCCGGAACTTTTTATATAAAGTCAGTTATTCATTATCTAAGCTCTCTTTTTTTGAGACGGAGTCTCGCTGTGTTGCCCAGGCTGGAGTGCAGTGGCGCAATCTTGGCTCACTACAAGCTCCACCTCCCGGGTTCACGCCATTCTCCTGCCTCAGCCTCCTGAGTAGCTGGGACTACAGACGCCCGCCACCACACCCAGCTAATTTTTTTTTGTATTTTTAGTAGAGACGGGGTTTCACCATGTTAGCCAGGTTGGTCTTGATCTCCTGACCTCAATGATCCACCCACCTCGGCCTCCCAAAGTGCTGGGATTACAGGCGTGAGCCACCACGCCTGGCCTAAGCCCTGTTTTTATGTGAAAAGACTTAAGCTCTCCAGCCAGGCTAGCAAGCTTTTTAATATCTGAAGCAAGACGCGAGGTCTTTTAAATCACTGTAGATCACTGTGGCATGCCATGTGAAAGAGAGGAGAGGAAAGTTTCCTTCCTTTATTTAGTGTCTCTCCTCCCAGACATTTATTGCTGCTTTTTCCACATTTCTGCCCTGTTGTCCGGTGAAGGCTAACTCTTCTCCACAAAGTATTCTATAAATTCTTGAAATACCCTCCAAAAAACTATGCTTAAATGCAGCTGACTTAAGAGAAAAGCTCTCCAAACTACTTGAGACTATATCAGAATACTTTTTATGAGGAGTGACCAATTTGTAAATTAGCCTAACCTGGTAGACCCTCACCAGACCTGGTGTGTAATCTTGCTTTCTGTAATTTTTTCCTTCTACTTCTGAACAGAATACAGAAATTTTTACCATTACAAGTAGACTCTTCATTACTATTGGAGATTTGTGTTGTGGTTAACTCAAAAGCTCTTGATACTACAGTGCTTTAAAATAGTATGTAAGGTAGAATGTCTTGTCTTTCAAACTTATATTTGCTTTTTTTTTTTTTTTTTCATAGTTTCATGTTTGATGAGCCTTCTAGTTACCTAGATGTCAAGCAGCGTTTAAAGGCTGCTATTACTATACGATCTCTAATAAATCCAGATAGGTAAGTAGAGATCTGGCATATTACTGTGTTGTTTTGTTTGGAGATTTTTACAGATTTCTAAGGATTAAACACTGGGACTGTCAATGTGATGTACATATTTTTTATCTTGGTTGTTTATAGCTGCCACCTAAATTTACCTTTCTTTACCTAGAACAGAGGTTCTCAATGCAAGATTCATTTATTAACACCCCCGCTTCCAGGGAGCTTAGGAATATTCTGAAATTATATGCAAATTCCGTAGCTTTATAGGAAGCAGACCCTTAGCTTTTACCAGCTATCTTTTTCTCTCTCTCTGTCTCTCATTTTCACACACACAACACACGCACGCACACGCTTAGAATTTGTAAGAATCACTAGAGTAATTCTGGTTTTTCAGAATCTTGCTGGACAAAAGAAAAGAAAATTATCATAACTTCTGTTAGTATTCAAAATACGCTGTGTTTATAGGGTGCTTTTGTGGTTTGTAGAGTTTTCAGATTCATTATGTCATTTGATCCTCATGGTTATCTTGTAGGAATCTTTAGATGGTATTCCTATTTTGCAGATGAAGCACAAGGTCAAAAATCTAGTTGTTTGTTCTAGGTTACAAATTTACTGTATGACAAAGCTGTGACCAGACCCCAGGGGTTTTTTTCTGTATAGTATTTTCTGTGTTATACTGCCTCTTCTGACTTAACAATTTAATGAACATCCTTTTAAATACATGGCTCATCTTGCAAGAAAGCAAGAGAAATCCCAAATGGTCAAAAACTAAAGCATTAGAACTATAGAGGAGTAATAGGACCAGATGTTGATGGTTTCTGTAATAGGTCTTGGGTTTTAACATCCACTCATGGGCAAGAAGCAAGGTCTAGTATTGGATTTTCACACATAAAGTGCCAGGACTCTCAAAGGACTGCTTTCTCACTGAAAGGGCGAATTAGAAACAACTTGTCTATCATTGCACGGAAATGTCAAGAAAGCAAATATCTATCATTCACTGAGCTCCCTGGAAGTGAAGGGATTGCTCTGTTTCAAATCTCTATTCATGGGCCAGCAGCTCGCCTGGCTATGGAATTGAAATTTATATAACCAGTGGAATCTGTGAACCCTTCAAAGTGAGAAAGTAATATGTTTAAGGGGTCTGGAACTTTTATGGTACATAGCAGAAGCAACGAACCAATATGCTTTCAACCCTGGTTGCACAGGATTCCTATAGGTAATGGCTCATGAGGACGAGCTCAAATTGTAAATTATAAAATTTATAAATTAGAGGAGGAAACGGTCCGCAAATTAGCCAGCACATATTATATGGCAGCAGGATTCAAGAACTTTAGGTGACATTCTAAGGGCGGCTATTAAATAATCTTCAAAATAAAATCTTTAAATAAAAGGATTCAAAACCCTAAGGATATAATGCTACTAAAAAAGCAATAGGTAGATGTTCAGAAACCCAGACAAATCTAGAAATTAAAAGCATGGTGACATTACAGATTCACTGGACATGTTAGATGGGTTAGGGACAGCAGAAAAGTGCATTAGAAACCAGATCTTAGGAAGTTACTAGAATACAGCAGAGAGAGAATAAAATTAAAATGTGGAAAGAAGGTTCAGAAACCTGGAGAATGTAATGAGGAAACTATTTACATATATCTTAATAGTCTGAAAAATAAAGTGATGAAAGGATTATGACTGAGAACTGTTCAGAATTGATGAAAAATTCAGCTCCTTAGATTCAAGGAGCACAAGTTCTACAGATACTAACTAATTCATGTAGATACTTTGAAGTGAAACTTAGAATATCAGTGATAAAGAGACAATCTCATGTGAGCCAAATAGAAGCCATAATTTTTACTCCATACACAGGCATTAAGAGCCTGGGCATTATGATAGGCTCTTTGGGGAAGGCAAGTGTAAAAATACAGTCCCAGTATTCAAGGACTTCACAATGTGGTAAAGAAAAATACACACTGTGGTAAAGAAAAGCATACACATGTACCAGAGTCTTGAAAGGAATACACAAAGTCAGGTCACTAGTTCTCAACTCAAGTCACTTTTTATAAAAAGTATTTTTATAGTCCCTTTTTATACTAAAATGAAAGTCATAGATAATATCTACGTTCATATAAAACTTTAAAGATATCAAATCATGTCCTAACAATAAGAGGAAAACTAAAAGAAAATACTAGTTTACAGCCAGTATTTCAATGTGTAACTGTTTAGACACATCACTAGAAAACAAGGCATCAGGTACTTATATTGACTTATAACGAATAAATTTAAAATTAAAAGATCAGTAACTATTTTGTATAGTTGCAATAGGAAAGTGAAATAAATAAGTGTAGATGGACCTCGGGGAAAAAAAAACTAGTTAAGGAAAAGTAATACTACCCAAGACTTTCCTATATTATAAGAGAGAGGACAGTAACTTTAATTGTAATAGGGATAACATGGTAAGACAGATTGGCATGACAACGTAGAGAAAATTTTTAAGACATTTCACAAGTGGGCTGGTCTTATTTACAGGTATAAAGTTAAGATCTCTATGTAGTGATAGATTGATGATAAAGAGTCATAAAAAGTATATCTCCATTCTGAAATTTGATGGGTCAAGGCATACATTCAGTCTTTAATGCCATAAAAAGATTTTGGAGATCATATCCTTGGATAATGAAAAATAGAGGATGCATTGGACAAAAGAATAGAGATTTAAGAAGTTTTATAGAGTTTGACCTCAGAACATTATCAGTAACATTGAAGACTAAGAGATAGCCCCAAATTAACTGTAGGGTATACATTTTTTACAACCTAGATTCCTTACTATGCTCCAGATTTTTATTTCTTCCCAACTTCTCAGAAAACAGAATGGCTGACCTAAATCATGTTTATATTTTGGACTTCTGTCTCCATAACCTCCATTTGAAGGTTGGGGTTGGGGGCAGGAAGTTTGACCTATTTTTTTCTTCTTTTCAAAGCAAAGTAAAAGCTACTACGTAATACAATGCTCCCTCACACTGGCTGTTTAAGGAAACATAGGATTTTAAGAGTAGAGAAGTATTCCATGTAATGGATTAGTGCCAACAAAGACACCGATGCAAGATGAGTATCACCAGCTCACCTGGGTGATTTGCCATTTTTATTGATAATTACCACCATTGTGGTAGAAAACATTTCCTTTTAATTTTCCCTTTTCATCTTAGACCTGCTCTTATTTTCCAATTTTCCATTGTTACTTTTTTTTTCTTGCCAGATTACTCCTGAAATGTTTTCTCATTTCATTCCCTTACTCTAGAATTGTGCTGTAGCCTCTAGACAAACATCCTTATTTAAATTTTAATTGAAATTAAAATTTTATTTCATCAAACTAGCAACATTCAACTTATGGCTAGTAGTCACTATATGGGACAACATAGAGATAGAACATTTTCATAATTGTAGAAAGTTCTGGACAGTGCTATTTCAGAACCTACTACTATCTTCCTCATTTCCAATTAGTTCATACTCTTCATTTTGTCATTCAACAACTTTTTTAGGTGTCTGTTAGTACACAGTGTAAGACTAAAGATCACAGAGGTGCTAAAATGTATTAAGAGTCTCCCTTAAGATGTTTATGAGCAAGTTATGGGGTAATCAAAAATAATAAAAGTCCAAGTATCAGTCCAAATACTTGTTACCAGTATTCAAGAGTGAGGGGGAAAGCTCATTTGCATATTAGGAAAAGTATTCCCATAGCAAGTTGGATTTGAGATGGACCTTAAAGGGTTAGGTGGGATTTCAGCAGGTAAAGATCTAGGCAGGAGACTACTTAGAAAAAGAATAGCTTCCTAGACACCAGAGAAGTAGAGAAGTGGTTTATTTAAGAAAAAAGATGCATTCTTCAGTGTTTCCTGTGTATGAGCTAATAGAAAGATAGTAACTAAAGTTTTAGAAAGTGTTGAAAGTCTAAGTCTAATTAATTTAAGTGATTAATTTCATTTGGAATTGAGACCCACATCAGGGGACCTAAAGAAAATGAGATATGAAAGAAATACGAGGGCCTGAACTAGAATTTAGGCAAAGAAGAAAAAGGGTGAGATTGAAACACAAGACATTGTTGAGAAGGAATTCACAGACTTTAACAGTTTAAACAAAATATCAGTGGGAATAAAATGTCATTTTTGAGGGAATGATAATTTCGTTAATACAAATATGGAGAATTTTTATTTGTGTAGGAAGCTGATACATTAATTTGACATATGAGATGTTTGCAGGACATTTTTTTAACATGTTGAATGGTGTTCGATATGGAAATGGGAATAAAGTGCTACATAAAACCTTCATGACTATTACTTGCGTCTAAAACTTCTATTCCAGCCAATACTGTATCACTTCATTCAAATATAGCCACTTAAGCTTCACATCATATCCCATTCTCATTCATAAAGTGCTCCAGTACCCACTAACCTATTTTCTTTCTGATGTTCACTGATTTTATTATCTGTGGAGCATATTTTGCCATGTAATCTTTTTTTGTTACCATTTCATACCTATTCCTTGTCTTCCCCAGCTAAATGGAAACGTCTCAGGTTAAGGATTCTGTCCTATCTTTGTGTATGCGTCCATCCCCTACTACAGCTAGCATGGGACAGGACAGGTACAGGGCTTAATACATAAATTGAGTAGCATAATAAACAGTTTAGGCTACATCTGAATTAAATCTATTATAATTACTTTGTAACACTTATTTCGAAATATGTTTCTTATTAGCAGAATGCATTTAATTCATATATCAATAAACTTTTAAATTGGCTGATTTTTTCCTTTTAGTTCAGGAAAACATTTTTAAATATGAGCATTGATAATGAGCCTTACTAAAAATGTTTTATGGCTTTTGCTTCTTATGTCTTTATGCTTAAATTTTATTAGATGTATCTCTTTTTCTGAAATTTCCAACTATTAAAAATAGTTATGTAAGAGTTTTAACTAAAATCTGGTTTGATTTTCAGATATATCATTGTGGTGGAACATGATCTAAGTGTATTAGACTATCTCTCCGACTTCATCTGCTGTTTATATGGTGTACCAAGCGCCTATGGAGTTGTCACTATGCCTTTTAGTGTAAGAGAAGGTAACTTGAAAAACTTTTTTCACATATGCTGTATTCTCTTCTACTCTAATGCTTATAAACTACATTATTGATATTAAGTAGTTTTACATTGGTCTGATATCATCCAAAACTCTAGTTCCTTGGAATTTAATCACTGAGCATATAAGGTTATATATATCAGTTGTTATACAAAATATATTTTTTTCATTTTGGAGAATTTTCTCCTGGGGATGGGTAGAAATGCAATGTTACTTTTGTTGGGGGTTGGGAGGCTACAGTAAAAGTCCTCTGCATTTTGGCTTCTGCAGTATTACTGTAGTATTTGTCATTTTCAAATTAACTTTGACAGGCCAATACCAGTAATGAAACTCTTAAAATGCTTTCAGTGTTCATCTTGTTTTCATGTTTTAAATTTATCTGTAATATGTATACTATGTTTTTGGAACTAAGGCTATCTAAAAACCTAATAAGATAGTTTAGTAAGTGTATTAAAATTTTCATTTAGTCTTTGTACTTCCAAGAAAATGAGATTCCCTGGCCTCTCCCTTCCATGTCTCCTCCTTACCTGTGTAATTTAAGCAAAAATAGAAACTAGCGTACCACTAAGTGGCTCCTTAAAAAAAAGTACCAATGTACTCTCTGCCTTCAATACCTTTTTCCTTTTTTTCTTCCCATTTTCCTTTCACTGCTTCCTTACTTGTGTCTTATTTTTATTTTTCTCTCCACCTGTCTTAAACTGACAATTCAGAACACTAAAAGGGCTGTTTACTCAGGAAAAAAATACCATCTCCTAGAAGTAGAAAAATTCATGTAGCCTGTAGTTCCCTAAGAGGTGACAGGTTTTTTGGTTTCTTTCTTTCTTTTTTTTTTTTTTAATCTTGGAGGAATCTTTTTTATACCTAAAAGCTCTTTTGGAAAAATAAATTTATATTGCATTATAATCCTTTTCATAAAAAGATATTGGGAGTTTTTATAATTTATAAAAAGTACATAAATATTAAGATGTGGGGAAGAAATGGTTGTAACTTACCTACTTATACATTTGAGATAGATGCATACTTTAAAGAAAAATTTGCAGTTACCTAGTTTTCTTGCCAGTAGTCTTAAGGGATGACATCAGAACAAATTTATTAATGTTTTATTCTTGTCAATTAACAAATATGTATTGAGTACCTTACTCTATACCATATGGTAGTCTTTGAATCAAGTTGATAATAATATGGGTACTCGGCAGTCATTCTTCACAACTCCAGTTATAAATGTCATGTCTAAAGGCTGTGCCATTCAGTAAATGGTACCCAGTAAGGTTTTTAATGTGCTCGATCTATTAAAACAGCTTAAGAAACTTTAGTTTTTCTCTGTTCCTTTAATATATTGAAATCAGTGCAGCATACTTAAAAGCTTTCTATAAACTGTAAAGGTGATTATGGTTTGAACTCATTTTTAAATTGACAAGACAAACATTGAAGTAGGACTGTAAAGACTGACTTGCTGTGTTTTTTTTAAACGAAGTCACTTAGTTCTTTGAGCCTTTATTTTCCAAAATAAGTTAGGTATTTGAACCAAGTGGCTGCTAAGGTTCCTTTGAGTTTATGTTTTTATGTAATTGTTTTTATTTAATTTTTTAACTTCACATTTATAGGTTTTAGATAGTTTAAGATCAAAAAACATGCTGATTTTGGCAAAATAAATGTAATCTGTTCATTTGTTCTGTCAGCAAAGATGTATTGAACACCTGTGTTCTAGGATGAGGATACAGGCTGCATGATGTGTCTCTCAGTTCCAAATAAAATGAATAACGTCAAGACCTTCCAAGAAACTTCAGCTTTCTCTTCACTTAAATATAGGAAACACTGAAATATGGATTATTCATTGTTTCTCAAATACGCTTTTCATTTCAGTGTGTCTGCCATTGTAGATCTTAAAATTTTATTACAGAGGGTTCTTGTATACAATGTGGATTTAAGTTATTAAAATCTGTTTAGATAATGGTTGTTATCTTTGTACAGTGAAGCCATTAAAAAAATGTTAACTGGAATTAGCTCATATTCAATTTCATATGAACCTGCAGGATTAATTTTTTTAAAGCAATAAATTATAACCTCAAAATATGTGCTTATGTCTCATATGAAATTAAATATTGATAACATTGTATATTAAAAAATTTATCCCCCAAACTTTTATATCAATATTACATCAATCTGAAAATACTCTTACATATTTGTCATTTTCGCTTTAAAGATAAAGCAAAAAGGACATCATGTGCTCTCTTTTGCATAAAACCTGATGGAAAAAGTAATTACAGGATAATGAGAAGATGTACTTCATGTGGTTGGGGGGGACATGCATATATATTCATGAATTATTTAAACTTACATTAAATATATATAGTTTTTTAAGTTACTTCTTTATATGCAGACCAACATGTTAGCAAAAATCCACAGAAATTTAAAGTATATAGTCTATAGATTGCTCCCAAGAGAGCTTAGGATTTTGGCTCTAATGATTTCTCCCGGTTGACAATTTTCTTCCCAACAGGCATAAACATTTTTTTGGATGGCTATGTTCCAACAGAAAACTTGAGATTCAGAGATGCATCACTTGTTTTTAAAGTGGCTGAGACAGCAAATGAAGAAGAAGTTAAAAAGATGTGTATGTATAAATATCCAGGAATGAAGAAAAAAATGGGAGAATTTGAGCTAGCAATTGTAGCTGGAGAGTTTACAGATTCTGAAATTATGGTGATGCTGGGGGAAAATGGTAAGTTTTCTGTTTTGTGATAAGTAAAAATCTTCCTGTTTATCTAGTAAATTAGTTTTAACTGTTTTGTGGAAAAATTTGAATCATATGTTATAGGGCTAGAAGCAGAGTTTTATTTAAACCCACAAATTTCTTAGTGTACTTTCACATTTTTTTGGCATTGTGTAATTCAATTTCACTGTAATTCAATCAGGTTAATAGTTCTTATTTTGTTTTATAACCTCTAGTGAAAATAAGGTGTTCTTTGTCAGCTGGTTTTTTACATGTAAATTGATAAGGCAGTTATTAATCTTATAAATTGACTAAGATGGAAAGGATAAATGGTGATTCAGAAATAATCCAGCTTTAAAAATTTTTTCCTCATACACTTCAATGTGGAACTTTTCTTATTTTAAATTCAGAGCAATCTACCTTTGTAAATAATTGTATTACCAGCATATATTTCATAATAAATTGTCATAAGTGTAGATATAAGATGAATTTGACTACTAAATATGTGATATTGCCTTCATGATTTAAGAACTATTTGAATTGTAATCTTACAGCTTACAAAACTATAGAAGATAAATTTTATATAAAGATTGTTACAATGTATCAGTCTTTAGATAATGGGAATTTTGAATTGGGTTGCAATTAATTTAAATATTTTATATAAGTAAACTTTAAAATTACAGTTATCTTTCATAAAACAGTCTATACTGTCTTAATAAATTGTGTGCCCTGATAATTTAGCTAAGTAGATCTTTTCAAACTATTGCAGGATTTAAACTTTATAGACATACCATTTATTAAAATTGTCATAAGCTTTGACTAGTCTTTATTCCTCTTAATTACCTTAGAATGACACTTCAGAGGTGAGCCATGAAAGACTTAAGTATTTTTCTATATAAACTTCAGAATTCAATAATGTCAGTGTATATCTTTAAAACAAATTTCTCAGTTAAAACCAAATAGGACATAGTGATTTACTTTAAACGTCAAGCATCTTTCAGATCAAACTGTCATATGTTGTGTTGCCAGGAACGGGTAAAACGACATTTATCAGAATGCTTGCTGGAAGACTTAAACCTGATGAAGGAGGTACATTTGTAACTGTTGAGTCTTTTTACTCTGTTTTACACAGTAAACTTTAAAGATCTGGGCAGTTTTTAGTGTCTTATGTATTTCATTATTTTGCAGGAGAAGTACCAGTTCTAAATGTCAGTTATAAGCCACAGAAAATTAGTCCCAAATCAACTGTGAGTTATTATTTTTTATATGGTTACTAAAGAAAATTTTGTATATATGCCTATAGCTTTCATCTTTTACTATATTAAAATTTTTCTCCAAATTAGATTCTATACAGTTTTATTGATAGTTGCAAACAAATGTATTAAGAGTCCAATCCTTGATTCATATCCACTGCTAAGAAAGTGCTTTAAAGATATTTGTCATCTTTGGCCGGGTGCAGTAGCTCACGCCTGTAATGCCAACACTTCGGGAGGCCTAGGCCAGCAGATCACGAGGTCAGGAGATCGAGACCATCCTGGCTAACATGGTGAAACCCTGTCTCTACTAAAACTACAAAAAACTAGCCGAGCGTGGTGGCAGCGCCTGTAGTCCCAGCTACTCAGGAGGCTGAGGCAGGAGAATGGCGTGAACCTGGGAGGCAGAGCTTGCAGTGAGTGGAGATTGCATCACTACACTCTAGCCTGGGCGACAAAGCGAGAGTCTGTCTCAAAAAAAAATAAAAAAATAAAGATGTTTGTCATCTTTTTGCTAAATAAATAATTAAAAACCTAATGTATTTTGTGCTGCAAATTGACAACAGCAAGAAGGTGAAAAGGCTTTACCCACAAGATGGGAGAAACATTTGCACATCATATATCCAATAAAGGACTTGTATCCAGCATGTATAAAGAACTCTTATAATTAAAAATGAGCAAATGTCTTTTAGTTATTCAGCCATAAAAAGAAATGAAATATTAACAAATGCCACAGTCCTTGAAACCATTCTGTTAAAGTTAACCTCCTTTGATTTCTGCGGGTGTTGTAATGAACTCCTCAGTACCTCAACATTCAATTTATGTTTTGTCTACTTGGCTTAGCTTACCATAAAAGTTTTGTCATTGATGCTCTCTATAAGCTTAGCTTTAAATTCTAAAATTCAGCCTTATCCTGAAACAGCAAGGAAAAGCCATCTTAGGATTCATCCCTAGCACATTATCATGCATTTTGTGTTCTCTTACTGATTGCCTAAGGTTGCTTGATACCCACTTTGACCTTTGGAATTTCTACTCTTAAATGATTTTTCCTCTGAAACATTCATTATTTGCTTATTACTTTCTAATTTTAAAATTATTGCAGGGGCTGTGGAGTGGAAAAAAAAAAAAGATTGTTGCAGGCTGGGCATGGTAGCTCACGCATGTAATCCCAGCACTTTGGGAGGCTGAGGCAGGAGGGTCACTTGAACCCAAGAGTTTAAGACCAGCCTGACCAACAGATTCCGCCTCCACAAAAACTTAAAAATTGGTTCAGCATGGTGGTGCATGCCTGTAGTTCCAGCTCCTCTAGAGGCTGAAGTGGGAGGATCGCTTGAGCTTGGGAGGTTGATGCTGCAGTGAGCCCTGATCATGCCATTGCACACCTGGGCAATGGAGCAAGACCCTGTCTCAAAAGAAAAAAAAAAATTCCTTTTTACTTGTTGGACATGATGGGTTTTGAATAGAAAATCTCAAAACATGTCATAGATGGTGGATACACATTGATATCTGTTGGTGGCAAATTGATATACTTTTATTCTGAAGCTTAACTTTGTCAAGATTCATAAATAGAAGAGTTCTATAGTGAAAGTTTATCATTTAAATACTTTTTTATATTAAAAACAGGGAAGTGTTCGCCAGTTACTACATGAAAAGATAAGAGATGCTTATACTCACCCACAATTTGTGACCGATGTAATGAAGCCTCTGCAAATTGAAAACATCATTGATCAAGAGGTACTTTAACATAATTTTTTTTATTTTTTTATTATTTTGAATTTTGGATGCCTTTACATGGTTTGCTAAACTCCTCCAATTAGGTGCAGACATTATCTGGTGGTGAACTACAGCGAGTAGCTTTAGCCCTTTGCTTGGGCAAACCTGCTGATGTCTATTTAATTGATGAACCATCTGCATATTTGGATTCTGAGCAAAGACTGATGGCAGCTCGAGTTGTCAAACGGTAAATATCTTGCTCCTAGCCATATTTTGATTATGTATACTGTCCTACAAGTGTGCTTAATATAACAGTCGAATGTTTTATGATAGAAAGCTATAAGATTTCAAAATCATTGTGTTTTAGTTTCATACTCCATGCAAAAAAGACAGCCTTTGTTGTGGAACATGACTTCATCATGGCCACCTATCTAGCGGATCGCGTCATCGTTTTTGATGGTGTTCCATCTAAGAACACAGTTGCAAACAGGTAAAATTACTTTTTAATATGTTCAAAGTAATTCATTTTAAATTTTCCAGTAAATAGTAAAGTCACTCACTTTAATTTTTAAAAAATGAAAGCTAGAAATTCTAGACTTGATTCTGTGACTCCTGAGATCATTGGTATTGGGGACTGGATGGGACCATGTGGAAGAGTAGTGTTTAGGCTTCAGTGTGGAATCCCTCACCAGGAAGATAAAAAGCTGTAGGCCACAGCATAAAAAGCTGTGGGCCCCTCACCTTTTCTCAGCTTAACTTTTGTTTGCTTTATTATTTGAATTTCCCAAAAAAGATTGAAAACTATTGCTTTCATACATGATAGAAAAAGAAAACAAGATTAAAGAGGTTACATGATTTGTCCAACTTATGCTGACAGTGATTGAGCTCACAGTGGATCCCAAATATCTGGTATTAATCTATAGCAGAGTTAAAATAAATGGTTTTACTTTTTTCGTTTTTTCTTCTCATTTTTCCTTGTTAGCCTGATTAAGAGCACTTGCAATATAGAGAAGCCTAACATTCAGATCAAGTTATGAGAAATTCATTTTACCTTTAGTGCTAAAGCCTATATTATTAGATTGAACTAAATGAAATTACTGGTGTTCAGTTTTCACCTATAAAACCAGCAGTTTCATGTGGTTTCAGCATGTTTTCTGGTATTGGAGAGCAAGGAATGGAGTTGCCATTTTAATAATTCATCTAAGAAATAAAAGTATTTTGCTGGGCTTCTTCCCTGAATTCCTTTTTTTTTTTTATAAATTGAGAATTACATATTTCTTAAAGAGCTAGGGAAATTTCTTAGCATATGTGATGTTTATTTGTTCATCTAGTGATATCCCACCTTTCTATTTACAAAATTTTAAAATGTTTCACATGTATGTTGTGATTTGGCATGATTTAAGAACTCACTTGGGTAAAAACGATTAAGCATAGAAATTTAGAAAGGAATTGTCACTGAAAACCACTATTAGGAGGACATATTCCCTCCAGTAACAAATTTTTCATATAAATATAACTTTTTAAGATTCTCATCCCCCCTAAAAATGTGCAATTGGAGATTCTGTAATCTACTTATTAATTATCTTCTGTTTTTCTAAAGTAGTACTTCTATCTTAAATGTTTCTTTCACCAGATTAGAAATCCAGGTTAAATTTTTTTTTTGTTTTGCACAAAAATATTACAGCCAAGAAAACTATATAGTCCAAGCAAAGCTATTTCTGAACACAGGATTTGTAATATGCTGTTATTATACTGTTATCCAGATGATTTATGATTGGGGAATTTGAGGTAATAGTAATTCTTAATACCCTTCCTCTCAAAAGGTAGTTACATTTCTGAAGTAAAATTTAATCAAAATTGATTTTTTTTTTTCTCTTAGTCCTCAAACCCTTTTGGCTGGCATGAATAAATTTTTGTCTCAGCTTGAAATTACATTCAGAAGAGATCCAAACAACTATAGGCCACGAATAAACAAACTTAATTCAATTAAGGTATGTAGAAAAGTTGTCTTAAATCATGGATTACTGATCTCAGTATAAACACTTGAAAGGCTATTTAAAAATCAATAACATATGGCTGGGCACAGTGGCTCACACCTGTGATTCAAGCACTTTTGGGAGGCCAAGGCAGGCAGATCACTTGAGGTCACGAGTTTGAGACCAGCCTGGCCAACATGGTGCAACCCCATCTCTACTAAAAATGCAAAAATTAGCCGAGTCTGGTGGCAGGTATCTGTAATCCCAGCTACTTAGGAGTCTGAGGCAGGAGAATCACTTGAACCTGGAAGGTGGAGGTTGTAGTGAGCTGAGATCATCCCACTGTACTCCAGCCTGGGCAAAAGAGTGAGACTCTGTCTAAAAAAATAAAAATAAATTAAAAAACAACCATATTTTATTTTAAAATTCCTATGTTTTTTACATTTTAAGACCTGATGGCATACTTTAGTGTGCGGTAGGCAGCAATTGTAATGTAGCTGTCATTGCTGTGTGAACTCAAGAGCTCTTCCTGTTTTCTCTTTAAGTTGTATCACAGTTGTACTACCTATATTGATTACCACTTAAAATGTCTGGGGAAAGATTACACTAATTCACCATTGTAACAAAGAATTTTTTAAGAATACCTTAACCAATTTCTGTTATATTTTTCAATACATGATTAAAAGGTGTATTTTAGGCCAAGCGCAGTGGTTTATGCCTGTAATCCCAGAACTTTGGGAAGCCAAGGAGATCGAGACCATCCTGTCTAACGGTGAAAACCCATCTCTACTAAAAATACAAAAAATTAGCCAGGCGTGGTGGCATGCGCCTGTAATCCCAGCTACTCGGGAGGCTGAGGCAGGAGAATCACTTCAACCCAGGAGGTGGAGGTTGCAGTGAGCTGAGATCGTTCCACTGTACTCCAGCCTGGGCAACAGAGCGAGTCTCTGTCCCTGCCCCCGCCCCCGCAACCCCCGCAAAAAAAGTATATTTTGAAAGTCTAAACAAGCTCCTGTGATGAGGAAAACATTGTGTCTACTTAATTGACAATGTTTTTTGTCTTTGTAGTTCACAGTTGTGCACCCTACAGTTGATTTCCTCTGTGAAATACAGTATTTGTTTCTTAAAAGGCAAAAATCTTAGTCACTCAGAAACAGAAAGTAAATGAACTCTAAAAGCATTTCTGGGTTGTTTTTTTGGTTTTGGTTTTAGTTGTTTGTTTTTTTGAGGCAGAGTCTCACTCTCTCACCTAGGCTGGAGTGCAGTGGCGTGATCTCGGCTCACTACAACCTCTGCCTCCCGAGTTCAAGCAATTCTCTGCCTCAGCCTCCCGAGTAGCTGGGATTACAGGTGCCCACCACCACACCCGACTAATTTTCTGTATTTTTTTGATAGAGATGGGGTTTCACCATCTTGCCCGTGCTAGTCTTGAACTCCTGACCTAGTGTTCCACCTGCCTTGGCCTCCCAAAGTGCTGGGATTACAGGCGTGAGCCACCATGCTGGCCATCATTTCTGTTTTTAATATCTGCAGTGCCTCAAAGTGTTTACATTTTATCACTCTGTATCCATCATCCTTAATGCTTAAAAGCTTTAGAAGTATGTTATACATACTTCTGCTGTAGCATTTATTTTCATATTTGTAGTCCTAGCTTTGCTGCTAAACCATGAGCTCTTGGAATGCCAGAGGCAAAGTTATCTTGCACGTCATTGTATTCTTAAGCACCTAACAGTATGTCTGGATGCCTTTTTTCTGATTGATATTACTTCTTGGCCAGGATAGAGAAATGGTTAAGTTCTCACATAAAATTGAAGAGTTTTCTCAGTTTTGAAAAGCATATTGGGTAGAAAAGAAGAATTTCTTTGGAAGCATTAAGGACACTTTGTATTGTCATTTTCTTAGACAGACTTATGGTTCAGTCACCATGAGTTATCATTTCTGTATGCCTACTCATCTTAAGATTGTCATACCTTAATCCTAATAAGAGAACAGCTCAACAAGTAGGTAGGTGAGATTGTTACTGGCCAGTATTGGAAAAAACTTTATATATATATATTTTGTGTAGTAGGCAGATCTCAAACTGACAGTATGCTGCATTTTGAATCTGGAGATAAAAGTTGCATTGATGAAAATGGAATTTAATAGTTTTCCTAGAAATAATAACACATAGCAAAATTTTATATATGTGAGGCATCTTATATAAAGGGACTTTACTTGAGTTGGTGCAAGTGAGTCATTCTAGCATTAGGGATGGGGCAGAGGTAGTTATCTTTCCTTTGAGCAGTGGACCCAGGAATATCCAGAAACAGATGGTATGTGCAGAACAGGTTGTACAGGCACTGTTTTAAGCACAGCTAAGTAATACCATGAGTGAAAGTCTACTTTTACCTATAGTAGAATCGTGTTGCTGATTTTTGTGGCTTCTGTTTTCTTTTTTAGGATGTAGAACAAAAGAAGAGTGGAAACTACTTTTTCTTGGATGATTAGACTGACTCTGAGAATATTGATAAGCCATTTATTAAAAGGAGTATTTACTAGAATTTTTTGTCATATAAAACTTGAATCAGGATTTTATGCCCCACATACTCTGGAACTTGAAGTATAATATACTTAATATAACATAAAAAGCCAGTTGGGTTCTAAATTGTAGTTGAAACACAGAAAATGCCACTTTTCTGTTCCTGAAGAGGCTCTTTTGTGCATAATATTCTAAAATGAAGACATTTCAAGCTATACAAATTACTTCCAAGTTTTCATGATGTATGGGAAGATTTTCAGTAGGTGTATTATATTCACGGTACCAAATGCTGACCAGTGTTGCTCCATTTTTTAAATCTTGAAAAGGGTTTCTGTACTTACCTGGTTTGCCAAGTATGCCAGTGTAATGAAACTGCCCTTATTTTAAAAGCCAGTCAAAGATTCCACTGATTGACATTTGATAAATAAACATCAGGATTATGTTTATTGTTTGTTTTCAGTCTTTGCACTATATTACCAGTATATGGTTTCCGAGGAAGATTATCTACTGCAAAACACCACTGTTGGAAAAATAGGTATTTTTAAATTGTTTTTAATCTTTTTTGGTGCTTTTAAACATGTTTAGCAAAAACCAATTCAGTTCCATTCCCCGCAAAAAACCCCTAACTTTACTCTGAACTTTTTTTGTTTTTGCATTCCATGAGGTTCTGTATTCAGTCATTCTCTAGGTAATGTCATTTTTGTACACATATATTTATATAATCACTGATTGAGATTTAGGAAAAAGCATTTCTAAAGAATATTTGCTTCCCTTAGAACTACAGACTCGAAATCTTTAAAGATGGTGCCTAAGCATCTATGTATTTTTTTTAAGTTCCACAGATTTTTCTGTTGGGCAGCCAAGGATTATAAACCACTTCCCTAAAGGCAACATTAATGCAAAAGTCCCCAGATGGCAATACAAAGTATCCCCTGGTACCACATATATTCATTTGTGAGTTTGGATATAGAGCACATTATCTAAACCATTTTGTAGTTCCAAAAACCCATCTAAATTTCTTGAGTTCCTGAATTTTGAACAGGATTACCTGGAGCCTGGAGCCACTTTAAGTTGTACTTCTGACTAAACTGGAATTATGAGTGAGGAAGAGTGTTTACTAAATAAATGACTGGGGCAAGCAAAATTGAGGAGGAAATTAGAAACTGTTTGACAAACTTTAAGAGCTACTTGAAATAACAGAAGTCTTGATTAATATGCAAATAATGGCTAGAAAGTATGGTTTAACTGGACCCTATTATGCCTTTTAAAAATAATTTCAGTAACCCATAAATACATGTTGTAAAAAATTCAAATATACAGAATGGAATAAAAAAATGATCTCCCTTTATTACCCTCCCAAAGGTTACCAGCGTTTGAATTTAATAATGTATATTCTTTCATGCTTTTTTCTGTGCACTTACCTAAGTGTGAATATGTAAAGGGTTTGTTTTGTATACAAATGGGATTATACTAAAATAAGTAATGCCTATTTTTAAGGATAGGTTAAATTTGTGAATGATCATTTCAAATATATTGAATAAAATAAGCAAAAGCTATTGTTATTTACTGATCCTGGATTGTCTTAAAGAAAGTACTTGTGATATAAGAGCACAGTTCTACTTACTGCTAATGACAGAATATGTATTAAACGTATTTTCATGTAAATGAAATCTTTAAAATATGTATCTTAAAATTTTACATAGCAACAGAAAGGCCTACAATTGCTAACACAAGAAAAATACTTATAAAATCAGTATAAAATCAATGCAGATGTTAGCAAAAGAATGAGACTACTTCATATGTCCTAATTGGAAAAAGTCTCAAATACTTAAAAAAACAAAAAACTGGAACAGTTTATTATACTACCATTTTTGTGAAAATATACAAAATATTGAAATAAAGGAATACTCAAGAAACAGATTGCTTTTGACAAGGACAATTTGATCAAAGAATAGACGGGAAAAGGAGACATTTATATATACACATATATAATACCCTTTGAATTTTACACTTTGCATGTGATTATAAATCATTGAAATTTTGGGGGTTTTTTTTTGTTTGTTTGTTTTGAGATGGAGTCTCGCTCTGTCACCCAGGCTGGAGTGCAATGATGTGATATTCACTCACTGCAACCCGCCTCCTGGGTTCAAGCAATTCTGCCTCAGCCTCCTGAGTAGCTGGGATTACAGGCACCCACCACCACACCCAGCTATTTTTGTATTTTTAGTAGAGACGGAGTTTCACCATGTAGGCCAGGCTGGTCTCAACTGGACCTCAGGTAATCCACCCGCCTTGGCCTCCCAAAGTGCTGGGATTACAGGCATGAGCCACCGCGCCCAGCCATTGAAGTTTTTAAATCGTCATTGGATAATAATAGTGGCATCTGTAGCCACTTCTCTCCACATTTGAGATAATACTGGATAATCCATATTTTCTGTGTTCACTTAGTGTAGTCTTAAAGGCAGTGTATTGATGCTACAACTGTTTTTTGCAATTTAGGTTAACCTAATTTTAGACTACAAGCATTCTGAAGTCCAGTCTTGTATCTGTCTTAACACTCAGTATATATAGCATGGTGTCTGGCATGTAGTGGCCTACTGTATTGAAGGAATGAACCTGCATGCCACAGAGAAAGTAGGAAGACTACAAAACTGCTGTGTTGTATAATTTCCTTCATGTTCATCAATATACTTGGATACAGGTATGTCAAGTCCTTAACCCCAGTGCCTAGTCTGCTGTGAGCACTCAGTGAGTGGTTCAGAAGAGAAAGTAATCATTCTGAGTTGGAATGTCAGAAAGGACTACATAAAGGAATTAGGTCCCAGGAAAGAGTAACAGCACCCATCTTACTGAGTTGTTAAAAGGATAAGTGAGATAATCTACCTAAAGCAAAATACATGTCTGGTGAGAGGCAGAAAGGAACATGGGCATTTAAGAGATTAATGGAAGGAAATGATGGATATGGGCAGATTGTGATGAGCTTTCTGTGCCTTCCAGATTGAAGTTAGTTTTTTACATGCTGAAAGTAGTAGGACTTGAAGAGACAAAGCAAGGCCAGTTAGAGAAGCGGAAATATCCAGACAGTAGTTGTTCCGGAGCTTCTACTTTAATTTTTCACCGCTTTGTCTTAATTTTTTTAAGCATTTCTACTCTGTCCACTTAATACATGCAGGTCTAAACTTGGCTGTATACTGTGCTGACTGTTGCTCTTGGAAGATTGTTTCCTTTGTAGTGTTTCAGTTTGTGAGCAGATGTTCAGTGAGGCTGTATCTGAAAATTCTGAGATTTTGTGTGGCAAATATCATTTATCCTCAGCCCTGTACTCACCACCACTACCACCTCCTCTGCCAATGCCCAGTCCCACGTGGTTGGTCATAATTGGTCTAAGACATAGAAAATCCTCTTCCATACTTTCCTAGTCTCTTGCAGTTAAGCCATATGACCTAACTGCAAGAGAGTTCTAGCCAGTAAATTGAAACCTCTTGAGGTTTTTCTAGAAAATACCTCAAGAAAACCTCGTTTTCCTAATAAAGGGAGATTATCATCTGGTACTGCTTCTTGAGGGTGTAATATATGGAGCAAGCATTTCATGCCCAGAAGGTGACACATATAAGGGAAATGCAAAACAAGCTACAAGAATGTTACTCCTGACATTAAAATGCTGCACAACTGCCAGCAGCCACTTCTCTCCACATTTCTTGAGAAATAAATCCCTATTTGTTTAAACCTGGTTAAGTCAAACTGGTTTCCTGTTTGCCATCAAGAAAGGTCTTTTCCTTGAGAGGCTCTCCATTTGCCTTCTGCCAGGGGAGCCAAGTGTGTTACCACCCTGGAACCACTTTTCAGTTTTCCTAGTTTGTGAGTTTCTGGACCTCAAACCTAAATGAATGTGGTAACATTTTCAGTGGTTGTTTTGTTTTTTGCCTTTAAGAAACTGGATCCCAGGCCAAGACAGTTTTGTCTGGGAATTTTTAATTTCACTCCTTTTCGCTGGGGTGACTCTGGCTTTAATGAAAATGTTAGTTCCAGCTCCCAACCTTGCATGTGCCTAAGTATAGGTCTCCCATGTCAATGGTCACTTTATATCTGTGCTTCTGGTTTCTTGTCTCCATTTATAAAAGTATCTTATAAAACTATACAGGACTTAAATGCTTTTACTACTAGTTTGGAAGGATGCAACAAGTAACAAATATATCCCTAGATAGGTAAATTGCAGTAGTTTGTTTTCTATTTGATCTGGAGGTCGTTAGTCCAAAGTCAAGGTTCTCATTTTTTTTAAAAAGAAATTGGCTTACTACACAGAATTTTGTTATCAATCGGTTAACCTGCCAGTTCAGTTAAGAATATTCATAGGGATAGGAGGCCTTAAGAACCACACTCATCTACATTTACATCTTTTTTTTTTTTTGAGACGGAGCCTCACTGTTGCCTAGGCTGGAGTGCAGCGGCACGATTTTGGCTCACTGCAACCTCCGCCTCCCAGGTTCAAGTGATTCTCCTGCCTCAGCCTCTCCTGCCTCAGCTGGGATTACAGGTGCGTGCCACCATGCCCGGCTAATTTTCGTATTTTTGGTAGAGACAGAGTTTCACCATGTTGGTTAGGCTGGTCTCGAGCTCCTGACCTCGTGATCCACCCGCCTCAGCCTCCGAAAGTGCTGGGATTACAGGTGTGAGCCACCACGCCTGGCCTACCATTAACATCTTTAATCTTTGTAATGCTTTTTACTAAATGTGAAAAATAAAATATAATTACAGGAATGTTATGTATTTTTAAAGGATTGCCTCTAAAGCCCCAGTTTCTCTAATGAATTCATTATAGAAAAACCAGTTTCAAAAACTGATGTTTATACCTATGTCTGTCTGTAGCTTTTCTTAGAAAACCCTATTAAACTATTCTGAGGGGTCCACGTTTCATGAAGAACTCACAGATTAAGTTAGGGTGCAAAAGTTTATGAAGGGAAGCTGTGTTTAACTTCCTCTTTCATAGTTACTTACATTCTCATACTATGCCCTAGACCCAGACCTAAGTCTTTGAATGAAAAGGGAAAGTTTAATTATTCAAAGTGAAAAGCAGGCCCTTTGTATCAGACACTTTTTGGAGACCGCTGACTTAATTTGGGTCACTGCCATGCACTTCTGGAGTGACCAATTCTGCAAGAGCCCCCCATCCAGCCACAAACACACCTCTTACTAACCAGCCCCAACACTGGCTTCTCTTATTGACTCCATGGATAAACCCACGGGCATACTGCCAAGAACCTAATGTTTCCTTTCTCCTTCCTTTCTCCCTTTCCCACAAGGTTCTATATTTTACTCAGCTCCTAAAGCAGTCTCAAAAGTTCCACATGCCAACTCTCGTTACCTTTATAACAGCTCATCCTCCTTCCCAGCCTGCTGACCCTGTTCCTAGATCACTCACTTTTCTGTCAAATACTTGAACTGAAAGAGGCTCTTGTTTCAGGTTCGGCCTCCTGAGGAAGCCAGGCTAACAGAAAGTTCATATTGTATGTAAACAAGTATTGACTTGATAATATTCTTTGGTAACTTTTATAAAGAAAAACAGGCTTTAAGAAATTGAGTTTTCAGAGTATAAAGTAAGTATACTTTGTTTTCAAAACACTCAATTTGCTTTCACCTTTAGCCAACATAAATATCACTGAATGCTAAATGTAAAAACCATTAAAAAACAATTTAATCCATATTCTTAGATATTCTGCACATTCCCATTTAGTCATTGCAGAAAAAAAATGGTAGCACTAGCTATAAAATCACTTAAAACTAGACTCAAATACAAGTCCTACCACTTACTAGTTGCATAACCCTAAGCAAGTAACTTGGCCTCAATTTCGTTATATAAACTAGGGAAAATTACACAGTACCCATAGATTATAAATTCTACATGGCTTTTAGTTGCATGTATGAGAATTGTCTTCTAGCTGGAAACATGTCATGGAAATCATTTATTTTAAGGAGTTTACAAAAATTCTCAAGATCTACATGCTATATTACCTGGTTAACCCTGGAACCAAAGAATCACAAGCAGAATCAAGAGACAAAATTTAATATATGCACACAGTTTTATATATAATGCAGCATCACACCATGTAGGGCATTTACTCTTATTTTATACATTCAGATATGTTTGAAACACTTCTTAAGGCTACAAAACAGAACATAGAAAAATAAACAGGAATATATTCAACACTTACAAAAAGTGATATGATAAAGAATATAAAGTACTAGTTTCCTTTTAACACTTCAAAAGATATGTATATATACTTTTTTTTACAAGTAACATCACAAATGATCACATCTTCACATGCTCTTAAAGTATTATTTGTACTCAGTGTAAGGCTATTATCGTTTTTCATACATAAAATTTTCTAGCTCTGTAACACAATGCAATTTTTAATCCATTCAAGTAAGTTCAACCCCAAAGTTGCCGCTTCCCAGCATTAAGACATGCACCCACCCCTCTTCTAAGATTTTCTAAAACTTGTATTTCGGGGAGAAAGACCTCTTTTAAAAAATAATCCCAATTAGTGGGAGAGTAAATGGCTGACATTAGTAGCAAAACCTTAGTTATCTGAAAATAACATATTGGAAATGAGACATTATTAGGATTTTAAACAAACAATAGCATTTAGACATAAAGTAGGAAGCAAAATACAGTAAACAGAAATAGTGTAGCCAAATATGCATTCTCTTCAGCTACACTAGAGTGGACCTTGCTTAGTACCCTTAAGTAAAAGACAAAACATTTACCTCATCTAAAAATGAAGGTAAAACGAAAGAGGCAAAAATAAATATTGCTAGTTTCTAGGATGGCTGAATGTTTTCTAAACCAGAAATGGTTAGAAAGGAACTTTATTGCACCAAGTCAATCATAAGCAAGTTTGCAGTTCACAGGCATTTTAATTCAACCTTGAGTCACAAAGGAAACAACACGCTGCAAGAATACAGTCTGCATTAAATAAGATATATCAGCATTGTGGTCTGGGAAAACCTATGCTTGCCAGGACAAGGCAGGGTCTGAGCTTAGGTCTGCCATGAAAATGAATTTGTGGGTTATCAGTAAACAGTATGAGGACTACACAGATGCCAGCATCCTGCTGCCAAGGAGACATGGGGCAAGAGTTGAAGATTTGAGAGGAAATGAAGAGACATACACAACACCAAAGGGAAAAGGGGGCTGGAATCAAGTTCAGCCAAAGCACCTAACACAAAAAACAGGTGAGCTTTGGTCAGTCTGTTCTTCAAAATATGTATGATCATAATATGGTGAAGTTTCATAATTTCCAACTCAAAAATACAAATGATCCTCAGTTCTATACTTTTGCCTCTATTCTCTTATAAAGAAATATGTCAACATAACAGTATGACATAACAGTTAAAATGAAGGACAAAAGCTTGCTTATCCTTAGTTTGACCTCAGCATAAGGCAAAATCCCCTGGACTAATACATTTAAAAACAAACTTAAAGGAAAAAAAGCGAAACCAACCTTCATGCAAAGATTAATTTTAAAACTATCAAAAGTCAGTTCTTTTATTCCAGAGGTCACTGAGAAAAGTACCATCTGCTAAAATTCTCTTTCAAGCACTTCTTCCATCATATCCTAGAGGTGAGATATGGGAAACAGAAAGCAAATCAGTGTTTCCTTCAGGAGCTATATTCTGTTACTCAATTGAGGTAAGACAAAGTGACAATGAAGATATGAGTAGTATTTCCTTCCAATTTTTAAACATTTTCAGAAGCTGAGATCAAACCCCAGTCAATAAAATGCAGGACACTAGAAGCAACAACTTATTTTGGACTCCTGAGATCAAACACATTGAACTTTCAAATCTGGTGTTTGTATCAAAATGTGATTTTCATTAAAATCAGGTAAGCTAGTCCTACATAAAAAAGCATGAGCTGAAAGTGGAGGACCCTCTATCTTCTCATTCCTTAACTGAGCCACCGATGTTAAGAAAAAAATGGCTTAAGCGGTACCTTCAACAACTATTCTAGTTAAGAAGGTGACAACAAATTCCTTTCAATAGGTTCTCTCAAGAAAAGTTTTCCACACAACCATCCCAGTCTTTACAATTTTTTACCTAGCACCATCATAATAAAATGTTATCTTTCAAAGTGCTCTCTAAAATCCTGTTACATTATCTAAATGCTAATCACTACTCAAATCAGCAGTTACACAGACGTTAGGTAATTAAAACAGCACAGAGGTAAATAACCATTATTACAGTACAGTGGCGATTCACTAGCCCAACTGGCATCCAAACATTCCCATAGGTTATCAGAGAACCCAGAAAACCCATCTGTTTCAGTTTGTCAAATTCAAGTGAATTGTATTTTCTTAAGTAATTTGCTTTACAAAAAAAGAAAGTCACCGCATCTGGTTTTGGCTAGGTATATTACACATGGCATGCAAAGAGAAATTACTACTATGTTATTTGCATAGCACTCAAACTTCCTGATCAGAAGATAATCTCAACATAATAAAAGAGTGGATTTTCACATTGGTATGCACAAATAAAGAATATAAGCTACAGTTATTTTTACAAAATAACACAGATGAATGAATACTGTGTTAATTCAGAGTTCAATCTCCAAATGAGAACAGAGTGCAACATGCAAAGGGAACCTCTAGTGAATACTGCAAAGACTGGAAGAAAACAGAATGTAAGATGTTACCTACCTAAGGGTAACAAGCTATAAAATACAAAGCAAAACCATTTTCTAGCAGCATCCTCTAGAAAAGAACTAGAAGTCACAATCATATTATCTTCTATACAATAGTTCCAGCCCTGACAAGTAGAACATGCAAGTGTAAAGTGAAAGTGATACACAACCAATGGTGCGGGGGGGGGGGGGAGGAAGAAAACAACTCTAGAAACCTGTCAAGCTAAAAATTTTTAACATTTCTTCTCACAAAATATTTAGAATCTGTCAGTGCATTAGTGTTAAAGTGGCATTAAAAAAACTTCTGCAGTTCTAACTGATGCAGATTATTTTCAAAATGCATAGCATCTACATTTCTTTCGAGTAGGCACCATGATATTTACACCAGTGCTAAGAATTCTTGGTGGAAACAGCCATTTCATTGGATTTCCTACTATTCTTCTATGCAATCTCAACAAATACCAAAATTCAAAAATATACCTTATGAATATTAAAAGAACTATATACAACATTGCTAAGACACAGTTAATAGGCTGCCTTATGTGAATATTAAAGAGAAGACATTATTCAAGTTTGACAGATATTGAGATGAAAGGCCTTTGGGTTGGAAGCATTTTAAAAGACAACAGTGTTTTAGGCTGAGAATTGTTTGAGCCCAGTTTATGACTAAGGCATTGCATAATAAAATATACATTTCTATTTGGTGCAACGTTATGTTTGGAATCTATAGTGTGTCAAATGGTATATTTTCTTGTCACTTTAGTAAACACTATAAAGCACACATTTCCAACATCTGAAATCAAACTTATAAACTTATAAGGAAAAAAGCCAAACACTAAATCTATAATGTTTTATATTAAGCTGTTTATAAAAAATACTTTAACAAACTTATCTTCTACTTTTTACGGGGACAGTCACTTGATCAACAAACAGATTCTGAATGAAGAAAACTGGCAATGCCAGGAATTAACCTGCCCCCTTGAACTCATGTCCAAAATGTCTTGTCCAGTATGGGAGTGAAGGTAAGGGGGGCTGGGGAGAGGAAAGAGTTCCAACTGCGGTTTTTACTTTATTGTATTTTTTTTAAAGCCTTCAGAAACATTCCACCTAAGAGTTTCTGTTAGAAAATACTTCGGCAACAACCATCAAGTGTGCTGTCCCCTATGGCCATCTCCCATCCCTGATCTCCTCCTATCTCCCCTAAATGGTCGCCCTCTGACATTTCGATGGTACTGATAACCTTCATCCCGACTTCTGCTTGGCTGTCCTTTCCAGGACTCCTCACTTCTCACATGTTGATATCCACCCCTACCAGAATAGCCCCAATCACTTTTGTACTTCCTGCTTCCATAAGTTTGATTATAGAACTGCTTGGATCTACCACTTCTCAAAATATTAGACACTTCATTTTCATCTTCTGAACTCTCTTCTTTTGGTCTTTGCACTCTGCTATCAACAGAGTTGGCCCCAGGGCTGACCACATCAGCAGCAGTCTTAGGATCTTTTACTTTTTCTGTTTTTTCTTTCAGGCTTTGAATGGTCCTTTTAGGTTCAAGTTCAACAGGCACAGTTTCTCTCTCTCTGTTTAGAATCTGAGTGGGAGGATGAGCCTTTCCCTCTGCTACAGGAGGGATGGAAGCCAATGCCGTATCTGCCTTTCGTGTCTGGGAAGATTGCTCTGTCCGGCCTTCGTCCGGCTTACTGCTCACACTTGCTTCAGGGAGAGAATGTACATGTTCACCCCTGGCTTCTGGAAACTCATCTACTGTTGAAACTGAACCACAATCTTTAGACAGATCCAGATTTTCCAGAGACAGATCCAATTCTCCTTTTTCATCAGAGGGCAGGACAATATTCTGCCTCATTACTGGATTTTCTATGAATCCCTGAAAAGGGTACCCATACCAAACATGAGGAAAGAAAGGAGGTGCAATAGGAACTGGGCCTAAGAATGGATTGGGTCCAAAAGATGGCTGGGGGAACATATTCTTGCCACTTAGTGACTCTTCATAATCAGCATGCAGAAGCTGCCCAGGGGTCTCAGATTCAAGATCAGCCTGGTAAGACAATTGTCCATGACTTTCAGACACCTGAGATGGAGGGATAACCAGAGGTGAAGAAAATGTCGGCGGTCCAATCTCTGGCTGTGGCATTTGACCATTAACACTGGCCTCAGTCTGCATAGGAAAGTGGGCATCAGTACAGGTACAATCACTTTCATTCTGAGCAGCAGGAGCCTCTTGGAACCAGGGATTATGAGGATAAACAGGGACAGGGACCTTTGGGTACATCCTGCAGGCTGCCAGGTAGGCCTGGTGCAGAGGGTACAGGTAAGAATGTGGGGCCCACATAGGACAACTGTATGCCTGAAGAGACAAAAAACAGTTAAATAAACAAAAGAGGAGAAAAAAGAGAGGTTTGGGTGGATATCAATCTACAAGTACTAGGGTCAAAATAAGTTTCTCATGCCTACAAAGACCATATAATCTATAGTCCAAATACTAAATCACTGTGATAACCAACGTGAAAATGAATTACAAAATTCACTGCTTTAAGACTCCATTGCTTGCTCCTGTCCTAAAACCAATCTGAAGTCCTCATAGGTTGATAGGAGATAGTATCTCCATCACTGACTGTTTAGCCAGACCTGCATTCACATTCGGGCTCTACCACTAACTCACTGTGTGACCCCATGCAGGCCAGTTAACATCTGAATTTGTTTTACTGGGAATGTCAGTATAAGAGTAGATGATCTCCAATGTCAGGACTCTGCAATTCTAGGAGCCCCCAAGAGTACTCCGAATGTAAGGATTAAGTTAGACCTCTAATCAGGGAGGGATAATGTTGAAAATGAAATATTCCAAATCCTTCCTCTGCAAGAGTTCAGCTAAAAACCAAAATATGAAGAAAGTATAACCAGCTAATTGGCTAACCAATTAAAATCAACATTAAATACATTAAAATTAAGCAATGCAGCAGATAGTAAAATAATCAAGTTTCTTTTTATGAAAGTGGTCAGCAGGCTAAAGGTAGGGCACTTCGTTTCATAGTTTAACTGTCTAGAACCCACAAAAACTAATCTAGGTCAGGAGAAAACCTAACATTTAACAAGGACAGAGTTCTCCAACCTAAGAAAAGCTATTTCTAGGTTGACCACTTCCCAAAGGATACCTCTGCTCTTCTAGTCAACAACCACACTATCTTACATAGGAGGATGTACACGTTATTTCCTTTGATCTTTTCAATAATGGAGGCAAGTAAAGAATATTACCCCCATTCTATAAATGAAAAAAGCTAGGCCCAGATACACTACATGGCTTGCCCAGGGAAATTCAGCTAAAGAGTGATGGAGCAGAACTTCAAGCCCAGATTTACATCTAATTATTCCCCAGCAAGGGCATTTCCACTAGGCTGCCCAAAGATGCAGCTATGTCTTAAATATACTCACAGGTTAAGCCATCACCAGTTAAGACAAAAAAGTAAGTAAAACTGGAGCCTCTACTAGCACCAAAAACAAACGATATAGTACTGAAAATGCTGGTTTTTAAAATGATGAGATTTAGTAAACTTTAGGTTACTGACTGACAGGGTAAGAGTTAACACTAGTAATAATTTAAAACACTATTAATGAATAAAATAACTTTTAAGATGATAAAATGTAAATACCTTCACACCAAGATTGAAGAAGAATCGAAGAATATTCTTATCTAAAAATAAAAGTAATCACTTGTTAAAATTATATATCTGCAGAGATTTTTTTAAATCATCCTCATTAAATATATAGTTCTAAAGACAATTTTACCTACTATAATTGTCTTCTCTAGCCTGTGATACAAAACATAGATAAAAACTGTAATATAACACAACCCAAAAACAGGTTGTTCCCAAAGGTTAATTCCAGATTCAATAGGCTTTGTCTGTTAGCATATAAATCCCAAAATGGCTTAGATTGAAATTTTTATCTCATTAAAACTGAATCTGGGTAAAGGACATTCAGGTGGCTTTCTTTCTCAACTTTTCTGGGGGTTTAAAAATTAGGAAATAAAAATGTTGAGAAGAATGGTAAAATCAACATAAAACCTAACTTATTAGTAGCATCATTTGCAGGATAATATTCTTCCAAGTATTCATATGCCATGAGCCAGTTACTCATAGACACAAACATCAAACTACTAACTAATAAAACAAAAACATCCACATAAATCCAGGTAAACAGCATATAGTAGTCAGTGCATTACTCAAATTTACAGATATAAAATTTTGGAAACTAAAAAGGAGGGAGGTGTAAATTCCTTAAAAATAAAGAGGGAAAGCAAACTTTGAAAGAATTTTTTAAACAAAAATAAGACATACTAAATATAGTACTTTAACAGCCACTACATACTATATTTGCTTTTCTCTGTAACTTTTTCACGGATGCATGTCTGAAATGCAGACCAGTGTTGATAAAGCTCCACAGTGTTTAGGTATCTAATTAGTGAAATTATTATTGTAATTCAGAATGGTTTCAAGTCCATTTATGTAAAAACACAGAAGGAGGTATCATTACTAAGCATACTAGCATTAACAAGTATGCTAGAAACAAAAAAAAATTTTCTGGGCCAGGCGCGGTGGCTCACACCTGTAAACCCAGCACTTCGGGAGGCCAAGGCACGCAGATTACGAGGTCGGGAGATCGAGACCATCCTGGCTAACACGGTGAAACCCCGTCTCTACTAAAAAATACAAAAAATTAGCCAGGCCTGGTGGCATGTGCCTGTAGTCATCCCAGCTACTCAGGATGCTGAAGTGGGAGAATTGTTTGAATCTGGGAGGTGGAGGTTGCAGTGAGCCGAGATCACACCACTGCACTCCAGCCCGGGTGACAGAGCGAGACTCCGTCTCAAAAAAAAAAAAAAAAAAAAATTATAATACATTTTCTAATAAATCAAGCTGAAACAAGAATGACTGACTAATAGCTAAAACTTTGCTGTCCTTCCCATCCTTGAGCTTACTAAGAAACCAGACCTCTGACCTCTACTTACATCTCTTCATTTCTTAACTAAGCTTATTTGGACTTGATAAAGTCGATTTGAACTTGGAGAAGGAGCTCACCTTTAGGTAGGTCCTCCCCAGTCTGACACAGTGAATAAGGTGGTACAATGGCTCGATCTCCCTTTTCATTACAAGGAAACCCAGGATAGAGTGGGTCTTGATAAAGGCTCAATGTCTGAGGCAAAGGCATCAAGGGCTGGTTAACTGCCTGTATTGACACAGGAACTGGAGAGGGTGTTAAATGAGCTTGGGATACAGCTGAATCAGGTCCAGTGGTCAAAGTCTGTGTCACTGACAAAACGGGAATTGGAGCAGGGACACCTACAAAAGAGAAGAAAAGGAATCAAAATGACAAAAGATGAAAATCTCTACAAATATGCTTACATTAACCTATAAAGAATGCTGTATAACTGATAAAGCCAATCTAAAGTAGTACCTTTTAGTATCAACCAAGAGCCCTCCTGGACACCAAGAAGGAAATACGTCCAGGATACAAGCTCTGAGTCAATGTCTTCTAATAGTAGCTCTTGCAGGCACGTGTAGGACATGGGGCTGGTCAAGGGGTTCATTACGGGGCCATAAAGAGCTGGCCCATGAAGGAAGCATCAAACCGTGGTGCTAATTAGTGCTGAGCAACCAAAGCAACCAGCTCAAACATCATGCTCCTGAGACTATGAGGGCATATGTCAGATGAATACAACACCAAATGTACATGGTCTTTCCACATTGGAAGCAGAGCAAAGCAGAGTATCACAGAAAGCTCTGTGAGGCTCCACACACCTAATCCTGCTCAGAGGTCAAACTTCCACTCAAGAATTTGAAGTCTCTGACTAGAAAGGTATTTTGGCTGGCTAGATTTTCTAAACCCTTCTCTAACCTGTTGGTCCAAAAGTTGTAGGTTCACTTGGCCAGGCTGGCACAGTGGCTGGTAAAGAAGGCACCGCAGGAGTTAGATGTACCTCTGGAGAAACTAGAAGGGGAGCTGGATTTGACAAAGACACATGTTCTGCTGGCTTCTTCAAGAAAGGGGTGAGTGGGGGAAGACAGAAAAAGACAAGAGGTCATTTTGCTTTAACACTATTTCTAACCACCAGATACATATTGAGTTGCCTGCCTTTTATACAAATGAAGTACAAATAGCCCTTATAGTCTTAGAAATGTAAGAAAAACACACAGTAGCTAAAGATAATATGCAAACAAATTTGATCCTAACCAAGGGTTGCCTACCAACAAGGACTGTATTTTTTAATACAGACAGGGTTTCACCCTGTTGCCCAGGCTAGTCTCAAAACTCTTGGGCTCAAGCGATCTGCCCGCCTTGGCATCCCAAGGTGCTGGAATTACAGGCGTGAGCCACCGCACCTATCCACTAGCAGAGTTAAATACAACACAATACTTTTAAGGCAAGTGAGCAAAATCATTGAAATCTTGAAATTCATGATTATTTAGAAAAACTCCTCATGTAACTATATGCTTTCTTACCAATATGAAGAATGTTGGTTGAAAGGCATTTAACATTTAACTTTCTCTACTCTTGTATTAGTCAAGAACTAAAATGTCTGCTAGAACACAGGTTCATCATGAAATTTGTAAATTGGTATTTTTTTAATGTATATTTTTCAAACCTTTTCAATCAGTACATTCCCTCCCATCTGTGAAATAACTGATGCAGATAACTCTTTTAAATTTTGAAATAAAGTAGAAATTCAGTTTCCCTTCAAAAATCTAATTTTCAAGGAAATCTACCAAAGTAATACAAAGTATCAAATATAACGATAACAAATATAAATATATTCAAAGTCAATTCAAAAAAATGGTCTCAATCACCAGAAAATGGTGGTTATTTCTATAACATTCCATAAATAGAGAACATTCTAGACTAACATCAGAATACATTTAAAAATCATAACCACAGCCAAACTGTGATGCCAGAAAAAATTCTCCCATTTCCCATACTGATGTTTTCTGTTTTTAAATGACCCTATACACAGAGCACAGAAACCCAGAGAGTGGAGCATTCAATGTTAAATGCAACAATATACTTACTTGTTCCGCAGGAGAAGGGCACTCTAACTTCTTTGACTTTGATGGTGATGAAACTGTTGCATATTTATCATCAGTAATATTCTTTGGAAGCAAAAAAGAAGCAAAGTTTTGTATTTCAGAGACCCACATTCTGGAATATTGATGGTTTCCTTTTATAATTCACCCTACCTGTATCTGACAGAACCCTCTCACCACTGAGTATTTTTTCCAATTATATGTTATTTTCAACAGGTAGGCTAACTTTGCCTGAACATCTTTATTACATCAAACTACTGGGCAGTTTTCACTGGAGGCAAGGCTTCAAACATTATACTCTTCTCCTTTAAAAACATCACTCTAGAGGGACAGAGAATAAAGGCTACTTTCTAACAATTCAGGCAGGGCACCCTAATGTACCTTGAAGAAACTGTCATAATTTGTGAGTGACTTCTCAATCCCCATCATCTTTTCCCTGCTTTTCTACTTTCCTAATACACAGCTATAAAATTTCGAAATTATTTTCACCTTCTTCCACTTCTTCCTACTGTACTACACAGTATTAAGGAAAAAGAAAAGATGCAAGTAGTGTTTAAAACTTTTACCTCCAATGTGCTTGGTTCGGGTCTTTTATCCAACTGACTATGTCCATGAATAGAGTCTATAGCAGATCAAGATTAAAAAAGACAGCATAAGCCACCAGTCATGTCTGAACACAGAAGAACAAAATACGAAGATAGAAGAAGCCAAAAGTATTATTTGAACCATGTTTAGTCAGTGAAAATGTAGTTTTTAGAATAGCACTTAACATCCTTTAGCTTGAGTCAATACTTCTCTGCAACATTCAAAATATGTGACATTAGATAAACTACTTAACAACTTAAAAAGGGTTCTTTCCCAAATATATGACATTAAGCCAGTCATCTAAAGAGATCTCTAGCATCTGCTTTCTAATGATGAGATAACTTACCTTTGTCTTTTCGTTCTTCTGTATCCATTCTCCGCCTGCTTCCTTTTCTATCACCTACATGTGATGATTTTCTCTGGACACATGGATTGCTACTCTGAGAAGCTGACTGATTGACTGATGAGCTCTTTAAAATGAACAAAACCCAACATTTTGTGTTAAAGATTTACCCACAGATACATGAACAAATTCTGTAATTAATCTCACTCTTCATACTTCTAAAATCTTAAAATTCACAGCCCTGTATTTTTAACTGAAACTAAAGAAGATAGAATCTAGGGTCCATAATTAATTATACACCCTAGAATAATAGTCTTATCGCTAAGTTGAAAGGATTAAGCAATCAGATTTCAACTTAGATTAGTAGACTTAATCTTCATATCCCTATTTCAGGAAGCCACCCTGAACAAACCTTTACCCTACAATTTTTCTTTCAAAAAAAACAACATCTTCTGTGCCAACCTTCCAAAAAAATCATTGTAGCGCCATATTTTTTGGTGGGGAGTTGGGGAGAACCTAAGTGCAAATTAGCAAATACAGTGCACTAGGATTCTTATCACTGAAATGCTTACTGTCAGCAAATCACTTAAACTCTGCATGAGATAAGGGACTGAAATAAGTGAGGTTTTTAAGCTAAATTATCACTGAGGGTTCTAGGTTCCTGTTTTGGCATTCTAAATAAATGTTCCACACAGCTAAGAGGAGGATCTCAGCCCTCTCTAACAGTTTTCTAGAAAACAAATCTGAGCCACTATCAAAAGCAATCAGTATCAAACTCCTTAGTCTAAAATGATGAGTATGAAGGACCCCATTCTTAATAAGAAAGAAATTTCACCATCTGTACCCACATTACAGTAGTTGTACATTTACAATTCACTAACTGAAAAATGCATAATGGTATGAATACAAGCTTAAACAATTTGTAGTTGTTATTTATATAATAACACATGACATGAGAGATAAATGTACTTTGCACATAAACAATGCTTATTTATGTACGGATTTGGGCACTTCAATTATTCCTAAATGGATTCGGCACTTCTTCCAATAATTCCTAAACTCCAATGCCTGTGCCAGATTAAACTGCTATTCCAGATCACCTGTTTTCAACTGAGCTCCTCCTCAAGCCTCTAAGGAAGTCCACAGAGACCAGAAGACACACCTGAGTGTGTGGGGCTTTAATGTTTTATACTGGTATACTGGGTAACCTCCCGTAACAGTCCATTATTTATTTAATCTACTCTAAAGAGAGAAAGTGTCCAACCACCATTCTGGATCATAGGTCATTTGGGTACTACTTACCAAGATGTAAAAGACCACAGGCACAGGCTCCCAGACATGAGAATGAATTAGGTACCCCTCCTCTGTGCTGCCAACAAACCCACCTCACAGAGCACATACTTCATTCTACATGAGAACAGTTTTCCCTTCTGACTTCCCAAAAAGAATTAAGAAACCTGAAGATAGAGAACACTTCTTTTATCAGAGAAGCATCCATCACAGCCCAGTGCCTGACACATGGAGAAAGGACAAAGCCACAGGATGACATGTGCTACCACCTCCAACAGCAAACACCCTGAAAGACAGCTCTCAAAAGGGCTTCCTGATTTTACACATAGATCTTGTAATGGATTAACTAAATCATGAACCTCTACTACACAGTACTTTTGCTAACAAATTAAACACATTTTAGTTCAAAAGAAAACACGAAACACTACAAGTGAACAAACCAGTTTACTTGCCTCAACTCTATCATCAACCTTTTAGTAATATCTCTAGGTCTAGAGATATTACTAAATATGTGAAAAGGAAAAATAGGAAAAATGTGAAAAATGTGATCTTTAAAGTATTTAGAGTTTAAAAATTATTAGTTTACCCTTGGGAACTATGGCTTAATCTAAAAACTATATTAAGAGAAACTTCTGTATAATGACTTTTAAACTGTCTTTTCATACATACGGAAAGGGCTGGGAAAGCCTGTTCATCTCTGTTCTGAATCTCATAGAGTAAACGGGATTCTTCTATAGCTTGCTTCTCTCTGCGCTCTTCTGGGGAAAGGCCGAAATAGTTAGATTCTCGACTTGTGTGATCAAAATCCTCAACTCTTTCACGATCAGGTTTTCTGTCAAATAAAACATTCTTGTCAGAAAATACATAAATAAATAAATAAATAAATAAATAAAACATTCTTGTCAAAAAAAAAAAACACAAAACTGTACTGAGTACCTAAAATAAAATGATCTATTTTGCAACACAAACATTTTACTAATTTAGCTACACTGACATTTTAGAACATTTGGCAGTCTGGTTAATGAATGTTTAAGCAAATGGAAGCTCCTGTAGCATTAGCCTACCTTACAGAGAGTCAAGAAGACAAACAGCAATGGGAGGTAGAGGGGAAAAGAAAAAAAAACTTATTTCCAAATGATACAAAAATGAGTGAGCACTGTATATACTTGTTATACCATATTCCAATATTTTCATTAAGAATTAATTCTCAAAGGGAAAGTTATTAGTTTAGGTCTCAAAAGCATTCTCACTTTCTGTTCTAAGTAAAGGGGAATGGTCCAATGGTCCAATGAGACACTAGGACCATCTTCCCACTTGTTTATGACACCACCAAGGGAGACACAAAGCTGAAAAAGAAAAACTAAAACATGTCAGGCTGGATACCAATTGCATAGATAAGACTGCTGTCATTTCAACATAATTTTGGTCAAAAAAGGATGACAAGAAATTAATGAATAGAGTTTAGTACCCTATAATCCAACCCTAATGTGTTATATGGCTTATAACTATCAAAAGCAGTATGAATACTATTTCCATCATGTCTAACAGTTCTTCAAAATGGAACATGAAAATCTAAAAACCTCTAAAAAAAATACTTTGTCACAGTACAAAGAAATATTATCCTCCTCGAGTAGAGCACTATGATGTTATCTGATTTTTTTTTAACCTCTGAAATAAATAGCCATTTCATGTCCTTACACAGTCCCATTTATAATCACACTCTAATTACAATAGGACAGATGTCAGCCCTAATGGTATCGATGAAAAAAGGGAGGGATAGAAAATCTGGACTCTCAAAATTTTAGACCAATCCTTCCCAAATCCCAGTGGTAAAAAATTTTGAAGAGGACTCAGCAACTGTCAGGAGTCTCTGGAAAATTAGCACTACCTTATCACCATCTCCTATCATCCAAAAAAAATGACCACTACTATATGGCCTTCATCTCATCCTCACCTACCACACAGAGAGAAGCTACTACTACCTATTTTCATCTAGCTTGAAGACAGATATTCAGCCACAGTATTTCCTGGATAGCCACATTAACAAAAGCATATATGGCAATCTTGCTTGGTTTTTGGTTATATTCTGTGTTTTCTCCACAGGAAGAGACAATTATCAATGAAGAAAAACTGGAAAAAGTGAGAGGCCAAGAAGGTCTCATATCCAGCACTACGGTTCTCTTTTGCTCTATAACTAGAAGAAATTCAAAAGTGATGTGTTACAGATTAGAAATACAGTGAAGATGAACTGTACTGGGCTTAAATCAATTAGATTGTTAGCTATAAAATTCTAAAATCTGACTAGATTTTGTAATCTTACTTTAAATATTCAATAAAGTTTTTAAATGTTTTAATACATTAGTAAAATTCACTCACACACACAATGGAGAAGGCATACTAACCTAATGACAAACTGCAAATACCACTAGGTTCTAATGTAATTAGTCACAATGTCAAAAAATCTCTAAAGTTTCATGTCTATGGTATTAATTACCACTGCCTTGTCACACACCATCAAGTATTTTTACATACCAAGTAACACATATAGCTAACACATAAAAAAGGATCCTAATAAGATATGCTTCTCTATACCATAGTATTGAAAACACTGTTGATTAGAGGCCGGGTGCGGTGGCTCACGCCTGTAATCCCAGCACTTTGCAAGGCAGAGGTGGGCTAATCACCTAAGGTCAGGAGTTCGAGACCAGCCTGACCAACATGGTAAGACCCCGTCTTTAATTAAAATACAAAATTAGCCAGGCATGGTGGTGCATGCCTATAATCCCAGCTACTTGGGAGGCTGAGGCATGGGAATCGCTTGAACCTGGGAGATGGAGGATGCAGTGAGCCAAGATCGCGCCACTGCACTCCAGCCTGGGCAACAAGAGTGAAACTCCGTCTCAAAAAAAAAAAAAAACTGTTGATTAAAAGTATTACTGGTACAAGACATCTATCTGAGCACTATACCAATTCATAGGCGATCAGAGTCAACACCAGAAACACACTGGATTATAAATTCAGTTTATAATAAACAAGTTTATTTAAATTAACCATTTAGTAGTCTATGTGTATTTTCTTTATTAATCTTTAAATCACTAAAGAGTACACTTGTGTTCAAGGAAAAAGAATATTGCTTTTTCTGTCAAAAAATGGGAATATTAAACAATTACTTTCTGCCTATAACCTTCCTATAGTTACTTTATATTTTTAGGTTTCCAAAGTTAACATTCAAAGTAAGTTAATATCTTAGATACTTTTCGTGCATTGAGTAAGCTACCACCAGGGGCTACTGGAGTTTGGTCAATGTCCAAACAACAAACTTCAGCCATAACTAGTTGATTAGTGGCATAAATTCTGTCTGTTTGGGAGAGGTAATATAACGGATTAGAATCATTAGTATTTGTTATGGATTGAAGTGTATTTCTCAAAAAGATATGTTCATATTCCTAATCTCTAGTACCTGTGCACATGACCTTATTTAGAAATAGGGTCTTCTCAGATGTAATCAAGTTAAGGTGAGGTCATACTGAATAGGGTAGGACCTAAACCCAGTATGACTAATGCCCTTACAAGAAGAGACAGACACAGACACATGGGGAGAACACCATGTGATGATGGAAGCAAAGAATGGAGTGATGCACCTACAAGCCAAGGAACCTCAAGGACTGCAGTCAACTCCAGAAGTAGGAGGCAAGCATGGAACGGATTCTCCCCTAGAGCCTTCGGAGACAGCATGGCCCTGGCAACAACTTGATTTCAGACTTCTAGCAACCCGAAGTGTGAAAAAATAAATTTCTGTTGTTTTAAGCTGACCAGTTTATGGTATTTTGTTACAACAGCCCCAAGAAACTAAAATAGTATTGATAAATGTCAGCTTAAGAAGCTATAATTCTGTCTTGAAGACGCTACATAAAACATATTTTTTTCTTTCCTTTCTTTTTAAGACTAGCCAACTACAGTAGTGAGAAGGGGTGAAAGAGTAGAACAAGGAGTTTGATCTGTAACTGACTGTGAACAATCAACTGAGATAACTCACGACCTTCACACCAGCCTATACATCTTCAGTGACAAAATGTTAAGTGCATTCACAAAAAAAGGAACACCCAAATGCCAGAAATAATGGAACTAAAGACCAGAGGGTTAGCAAACACATAAGCTGATGCTACAGCTCTTCGGGCAATTGAGAAGGTGCTTTGATGGGAAAGGTACTTGTCATAGTCACCTATGAAGACTCCACAGGAAACACGGTCATATTTGCACGATGAAGACAGTTTCAACATAAGACACAGCCTCTCAAATAAAGCTCTTCCAAAGGGCTATAAAATTACTGAACAGAAAGTGAAGACTAGGGAAAAATTAAAATCCATATAGCACAGGAAAATTATGATCCTAAAAGTTCATCTGCCTCTGGATACTTAGTCAGAATGCTGATATTTATAATTTCACAGACCTAAAATTGTAGCCCCATTCGGTATTAAGAGACATCACCACAATCAAAACTTATCAGATCAAAGTAAACCAATAATTTTGGGCTGTTTTAAGTTCTTGTACAAATGGGAGTATCCTCACCTCCCAAGGAAATAGGAATGCAATCTGGAATCCAGTATTTACCATATTACAAGCCACCAGAAAATAATTAAGTGCCAGAATAGAATTGGGCTAGAATAAGATCTCCCAAACCATTTGAAAAAATTACTAAAAAATAAAGGTCTCTCTATATATACTTCCTTGCTTTGAAGAGAATTATAAAGAATTGAGATCCTCACATGAAGTTTTATACAAAATGCTCTTAATACTAATATAGGGACAATGATATGAGTAAAAAGTTATAATTATTCAAATGCACATAATGTGGCAAATATAACAAATGCCTCTTACTTGATTTCTATACTTCTCTTACATTCAAGAAGGTTACCTTATGATCTGTGAAGGTGTCCGGCTAAGATTTTTGTGCTCACTGGAGAATTTCTGAGACTGTGACCCTGAAGAATGACTAGAGAACGCATGTTGTCTTACTCCTGAAGGATGCTGCAGTCGAGGAGGTAGTGCTGATGGGGCTTTTATTGGCTTGCTTGGATTCTTTGGCCCTCTGTAATCCACATCTGTTGTAAGAACCCAAAAGTACATGATAATATTCATATTATAAACAATCCCAAGTACCATCATCCCAATCCCAAAGGAATGATAGCTTGATGTGCTCCTACCAGAATGGAAATTTTGTCCAGAAGTGGAAGGTTTTTTCATCTTCTTCCCTGACACTGTGTTCCAGCTTTCTGGGGGAGGTGCCTTGAGGTTCTTTGATGTGTGCCTTCAAAGGGGAAAAGACTTGTGATAGCTTAAAATACCCTAGTAAGAATAGTTAAATATTCTGCATATTTATTTTCAGCTTATATAAGAATTTCTAGTTTTATTTCTTACATTAAAAACAAATTACAATTAAGGTACAAATTGCATTTACCAATCCAGATGTAATTCTAATAAAAAAAAATGATATAAATCAAAAGCATATTTTCTAATTTTAAAAAAAGACAGTTGAATCACAATCTAAGCAAAAGTTAAATAAATACAGAATGACTTATTCTGTTAGGATAATGGTACTGTAGTTAAGGTGGGGAAGGAAGTCTTTGTTCTGTTAGAGAAACATATAAACATCTACTGGAGAAATGGTGTGATGTTTGGATTCCTTCAAAATATGCCAATTTCATTTTCATTTTTTAAAAACATATTAGGGAAAATAGAATAGAAAATATTGCCAAGGCCAGGTGCAGTGGCTCATGCCTGTAATCCCAGCACTTAGGGAGGCTGAGGTGGGCAGATCACAAGGTCAGGGGTTCAAGACCAGCCTGACCAACATGGTCAAACCCCATCTCTACTAAAAACAGAAAAAATTAGCCGGGCGTAGTGACACATGCCTGTAATCTCAGCTACTGGGGAGGCTGAGGCAGGAGAATCACTTGAACCCGGGAAGCGGAGGTTGCAGTGAGCCAAAATTGCGCCATTGCACTATAGCCTGGGTGACAGGGCAAGACTCCATCTCAAAAAAAATGAAAAAAATTTGCCAAACGCTGTTAGTTGCTAAAAATGGGTGTTGAGTTATATTGGGATTCAAAAATTGTGCTGCTGGTTATAATGGGGATCTATTCTTAATTTGTATATGTTTAAATTTTTCCACAGTAAAGTTTAAGGTGTGACTTACTACCTTTTTCTCTAATAAAGCCCAGCGGCAACTGAAACAAAGATGCTCTAAAATAACACTGTATAAGGTAAGCCAACAATATTTTGCTACTCCATCTGACAAACACTGACTGAATACTAACTACATGCAATGCAGTACTGAATGAATTTAAAATGAATCCCTCCAAAGTTCCCATATTACGATCTAGTCAATTTCTTGAACTGCCTTTGTGCACAATGGTACATTTTAAACAGTAAGCAACAAAACAAATAATCTTCATTTAAAGTTTGACAATGTGCAAAATACTAAATTTGCACATTTAGTGCTTTTCTAGAGGTCGGAACAAATATACTTTCTTTTTGTTTTTTTAAGACGAAGTCTAGCTCTGTCGCCAGGCTGGAGTGCAGTGGCTCACTGCAACCTCTGCCTCCCTGATTCAAGCGATTCTCCTCCCTCAGCCTCTTGAGTAGCTGGAATTTACAGGCATGCGCTGCCATGTCCAGCTAATTTTTATATTTTCAGTAGAGATGGGGTTTCACTATGTTGGCCAGGATGATCTTGATCTCCTGACCTCATGATCCACCCATCTCGGCCTCCCAAAGTGCTAGGATTACAGGCATGAGCCACCGTCCCTGGCCCAAATATACTTTCTATACATGGGCAATTATCTTTCATTGAATTTGCAAATACTGAAGGCCATTTTAAAATGCTCATGATTAGGCTAAATGGAGGAGGCAGTAAATGCCTTAGCTGAAGAGTAGTACATACTTCTTTCCCAGTTCTTCAACCAAAACTGGTCCATTCTCAGAATGAATTCCTTGAACATCTGCATTCAAAAATTTTCCATTGTGATCCAACCTAACCTGTTAAAAATTCCAAAAATGAAAAGGAAAAAAAAAATCAGTCACCTGCTTCCTTTGCATTACTTATCAGTTTTTTGCGGTTCTTTTTTTTTTTTTCTTGAGACAGGGTCTCACTCTGTCACCCAGGCTGAAGTGCAGAGGCACAATCTTGGCTCACTGCAACCTCCACCTCCCTGGTTCAAGCCTGGGATTCTCCTACCTTAGCCTCCCAAGTAGCTGGGATCACAGGTGTGTGACACCACACTCGGCTTTTTTTTTTTTTCTTTTTTTTGTATTTTTAGTAGAGACAGGGTTTCACCGTGTTGGCCAGCCTGGTCTCAAACTCCTGACCTCAAGTGATCCACCCGCCTAGGCCTCCCGAAGTGCTGGGATTACAGGCGTGAGCCACCACACCCAGCTTTTAAAATTTAGTCTTTAATTAAACAGAAAATAAAGTTTATCAGTAAAAACAAAATAAGTTCAAATAGGTCTACAATCAAATCCATCTCCTTAACCTCCCAGACCTCCATATCTCCTACCTAAAAGAAAGAAAACCTTTTCTTCTTTGTCCTTCTAAATTTTTTTCTAACACTTATTTTCTAAATTGTTCAAAAAGTAGGAGCACAATATGTTAAGGCTCTAAACAAAACAGGCAGCAGGTCCTGGTTCTGAAGGCAGGGCTGTGGCCCCACATACCCCAGGCTTCCAGGTCTGGCTCTTCCACTTGCCAGCAATATGACCTTGGGCAAGTTATTTTTCTCTCCCTTCAGTTTCCTCATAATGCAAAATGGAGCTAATAATAGTACCTACGTCACAGAACTCATGGAGATGGAATGAGGGTGCACAGGATACACATAAAGAATACCAACTTGCACACAGCAACCACTCTACAAGTGAGAGCAACTATTATTACAATTATTATCTTCCCATTTTTCCTATATTAAAAATGTGCAACTGTGATTTTTATCCCTAAAAATAGATCCATTAACTGTTCTCTAGCATACAATTAATATTACGCAGTTGTAAATCCATGATAAAAGAGTAAATAAGCCTAAGTTTTCTTCCTATAAACTGCCCACACTGAAATTGTGCACCTGCCAAGTACAACATACAGGACAATGCTTTAAGCAACCTCCCACTTTTAGCAGTAAATCAAAGTCCTCAAGCTGGTATTTCATTCTTCATCAATGACAATAAAGACATTTTTCCTTCAAAAGTTTCACAATAAAAAAATTCTTTTCTGAACTTAGTTATCAAAAGTTTAAACTACATCTTACACACTTGAGTAAACAAATCACCTTAGAGTCATCTCAGTTTCTTAAAATTTTAATGAGATGTTATCCAAAAGAATGGTCAAGTAGTACAGATAGAAATAAAATACTCTCAATAGGAAAAAAATGAAAGCATGTGCTTTACCATCTACTTTATCAAAAGCACCTACTTTACCAAAAGCAGTTTCAACCTCAAAGGAAATATGCTTGACTTAAAATAAGTAACACGACTTTAGTGATACAGCATAAGCCATCTTCTCTTTTGAGAAGGGTGGGGAGAGAGACCTTTAAACCCTGGATTTAATCTCATTTGTTCTCTTTCAAGTTTTCCCAATCAATGTAGTAAAAACTTCCACAATTCCCTTCTACAATTAGAGCAGATTTATGACAATCCCATAAGGCAGTACCTGAATGAATCATGTTCTCTTCTCCCTCACCTTTAAATACCCCAGAACCAGAACTATTGAAGGTTCTTAAAATAAAATCCTGGCTAATCAGATGACTTCACATAAACCAATTTATCATAAAGTAAATGAGTGTTTCCTCCATAAGTCAAAAAGAAATGTTTGCCAGTGGCTGTTTTAAAGTAGTTTTTTTAAAAGGCAACACTTTTTGATGGAAATAATTTCTGATGAGAATTAACTTCCATATAACATTTTTTGTGTATGTGGGGGTTTTGTTTTTGTTTTTGAAATAGCAGTATTTTTCCACAAATGAAGAACAAAAAACAAGAAAAGAGACCTTGTAAATTATCTTACCTAGGGTTTCTTCTGCCTAAGCATTACTGACACTTTGGACTAGGTATTTTTTGTTAGAGGGAGATGAGGGAGGCTGTCCTGTCCATTGTAGAATGTTTGGCCACAGCTTTGGCCTCTACCCACTAGATGTCAGTAGCACCCTCCCAGTTGTGAGAATAAAAAATGTCTCCAGACACTGCTGAATGTTCAATGGTGGTGGTGGGGGGCGGGGGGCAGAGTGAGGGTTAACCACTAGTTTAAGAAACACTGATTTTAATCCAACTTTTTCCTTTAACAATCAGCTACTCAAATCCAGGGCAGCTGCTTATTCAAATTAATTGGCAAAAACTCCTCTGTGGCTCACTTTCTTTCCTCAGTCCAACAGTAAATATTGTGTACGTATCAACATCTCCCAAGATGATTTTCATAAACAAAACTAAATGACCTATAAAGTCAATTTTGAATCAATTTCAGTCCATTTTAACAAAAATACCTCAATATCTGAAATGTTATCATTACTTCTTTGAACCAAGTAATACCAAAGGCTGAATTGTTTTTAAAGATCATGTGATGGGATGCCACGGTTTTAGATACATACAATTTTAGCAACGTATTCAAATGAGTCAAAAAGCTAAATACTTGTAAACTATTAAAATGTATATACATGATAAATATATTCTGAAATCCCAAATTAACAACACATTCACACCTCAGCTGTTTTCTCTGTTTGTATTAGAAAAAGCAAAGTTTCAAGTAAAATCTCTTCTTCTTTTACATAAGTCACTTACTTGACATTTGTCTCCAACTTCATATTGTAAGCCAGCAGCAATGGAATAATCACGTTTTTGCTGAGCTGTTAAAAAAAAAAAGGTCAGTATAATATAAAGTTGACTTATTTTCAAGTGCTACAAAGCAAATTTATGGAAAATGCAGATTTTTAACTCACCTTGTTTAGACTTCAGCCAAATTTCATATTCCACATTTCTATAGACTGCAGGATTGAGTGACTTAAGAACCTTTCTAGACAAAGGCAGGCTAGTAGAGTTCCCATTGTTCTTCAGCTGCTAAACAAAGTCAGGAAGTCCAATCAACACATAAGTGCTTTTAAAACATTTTTGTTTGAGATACACGTAAAACTAAAGTCAAATGAAGAAAAGAAACTTCAAAAAATTAGGAAGCCACCAAATCAATTTCTGAGTAGATGATCCTGACTTGACTGAAATGTACCAGAAAAAAGAAAAAAATTAAGATTTTAATGTACATGCTTTCTTATATTAAAGAACTACATTTAAAACCACTTTTAAAAAAAATACCTCATTGCCTGACAAAGGTTTAAATCCATTCACATCAGCAGCAGCAGCAGCAGTCTTACTCCTACAAAGAAAGATAACCATAATTGGGGCAGAAAAAGGTATTTGCACGTAATTACCTTCTAACCTCATCTAAACGTCTTCAAAGTCAGAACTATGCTCCAAAAAGAGCTATATTCCAGTGAGCTCATACAAGTTTTGGTACAAGTATATCTATATATAAAAGGGTATATGTATGTAAATGTGTGTATATAAGACAGAAGTCAAAGACAACAGTAATTCTAACTGGCTCAGTAATAAGAAAACATAAACTGTGAAATTTGGGTGGGTAGAATAATTGAATTTACAAAAGAATGTAAAAACTTCCTTTTAATATACACATGAGGCCCCGTTTAAAAACACAATCCATTTACAACAAAAGTATCCATAGGCAGATTCGACAACCCTTTTATTAAAAATACTCTACATCAGCCGGCCATGGTGGCTCACGCCTGTAATCCCAGGACTTTGGGAGGCACAGGCAGGCAGATCACCTGAGTTTGAGAGTTCAAGACCAGCCTGACCAACATGGAGAAACCCCATCTCTACTAAAAATACAAAATTAGCTGGGCGTAGTGGCACATGGCTGTAATCCTAGCTACTCGGGAGGCTGAGGCAGGAGAATCGCTTGAACCCGGGAGGCGGAGGTTGCAGTGAGCTGTGATCACACCACTGCACTCCAGCCTGGGCAGCAAGAGCGAAACTCCGTCTCAAAAAAAAAAAAAATACTCTACGTCAAATAATGTTCAGCACAATGAAAGCACCATCATTAGCCCTTTAAATTCACTGTCACATACACACCTACACATTCATATACTCAATAAATAACTTGATTGTCTACTATGTGCCATGCAGTGTACACAGCTGACCCTTGAACAACATAGGTTTGAACTGTGCAGGTCCACTTACACACAGGTTTTTTGTTTCAACCAAAAGCAGATCAAAAATACAGTATTCTCGGGATGTGACACCCAAGTATACAGAGGGCCAGCTTTTCATATAAACAGATTCACAGGGCCCGTGGTAGGACTTGAATATGTGCAGATTGTGGTATACTCAAGAGTCCCAAATCTCCTGGTAAACACCAAGGGATGACTGTATTATTAGGTGCTAGGGTCTAGCATTTAAGAGAACAAAAACTCCGCCTACATGAAATGTACAATCTGGTGACAACAGATAAAAACTAAATAAGTAATAAGTATGTTAAATGCTGATAACTGCTATAAAGAAAAAAAAATAAGTAGGCAAAAAATGAGTGTTGAGATGTAGGCTGATATAGTTTAGCCTTGTGTCCCCACCCAAAATCTCATCTTGAATTGTAATACTCCCCAAGTATCAAGGGCAAGACCAGGTGGAGATAATTGAATCATGTGGGTGGTTTCCCCCATGCTGTTCTCATGATAGTGAGTTCTCACAAGATCTGATGGTCTTACAAAAAAGGCCGCAGAGGCTCACGCCTGTAATCCCAACACTTTGGGAGGCCGAGGCGGGTGGATCGCCTGAGTTCAGGAGTTCGAGACCAGCCTGACCAATATAAACCCCATCTCTACTAAAAATACAAAATTAGCCAGGCGTGGTGGCACATGCCTGTAATCCTAGCTACTCGGGAGGCTGAGGCAGGAAAATCGCTTGAACCCGCGAGGCGGAGGTTGCAGTGAGCCAAGATCACACGATTGCACTCCAGCCTGGGCAACAAGAGCAAAACTCCGTCTCAAAAAAAAAAAAAAAAAAAAAAAGAAATTTTAATAATGCAATAGAAAGGTAATCCACATTCCAAGGACAACAACAGTGCAGTATAAAAAGAAAAACACAATAGTGAACACATCTTCTTACACACCTGCTCTACCTTCTCTGGTAAACTTCTCCAGCTTACTAGCCCCTACTCTATACTTCACCTGCCAACTGCCATACAAGACCCAGTTGTTTCTAACACCATTAACAGCAACAGCAACCAAAGGGCATGTTCTAAAAGTCCCCCAACCCCAATCACAGGTAATAAGTTGTAACAAGCTAGTCATTCTCTCTTCCAATGTCCCCCATGCTCAATGACATGGTGCTCAGAGAGAACCGTAAAGCAAAATTTCTACCTAGGCAAAGTCAGTCTATTCTAGAATTAAATTTACAATGGCAGACACTGATTCAAGTTAGAAAGAAATGGTGGCCAAATTTTCAATCAGGATCAGAAAATTTTAATTCAATAAATACCTGGAATTACAAATCAAGAGATATACAGGCTGGGCAGTGGCTCACGCCTGTAATCCCAGCACTTTGGGAGGCCAAGGCGGGTGATCACAAGGTCAGGAGATCGAGACCATCCTGGCTAACATGGTGAAACCCCATCTCTACTAAAAGTACAAAAAATTAGCCAGGCTTGGTGGCGGGCGCCTGTAGTCCCAGCTACTTGGGAGGCTGAGGCAGGAGAATGGCGTGAACCCAGAAGGCAGAGCTTGCAGTAAGCCGAGATCGCACCACTGCACTCCAGCCTGAGCAACAGTGCAAGACTCCGATTCAAAAACAAAACAAAACAAAACAAAAAAAAACAAAAAAAAAACAAATCAAGAGATATACATATATTTTTAAAGTTATTTTTATAATAAAGAATTAGATATCCTAAGCCTTAAGTTCCATTTCTATCTCTAGTGTCACAGAGTGTAACATACCAAGTACAATCCTTTCATATTCTCATACAACAATGTATACTTTTAGCTTCAATAAGAATACCATAGGTTTGGTTCTTATAAAAGACAGAGTAAACATCCTAATATAACTGATAACTAATATACTGGATACCGTATCTAGGACCTAGGCTATGTACTTTATATGCTATCTCAGATTGAATCTCATGAATTGTCCCTTTTGAGGAAATACTGATTATATCCTAATTTTAGAGTATTGGAATTAAGGCTTCTTAGAGAATTTAAGTAACCTGCCCCAAGTCAAGTTAGCAGGAAGCCATGATTGAAACCAGAGCCCAACCTCTTAAACACTATCTTGTACGTCTTGTGTGAAAAAGAAAGCTAAGCCTCAGAGATTCTACGTTCAGACATATTTACTCACAACCTACACAGAGGCATTATCCAGGTGTTCACATACTTATAACCCCAACTTGGAACTTTCATTATCTAAAAAGAGGCACTACCTAAGAAAGAAAACAATAAAAGAAAGTGAAGGAAATCCAAACGGCCATTTTATTTCATTACTGGGTATGTGAACAATTGACAAGTTAACTTTAAAATTTTACAATACACACACATATAGGTAGGACCAAATTTATTCTACAAATATGCATCTAGATTGCAGACGTAAATTCTCATCAACCAAAAACACCAACTTTCAAAACAAACAGTCCCATAATAGAAATTAGGTAAAATTAGTGACAGGGATAAAGAAACTTCAGCAGACTGCTGTATTTTATGAATACCATTAATACCTCAATATATGTTATAGAAAGACATTTACTGAAATGTAAAGACATTTACTTAACTTTCCTTGTATGGCACTAAGAAAGGTATTTTAGGATTTCATTCTTACTTGCAACTGTCATCCTCTGAATCTGATATTTCACTGTTATCTTCATCAGCTACTTCCAACGTGTCTAGTTCCATCACAATTTTACTAACATCAGTTTTAAATACCTTCTCATACAGCAATTCATAAAGGAGAGCTGCAATTAATGACAGACAGATTTTCCAACATTAACTACAGGCAGTTTTTTAAAAACAGGAACAGACCATCACATTGTAACTTTCTATTGCTCAGGCTTTTAAAATCCTGACTAGATATCTGCTAAACCTTATGGTCAATAACATAATTTTATCAGAAAGTTACCTAGGGTACAGCTAAAATTTCTGTAAGTGCAGTTAAGTAGTTTAAAATAATCGCAAAAGACAGTGCCATTTTTAAAACTAACACCATCACAAAAAGGTATCACAACTGTGAAACAAGTAGGACAACAGGAAAAGCCAAAACACACACACTGAGCAATTATTACTACTACATTCCACACACTGTGCAGCTTTATATATCCTTACGTTTAATTCCAGCACAGTGAAGCATTATTCTGATTCTACAGATAAGGAAACTGAGACTTAGGGATGTCATACAACATGCCCAATCTTAAGAGACTTAGATTAAAAACATTAAGAAGCTTTAAGATTGCTAGAAAGAGGAATATAGTATAGTACATACTAGCTGACAAGTCAGAAGACTTGGATGCTAGTCTAAGCTTTCCCACTAATTGTAACCTTGGACGAGCACTTCTCAGGTTGCTATAGAAAAAGAGGATGTTTGACTACATAACCTAGCTCCAGATTTTAATTTTACATAAGGAACTAAAAAAGCAGCTGTTACAAAATATATTCTCAGCAGCCACTGAAAGAAAGAAGCATATTTAGACAACTTTGCTGCTTTAAATAAAGTAAAATTTTAAAACTCCAGTCTTGAATATAGGGAAATATATTTTAACAAAAATTCAAAAATACATGGATTTTAGGACTCTGATTTGGTTTTATAACAATGAGCTTTAAGAAAACAATGTACTAAGAATTCATCAACAATGGGGCCAGGTGTGGAGGCTCACACCTGTAATCCCAACACTTTGGGAGACCAAGGCGGGCAGATCACTGGAGGTCAGGAGTTCAAGACCAGCCTGGCCAACATGGTGAAACCCTGTCTCTACTAAAAATACACAAATTACCCAGGTGTGGTGGTGCACACCTGTAATTCCAGCTACGCAGGAGGCCGAGGCAGCAGAATCGCTTGAACCCAGAAGCCAGTGGTTGCAGTGAACTGAGATCATGCCACTGCACTCCAGCCTGGGTGACAGAGCGAGACCCTGTCTTAAAAAACAGCAAAGGCCGGACAGGATAGCGCTCATGCCTGTAATTCCAGCACTTTGGGAGGCTGAGGTAGGCGGATCAGTTGAGGTCAGGGGTTTAAGACCAGCCTGGTCAAGATGGTGAAACCCCATCTCTACTAAAAATACAAAAATTAGCCAGACTTGGTGGCGGGCATCTGTAATCCAAGCTACTCGGGAGGCTGAGGCAGGAGAATAGCTTAAACCCAGGAGGCGGAAGTTGCAGTGAGCCAAGATTGTGCCACTGCACTCCAGCCTAGGCGAGAGAGCAACACTCCACCTCAAAACAACAACAACAACAACAACAACAACAACAAACACTGGGTGTCCACCTCTAAATGAGTTCCCACAGAGACTTCCTTCTTATAGACCATCTTTCTTCCAGGTTCCAGTAACAGGAGTTGCAGCCCTCGTATCACCCAAACCACAGGCACTTAGAATCACAGGAAAGACAAGCTCTAGGAGCTATCTTTCCCAAAGCTGAGGTGTCCAGATTGTGACTAGCTAGGAGGGAGAAGACACAGCCCAGGGTACAGAGGCTACACTTCGATATCTTACAATGGATTAATTATTTAAAATAGTGTATTGCACATATCTTTACTGGTTACCACTAGCTTAAGAGCAGAGGAAAAAGCTGTCACAAGCCCAGCACCACTGCTTTATGACTGATCTGTACTTTGCCAGAACGGATGATATAAAAGAAACTGGTAGGAAGGGTCACTGCTCTTCTACAGCAGGAATTCTCACACAGAAGAAGGGCAAAGGGAATTCATATGCCCAGGAAACATTTGGCAAAATCTGGAAATATTATTGGTTGTCACAAAGGGAGAGAGAGTGTGTTACTGCCATCCACTAGGTAGAAGCCAAGGATGCTACTTAACATTCTGAAGTTCACAAGAGAGCCTACAACAGAGGAGTATCTGGCCGAAAATATCAATAGTTCCAAGGTTCAAAATGCTGCCCCGGAGCCAAATACAATCAAATGTTTGATTTGCTCAGTCATTTGGATTTTCAAGCTATACACTAACAGTTTTTAAAATGCATATAAATCTTTATTACCAAAATGATTGCAGGAAAAAAAAGTTGGTATTTACAAGTCAAACTCTAGCCACAAGCTCCCTTTCCTCCAATTTCTCTCTGTTTTGTTTTGCTTTGCTTCACTTTGAAACAAGGTCTCACTCTGCTGCCCAAGCTGGAGTGTAGTGGCACAATAATAGCTCACTGCAGCCTTGACTTCCTGGGCTCAAGTGATCCTCCCACCTCAGCCTCCCAAGTAGTTGGGACCACAGGCATGCGCCACCATGCCCAGCTACCTTTCCTCCTACTGCAACAAGTTTTTATTATAATATTAATACTCTTGGTAATTTAAGGTTCTTGGACATATCTTTTATATTATAACAGAATAGAATTATTTGCTCTGATTTGTTTACATTAAGACTGTATAAGGCCGGGCACGGTAGCTCACGCCTGTAATCCCAGCACTTTGGGAGGTCGAGGCGGGCGGATCACGAGGTCAGGAGATCGAGACCACCCTGGCTAACACGGTGAAACCTAGTCTCTATTAAAAATACAAAAAAATTAGCCAGGCGTTGTGGCGGGCGCCCGTAGTCCCAGCTACTCGGGAGGCTGAGGCAGGAGTGGCATGAACCCCGGAGGCAGAGCTTGCAGTGAGCGGAGATCACGCCACTGCACTCCAGCCTGGGAGACAGAGCGAGACTCCGTCTCAAAAAAAAACAAAAAACAAAACAAAAAACAAAAAGACTGTATAAGTTTAGGAATATAATTTCCCATATAAACACAAGGTGATACTTACACTGACACATAGCAGAGCTTTCTTTATACTTTATGGGATACACAATATCATAATGATTTCCATTTGAAAAACACAGTAACACCTGAAAGGGAAAAATAAAAGAAACATTTCAGCCCCTCATACATATAACATTTACATAGCAATGTATGTCTCCAATGCCTCTGAATTACTAGATCATTTCCAAACAGACAGTGAGTATTTTAGGAGTAACCTAAAGCTTCAGTGTTGTCAAGCTACAGTACATCCATATGCTGAAATGTTATATAAACATTAAATCAAAAAATTCAAAATGATTTCTGGAAATGTTTATAGGATCACAAAAAAATAAAAATAATATATGAAAACATGCTTTCAACTACTTAAAGAACAAGACACTGTAAGAAAATATTTCAAAACCTTATTAATGCTAACCTCTAACATGCAAAATTTTCTAACAAGCAAAATCAAAGTTAAATTTCTTTGTATAAGTGATTTTCTAAATCATCACTTATACAAAGAAAAATGCACATTGATTTTGTTTAGAATATAACAATATATTTCAAAACTTGTTTTGAAAAAGCCAGATCCCTTAGAAAGTCCCAGAAACCCCAAAACCCTTATAACAGTAGTATTTCACTCAATTCCCCTCTAACTTAACACCACCAGCATGGTGGAACACAAGTCACTTCAATTTGGCCATCATGACTCCAAAATAGCTACTTAAGACAAAAATTCTCTTATAATAAGTCAGTTGATCTTTCTTTCTAGGCTTCACAAAATTTTTCAGTTGCTTCTGCTTTATGACAGATAATGCAACGACACCCTTGTGAGTAAAATTTACACTAGGGAAATATTTATGATTACTAAAGTATTCCTGGATGTAATGGCAGAACCTATTTTCACAAGTTATTTTTTTTTACTAATGTTTATATTGATAAAAAACTATAATAGTCTAGTTCATCATATGTATTAATGTCTCATAATTCAGTGTTTCTACTAAAATGTTATAAAAGGGTTAAATACAGTAACTTGTGGGAGCAAAAAAAATACAAAATAATATGACTAAGTGACAATTAATAGGAACCTTTTTTTTTTTTTTTTTTTTAAGACGGAGGTTCACTCTTGATCCCCGGGCTGAAGTGCAATGGTGTGATCTCGGCTCACTGCAACCTCCACCTCCCAGGTTCAAGCGATTCTCCTGCCTCAGCCTCCCTAGTAGCTGGGATTACAGGGATGTGCCACCACGCCCGGCTAATTTTGTATTTTTTCAGTAGAGACAGGGTTTCTCCATGTTGGTCAGGCTGGTCTCAAATTCCTGACCTCAAGTGATCTGCCTGCCTTGGCCTCCCAAAGTGCTGGGATTACAGGCATGAGCCACCGCACCCGGCTATAGGAACTTTTAAGAAATCAGAATACCATAACCTTAATACAGAAATATTTCAAAAAATCATTTAAAATTATAGCTTATGAGGTCATGGTAGCAACTAAGCGGTTCTTTTACTTAAATACTTTAGAACACTTTGAAAAATTCTTACCTTTTCAGGAAAATTATTTTCTGTTACTTGTGAAGGAGAAACATTTGGTTCCCGATAAATTATAAAATCTTTCCTGAAAATAACAATTAGAAATTATTTATAATGGACTATACTTCATGAATTTGAATTTAATCATTCATTCATTCATCAAGGGCCTAATACGTGCCAGGCACTGTCCCAACCACTGGAGATACAAAAGACAATAATGAGATAACTAAGTTGTAAAATATCTATATAAAAGTAACCTTTTTAACATGTAAAATTTCAAATATTATTTGTATATATATTAAATTTCAGATATAATTCTAAAGGGACACTTCAAAAATCAAAGAAATTTTGAAGATGAAATTTAAACAACATTCTGAAAAGAAAAAACAAAGTATTTACCTGCTCCTCTACTAGGCAAAAGTAGCAAAATTGAATACAGGTTGAGCATCCCAAATCTAAAAAGCCAAAATCCCAAATGTTCCAAAATCTAAAACTTTTTGAGCACCAACATGACACTCAAAGGAAATGCTCATTGGAGCATTTTGGATTTCAGATTTTCAAATTAGGGATGCTCAACTGGGTAAGCATAATGTAAATATTCCAAAATTTAAAAAAAAAATGAAATCCAAAAACTTCTGGACTCAATCATTTCAGATAAGGAATACCCAATTTGTAACATGGTATTTTAGTACGGTTCTAGTGGCCATTCAATACCACTGACCCTGAGAAAGTAGAAAATCATTTCTCTACAAAGTTGATAAGTGATATCTTACAGAACATAGACCGGAAAAATTTCTGTACCCTTTTCCAAAGTATTTTGAGAATTAAAATTTCTAAACACTGACATATCTAAATGTCAAAATCTAATTGATGCAATTAAAAAAAACTTAGAAAAGATACTTCATAACTAAAGTATAAAAGAGCTTTGCTATTTTAACATTTTTAATATAATGGAATATAATTTCCCACTGGTTTCATTTTCTTTTACTTATGTTATTACAGTGTTTACCTGTACATAAGAGAAAGGGCACTTATTTCCACTTGTCCTACCCATTCCTGTATTGAAGAAAAAAAGGTGGCATGTAAGTGTCTCACACTTTTTAGATTCCACTTTATATTTCTATACATACCTTCATACAGCATACGTAATGAGTTCTTAAAGCTCATTATTATTAGTAGTATTGTGAATATTATAAAAACGTTTATATAAAACAGACCACAATATGTGGTAAAATGCAGTCCAAGTCTCTCCCACACATACACAAAAAAATACTAACAGGGTGAAATGACAGTTCCTATTGGTGTGGCAAGACCACAGCATGGCATCTGTTAAGTTGAGACTTTTTTTTTTTTGAGATGGAGTTTCGCTCTTGTTGCTCAGGCTGGAGTGCAGCGGCGTGATCTCGGCTCACCGCAACCTCTGCCTCCGAGGTTCAAGCGATTCTCCCGCCTCAGCCTCCCAAGTAGCTGGGATTACAGGCATGTGCCACCATGCCCAGCTAATTTTGTATTTTTAGTAGAGACGGGGTTTCTCTATGTTGGTCAGGCTGGTCTCAACTACTGACCTCAGGTGATCCACCCGCCTCAGTCTCCCAAAGTGCTGGGATTACAAGCGTGAGCCACTGCGCCTGGCCCAAGTTGAGAACGTATTGAAGGCAAGGGCTATCCTCCAGCCTAGCCCTCAGGAGAGCGCCTGGCACATGGTATAAGCTCGGGAAATGAAATACTGAATAGAGGCGGCTGGGCGCAGTGGCTCATGCCTGTAATCCCAATACTTTGGCAGGCCAAGGAGGGCGGATCACCTGAGGTCGGGAGTTCGAGACCAGTCTGACCAACATGGAGAAACCCCCTCTCTACTAAAAATACAAACTTAGCCGGGTGTGGTGGCCCATGCCTATAGTCCTAGCTACTCAAGAGGCTGAGGCAGGAGAATCGCTTGAACCCAGGAAGCAGAGGTTGCAGTGAGCCAAGATTGCACCATTGCACTCCAGCCTGGGCAACAAGAGCAAAACTCGGTCTCAAAAAAAAAAAAAGAAAGAAAGAAATATTGAATAGAAGCAGAAAATTGGGAAGTATAGAAAAGGGCAGAAGATCTCTTCTCTTCAGGGTAAATGAAGGTACAAAAGAGAGCAGTGTCCTAGCAATTGTTTTGAAAACAAGAGAAATTCTACACTCCTTAGAAAAGTCACTTAAAGCCTTTCTGAAAGGCAAATGGCCAGTATGTTTCAAAATTTAAAATGTCCCATATACCCTGTGACCCAGCAATTCAACTTCTATACGTCTATCATAAAGAAATATTTCACATCTACAAAAGTGTATGTAAAATAATGATGTCACTGGGAGTTATTTGTAACAGTGTTTAAAAAAAAAAAAAAGTCCCTAAGATTCCTACAGAATAGTAAAATAATTCATGTTTCAGGCAGGATGTGGTGGCTCACGCCTGTAATCCCAACACTTTGGGAGGCCGAGACAGGCAGATCACGAGGTTGGGAGTTCAAGACCAGCCTGACCAACACAGTGAAACCCCATCTCTACTAAAAATACAAAACATTAGTCGGGCCTGGTGGCACATGCCTATAATCCCAGCTACTCGGGGGCTGAGGGAGGAGAACCACTTGAAGCTGGGAGGCAGCAGTCGAGTAAGCCGAGATCGCGCTGCTGCACTCCAGCCTGGGAGACAAGAGCGAAACTATGTCTCATAAAAAATAATTCATGTTTCAGCCACACTATAGAATATCATGCATTCATTCAAAAGAATGAGGTATAACCACATGAAATGACCTAGAAAAATCACTCAAGATTAAGTTTTAAAAGTAAATCATGGGAAAATAATACTATTTGTGAAAAACAAAAAGGCATATATATTGGTACATGTGCACACATAGAAAGGGGATGGGGAGGATACATCCTAAATTGACAATAGAGACAGGGAAGTTAACATGAGGAAAAATGAAGAATTTTCACCCTTTATTCTATAATACATCTATATTTTAAAACTTTTACCGTAAGAATATTTTCCTATAGTACTGTGAAGTCGGTAAAGACTTAATACATTAAGTCACCAAAAACAATGAGCTTTGGTAAATGAATGCTGCCACTTATTCCTTGAAAGGAAAGAAAAACTGAAATAAGGAAAATATTTTAAACAATGTTTTGATCTTAGACCAGCACAATCTTTTCCCTCAGAGACTTTTCAATAGTTCTTAAAAGTTAGCTCTGATTTTCAAAATGAAATAGGTGCCATATATTAAAATAGATCTCTTAAAATAAGCCTCAGCCTAACAATCATGGCTTCTCACAAACTGCTAGAAGTGATACCCTCTGGTGTAGAGGAAACCGTTCACTGATATGAGTCTGTTTAGATCAAACACACGAGCTACATTTCTAATTTTTATACAAGAAGTATTACATCACTTTAAAAAATGAAAAATTCTGCCAGGCACGGTGGCTCACGCCTGTAATCCCAGCACTTTGGGAGGCCAAGGAGGGTGGATTACCTGAGGTCAGGAGTTCAGGACCACCCTGGCCAACATGGTGAAACCCCATCTCTACTAAAAAATACAAAAATTGGCCAGGCGTGGTGGTGGGTGCCTGTAATCCCAGCTACTCAGGAGGCTGAGACAGGAGAATTGCTTGAACCCAGGAAGCAGAGGTTGCAGTGAGCTGAGATTACACCATTGCACTCCAGCCTGCGTATTAAGAGTGAAACTCCATCTCTAAAAAAAATTAAAAATGAAAAATTCTATCCATCTCAACAAAATGCTACATGAGAATAATGTACTTTTTGATACGTAACCTTCAGAATAAATTCTTTTGTAGTCTGGTTAGGTAAACAATGGATATCCTAAAATCTTCCCCAAGCAGTGTCAGTATTAAATTATTTAAAAAAAAAATCGATATTATACTACCACTGTCTTCTAACACTGTAATTTTACTTAATCAGCATTTTTTATGATGTGTGACATATATCTTTCTTGTAAAAAGAATTCCTTCAAAATATGTTTTAACTAATTAACCATACTATAACAAAATTACATAACTTAAATGTTCTTAGTCATCAGTATTAAGCTCTTGTTCCTCAAAAGACATTGTTAAGAAAATGAAAAGCCAAGCTTGTGATCCCAACTATTCTGGAGGCTGAGGCAGGGGAATCACTTGAACTCGGGAGGCAGAGGTTTCAGTGAGCTGAGATCATGCCACTGCACTCCAGCCTGGGCAACAGAGCAAAACTCTGCCTCAAAAAAAAATAATAAATAAATAAAATAAAAAATTAAAAAAAAAAAAAAAGAAAATGGAAAGCCAAAATACAAACTAGAAGAATGTATTTGTAGAACACATATCCAATACAGGACTTATATCCAGTATAAAGAACTAGTAAAATTCAGTAAGAACAACAGCAATTAAAAAATGGGCAAAAACCTATGAACAGACATTTCACCAACAAAATTAGATAGATGACAAATAAGCACATGAAAAGATGCTCAACATCATTAGAGAAATTCAAGTTAAATCACAAAGAGTGCTGGCAAATATGTGGAGAAACTGAAATTCTCATAATATTGCTGATGAGAAAGCAAAATGGTACAGTCACTTCAAAAAGTTTGGCAGTTTCTTAAAAATATGTTTACCAGATGACCAAGCAATTTTGCTCTAAGGTATTAATCCAAGAAAAAAGAAAACACATGTCTACACAAAGATTTATAAGCAATTGTTCACAGCAGCTTCAATTTTAACAACCCAGAACTGTAAAGAACTTAAATATCAATCAGCTGGTAAATGTATACACAGGTTGTGATAGATACATACACAGATTATTTTTCTTCAATAAAAAGGAACTACTGCTAAACGCATGAATGAATTTTAGTATTTCCAATAGGCTAAGTGAAAGAAGCCAAATACATAAGACTACAAACTCTATCATTCCACTTATATGCATCTAGAAACAGCAAAACTTAGAAAGCAAATCAGTGCTTGCCAGGTCCCAGGGGATAGGCGGAAGAGGATTAACTGCAAAAAGGCAAAAGGAAACTTTCTGGAGAGATGGAAATGTCCTTTATGATGTTTGCTGTGGTGGTTACATGAGCATATACACTTGTCAAATCTCATCAAATTGTATATTTATAAGTGATGAATTTCACTGTATGTCAATTTTACCTCAAAGCTGACAAAAACATATTCTCGCACAAGTTTGAAGTACCTTCAAAATGCTCCACTATTACTCATTAAGAGGATAAAGATGCTTTCTCTGAGAACTGGATGAAGCAACTGAGTTTATCCATCAAATATCTGCCAAATGGTTTCTGTTTCCATTTTATACAGCCATATATTAGGAAGGCAAAAAAATATATTTATTTATTTTTTGAGATGGAGTCTCACCCTGTTGCCCAGGCTGGAGTGCAGCGGCACAATCTCAGCTCACTGCAACCTCTGCATCCCAGGTTCAAGCGATTCTCCTGCCTTGGCCTCCTGAATAGCTGGGACTACAGGTGCACACCACCACGCCTGGCTAATTTTTTTGTATTTTTGGTAGAGACAGGGTTTCACCATCTTGAACTCCTGACCTCAAGTGATCCTCCCGCCTCTGCCTCCTATAGTACCGGGATTACAGGCACGAGCCATTGTGCCCAGCCCAGGAAAGCAAAAAAATAAGAATGAAGATTTATAAATATTTGTTGCTAGTAACAAAAAAGAAACAACTGTCAGAAGATGCCATCCAACCCTTCAGTCAACAAAATCCCTCAGAACTGGAACACAGCAGTGAATAAAGCATACAGAACTCTGTGTTCATGGAGCTTAATTCAAGTAGGAAGATGACAAAGTACACAGTACATTAAATGATATAAGCACTACAGAGAAAAATAAAGCAGAGAGGGGTACAGGGAAAGTGATGGAAGCTGAGAATTACAATTTTAGATAGGATAACCACTACTCTGACTTCCTGCCCCAAAAACCTTATATGGTTTCCCAATGCCTGATGCCTAGGCCCCAGGCCCAGAGGCCCTGATTCAGGTATGGAATAGGGGCCAGGGAATCTGCATTTTCACATGCACATCAAGTGATTTTGATACAGATAACCTACAGATCACACTTTGAGAAACACGGGTCTAAAGCATAAGCTCCAAACCACTGACCCTAACACTGAAGGCTCTCCCACAGTCTGGCCCCAACCTGCCTTCCAACTCCTTTCTCACCACTTCTTATCTTCACATACTCAATGCTCCACACAATTGGAACTGTTTTCTGAATCTGCTTTGCTCACAGTTTTCACTGCCTGGAATGCCCTTCAGCCCAGGCATTTCCTATTTAGAATCCATTCAGACTTCAAATACAACTCACTCTCCAAGTGTTGCTTTGTCTACCCAGCTAGAAATAACACTTTGAATGCCTACAGCATCACAGCTATATACCTCTTGTGACAAATCTCCTTTTCTAGCTTGTATTGACCTTCTTTCCTATGATAGGGAAACTTTTTTGTTATCTACATTATCTCTGCATCCCCAGGGTGACTAGGAATTCTTGGCCCATAACAAGCACTCAAATTAGTGTTAGGCAACCAAATGGATACATCAGTCATCGATCAAACACCCTTGGTTCCTACATTACATTCCCTTTACTCCTTAACTCTTCTTAGCTTTTTTCTTTGCCAATGTTATTTTTACCTTAACATTCTAAATGGCATTCCAAGATACTTGGATTTTTACAGTGAGAACGTTAGTTTTGTAAACAGAAAAATTAAGAAAAATCCTTTTAACATAAACATGACTGAAAAAGTATAGCAGCAGGAGTTGGTGAGTAAGTGCTATCCTTTTCTGTCTCAACAGTCTCTTCCCTCTTCACGAGATGATCATGGAAATAGGAACCTGCATGAAAGAACTCTGCCTTCTCAGTTGCCTAGGAAGAAAAACTCTGCAGGCCAGGTGTGGTGGCTCACACCTGTAATCCCAGCACTTTGGGAGGCTGAGGCAGGCGGATCACGAGGTCGAGAGATCGAGACCATCCTGGCCAATATGGTGAAACCCCATCTCTACTAAAAATAAAAAAATTAGCTGGACATGGTGGTGCACGCCTGTAGTCCCAGATACTCGGGAGACAAATCGCTTGAACTCGGGAGGCGGAGGCTGCAGTGAGCCGAGATCATGCCATGCACTCCAGCCTGGCAATGGAGTTAAATTCCACCTCAAAAAAAAAAAAAAAGAAATCAAACTTCACCCTGTCCAAGTTCCATACACACACCAACGTA